>NC_000019.10:50990874-51615874 GCF_000001405.40 Homo sapiens | reverse complement strand
AACCTGGGAGGTGGAGGTTGCAGTGAGCCGAGATCATGCCATTGCACTCCAGCCTGGGCAACAACAGTGAAGCATCGTCTCAAAAAAAGAGAAATGACTGGGACAAGCCCCAGGGTGGATCCCCTCAAGAACCCAAACCACACCCAACCAGTCCCACTTCCTATCACCCCAGTAAGGCAGCTTAAGTCATCCCTCCATCTTCAGACCCTCGTGGAGAAGCAACATTGGTCAAGGACTCTCGTTGCATTGTGATCCACCAGCCCTGGGAGTTTGGAGTGGAGAAAATGGCAAGGAGAATGTCAAAGACCAGTGAGCTTCCACCTCCGTTCTCCTTCTCCTCACCCCAGTGGGCCTCTGGTGCTTACCCAACACATGCCTGTTGGACACTGGCACATCATAATCCTGTCCATACTCTGAATTCTGCAGTGAGGGGCAGACAATGTTTGTCCCACTGGAAGGGTAGAGGAGAGAAAGGAGCAGAATTCAAGTATGTTTGGGCTAACCCATCCTCTCAACAAGCCAGCTGTCCCCCCGCCCAGTTCTCCCACCCCTTTTCTTCAAATGAGCCTTAACTTTCCCCTAGGGATATCAGTGTGATTGATTGATCATAAATTGATTTGTAAAGTTTTGTTCACCCAGGAGCTCCATCTTTAGTTCCATCATTGGTAGGTCTTGGAGAACAGAGCCGGTGTATGAATTCACTCTTTTGACAAGAACTATGGTAGAGAGAGCTTTGTTTTCTCCTTTATTTTACCTTTAACCATTCTGCACACTTTCATGCCATAGGCAGAATGGTAAAGCGAGGCACAGCATGGTCCCTGGAGTTTGACGTCCTGCATTCAGGTTCTAGATTCACCCACTTGCAAGCTGTGTGACCTTGGATAAGCTAATGAACCTCTCTGTTTTTTTGTTTTCTCCTATAGAAATTGGGTTATTAATATGCTAGTATCTGTCTCGGATTGTTACAAGGAGTGCTTAGTAAAGTGGCAAGCTCACAGGGAGCTCACTTATAACTGTTACCCAGTATTACTTTTCCTTCTGTCTAACAAGGAACTGCATGACGGGGAGGTATTTGGGTGGTTTCAGTCTGCTTTATGTCCTCATTTATACGAACGGCATCTAGCCCAAAGAAAGCACTCAGCAAAGAGCTATTGAGTGAAAGGGTGAACATACTGCATTGTCCTATTTACTAATCTGAGCTGTGCCTTTTCTTTCAGTTGTCAATTTCACCCTTTTTATTTCATATACCGCACACCTATTGATAGACATATGTCTTTATTTCTTCCTTTGCCTGCATAATGCTGGTGTGCATAGCCACTTTTTCATTTTATTTCATCTTTCTTGTGCCTAATATAAGCAGCTCTCTCCAGAAAGTCTATTTTTTTCTGACACAATGAAGCCATTTTTCCCTAACTGCGGAGTCCTTTTAAAAAAACTGTATGGCCAGGTGTGGTGGCTCACACCTGTAATCCCACCACTCTGGAAGGCTAAGCTGGGCCAGTCGCTTAGCCCAGGAGTTTGAGACCAACCTGGGTAACGTGGCGAAACCCTGTCTTTACAAAAATTAGCTGGGCATGGTGGCTTGTGCCTGTGGTCTCAGCTACTCAGGAAGCTGAGGTGGGAGGATTGCTTGAGCCAGGGACGGGAGGTTGCAGTGAGACGAAATCACACCACTGCCCTCCAGCCTGGATGACAGAGTGAAACTCTGTCTCAAAAAGAAAACTTCTGAGCTACTGTTTGAAGACTCACGTTGCTTTCAACATATTTTCCATAGCGTGATGGGTAGGGATATGGGTGAAGGTGGGAGAGGAAAGAAATTGCTTACTTGTATCTGGTTACCATCTTTGCTGGGGACAGGATCTGCTCCATTTTGTTTCTCTTTCATGGAAACTGGGTCCAGGATCAGAATTGCCATCTCTTTTCTGGTTTGCACATAAGACACCTTGTAACCTATGCCGAAGGTATACATTTGCTTCATCAATAATCCGCTCCTCCTGCCTAGGTCAGGGTCTATGTCTGATTTCTCACACTGTACGTGCCCAGAACCTGAAACAGGGGAGACAGGGCTGAGTTCGAATCCTGGCCTCGCCATGTATTAGATGAATAACCCTGGGCAAGCTACTTAACCTCTCTCCACCTCAGTTTCCCTGTGTGTAAGGTGGGGATAATTAGAATATCTTTTATACTGTTGTGGGTTTTTTTTTGGTGATGATTCAATGTGATTAGTAAGTCCTCAATATGGTCTGATCAATCATAGTATTACAAAATTTTGAAAGAATGAGCGAATAGTTGAGTTCACAGGAAATGTATATGGACAGGTGGGGCCGGGATTTGAACCCAGCCCTGTCTGCCCTGTGCCGGTTCCTGGGCACGTACAGTGTGAGAAATCAGACATAGACCCTGACCTAGGCAGCCTATGGCCTGTCCTTAGGAGGAGTGGATTATAAAAGGATGAATTGATAAATGTCACATCAGCCCAACTTCCCTGTGGGAACCATTTGTTGTATTTTTCTCTTATTTGGTGTTGAGGTCTCTCTTTGGGGAGTGGTCATAAAATCTAGCCCGGCCTTGAATGGGAACCCCAGAGATCTGGCCATCATGTTCACAGTGTGACTTTCACAGAATACTCCTTTATCCTGGCACACCACCTGCTGCCTGAGTGCCCAGCCTGTGACCCCCTCTCACAGCAAACTTGTTTATCCTGGCAGATTCCCTTGCAGCTTTCCTATGACCTGTGTCCGGTTTATTCCCACCAAGACAGCTATTCTCTAGGAGAGCCTTGACCAGAAAAGAAGTGAGGTTCAGGTCTGTTGGGCGGGTGGGACACAGAGGAGACAGCACAACAAAACACATGAAATAACAGAAGCAGTTTATTACTCACAGGTCCCAGAGAGAAGATAGCACAGCAAGCCTGGAAGGGCGAATGGAAAGGAGGGAACTGACCAGGACGCAAGTGCTCATCCAGTGGGTAGGGGGCAAGAGAGAGAGAGAGAGAGAGAAGAACCCATGAGCCAAAGCCTTAATTAGAGTCCAGGGCATAATCTAAGCAGGCTTCCCACAGGGAGTTCTAACTGGGGGTTTAGAGCTAGCAGGCAGGAGTTCTGTGGAGCCACACTGTGACTGAGAGGTGGTTGCTGCAGTATATCTGCGCAGCCTATGAGGGACACAGGAGTCAATACGTAAGTCAAGTAGGTTGTAGCTGTATGTCCCATAGGGAGCTGGTCACAAGGAGATGGTTGTATAAGGCAGACATTTGGATTAACCACCTTGGGGAACTGGGAGGAGGTAGAGAATTGGAAATTGTGTCCAGGTGACTAAGCCCTGCTTCTGGCATGAGAAAGTCCAACTTACATTCAAAATAAATCCCAAGGCAACATATAAATATAAGAACTCATTATTCTACACCTGCCTCTTTATTCCTACTGTGACACCTTTCCTTCCCCTTTACTCAGGGTTCCAGGAAGAAGCCCTGGCCAGACAGCCCCGGAGATCAAGCATCTCCTCCTGGGGATGCCCCTCCCTTGGAAGAACAAAAGGAGCTCCATTATGCCTCCCTTAGTTTTTCTGAGATGAAGTCGAGGGAGCCTAAGGACCAGGAGGCCCCAAGCACCACGGAGTACTCGGAGATCAAGACAAGCAAGTGAGGATTTGCCCAGAGTTCAGTCCTGGCTGGAGGAGCCACAGCCTGTCTGGGGGAAAGGACAAGTCAGGGACCACTTGCTGAAGCACGAAGAGCCCTTGTGGCAATGTTAACATTAACTGATGTTTAAGTGCTCCAAGCAGATGGAATTAGAGAGGTGGGCTCAAATCTAGGCCCTGGCACTGTCATCAAGCAATTCACTGCATCCCTCTGTGCCTCAGTTTCCCATTCTGTAAATCAGAGATCATGCATGCTACCTCAAAGGTTGTTGTGAACATTAAAGAAATCAACACATGGAAATCAACCAACATGGGTCCTGGAACAGGGCGTTGTGCTCAGTGCTTTCTGGTCTCTCTTCCTTGAATAGAAAGGTCCTGCTGGCAAGTTCTCTCAAGGCTGGGGATGACCAGGCACAAAAAACAGGGCAGCAATATGTTGGTGTCACTCCCCTTCCCAAAACTCTTCGAAGACTCCCTAGGAAAGACCAGCCCCTCAGCCTGGCACTTGGTTCATGATGTGGGATCTTATATCCTTGCCAGAGTCATATCTTTGCCCACTTTTACCTGCAATCCTTGCATCATATTCCTTTGGCTCCAGTCCTTCATTTATGAGACCCATAGGAATCCTTCCAACAGCCAAAGAGTTGAGTCTAACTCTTTCCTGCCCAAACCCATTCACGGCCCCCTGGCCTTAGACAATATATCACAAGCATCTCCCCTGACACATAAAGTCCTTCATGATCTCCCTGCTATCTATTCATTTATACTTTCCTCTTGCCTAACCCTTCCTTAAGCCTTTCATGCTGGTTCATACCACACTGTCTTTGCAATTTGAGATTCCTCCTCCTGGAAGCCATGCCTCCTTGCTTTCATCTGGCTTACACTATCTTTTCCTCCAAACATGAGTTAATGGGTGGTCTTGAGTTGGAAGAGTGGACTGAAGAAAGAACTTATACTCTCCCTCCTCTAAAATTGAACTAATTTATTTTTTAAAATGCTAAACCAAAAGCAGCTAAAAATTCTCCAGTTACTTATCTAGGGTATCTCCAAACCCAGATAAATGACAATGTTAGAAACTTCAGCAAGTGGTCATGAGGAAATGAGTGGATAATTCCAGTGGAGTACTGGGAGGACATTGATTCTCAATATCTACCACCCAAACTTCATTTTCATCACTGTAAAGAAGGTGAATTGTGACTACTGTTTTGGTTATGACAGGTTAGATAATTTTGATCAAGCCTTGTGTTGAAAATAATAAAATCTTTTGGGGAAAAAATGAGTAGAAAAAGAATCCTTCCCTTAAATAGTATAGAATGCCTGAAAAGAAAATGGAAACTTAGGCCAAAATTCTGGGGAAAGGCTGAACCCAGAGAAGTAAGCAGAATCACTAAGCCAAAATTCCCAGGGGCATTTGCTCATATTGAAAAAGGAAGCTTTGGTTCTTTGGTCTTGCATGTGGCTCTGGAAATGAAGGTTAAGTCTGTGGCCCAGCGAAAGGTTGCAAATGTCAAAAGAGACCATCCCTACATTGGGTTTGTGTCAAGGTAAGGCTGAATCAAAACTGAAGACAAGGAAAAAAATCTGAACAGCTACCAGAGAAAAAGGATCACCTTCAAAAGAAAAGTCATTTAATTGACAACTGAATTATCAGTAGCAACCTGGAGAGTAGAAGAAGGCAAATACTATTTCTAACATCAATTTGCAATCTATACTCAGTAAAGTCAACTCAAAAATGAGAAAGCAATAATGATCTTTCAGAGCAAGTAAATGGGGGAGCTTTAATAAAAACAAAAGATAGTTTAGAATTCCTGACAATCACAATAGTTAAGTACCAAGGTAAGTGTATTTTACATGTCCCAATATCCATATATTATCCAGGAGGAGAGAGAGGTTTTCATTTACTAAAGACTTTGATAGGTTAATAAGGCATGCTGTAAATTTTTCTCATGACGGCTAAAAGAACAGAATCATAATATATAACTTTCAACCTAGTGATCACTAAAGGTATACTATTAAAAACTTAGTAAACCAGCCAGGCGCAGTGGCTCACACCTGTAATCCTAGCACTTCGAGAGGCCGAGGGGTGGAGAATCACTTGAGCCCAGGAGTTCAAGAATAGCCTAGGCAACATGGCAAAACACACCTCTACAAAAAAGTACAAAAAATTTAGCCAGGCATGGTAGCATATGCCTGTAGTCCCAGCTACTTGGGAGGCCGAGACAGGAGGATCACCTGAGCCCGGAAGGTGGAGACTGCAGTAAGCCGAGTGATAGAGTGAGACCTTGTCTCAAAAAACAAACAAAAAGCCAAACAACAACAAAATTACTTAGTAAACAAAACAAACAAACAAAACGGAGAAATAAAGTAATGTAGAATTGGTGACACATACAGAAAACAAAATATAACATGGGATATTTATGTTAAATATAATTGGATAAATGCTTCAGTTTAAAACAGAGTCCACTTGGATGGATTCCAAGTATATGATCTTTACAACATATACACGTAAAGTACAAGGATAGAGAAGGCCAAAAGTGAAAGTATATTATGCCGACATTAATAAAAGGAAAGCTAGTGCAGTCCTATTTGGCCATACAAAATACACATTACCACATTGTTCCATTTGTGTGAATGTTTAAAGCAATTATTCTTGCTTAAAAATATATACACAGGTATTATGCTTATGGGCAAAGGCAGGGAAAAGGATAATCCCAAATATCAGCAAGGTGGTACTCATAAGAAGGTCAGGGAGGGTGGGAAACAAAGAGGGGTTCTAAGATTCCTGGGGTGCCCGCATGTTCTATTTCTCAGCATAACAGATGATCACACAATGTGAATGGTAAGTATATTTCTGATAACACAAACATGGAAAAATATTGCAAGCTAGGAAATGTCTGATCTTCTGATAGTCATCTTTTCTTAAATTTTTTGAAGAAAAAATAATTTTCTTTAAGGAGATTATGACAAAAAGTTAATAAAAACTCATCCTTCTTACCAAAAATCTTGATAGATTTGACAACATCACAGTGGAAAATATCACCAGGCTCAGTGGCTCATGCCTGTAATCCCAGCACTTTGGGAGAGTGAGGCAGGAGGATCACTTGAGCCCAGGTGTTTGGAACGAGTCTGGCAATGTAGTGAGACCCTGTCTCTACAAAAAGAAAAAAAAGTTAGTGGGCATGGAAGCACACACCTGTGGTCCTAGCTACTTGGAAGGCTGAGATGGGATGATCGCTTGAGCCCAGGAGTTCAAGAAGAGCCTGGGCAACATAGTAAGAACCCATCTCTACAAAAAATAAACAAAAATGAGTTGGGCATGGTGGCAGGTGCCTGTGGTCCCAGCTACTCAGGAGGCTGAGATGGGAGGATCACTTGTGCCCTGGAGGTTGAGACTGCAGTGAGCTGAGATCATGACACTGCAGTCCAGCATGGGTGACAGAGTGAGACTTTGTCTCAAAAAAAAAAAAAAAGAAAAAAAATATACACACACACACACACACACACACACACACATATATATATGCACCAATAATGTGAGACCCCATGAAATCGCGTATACATCCAGTCTCTGTTTCCCACTCTGTCAAATGAGAATTATTAACCAAACCTCTCTTAGGTTGGTTATGAAGATTAAATGAGGCATATATAGAAAAGCACAGCCCTGAGTCTGGAACTTGGGGAGCTTCAGTGAATGTCCATCTCTTTCCTAAACCCTTATCCGAGAGGAGATCCAGGCACGGACTTGCTACTTAAAGCGTGGTCCAAGAGCCAGCAACATCAGCATAATCTGGAACTTCAGAAAAATACCTTGTTCTTCCCTGTCCCTTAGCCAGGCCGGTACTACAATTCAAAAGAATGATCCTTAGCTCAACAAGAGGAGTGAGAGGAAAAGCACAGCGATAAGTCTCTTTCCCTGGCCTCTCCTTCCCAAAAGGGACCCAGCCTTTTCGAAGCCTCTCTGACTTAGGTGCCCCGCTGGCCTACAGCTCAGAACCGTGTGCTTGTAAATTCGTGTCCATGGCAGAGTTGGGAGTTTCCTGAACTCAGAGCACAGTTGTGGTGCAGAACCATGGACAGCGCCAACCCTGGGCTAGTTGTTCCCCAAATCGGGCATGGCGGGTGGAGCGCCCCCTGGGAGCAGAACTCTGTCCTGTCTCAAATGCAGAGGTAAGAAGGTTGGAAAGCAGAGTTGGTTACATTCTGTGCTGCAGGACAGAGGTGCTGGTCAGAGGACATTCAAACTCCTCCTCAGTCTTCTTCTGAAGTCCCCCTCATTTTAGGGAAGAGAAGACTTAACTTCAGAGAGATGGTGCATTTCTCACAGGCCACTGGGATCCTTGCCTCTCTGGGCTGACTCTGCCCTCACTCCTTCCAGGAAACCTTCTATGTGGTAGGCTCCATCTCTTCCTCCCTTCCTTTTCCAGTGAGTTGATAATTTGCTCTTGCTTTGAATCCCTTATTTGTCCTGTCATGGTGTTCTGAAAAACAGAACATGATATGTGATCCTTTTCCATACCTGACTCTGTGCCAAATCCTGAATCAGCTCAAATGAAGGAATGAAGGATCTATTAGAAGGCTGGTTGTGAAGTTATATTTGGAGCTGAGGGGTCACAGAAATAAATTCTAAGTTTTCCTTCATTCTACATGAATAGTAAGTGTTTAGACTAGGAAAAGGATCCTGGGGCCTCAGTGGACCACAGGATGGAGAGAGTTGTCATGAAGGGCAGAACAGGCAAGGCAATGTCAGGGTAAAATGGATGTGCGTTAAGGAGGGAGAGATCTGATAAATACTGTGAAGATGGGAGGCCCATAGGGCTGGAGGAACTGTCAAGAAGTCAAAACTCACACTGAAGGTGTGAGTGAAGGGCTTATCAGAAACCTGAGAATAAGCGAGGAGACATACAAAAATTCAGTGACTTTCTGAACTCAAATTGACACCAGAAAAACCACAAACATCACAGTCGAGTGTGAAGCTGGAGCCAGGGCCTCAGTTCTGAGTCACCGTCTCTGACCATGAAGGGCCCCCCTTGCAGGTGAGTTTCAGTTCCACCTTCTCGTGACTTCTTGTGTGATGGGTGGAGGGGCAGAAGATTCAGTTTCAGGGCTCCTACACTCTTCTGCTCTGAGAGAGATCTCCGAGTTCCAAGTGAACAGAGAAGAGGTGGGGCATGCCCCATTCATTTTCTGAGGAGAGGTAGGAATGGATGCCTGGAGGAGGCAACATCTGAGTGAGGAATGAGATGGCAGGGGGCACTGAACAGGTTATCAGTAGGCCTGGGGTAAAAGGAGGTCAGCTTTCACTTCCCTGGTAGTTGTTTGAGGGAAGAGGACTCCTAACAGAGAGAGGAACTTGGAGCAGCTCAATCCAGGAAAAGTCTCTAGCTGTGCTCTTTCTGTAGCTGCCTTGATCTCCAGGTAGAAGAGACTCATCAGGCGATGTCAGGAGTCCCAGACTCACCCCCCTCCAAACCCAAGATGCTGCTGTTGCCCCTGCTGTGCAGGTGCAGGGACAAGAGGATTGCAGGAAATGTGACTTCACAGAAGGTCCTTCGTCATCATTTTGGGGTACAGCTTGGAGAAATATGCAGGATAGAAGCTGCAGGTCTGAGATTTGAAGATGTGGTACAGGACAAACTGCCTCTGTATTCTCATGCTTTGATCTCTCATCTTGAAATTTTTGTGTTTACTCTAGAAGAGCCTATGTCTTTTGGTTTGTGGAAGAGGTCAACATTTCCATTTCCATGATCCTCCTATTTCCACAAATAGACCAGGTCAAAAGCTGCAGAAGAGACACCAAGAACCGTAGGCTGATTCCACCTCCTTGGGGACCTTCACTGAGCAACAGAGATGCCAAGAAGGAGGGGAGCATGACATTTTTCCCTCATGAGGAGAAGACTTTTAGTGAGATATTGTCACAAATAGAAAACATAACCTCTAAATGTGAAAGGTAGAGTACTACTCTACTTACAGAGAGCTTAGGTGTTCCCGTGTCCCATATCTGAGCACCTCTCATCCTTGAGGGCCAGTTGCGAGTTTGGAGGCCTCAGAGAAGGTAGATTTGCCATTGCCTTCTTCTTTCACATTTTAGACTCTGTTATGTTTGGTACTGGAGGATCCAGGTGAGGATGGCCCCCTTCCAGAACCAATAGCCACGAACTGGATCTGGGTCCATCTGGGGATCCTGGAGTGAGAAAAGTGCAAGGTGCAAGCTCTTCTGATCATCACAACCACAATAAGTGTGTGTGGGGGTGGAGGGAGGTGTGTCTCAGGGTGACCCATTCCCAGTAACAGTTCTTGGGTGTCCTATATCCTCAGCAGGCTCTGACATGGGGAAGTCAGAGCCCCATTGCACCCAGATTCCAGGATACCTAGGATGTGAATGTCAGGTGTCTGGGTCAGCACTTGCAGGGAGAGGGAGGACCTGGGGAACAGAGGAGGGTATGGTACCAGGAGTGGCCTGTGGATCAGCCCCGAGCTGGGTCCTCTGCTTTCAGCTCAGGGTCCTTCATGTCTTCCACAACCCAATCCTTTGGATGAAACAGGTTGCTGATTCCAAGCATAGACTGAAAAGCTAAGTAGAACATTTGAATCTCATGGGGATAGAATGATAAAAGTTATGGCTGAGGGCTTGCCAAGGAAAAAGGGCCATGGTAAACACTGTAGTGCTGTGGTTGGGACCTTGTAGAGTAAGGATGAGTTGGAACTAGATGATACCTCATAAGGATTAAAGCCAGACCAAATTTCCTCAATATCTGATCAAATTGAAGTGGTCGGCTTGCCACAAGCAACAGTAAATATGCCCTGAAGAAGGATAATGTGACCCAGAGCTTAAAATTATCTCCATAGGTTTTCATCACTCCACCAGACAAGAGTGTGGCCAGGGAAACAGCAGCCAAGAGTTTTATGAGAATAGAGCGCTCACTAGAGGACCTAGAACTTAATGCAAATGTGGTAGAGCTGGAAAGTGATGCTTTGGAGAAGGCAGGATGATCATGAGAGCATCATTAAGCAGTTCCATTGAAGAACAGGTGTGGGTAGGCAAGACAGAGCGTGCAGGGATATATGAAAAGCCAAGTATGCCCATTGTTACCATGGGACCCCCAAAGGGGGATCTCAGAAAGTTCTATGGAAAACTGTTGCCTGCGTAGCTACTACCTCTGTAAGCACACAGCCAAGCAGGTGGTGGTAGATTTGAGGCTGGTGTTGGTCATCCCCAGGGCTGGCAATTGGGAAGATGGCCTGCATGTGGAGCAAAGCAGGGAAAACTGCCTAATACATTATGCTATTTTATAGTTGTTTACAGCAGGAGGGTAAGTCTGGTACTAGTTACTCCATTCTGCCTGGTTATTATTATTAATCACATTCACAATTTTAATGGTTCTTTTAAAAATGTAATCCAATACAATGGTGAAACTCTCCATTTTAGCATCTGTTTTTACGTGATGACAATTAAAGTCCATACCTAAAACTCATATCTAGAACACCTGTAAATACATCTGTGCTTGATGCCCAGCCTCTTGGTATTCAACAATTTTGTCATATCTCCTGGCATGCTTGTCAACTTTTTAATTTTTAGTTGAATTTCTAGTATTTTGTTTGAAAAACTGCAGAGATTTTTTTGAGCTCTGACTGAAATTTTCCTCCTCTGGATTCTAGTACAGTCTAGAACAGCACTGTGCGATGGAACTTTCATGACGATGGAGGCATTGTGTCTGCATTGTTCAATATGGTGGTAAGGAGCACTTGAAAGGTGTTTAGGGTGACTGAGGACTTAATCCTTAATTTTATTTTAATTAATTTAAAGATAAATCGGCTCATGTGGCTAGGGCTACCCTATTTTTGCTTTCTGGCAAGTGGAATAGGGACAGATCCCTTAAGCCAGCCCCAGGCTGAGTGAGTTTGAAGATGGGTTTTGGTCTTTTTGTGGGCAGGTCTACTCCCAGTTGACCCATATTTTTTGGCGGGGGGGACGGAGTCTCACTCTGTTTCCCAGGCTGGAGTGCAGTGGCGCGATCTCAGCTCACTGCAAGCTCCACCTCCTGAGTTCACGCCATTCTCCTGCCTCAGCCTCCTGAGTAGCTAGGACTACAGGCGCCCGCCACCACGCCCGGCTAATTTTTTGTATTTTTAGTAGAGACAGGGTTTCACCGTGTTAGCCAGGATGGTCTCGATCTCCTGACCGCGTGATCCGCCCACCTTGGCCTCCCAAAGTGCTGGGATTACAGGTGTGAGCCACTGCGCCCGGCCGACCCTTACTTTTAATCTGTAACCCTTCTTGAGTTCTAATGGAAGGTTTGGGGTGTTTACTGGGCCTCTCCTTATCAGACCCGGAACATCAAATTTGGCTTACCCAGTTCCATCAGACTGCTGAGAGGAGAGTTTAAACATGTTGGGCTCACCTCAGTGATCTTCCCTTCCTTCCAGGGTTTTGGTCCCTCAAGTCCTGTCTACCTTGGTAGCACCAGGCTCCATGATCTATTTGTATTTATTTAATTTTATTAATTTTTTTTTTTGTAGAGACAGGGTCTCTGTATGTTGCCCAGGCTGGCCTCAAACTCCTGAGCTCAAGAGATCCTCTCACGTTGGCACCCCAAAGTGCTGGGATTATAGGCATGAGCCACTGCACCTGGCCACCATGATTTCTGTCTCCAGCCCCAGCCATAACACTGCTGAAAGCTCAACTCAGGTTCCCATCTTCTTATCCTCTGCTTTCTGCTTGCTTCCTTAGCCTTTTGGCCCCTCCAGGAGAATGAGCTTCCCTTTTCTCTGCGATCCTGGCCAACTTGGTAGCTCTCCAATGTCATCAGATTGTTTTTGTGTGTGTATGTGTGTACTGTTTTTCCATTTGGTCTCAGTCTTAGTGTGGAAGTGTTGTTCTGACATTAGCTTCTCTATCATGGCTAGAAACCTCGCTTGCTTTGTTTGATCTCTGCCCCAAAGTCACCTTCTCAAAGAGGCCCTGGCCTTTCAAACTAAAATAACAGCTCTTTACACCTTTTCCCTTTATGTTATTTCTTATCTACAGCACTAATTATCTGACATTATATAGGTGTCTTTCCCACAAGGCCCTAAGTTCCATGAAAGACTCTGTCTTTTTTCTCTCACCAGTGCCTAGAACAGCCCCTGCACACATTAGGTGCTCAATAAGTGTTTCTTGGATGAATAATGCTGTTATTGTCCGATGGGGAGAGAGGTCTGGTCTTTGCCCTTAATGATCAGTCTAATTAGGGAGAGCATAACCCAAAACGGTGGGAAGGCCACAGAGTCAGGACAGGACCTATGGGTGGGGGACCTATGGGGTGGGGTTTGGGAGATCCCTACGCCCTGGACTGGGTGGGAGGGGAGAATCAGGAAGGTCCTCTTTCTGTAAGGACCCTGGAGGGTTTGAGCAGGCAGATGGGAAAGGGAAGGCATTCCTGACTAGGGAGGCAAGCCAGCAAAGCTCGGAGGTGGGACTGAGAACACCAAATCTCCCACAGGTTAGGCAGGAAGTTTCTGGGCCTCACTCCTTTCAGGACCAGCTGAGCAGCAATCCTGAAACTAAAAGCTCCCTGGTGGCCAAACCTTAATATGAACAACCAAGTTACTGAATCCTCCCAAGAGTACCCTGATGTCGGGGGAGTGGAGAGGGAGGGTTGCTTCTATTTTCAGAGGAGGAAATAGAAGGTCAGAAGAGTTAAGCGGCGATTCAGGCTCGCGCAGCTCTGCCTTCAGAGCTTGAGAGGTCTGCAAAGCCCACCAGCCCCTCCTTACCTATGACAAGAGACGGCAAGGGAGATTCAGGTGGTGATGGATGAGGACAGGATAGCATGGGGGAAAGGCAATCCCAAAATCTCTGACAGCTCTGGAGCCAGGCCAACCTGGTGGGAGCCCCCAGGTCAGTTACTGCGGCTCAGGCTACTGCCAGTGAGGCCGTGGAGGAGACGAAATGAGGGTGCAGCACGCGCTGCACACGAAGCGCTGGAAGGGAGGCATCGTGACGGGGGCTGTGAATGGCGTGTGTCCATCAAGTCACGTCACTCCGCTTACCCCACTGCGGGCAAACAGGAAACATCAGGAATCTGGTGCTCAAGGAGGGTCAGGACCATGCTGAGCGCACCCAGAACCAGCAGAGAACTGGGCAGGAGGTCCCCAACCAACCCCCACTCGCTCAGGAATCACAAGGTGTTCAGCCCCCTCCTCCCTGAGATCCAGGAGTCCACGACCCCAGGCCCTCCTTCCTCAGCCACAGATGCCTGGGGTCCCCAGCCCCACTTCCTCTAGCCCTAGTCCTGGTCCTCTCCTCTCTCAGACCTAGGATGGCCCCCCAGCCCCCTCCTCCCTCAGAGCCAGAAGGCCAGCTCGAGACCCTTCCTCCCTGAGACCCCGAAGTCTGGGGTCCCAGCTTCAGGGTTTCAGGTCACTGGGCCCCCATCCCCCTCCCACCTCACATGGAAGGCCAGGTAAGGTAACGGGTTTATTCACAGTGTCATTTACAGGCAGACCTCACCCGGGCGCGTCGGATCCCGGCGGGAGGCCCGGAGTCGCTAGAAGGTGGGGACGGTCTCGGAAGTGGGGGCCCGGGCCGGATCCCCGGGCGTCCCCGGCGTCGCCTCCTCGTCCAGCCCCCGGCGGCCCTTGCCGATGGCCAGGCGGGGCCGACCGCGGTTCAGGCCGTCCAGGAGGGAGCAGGCCTGGCAGAGCGCGCGGCTGGCCAGCGCCCCACAGCGGGGGCAGGCGCCGGGGCGCGGGGGCCGCGCGGCCGAGGCCAGCGCCAGGCGTTCGGCCGAGTGCACCAGGTCCAGCACCGCCGACGGCCGCGGCGCCTCCAGGCGCTTGAGCAGGTCCCGGGCGCTCCTCTCTTCTGAGAAGTAGTCGAGGCGGCGGAAGTGCCCGTACGGCACCACCTCCTGCGAGGCGAACTGCAGCGGGCGGCAGCGCGGAAGGGCACCCCCCTAGCCCGGAGAGCCCAGGCCCCCGCCCCGGGCCAGCCGCCCCGCAGGAAGTTCATGAGCACGGTGTCCACCATGTCGTCGGCGTTGTGACCTGGTGGGGAGAGACGGGAGAGGGTGAGGTGCGGCGCGGAGGGCGCTGCTGGCCAGGGAGCCCCTCGAGGAACCAAGGGTCCACCAGGACCCAGAGAGAGACTGGGAGGGGAGACCCACGGAGACCCAGGGCACAGTGGGGCCGCCAGGTCCCAGAGAGAGAGACGGCGACGGGGAGAGCGAGCCATGGAGACCTCCGAACAATGTGCAACAGCCAGGATCCAGAGACAGAGAGGGGGAGACAGAGCCATGGAGACCCCTGGGACACTGTGGGTAACCAGGACCCAGAGAGAGACGGGGAAGGGAGACCCAGGGCACAGCGGGGCCGCCAGGACCCAAGACAGAGAGGGGCAGGGGGAGGGGGAACAGATACTGATGGGGAAACCGGACCATGGAGACTCCCGGGCACCATGGAGCAACCAGAAGGAGACTGGAGGTGGACAGAAAACCTGAAGGGAACACAAACAAGCTCCTTGGGGGGAGCCCTCATTTGCCATCCACCTACTGTATACCAAGCCCTTCGCTAGCTCTCTTTCCACATAGCGGGTAAAAGTGCTTTAAGCTGCAAACACCATTTCAGCCTCAGTTAAAACTGTATTTCAGACTACACAGGAGAAAAAAGGGCCATCTAATGGGGATTCTCAAGAGAGCTGTAGACACAAGTGTCTCTGGGAATGCAGATCACGCGATTTACAAAGACCAGAAAGAAAGTTAATGAATACATACACACCAGTCGCCATACAATTTAAATGGAAACTACGTTTATTCTGCATTTTGTCATCTTATACTTGAGTCTGTATATTAAAATGCTGTTCTTCTTCGGGCTTCTCAAGTTGGTCATATTTCCCCTCCTCAAGGCCTTTGCCTCTCTGTGACCTCAGCTCAGAACACCCCCCGCCCAAACTCCAACTCATCCTTCACCTGGTTATTCACTGAGCCTTCGGGTCTCAGTTCACTCAGGAAACGTTTCCTTAATCCCCACCTTTTCCCCGCCACTAGTACCCCCTGATATAAATTCACACATTCTGTGTAATTTTCCGTAGTAGCACTCGTCAGGTTATAATTACATTCGTGAGAATCAGGCAGGAGCAGAGACTGTCTTGTGCTCTTGTGGATCATCATAACAGCAAACATTTACATCATGTTTACTGTTTTTCAGCCTCTAGTCTGAGTGCTTTATATATAACTCATCTAATTCCCAACTCAAGGACCCAGATATTATTAACATCCCCATTTTACAAAAGATGAAACGGAGGTTAAGTAATTTGCTCTAGGCTACACAGCTTGTATCTGGTATTTAGTCAATGGACGATGATTACTTATTGAAGTAATCATTGAGAGAAAATAAGAGTTGTCAGAGAGAAACCTATAAAGAAAAGGAGTTAAGAGACACAGTAGCATTTCAGACTGTGTGACTTTCGATGAGAGACACCTCTTCACATCTCTCTTTGTGAAGGGAGATACAAAGTCATTTCCCTCTACTAAAAATAGAAAAATTACCCAGGTGTGGTGGCAGGCACCTGTAAGCCCAGCTACTCAGGAGACTGAGGTAGGAGAATCGTTTTAACCTGGCACACGGAGGTTGCAGTGAGCCTAGACTGCACCACTGCGCTCCATCCTAGGTGACATAGTGAGACTCCATCTCAAAATAATAATAATAATAATAATAATGATAGCAGAGTATTCCAGCCTTAGCTCCTACAAGGTAGCCCCTCTACCTGCCAATGTGTGTACCAATGTGTCCAGAATTGGTTCCTTCCCCTGGGTTCTTGGTCTCGCTGACTTCAGGAGTGAAACCGCAGACCTTCGCAGTGTTACAGCTCATAAAGGTAGTGCGGACCCAAAGAGCGAGCTGCAGCAAGATTTATTGTGAAGAGCAAAAGCACAAATCTCCCACAGCGTGGGAGGGGACCCAAATGAGTTGCCGCTGCAGGCTCGGTGGCTAGCTTTTATTCCCTTATTTGGCCCCACCCACATTCTGCTGATTGGTCCATTTTACAGAGCACTGATTGGTTCATTTTACAGAGCGCTGATTGGTCCATTTTACAGAGTGCTTATTGGTCTGGTTTTACAGAGTGCTGATTGGTCTGGTTTTATAGAGTGCTGATTGGTGCGTTTACAAACCTTTAGCTAGACACAGAGCACTGATTGGTGTGTTTACAATCTTTTAGCTGGACGGAAAAGTTCTCCAAGTGCCCACCTGACCCAGAAGCCCAGCCAGCTTCATCTCTCACTAAGATGATGTCAGAGACCCAGAGGCTTGAAAAACCTGCCTTACTCCATCGTAGGGAGCCACACGTACTACCCACATGAGCCTTCAGTAGGCTCCGGCCCTAAATAGGCACATGCGTATTTCCCCAGCTCCTTACTGGGATCCTCCCGCTAAGCCACGCCCGATGCCCTTGTCTACAGCCATGAGCTGCAGTAAGATGCCCAGGCCCGGTGCCAGCGTGCGCAGCACGTGTGCCAGCACCGTGGAATCCTTGCCGCCCGAGGTGCCCAGGGCCACCACTGCGCCTGGCGGCAGCAGGTAGCCCACAAGCACCATGTGCTGCACCTCCGCCTCGAAGGCGGTGCAGAAGCAGGAACCGCACAGCACTTGGCCCGAGCATGGACGGCGGAGGGAGGCGCATGCCACGTGGCAGGAGGCACATGACGGGGCGGGCATTGCAAGAAGGGACAGCTTCTCCTAGACCGGGAGAGGAGGCGGGTTACACATGTTTCATTGCCTTTGAGGAGTTCCCTAGATAGTGCCCCTGCCTGGAATAGACCAGGGGCAGCTGTGGCTGCTGCTCTTATATACGTGGGTTATAAATGGGTTCTGGTGTAAGAAGGCCACTGCCTCCAGGAAGGCTTCCTGGACTGCACCCATTATGCACCAAGAAGAGAAGGAACTTAAGCTGATTTCAGGGGGAAAAAGAGGGAGCAACAAGCAGGTTATACCCAGAATTAGATCGTGTCCTGTCCAAAGGGGTGAGGGCGTCTATTAAGGACCAGTTGTAACAACTTCCAGGAGGCCACCCATGTTACAGCCCTGATCAGAAGGTAGATATTACTGACTATTCAGAGAGATTGGGAGGGGAGGGGTCAGAGACTCTTAAGGACAGAGGGAGGTCATGCTCTGTTCAAGGGAAGGGGGCTATACAGAAAAGACCAATTGGATTTCACTTTCAGGGGTCGGGGTGGGCATTCTGTCTCCAGGAATGGGTCCTGATTGTGTCTTACAAGGACATACACAGGCAGGCTAGATCAACCTCTAGGGAGACTAGCAGGGGTTGCACCTATTTTTGAGGTGAGGGTGTGTAGGCCTCCAGTTCTGAACTTAACCCCGCTCTGGTATCAGAATCCACCTAAGCTTCTGTGGCCCCCGAAAGACACAGAGAGGTTGGGAGGGGAGGGGTCAGTGATGGGGTTGGCTCATCCTTGGCCCCCAACTGTTCTCTTTCCTACCTCATCCCTCCCCACCCAGCCAAGACTCTAACTGTCCCATCGAACCTCCTTCGTCCCACTTGTCTGGTGAACCCATAAAAACTCCCCAGGCTTAGTCCCCCTCCTCAAGCCACCACCACCTCCAGCCTGCACTACTGCCGTCACATCCTTGCCATTCAGAGCAGGTCACGCTGCTTCTAGGATTTACCACAATGTGTGGAATTATTTCATATGACTGTGTATTTACCGTCTCTAACTTACATGCAAGTAAAGACCAGTGCCACTCAGATGTCTAATAAGCATCTCAAAACCCAAATTCCTGATTCCTCTAACCTAACGGGCTTCTCCTGGAGTACAGGGCAGCTCCATCCCTTCCAGCTGCTCAGGCCAGAAGCTTTGGGGTCCAGGACCCTGGACTGCTCTTTCTATCACTACAGTTGTCACTCTCCCAGTGGGTGGAGCCAAATTGCAATGCTAAGTCCGGACCCTTTCAAACTCCAGGTGCTCAAATGAAAAGTCACACATATTGTTTGACTATAGCTTCAAAACAGCCAAACACTTCTGACCATCTCCATGGCAGCACCCTAGTCAGGTCTGCCTCTCTCCTAGATGGCTGCAGGGGGCTCCTCACAGGTCTCCATGCTCCCTGCCTTGCCTCCTCCACACACACTCCTTCATATAACAGCCAGTGGGATCCTGCCCTGCATCTCATCTCACTTTAGTAACTACTGGCTGGGCACAGTGGCTCACGCCTGTAATCCCAGGACTTTGGGAAGCCGAAGCGGGTGGATCACAAGGTCAGGAGTTCAAGACCAGTCTGGCCAAGATGGTGAAACCCTGTCTCTACTAAAAATACAAAAAAATTAGCTGGGCATGGTGGTGGGCACCTGTAATCCCAGCTACTTGGGAGGCTGAGGCAGAGAATTGCTTGAACCTGGGAGGCGGAGGTTGCAGTGAGCCGAGATCGTGCCATTGCACTCCAGCCTGGGTGACAGAGCGAGACTCTGTCTCAAAAAAACAAAAAACAAAATGTAACTGCTAATGGCCGACGAGGCCCTACAGGCTCTGGCTCCTTGTTTCTCTGTCCTCATCTCCTTCCACTCTCCTTCTTGCTTACTGGTGTCTACTCTTGAGTACCCCCAGGAACACTCTTGTCTCTAGTTGTTTTCACTGGCTCTTCTCTTTGCCCAAAGCACTCTTCCCTGTCACTGAGCCATCAAGCAGCCCTCAGGACTCAACTGCGGTGATGTCAGGTACATCTGTCACAGCGGAGCAAAGTCCCCTTTGAAATACTTTCTCCCACAGCTTTTGATTTAGTCCTCCCTCTTTGTTCTTGTTTTTTGCCTCCTGCTTAATATCTTCTGGGGAGGCCTCTTCACAGTCCTCATATCCTGCCCATCACCCCTCTTCTCATTCTGTTTGTGGGTGACTCTGAATCGCAATGTCCACCAGCCTGGCCCTCCAAATGCCCCACGGAAGATCCCATCTAGGCCTCTCATATCTCAGTGCCCAACTGACCAGCTCTCACACCCCAAGGCAGAAACTTACCTAACCAAGCTCCCCGTCTCCCGGAAGCAACACCACCTTTCACCCAGCTTCTCTATGGAAGACAACTCAGCTTTTTCAACCTCTGAATCTGCAGTCACCTAGTACTGGGGTTCACTTCCTGAGGTCCTTATCAGATCCAGTTGCATCCCTGTTTTAGTTACCTACTCACCTCAGCCAGATGAACTTCCCATTGGTTTTTCAACCCCTTGCATCTTTGGCCAGGCTGATCTCATTGCGCAAGACACTTCCCTAAACACTGTGGTAGACCTAACTCTTACCTTCAAGTCTCAGCTCAAACTTTCATTCATTCATTTAACAAATACCCACTGAGTGCCGCCTATGTACCCAGCATGCTCTAGGTACTGGGACACAGCAGTGAGCAAGATAGGAAAGGTTGCAGCTGTCAGGGCACTGATGTTCTAATGGAGGAACCAGGCCATGGATAAGGAAGTAAATGACTAAGATGCTTTCCAAATACGAGGGAATTATCTTTGGTGGTATGACTGGGGGGGGGGGAACAGGGAGGGGGTTCTTTAGGGTGGCTGGAGGCCTTTGAGCTGAGGCCAACAAAATGAGTAGACAGATATTGGGTCAGGGTGGGAAGAATGCTCCAAATTGAGTTAATAGCAAATGCAAAGGACATGAAGGGCAGGGCCTGGCTGTGTTCAGCCCATTGGAAAGTGTGTTGTGACTGAGGACGACCAGAAAGGACCAGAAGCTTAGAGGTTGGCAGGATAAGGAGCTTGGATTTTATTCTGAGATGGGAACCACTGGATGATTTTAAGCTGGGGGGCAGGGTAGTGACTGGTGACAGGATCTGATTTATATTTCCACAGGCTTCCTGGCACTGTGCCTGAATAGAGGGTGGAGTGTGGCAAGGGAAGAAACAGAACAGTGAGGAGGCCCCTGCAGTGATGCAGGTGAGGAGTAACGGTAGCTCGGAGCAGAATGGAGACAGTGGAAGTGGAGAGAAGTGGTTAGATTCTGGGCCTCTTCTGGAGATAGAGACGATGAGACTCACACAAGATTTGGTTGCGGGAGGGAAGCGGATGAGAGAAACAGAACACTGGCGACCATTCCAAGATTTTGGCTTGAGCACTTGGATGGACAGTTAGTGGGGAGGAGGCAGAAAGATTGTGAGAGGAGCAGGTTTAGGACAGGGAATCTGGGATTTCGTTTGGATGTGGTAGATTTGAGGTCCTTTGCTCTGTAAGGTCTTTCCTGAACCCTGGGCTGGGTCTAGCACCTCCTCTGTGTTCCCACAGCCTCCTGAGCACCCCCTGGGCCAGCCCTGACCACTCTGTGTTGTAACCAGGACAGAGGAGGGTGCACTCGCACTGCACCCAGGTTGAAGGGCGAGAGTGAGAAGGTGTCAGGCTGGGCCGCAGAATCCAAAGCGGGTCAGCAGGTACAACAGCTGCTTAGAGCACTCCCACCCGGAGAGAGGGATTGAGAGATCACGGAAAAGGGTGCCATCTTTCCAGGGACGCCTACCAGAACGCGGGGGAGAGAAATACAGAGACCCTCAACTCCGCCACGTCATCGCGACAAAGGGCCAGGACCGGCCGGCCGCGGGATGGGCGCTCACCTGGGCAGAACTGGAGCTGGAAGGGCCAACCTCCAAAGAAACGAGGAGCGGGCGGAAGGACTACGACTCCCGGAAGGCTTTGGGCCCATCCGCCTACGACTCCCAGGTGCCCCTGCGTTGCGTCGTCCCGAAACACTTGCGGCTCTCGGACAAACTGGGCCTACAGTTCCCAGAGATCCTCGCGGCAGCGCTGCGCATTCTGCGCACGCCTCCCAGAGTGTACTAGGCCGGTCCGGCCCGCTTCCCGTCTGCGCCTGCGCAAGCACAATAGCCGTGCCAGAATTCTCTGCCAGCTGCTGTGCACTGCTGTCAGTGCAAAGATGGGATGGACTTTTTTTTCAGATTTTCTGCTGTTGTGGGAGTATGGCAAGAGTTTGAGGGGGCGGAGAAAGAGATTGGGAATGTGAAAAGGGAAGATAGCACCTGCGCTAAGCACATTCCTAGGATTGGGCCGCGTCTCGGGGATGCAGAGTGGGCTCTTCGGCGCGCCCTGCAGCCATGGGAGTGGACGCCTGCCCAGGCCGAAGGGCAAGGACTTGCGGGGTGGGGTCTCTGTGCATGCGCGGAGCTGAAAGGGAGCGTTTTGCAGATCTCCACGCGTGCGCAACTCTCGGGACGTGGACGCGGTGAACAGTTACGCACAATCGTCTTTCTGACACAAACACACCCTGCCAGGTGGAAGCCAGGATGGAGGGCAGGTGAGACCCGTAAGGCAAGATCCCAAAACCAAGGAACGGAGCACTCTCCCCGCTTGCTCCCCAGATCCAAGCCCTCCACTTCCTTCCAATGCCCCCCTTCCCGAAACTGCTCCCTCCTGTATATTCTGAGATCTTATCACTATTCCCGTGAGGCCCTTGATAAGGAGGATTGAGAGTGAAGGGTGATGGGAGACACGCCTTGGGCGTCTTCTGTCCACCTCAAGGATTGAACTTTGGTAACTGGAACTCATTCATTTGTTAATCTGTGTGCTAGGCCCTTTGACCCGCTGGCCAGATGCACCGGGACACAGGTGTATTCAGCCTGGTCCAGAGATAAGGATGATAAATCTTAATGTAAAGGTATCAGATGTTAAGGGCTGCAGGAGCCCAGAGGTTACAAGTGCTGCAAGCCAGAACATGGGGAAACAACAGCAATTAAGCCGTTAGCTTGTGCCTTGGAGGGGTGTTTGCCCTGCACCCCACTCACTACCTGAAGATAAATGGCTTCTCCAACGTGTAGTGGGGTTGGGATGATGAGGATGACATCACTGCCAGGTGGGAGGCAGGAGCTGCAGGTCCTGACATGATGAGGCAGGTATGGGCCGCCCTGGGCTGAGGGGGACATGGGCTACCCTGGACTGGAGGGCTGGGCTGTGGCATGGGGACCCTGTCAGAGACAGGTGTTTGGCCTCCATGCCTTCCTGTGTCTCTGGAAGGGTGAAACTAAGCGGGATGCTCCTCTCCCAGCCCCACCTGCTTTTCAGAGGCTACCATATGCTGGAGGGGGAAGATCCTGGCCACAAGCAGAGGCCCTGGAGGTGAATCAGTGTTGGAAGTGGGGTGGTTGGTTCTGGGTCCTCCCTGAGGCTCACATGGCTGCCCCTCCCCATCCTCCAGGCCTCGCCTTCTGTCCCGGATCCGCCAATCCTCCGATCCCTGGATCCTCTGATGATGGCATCAACTGTCTGGGCTACAGGTTGCTCTCCAAAGAGTGGCTGCCCCTCTACACCAACCTCACTGTGGACATAACTTCCAAGCCTCAGGAGACCCAGTGCAAAGCTGAGGGGTATCTTATCTGGAAGCCAGAAAGAGCCCCTGAGGCCAAGGTCACAGGGAAGCCCTCCCACTCACCCCACCTGGTTTCTTTTAAAAGTAGAGTTTATTTTATCTCCTTTCTGCCATCCCTAATTCCTTCCTTCCATCTGTCCATCCATCTTCTTTCCCCTCCCTCCCTTCCTCCCTTCTCCTTCTCCTCCTCCCCACACCTGCTTCTTTTCTCTTTCTTTCAACTATGTCCAGAAGGTCCTTCTTAACAAACACTAATTAGTACAGGGAAAGGTCTCTTTAAGTGAATGCATTTAAAATAGGGAGTCCACCTTTGTGGTAAATAGTGTGCACGAGGTGAGTCTGGATCAGGACTTCACACTTGATAACGGAATTCAATTTCTCAAAATACCTTTATTTCAGATTTAATGAAATTCCATGTTTGTTGAATCATTAAGAACGAGCATTTGTGTTGTACTCATGGTGGACAGCCACCATTCTAATGCTTGACTTTACATAATTAACGCATGTAATCTGCAAAGGAGCCACAAGGCGAGATCTATTATTATTCCCATTGTGCTGCTGGAGAAATTAAGGCAGAGAGGTTAAGTTGCTTGCCACCAAACTAGCGAGGGGCAGAGCTGGGATGTGTAGCATCCAGGTAGGTTGGCTCCAGAGCCCATGAGCCTAACTACTACTGTGCCCAACCTTTGTGCCAATCGCCACAACAGTCAAAGGATGGATCAAGTACTGGTTTTGGGGGTGGGGGCAGGGGACTCTGGGCAGTATGTTTTCTGATCACATCACATGACAGTAGGACATTCTTCATTTCACCATGGCTTTCACTGCCCAACAATAAAAAGGTCATGGGCACTTTGGGAGGCCGAGGGGGGGGGATCACGAGGTCAGGAGATCGAGACCATCCTGGCCAACACGGTGAAACCCCGTCTCTACTAAAAATACAAAAAATTAGCCAGGCATGGTGGTGGGCGCCTGTAGTCCCAGCTACTCGGGAGGCTGAGGCAGGAGAATGGCGTGAACCCGGGAGGCGGAGCTTGCAGTGAGCTGAGATCGTGCCACTGCACTCCAGAGCCTGGGCGACAGAGCGAGACTCCATCTCACAAGAAAAAAAAAAAAAAGGTCATGAGGAGGTAAAGTAGTACAATGGTTGAGAGTTAAAACACTGGCATCAGATAGCTTGGTTCAAATCCAGGCTTTTCTTGTTCCTAGATTTTCGGTCTTGAGTTTACGTCAAATTCTCTAAGCCTGTTTCCTCATCTCTAAAATGGGGTTTATGAGGTTAGATTATTTCCTACAATGGCTGTGAGGAATAAACGAGTTAGTTCATACAAGCTGCCTAGA
Source organism: Homo sapiens (assembly GCF_000001405.40). Lineage (NCBI taxonomy): Eukaryota > Metazoa > Chordata > Mammalia > Primates > Hominidae > Homo > Homo sapiens. The sequence goes on along the minus strand of NC_000019.10, from coordinate 51,591,542 downwards.
ATAGTAGCTTCTCCCTCTGGAAACTCAAAACTCTTGACCTCTCATCTCATGATGAGGCCATTGGACTAACATTTATTCATCTCTTAGTTCTCTGAGCCAACAGATCTTTTCACAGATCTGTGAGCATGCCCTCATGTGACTGAAAACTTTAGATAGCTCCCTGGGACCCATCAATTCCAAAGCTAATCACCCAACCAAACTCCAGATTCCTCCGTCTATTATCCCACAGGCATTGAGTACAGACTGGCTTGTCCCAGCGCTTGGTACTGAGAGGAAAGAAAAAATAGTATGAGACAGAGGCTGGGAGGGAGGTGAGCACTCTAGACAGAGGGGGTTGCGAGGTAGGGAGGAAACTAAGTTGTTAAAGCCAACAGGCCCCGGAAGTGGCACGAGGTCAGAGGTGTGGGATGGCCAGGGAACGAGCAGCTTTCTGGAAGTGGGGAGGAAGGGCTTGCCCTGAGGGGGACAGTTAGGGAGGCCCACGTGAGGAGTGAACATGTGGCTGGAGATGAGGACCCAGAGTGATCCCCCCAGGTGATGCTTAGGAACAGGGAAAGCCCAGATCTGAGAAGGGAGGCACATCCTGAGGGGTCTTTGGAACCAGTGTGTCTACACTGTGGGCTCAAGTTTTTAACACACTTGTCCTAGGGCCCTGCCACCTTCCTCCCTGAAACTGGTCAGGGTGCCACTCCCAGGACCCAGGTGCACACTATTTCCACCCCTCACCACCATGGAGAGGCCTCTGCAGCCTTTCCACCCCACACCAGTCATCTACGGCCGGCCAGCCCTTGTACCTGGACTCCCCAGGTGAGACTCTTCCACCTTTCTCAGGAGGTGGGACATGGTCACTGATACTACGCCCCTGGACAGGGAGAGGCCAGTGAGACACAGAACAGATTTGCTCTCCAGGGCCCAGCACAGGCTCCTGCATGTGCAGTCACCTTGTTTTAGACACAGCCTGAGGTCTGTGCTGGTTCCTGACCAGCTGTGTGGGCCCCTATCAACCTTGAAGGGGTATGGAGACTAAAGCCATGGGTGCCCATCTCTAACACCCTTCTGGAAAAGACTTCCAGCTGACAGAAATCTCCCACCACAGTCCCACACCCAGCACAAGGGAACCAGGCAGGCTCAGGGATACGAGGCCCGCTAAAATTCATCAGCACTTGGTCTGTCCATGCAGTTCCAAGGGTTTAACACACACACACTTCTCACACCAAATGCATGGGGGTAGGGTACTATCATCATCTCCCTTTTGTAGATGAGAAAACCAGAATAGATGAGACCAAATAACTTGCTCAGCAGATGCAGAGGGTAGAGAGTGGAGCCAGGAATCAAATGCAGGAACCTGGCTCCTGGGCCTGTGCACTTAAAAGATTATGCTGGTCTGCTTCTCGGAAGTATTGATAACAGTTCCCTCTCCGTTTTTTAGCAAAAAATGTGTGTGGGGAGGAAATAAGTAATCAAAACTGTGGGAATGGCTAAATAAATTATGGCAGGTCAACCTCATAGAATACACGTGTGTACAATCCATCATGGATTGTAGAATGAAAAAAATACCATCCACACACGTAAGAGATCTGAGTTTTATAAATCAATGAAAGAGTACTTACACAGGTATATGATGATGAACATAGTAATATGTGTGTATGTGTGTGTGTTTGTGTGTGTATCATGTGCTGGCAAACATTTTCTGTAAAGAGCCAGAGAGTAGATATTTTCAGTTTCCAGCTTGGGGGCTATTTGATCTCCGCCAAAACTACTCAATTCTGCCAGTGCAGCACAAAAGAAGCCCAGACAATACATGTCCAAATGAACATGGCTGTGTTCCAATAAAACTTTATTTTAAAAAAACAGTTGGGAGGCCATATTTGGCCAATGGCCACAGTTTGTTGACTCCTGGTGTAAAAATATGAACGAGACTAATGGTTGGCACTAATTATGGAGAGGCTCACTATAGATGGTGGAGATGGAAAGGGGGGGCAAGCTGAGCTAATCCTAAAAGAAGAGAAAATCTGTAATATAAAGATCAGTAAACATTATAGAATCTCATTTATGCATTTACCAAAAATGCACATTCATGTGTATGTATAATAAAGGAGTTAATCATTGTTGATACAACCTCATTATATAAATATTCAATAGGGAATAATTTTTATAAAAACAATTAGATTAGATTCTCTTAAAAAATAACTCATCTGCTTACATCTCCTGCTATGCAGTGAATTCTGCAGCAAACCCCACTGCACTGAGGGCATACATACATACATACATACGCATACATACACATATGCTGACCAGACCATATACATATGTCTGCATATGCATATATATACATACATAGATACAGAAATATACGTACATACAGGTTGGGTATTCCTAATCTGAAAACCCAAAATCTGAAACTTTTTGAACTCTAACATGACGCTCAAAGGAAATGCTAATTGGAGCATTTAATCTTGGATTTTCAGATTAGGGATGCTCAACCAATAAATATAATGCAAATATTCCAAAATCTGTAAGTATCTGAAATCCAAAATGCTTCTGATCCCAGGCATTTTGGAGAAGGGATACTCAACCTGTATATAATAATATGCTTATATATTATATATATGCTTATATACATAAGGCGCACACACACACATAAAATATTGTCCTATCATGACTGTGTTGGCACTTTAAAAATATTGATATCCCACAATAAACAGGGTTATCATTGATATAATTTCCCACATATTTTACTATAAATAATCGAGTAACAACCTGTCTTGTACCATTCTTTACAGAAAGGCTTTTCTCAATGCGTTAGTCAGGGTTTCTTCCCGGGGAGAAAATTTATAATCCTTAATGAGGCCAGTACTCAGAAGGACATTTCTGCTTACTCTTTTCTCTGTAATTGCCCTCACTAAAATAAAGCATGACTTTTTTATCATGTGTTCACACATGCAGTGCATCCCTAGAGTTTTTCTGAAGCATGAATTCAATAACATATAATTAGACCTGATTCTGAGAAGATTTTCTCTTCTTCAAGAAACTCGGAGTATATTTCATTTATGAATATGCTGATGCACTAGGAATTCATTGCTTGGTAAAGCCTTTCACAGAATAACTGCATTTGTAAGATTTGTCTCTGGTATGAGTTGTTTGGTGTTTATTGAAGTTTGACCTGTTGTTGAAGGCCTTTCCACATTCAGAACACACATAAGGTCTTTCTCCCGTGTGAATTCGCTGATGCACCTTGAGTTGTGGTTTCTTACTGAACGATTTCCCACAGTCAAGGCATTCATAGGGTTTCTCTCCCATGTGAGTTCTTTGATGGGTAATCAACTCTGATTTCTGGACAAAAGCCTTCCCACATTTGTAACAGACAAAAGGCCTCTCTCTAGTGTGAGTTATTTGATGTTTATGGAAATTTGACCTGCCGTTGAAGGCCTTCCCACATTCAGTGCACACATAGGGTTTCTCACCCGTGTGAATTCGCTGATGCTCTTTGAATTGAGACTTAGAAGTGAAGGCTTTCCCACATTCACTGCATTTGTAAGGCTTCTCTCCGGTGTGAATTCTCTGATGCATGCTGAGTATTGACTTCTGGTTGAAGGCTTTCCCGCATTCACTGCATACATGGTGTCTTTCTCCAGTATGAATTTTCTGGTGTATATTCAGGTGTGACTTTTGGGTGAAGGTTTTTCCACAGTCACTGCATTCATAAGGTTTCTCCCCTGTATGAATTCGATGATGTATATCAAGCTGTGACTTGGAAATGAAGGATTTCCCACAGTTGTGGCACTGATAAGGTTTTTCTCCTGTGTGGCTTCTTTGATGGACAATCAGGTGTGCCTTCTGGATGAAGGCCTGCCCGCATTCGATACACACATAGGACTTCTGCCCTGAGTGGATTCTCTGGTGCAAGCTGAGTGTTGACTTCTGGGTAAAGGCTTTCCCACATTCACTGCATGCATACTGTCTCTCACCAGTATGAATTTTCTGATGTATAATGAGGGTTGAGTTTTGGGAGAAGCCTTTGCCACATTCACTGCATTCATAGAGTTTTTCTCTACTGTGAGTTCTCTGATGTCTGAAGAGAGATAACATCTGGAAAAAGGCTTTTCCACAGTCATGGCATTTATAGGGCTTCTTTCTAGTGTGTGTTTTCTGGTGCGTAAGCAATTCTGATCTCTGAATAAAGACCTTCCCACATTCCTTGCATATACAGGGTATATCACCTGTATGATCTGTCAGATATACACTGAGTTTTAGTTGTGGCATGAAGGCTTTTCCACATTTGCCACATTCATGGAGGTTTCCTACACTATGAATTCTCTGTTGGGCAAAGAGGTGTGACTTCTGGGTGAAGCTCCCCCCACATTCAGAACATCCATCTGGTTTCTTCTGAGTATGAATTTGATGTTGCTTGAGTGACTGTTTATGGCCACAGACTTTTCTACACTGGTTACCTTTGCAAAATGTCTCTCCTGTATGAATATTCTTGCTGCAGGCATCAGAAGAGCTATGGCTGAATAGCTGACCAGACCCAACAACGTCATCAAGCTGTTCTGTGTCATTGCTTTCATTCTGACCGTTCACTTCTAGGTTCAGCTTCAAACTTTCTGTAAATAAGCAACATTTCTGAGGTTGTTTCTGTGAAGAAGCAAGGTGGGGCCTCGTGCGAATCATTTTCCCAGGGTCCTTATATTCACAATTGCTTTCTGTGTTCAATGTTTTCTTGTTGAAGAAAGCACTGTGACTCATGGGTTGAATTTGATTTTGCTCATCTTTCTTTGTGCGGTCAGCATCCAGCCTCAGTTCTTCTAAAATGGAACACCATGAACCATCTCTTGTGAACTCACCTACCATATCCTTTTGAAATGAAGCTTTCTTAGAAATCTCCTTTTGTGGGATTTCAAGCCCAAACTCCCTTTCTAAAAGGAGAAAGAGAAGATGAAATAGACACAATGAACAAGAAAGAGGAGAAACTGCATGAAGCTGATTGACACAGAACACAAGGAAATTGCTGAGTCATGTAATAATGCTGCTAATGATGCTGACAATGAGCAGAAACACAGAGCCCTTATTACATGATGAGCATTTATCTACATAGCACTTAGCATGTGCCAGGCAGTGGCCTACATGGTGCACACATACTCATTTAATCTGCATAATAACCTCAGGAGGTAGCGATGATGGGTGTTCCTGTTTTACAAAGAAAAGGAAGCACATAATGGTTATGTAATTGGCCAAGATCACTTTGCTAATCTGTGGGGATTAGATTTCAACAACCTGAGGACACTTATGCAAGTGGTCTAGACACCCAGATCTAGTAGGATGAGTAGGATAAAACAGACAAGTGTTGCAGGGCAACATGTGTGGGCAGCCAAGGCTTGAAGGAGGGGGCTCAGTGTGTAGGTCTTCATTAACTTTCAGAGATGAATCCTCACCAATCTGCCTGCTTTATCTTACTTGTTAGAAACAATGCCAAGTCCATCAGCCCTGTATATCCTTCTGAAAACTATTAAAGCTTCACCTATCTTGACATGGCCAACCAGTGAAAGAATGACTATGCCTCAACTCTCCTATGCCTCAACTCTCCATGAAGCTACAATTTTTTTTTCTTGAACTTAGGAATATACCCATATCCCCAGAAATATATTCTAAAAGACTGGACAAGCAAGCTGTTCCCCAGAATTTGTTTCACCCTTGTTCCATTGAAATTAATTGTTCTTTGTTAGAACTTTTGGCTTTATGCTATCAAATATGCCTTTTTTAGTTTAGTTTTTTGTTTTGTTTTGTTTTTTTGCCAAGAATAAGAGTCCCTGATCATCCTGTGCACTTTACTAGTATACTGCACAAAACACAGCAGGTTCTCAATAAAAATAATAGTTACTAAATTTTACTATTACTTTTTCTACCAGATTTTAATACTGAGTATGAACATCACATGTAGTTTCTTTTCGCTTTCAGTCACTTAAACTGTATCCCAGACTCTTGTCCTATCAAAAAAACTCAATCATCTTTCATTCTTTTTTTAAAAAAAGGACACTTTTAATCTTTATTGTTAACTTTTTCTTATTGTAGCAAAAGTGCATAATATTACATTTACCATCTTGCCCATTTTGTATTGTACAGTTCAGTAGTGCTACCTGTATTCACCCTGTTGTGCAATGGATCTCCAAAACTTTTACATCTTGCAAAACTGAAATGCTGTATCCATTAAACAATTTCCCTTTTCCCCCATCCCTCATTCTCTGGCAGCCACAATCTTATTCTGTCTCTATGAATTGACTACTTAAAGTACCTCATACAGGTAGAATGATACATTTGGATTTTTTGTGTCTGGCTTATTCACTTAGCATCATGATAAGATTCATCCGCACTGCAACATGTTTCATAATTCCTCTTCCTTTTTAAGGCTGAATAATATTTCATTGTATGTATAGACCACATTTTGTTTACCAATTCATTGGTCAATGGACAATTCCACTTTTTGGATATTGTGAATAGTGCTGCTATGAACAAGAGTGTACAAACAGCTGTTTGGGTCCTTGCTTTCAATTCTTGTGGGTATCTACCCAGAAGTGGAGTTGCTGGATCATATGGTAATTTTATGTTTAATTTTTGAGAAATCATCATCCTGTTTTCCATAGGACTACACCATTTTACATTCCCACTAGTAATACACAAGGATTCCAGTTTCTCTATATCCTTGCCAACACTTGTTATTCTGTTTTTTTAATTGTAGCCATTCTAATGGATGTAAAGGGATATCACCCAGTGGTTTTGATTTGCATTTCCCACATAATTAGTGAAGTTGAGCATTTTTTCCTATTATTGGCCACTTGTATATCATCTTTGAAGACATGTCTATTCACATCCTTTTCCCACTTATTAAAATAGGTTGTTTTCTATTTCATTTTTCACTCTTAAATAGCAATTTTACCCATATACAGGTGGTCATTTATTCTGGCAATCTTCCACTGTGTCCCCAGGCAGCGATCTGAAACATTTTTAACTTCTCACTTTATTCAGGTCATAAAAATCTTGCTGAACCTGGTAACACTTAAATTACTGCCCAAAATGTTCAATGTAAACTATCAGAACTGTACTGAAAAGCTTTTCCACAACTCTCCAACACAGCCTAACAATGTCGATTGCAAAAAAGAAGTCCAATTTATTCTCAAATCCAAGCACACTCTCATGTCCTCTATTCCCATTAAGCTTGCTTCATCTGCTTCTTTGTTTCAATTCAAAATGGCTTCTTGAACCAGTTATAGGTACTATGCCCTTAAAATTAATTCCCAATGTCACTCCACCTCTAGGCTGACATCATTTTTCTGAACTTCACCAGCATTTGCTATCCATGCTTCCCATGTTGATACACTTACTTTTTGAGTAGCCTTCCATGAAATAGACATGATTGATGCACAAAGGCTAATACTTTTAACATTTAATGCCATTGTCCTCTCCATCCAAATACAATCTCCGTTCTTTTGAATTTATCTCAGCAAATATTTAAAGCATCCTTTTAAAATACTGTGAAATATTCTTTTCTGCCCATTTTCAGAAAATCAGTAATTTCTGTATCCTAAATACAAAAATCCTAATCCTATATCTTAAATACAATGGTTTCCTCATGCTAAACATTGATATAATGAAGATTAAGAAAGTACAAAGTAATCAGCAGAGTGTATGCAAAGTGAATCATTCTATGGAGTAGACATTAAACAACATACAAAAACAATGGAGCAGAGCATGAGTGATGAAAACTATTCAGGTATATTTTTAAATTGGAAATATGTGGCCATGAGGACAATATCACTGAAAAGAATTTGTTAATCCTACACAGTAGGAAATAGAACTGCCTGTTTTTATCATATCTACTGAGGAAAAAAGAAACAAAATAGCCATGTTTGGGGTCATAAAATCTGTCAGTATCTTGACTAAACTCAAAAACCTGAAATCAACATATCTCACTGGGAACAAAATTGTCTAAATATGAGAAAATGGGGATCTAGTTTGTTGTAATACCACTGGGATTAAGAAAAAGGGTCACTTTTTTCTTAATTAAAACAAGAAAAACTGGTAAGAATTCCAAAGTAATAAATTAAATTAGAGGACTGTGTTTCTGAGCCCAGAAACAGAAAAATCTCACAAAATTTATCAGGTGAGAATTCCTTATTTGGATGATGATGATTCCAATTTCTGATCTCCCAAAATTAAGGAAGTGAGTCATCTCATGGGAACTGTCCTCCGTGGAGCTAAGTAAGGTAGCAGAACACAGTTTAAGCACAGGGACTAGAGGTACTGATATATAAATCATTAGAATAAAAATATGAGGACTAAGAGTTCAGAATGGATGGGTCCTTTAAGTCAATTCCTGTGGGAAAAGATGCCCATAGCCGGGCACGGTGGCTCACGCCTGTAATCTCAGCACTTTGGGAGGCCAAGCCAGGCGGAACACCTGAGGTCGGGAGTTCGAGACCAGCCTGACCAACAAGGAGAAACCCCGTCTCTACTAGAAATACAAAATTAGCCGGGCATGGTGGTGCATGCCTGTAATCACAGCTACTTGGGAGGCTGAGGCAGGAGAATCACTCAAACCTGGGAGGCGGAGGTTGCGGTGAGCCAAGATCGTGCCATTGCACTCCAGCCTGGGCAACAAGAGTGAAACTCTGCCTCAAAAAAAAGAAAAGATGCCCATATGGAAGAACAGGGCCCCAAGCTAGAGGTGCCACAACTGGGAGGAAAAGAAGACAGCAGATCCAGCAAAGAAAAGAAAATAAATAAAATTAGGGGCAAAAAAACTGGAAAAAAAAGGCAGAAAACTCCATGGACGTAAAGAGATAAGCGGTAAGAAAATGCAACAAACAAATGAAAAAGCCAATCAGATAACAGATAAGATGAGAGGCTCTCACCATTCAGTTATTAGAAAAATAACACTTAAGCAATGAAACAGGCTGGGTGCGGTGGCTCACGCCTATAATTCCAGCACTTTGGGAGGCCGAGGTGGGCAGATCACAAGGTCAGGAGATCGAGACCATCCTGGCTAACAGGGTGAAACCCTGTCTCTACTAAAAATACAAAAAATTAGCCGAGTGTGGTGGCGGGTGCCTGTAGTCCCAGCTACTCGGGAGGCTGAGGCAGGAGAATCACTTGAACCCAGGAGGCAGAGGTTGCAGTAAGCCAAGATCGTGCCACTGCACCCTAGCCTAGGTGACAGAGTGAGACTCTGTCTCAAAAAAACCAAAACCAAAAACAAAAAAAAATGAAACAGCCCTTTCACCTATCAGTAGGGCTATAAATTCACCAATTTTGTTAATGCCAAGTGTTAGCAAGCAAGATGTGCAAATGCAAATCCTTGTGCACTGCACATGGGGAGTGTGAACTGGTGCAGCCCATCAGAAGAGCAATATGGTTGATTTAGTCAAGTATACTTATCTCCAGGACCAGGCAATCCCATTCCTGAGTATTCACCAATGGAAAATTCTTAAGGCAGCCCCTATAGGACATTTAACATTTATAGCACATTTACAGTGTTTGATGGGAAACTGGGAGTAGGAGGCAATCTACGGGCCATCACTGGGGGAATGGAGGGAATAGAAAAGTATGGTAGACTGGTAATGGTTCCCTGCAAAGATATCTACATTTGCCCGGGTACAACTTACTCACCTTGACACCTCTGATGTGAGACTTCAGCCTCCTCCACACGCGGCTCCTTTTCTTTTAGCATTCTGAAGATGACCTCTGGGTTGGGAATGTGATACCCTGTTAATTAGAAAGGATACTGGATTTGGGTGTAGCTTCTTCAGTTTTAGAGGCCATTCAATGAAGCTTTACACTGGCTCATTAGAAAAGTCAACATTTTCCACTGGGCACAAAATAATACTAGAAGGTGCCCAAAAGAAACAAACAATCCAGGACAAACCGATAAAAGAGTCATGACATACTTTGATATCCCACTGCGTTCTGCAATGAGGAGGAAGGAAATCTCCTCAACAGGATCCAGCCAAGATTCCCAGGTCAGTTGTGCTCACCCACTGCGAAGAGATGGCTATAGAGCTCCAGCATCACATCCCGGTACAGGCATCTCTGGGCAGGGTCCAGTTGCTGCCACTCCTCCCTGCTGAAGTCCACGGTCACGTCCTCAAATGACACTGATGCCTGTAACAGTGTACCCCAGCTCACTGTGAATTAGGTCATCATTGGCGAGTGGGGATGGCACATATAGGAGGAACATGCTTTTAATGATTTTCACCACGATCCATCACAGAGGCTTCCCACCAAACACCTATTTCACATTTTTAGGGATTTAAAAAAAAATAAGAGAAATATCCTCCATCCACTGTACACCTACATTCATTCATTCATTTTTTTTTTTCAAAAATGAGGCCAGAAATGGGTTCCCTCTAAGTCCTTTAGCTAATTTAGGAATAACCAGCATGATGTTGACGAAGCAACTACATGTGAGGCTGTAGTTGAGCTGGGTTCTGGTGCTCAACACAGAATTACATAAGCTTCTACTCTTGCAGCAACTCAGAGACTTGGAAGACATGTAAATACAAAAGCTCAACTACAGGGTTAAAAAGGGAACATGGTAGAAATATATGCAGAGGACACTGTTGGGGAAGGGCAAATTAGGGAAAGGCAAATTCTACCTAGGAGTAGAAGGTAATGCTACTTAGAGTTGGTGAAGCTTACGCTGGAAGTAAGAACTGTGATGCAGGATGTGTGAAGGAAATCATTTTCCAGAAAAGAGCATGAATAAAACTAGAGAGGTAGGAAAACACTGTGAATTCAGGGAGAAGCAGACAGCTCTGTGTAAGATAAGAGGCGACTATGTCATGTTTGGAAGGTGGTTACCATCCAAGCTCCAAAGAAGTGGGCTGGTGCCTCAATATATAATGGGTATGGATTATTTATTTTAATGAACGGACTGCCATTTCAGGATTTTAAGTGCAGGGAAGAGATATGATCATATAATATTTCAACAAGATGATCTCTCCTGTAATAACTAATATTAGGTTAATGAAAGGACTGATGATGGAAAGATCTTCATTACAGAAGTACTGCAGATGATAAATGCAGCCTGAAGGACAAAACAAAAATGTCACTGTTACTGATCACCAATGACTGCTAAAACCATATGAAAGACTGATGGGTCTTTATAATGGAGGAGTAGGCTGACAATATCTGAACCCAATCATCAATTTTATCACAAGGAGAGAGATAACCAGATATTAAAGTGCACCTAATATGATGCAAAATAAAAAAATAAAAGTAGAGAGGTAGGAAAATACGTGGTGTGCAAACTATTAAGTATCATTTCCAAAAACAAAGAAATCCAAGTGGACTCTGATCAAGCCTCTAGAGGAGAGCCATCCAATGGAAATAAAACATGAACCGTGAATGTGAGCCACACATATAACTTAAAATTGTCTAGTAGCCATGTTTAAAAGACAGATAAAATCAATTTAATGATATTTTTACTTAATCCATTATATTCAAAACATTATCATTTCTATATGTAATATTTTAATATTACATATATTAAAACATTCTATATTCTATATATTGAATATTCTATATTCAATATTTTAAAAATCATCGAGATGAGATGCTTTACATTCTGTTTTCATACTAAGTTTTCAGAAGTCAGCATATATTTTATACTTCAAGCACATCTCAGGGTGAACCAGCCGCATTCAAGTGCTCAATAGCTACATGTGGTGAGTGGCTACCATACTGGACAGCACAGGTCTACATTTAAATACCAGTTCAGAACAGATGTTGGGCATATACCCAGGGGTGGAATTCTGGGTCATGGGAAAAACATGCTCGCCTTTAGTAGAAAATTAGAAATCATTTTCCAAATTGGTTGTACCAATTTATATGCTTACCAGCAGCACACAAAATCCTTCTGGTTGCTCTGTATCCTCACCTACATTTGGTATTATCAGTGTTGGTAACTGTATGCATTTTGGTACAGGCATGGGAGTTACACTGGCAATTCCCAGATGACTAATGAAGCTGAGCATCTTCCCATGTTTACCAGCCTATTCAAGCAAGTCTCTTCTTCAGTTTTCTACTGGGTTAAAAAACACTTTTCCTCAAAAAAAAAAAATTTTTTTTGGGAGATAGAATCTCACTCTGTTGCCCAAGCTGGATTGCAGTGGCACGAGCATGGCTCACTGCAGCCTCTGCCTCTCAGACTCAAGCGATCCTCCTGCCTCAGCTTCCCAAGTAGCTGGGACCACAGGCGTGCACTACCATGTCCAGCTTTTTTTTTTTTTTTTTTTTTTTGAGATGGAGTCTACTCTGTCACTAAGGCTGGAGTGCACTGGCATGCTCTTGGCTCACTGCAGCCTCTGACTCCTGGGTTCAAGCGATTCTCCTGCCTCAGCCTCCCAAGTAGCTGGGATTACAGGTGCCTGCCAACATGCCTGGCTAATTTTTGTATTTTTAGTAGACACGGGGTTTCATTATGTTGGCCAGGCTGGTCTTAAACTCTGGCCTCAAGTGATCGGCCCATCTCTGCCTCCCAAAGTTCTGAGATTACAGGTGTGAGTCACCACACTCAGCCTTAATTTTTGTATTTTTTGTAGAGATGGGGTTTCAGCATGTTGCCCATGCTGGTCTCAAACTCATGAGCTCACACGATCCACCCACCTTGGCCTCCCAAAGTTTTGGGATTACAGGTGTGAGCCACTGCACGTGGCCATTTCTGTGTTTCTGAAGGAGTATCTCATTGTCCTGTAAACCTCTCAGGTCTTTTGTTTTTGTTTTTTGAGACAGGATGTCACTCTGTCACCCAGGATGGAATGCAGTGGTGCAATCACAGCTCACTGCAGCCTCGACCTCCGGGCTCAAGTGATTCTCCCGTGTCAGCCTCCTGAGTAGCTGGGATCACAGGCACACACCACCACACCTAGCTAATTTTTCTATTTTTTGTAAAGATGGGGTCTCCCTATGACGCTCAGGATCGTCTCAAACTCCTGGGCTCAAGCAATCCTCCCATCTTGGCCTCCCAATGTGCTGGGGTTATAGGCATAAGCCACCACGCCCAGCCGTCCTCAACGTTTTATAGGAACCTTTTGTCAGCTGTATGTGTAACAAGAATCTTTTCCCATTCTGGGGCTTGCTTCTTTTTTTTTGAGATGGAGTTTCACTCTTGTTGCCCAGGCTGGAATGCAATGGCATGATCTTGGATCACTGCAACCTCCACCTCCCGGGTTCAGGCGATTCTCCTGCCTCAGCCTCCCAAGTAGCTGGAATTACAGGCACCCGCCACCATGCCTGGCTAATTTTTTGTATTTTTTTAGTAGAGATGGGGTTTCACCATGTTGGCCAGGCTGGTCTCAAACTCCTGACCTCGTGATCAGCCCGCCTCGGCCTCCCAAAGTGCTGGGATTACAGGCGTGAGCCACTGCATCCGGCCTCGTTTTTTAAAATGAAGTAATTAACTTAAAAGTGACGAAAGTAGTTAACTTTGGAAGAAAGTGGTAGTGTTTGGGAGGTAAAGGCAGATGACTAACTATAATTACCTATGTGGAAGAAACCTGGACAAATCAGGGACAAAAGAGAGAGGGGTATGCCAGGTGCGGTGGCTCACGCCTGTAATCCCAGCACTTTGGGAGGCCAAGGCGGGCGGATCACGAGGTCAGGAGATTGAGACCATCCTGGCTAACACGGTGAAACCCCATCTCTACTAAAAATACAAAAAATTAGCTTGGTGTGGTGGCGGGCGCCTTTAGTCCCAGCTACTCGGGAGGCTGAAGCAGGAGAATGGCGTGAACCCGGGAGGCGGAGCTTGCAGTGAGCCAAGATCGTGCCACTGCACTCCAGCCTGGGCGACAGAGTGAGACTCCATCTCAAAAAAAAAAAAAAAAAAGAGAGAGAAAGGAGTATTTTGTAAAAAAATTACTTTTCATGATGTTTTAATTTGTGAATGCTGTGTATTATCTATTCATAAAATTACATTTTAAAATATCTCAAATATCCTTAGGTAAGATAGTTCAATCATTAAACAAAAACATCATGTCATTAAAAGGAGTATTCATATCTAAAAGCTCTTAAAAATTTTTTAAGGCAGTAATGATTATCGGAGGGCTAGAAAATAAAGTTGAGAAATTCTTCCAGAAAGAGGGTCCAAAACCAAAGAAATAGAAAATGACAGAGCATAAAAACCCTTTTAAATGGAGACTAACAGCTTAAAAATAAAGAGTTTCAGGATTTGAGAGCAGAGAGACTATATGTGTGTGGTAAGGAAGTAGTATATGGGGTGTTTTAGGAAGAAAAAAATGATTTCCAACCTATGAACCCAGGCAAAGATCAACTTAGTGTGAGGGTAAATCAAGTCATTTTCCGTGACATCTTTCTATTAAATATGCAAATATATGATCTTTGCTTTTTGGCGTGACATTTTCATATCATTCATTTTCATATCATTTCACTTTCATGTCATGCTCATATATGTAAACCTCTCAGGTCTTTTGTTTTCGTTTTTGTTTTTTGAGACAGGATGTCACTCTGTCACCCAGGATGGAGTGCAGTGGTGCCATCACAGCTCACTGCAGCCTCAACCTCCTGGGTCAAGTGATTCTCCTATTCTTAAGTTTAGTCTCCGTTATCTGAACAGACATGTTCAGATAAGTTCTCACAGGATTTACTGCCGTGTACCGTCCCCAAGAACTCCTAGGGGATGCACTTTCACGAAATGAGAGTAACGGTAAACCGTGGAAGAGAAAGCCAAAGGATTCAAGAAAGGATTCAAGACACAAGGAACTGGACACTTGACAGAGAAAAAAAGAATTCCCAGGTGATGGTGAACACAGCACCATGAGAAGACAGCGTGAGGCGCCAGGAGAACAGCCAGGTCCAATCGCATCAAGACAAAAAAGCAATAGGAAAGGTTTCCTCAAGGAGATGGCATTGACAGCCCCAACCCTCAAGCAAACTGCCTGCCTTCAATCCCAGGCTGGCTGCTTGCTGACTATGTAAACTTGAGCCACTTATTTCATTCTGTGCCTCAGTCTTCTTGTCTGTAAAGGGGGGATAATGGCAGCAGTACCTCGCAAAGTTATGAGGATTAAAACTGTTCCTGAAGGCCGGGTGTGGTGGCTCATGCCTGTAATCCCAGCACTTTGGGAGGCCGAGGCTGGCGGATCACCTGAAGTCAGGAGTTTGAGACCAGCCTGCCCAACATGGTGAAACCCTGTTTCTACTAAAAATATAAAAATTAGCCAGGCGTGGTGGCAAGTGCCTGTAATCCCAGCTACTCAGGAGAGTGAGGCAGGAGAATGGCTTGAACCCAGGAGGAGAGGTTGCAGTGAGCCAAGATCGCGCCATTGCACTCCAGCCTGGGAGACAAGAGCGAAACTCTGTCTCAAAAAAAAAAAAAAACAAAAAAAAAAACTGTCCCTGAAATAGCGAGGGTTTGCAATTACCTAGTAACAAATTCAATTTATGAAGACAGTGTGTACACACTTGGAGAAAATGGTATAATACATTAACATGTATATAGGCAAGTAAATAATCCATAAAATTGTGTGCTCCAGGGAAAAACCGTAAGTTATGCAGGCAGAGAGTTATCAGGGTGTCTATACAGGCAGCTCTGAATATAGTTTACACAGTCATAATCACAAACAAGGAAGATTGACCTGATCAGAATCTGAACCAGTTCTAGAGAAGGATGGGCAAGGAAAGCAGGTGTTGGGGGTGAAAGTATGAGGAAGCGGGTAAAAGCAAACC
The DNA here is from genome assembly GCF_000001405.40 of Homo sapiens. NCBI lineage: Eukaryota > Metazoa > Chordata > Mammalia > Primates > Hominidae > Homo > Homo sapiens. Next base: position 51,575,804 of record NC_000019.10, on the reverse strand, counting down.
TTTTAATGACATGTTTCTTAATTAATTAACGTGTTAATTAACAATCCAAGAGGCAGCAATATAAGCATGTCACTAAAAGATTAGGAGGTAAATGCCAAAATAATTAGCTAAAAATGTAAAATGTGATTGCCTGGGAGGAGCTGGAACTTTGGTAAAAATATAGCAAGTGACAGCCCTTTTAAAAGATTACAGGCTTCACAAAACCATCTGATCCTCTTTCCTATGTTCAAACAAAACTAAAACCTACTTTCAAAGGAAAAAGTAACAAAAAGTATTTACAAACATATGCAAAAAGGACCTTAGGTTATTACTGTGTAAGAACTCTCTTGGGACACTGAGGCAGGCGGATCACGAGGTCAGGAGATCAAGACCATCTTGGCTAACATGGTGAAACCTCATCTCTACTAAAAATACAAAAAAATTAGCCAGCAGTGCTGTCAGGCGCCTGTACTCCCAGCTATTCAGGAGGCTAAGGCAGGAGAACGGCGTTAACCCGGGAGGTGCAGCTTGCAGTGAGCAGAGATTGCGCCACTGCACTCCAGCCTGCGCTTCAGAGCGAGACTCCGTCTCAAAAAAAAAAAAAAAAAAAAAAAAACCTCTCTAAAAATCCGGAGGCTAAACCAAACCAAAATATAAATCAAAAGGTAAGAAAAAGTAACTCACTAAAGACAAGTAATTGACCAATAAAATTATGAAAAAAAAGCCTGTTTGTAAACAAAGTAATGCAAATTAAAACACTATACTATCTTTATTTCCATCACATTAGAAAAGATAAAAATAACAAAATAAAAATAGTACTGTCCAGAGCAGAGGGAAATACACACCACAAAGAGAAGATAATGTGCATGGTACTGGGATATACTCTGACATGAATTCAGACACTGATGGAAAATCTGAATTAGCGACAGCAGTATTGATTCAAATGATAAACTGGAAATCAGGTCAAGCAGAAAAAAAATTTCATTGTTAAAAAAGGAAAAAAGCTTATATTGAACATGTGTCCTAAAACGCTAAACTTGAAGATGTTCTGAACACGCAAGTTGACCAACATCAATGCAAATGAGAGAAACGTTTGTGCATCTGCACTGCTGTCACAAAGACTTAGACAATTTCATGTTTTAAACTTGTTTTGTTTTGAGACAGGGTCTCACTCTATTGCCCAGGCTGGAGTGTAGTGTCATGATTGCAGCTCACTGCAACCTTGACCGCCTCAAGCTCAGGTGATCCTCCCACGTCAACGTACTCAGTAGCTGGGACTACAGGTGCATGCCACCACACCTGGCTAATTTTTGTATTTTTGTAGAGTCTCGCCATGTTGCCCAGGCTGGTCTCCAACTCCTGGGCTCAAGTGATCCGCCCGCCTCGGCCTCCCAAAGTGCATGAGCCACTGTGCCCCACCTAAACTTGTATGTTTCAATTTTTCTTTTAAGAACGACTTTTAAATATTTGGGGTATTTACAATTTTGAAAATGATTTATATGTGCAATTTATTTTGTGTTAATGTTCCCTTCTTTTAATACTTTCTATTATCAAATGTTTCTAGCAGGTTGAGATGATTTTAACAGGTTACTGAAATATATAATCTCACAATATATTGGTTCAGGATAATAACACACATATTTATTATACTTTTTTTAAAAAACAGAACATCTCTGTAAATTTGGTTATAAACCCATCACAGAACAATGGTACACTGTTTACTATTATAGTCACATACTATTTAAAGACTTGTAAATAAAGCATCAAGAGATACACAGAATAATTTAGGATTTCAGGAAATCTTGACTATACCAAGAATTCTGATTTCTTGTTACCAAATCCTGACTATTTCTATCTGTGGGCAATCTGGAAACACTGTTTTCCAGCATTTTTTGTTCACCTTTTTAAACAGGAAAAAGTGTTTAAAAGCCTCTTCACATGGTCCTTAAAAGCCTCTTCTCACTCTACCTCCCTGTGACTATTTAAATTACAAAGGAAGGAGATTTTGCCGCACCTTATGAGAACAGAGGAAAAACGGGCCAAACCCCATGGACCAAGCAAGGAATTTGGTGGGGGGGACCACTTGAAATTTTTCAAAGACCCAGTGGTGGATGAAGGAGCAGAACCAGTGCTTAGCAGGAAAGAGTCAGCTTTTCCATCCTATGACTGGGGCTTCTGATCAGACCAGGGACTACAGTTTCTTCTTTCTTGACCCAAGGCCAACCCTCTACTATCCTCTTTTATCAGCCAGTTCATGGTTTCCTCTAGAACACAGATAGCCTATGAATGTGGAAACATCAGCCTCTGTGGTCCTCGCTTGACAGGAGGCTCAAGACTGACTCAGGAGCAGGGAGCCCAGACCTGCTGCATCCTGTGTCTGCCCTCACGTTCTGGAGAACTATCCCCAGGGCTGCCCCTGTTTACCTCGCAAGATCCATCCTGCTTCTCTGGACCCAGGACCTGAGGCTTCTGGGATAAATTCACATCAGCAGGCATCTCCACTCTGGGCTTCTACTCTCGGTCTCTCTTGCTGACAACTCCACTTTTCCCAGGAGCCAGAAGCTGGATAGGTGTTTGGATTTTCCAACCAGGGACACGGCGGAGAGTCGTACTGGGCTATGAAGAGAGATCCTGCAGCCTCAATGATGTGGCCTGACCTGGGGGTTCTGCAGAAGCCTTGGAAAAGCAATGAGTACATGGTCACTCATTCAACATTCACTCCACAAATATTTCCTGAGGGCACTGAGGTGAAGTCACTGTGTCAGACATTGGAGTAGACAAAGTTCAGAAAGCCCAACTCTAGTTATTAGTCAGGGTTAAAAATAAAGACTGAGTCTGGACTAAATGGTGAATTCATTGCAGCTTTGCCACATTTTCACTGTGAGAATATGAAAATATTACTTTAGTTGTAGTTTCCAAAATGAAAATGCAGGTATTTATCACAGATGTTGGGAAACTTAACCAAGATGAAGCTTGTCAAGTCCTCAGTGCCTGCCTGGCACGTGATAAATATGAATTAAAAAAAGAAAGTTGTCAATTTAATTGTCAGCTAAATATCATGGGCATTATCATACCCATTTTGAGGATGAGGATAATGAGGCTGTGTGCTGTTACATAATTTGCCTGAAGGTTACTCAGTCTGTAAATGGAAAAACAGGGAATCAGCCCCACATCTGCCTTGTTCTAAACTGTACACTGTCTCCACTATCTCATGTACCCATACGTGGCCAGCTTCCAGAAACACCATTTCCTCTTTCTGTTGCCTTCATAGAACTCAGGCCGGGAGGTGGCTCTGTCTGGTGTACCTATTCTGAGCTTCTGGACTTTTCAGTCCCCGTCCATAATACACCACACACAGACCAGCCTCTTCTGACTAGAGCTAAAACTTAAAATCACTGTCCCAATCCCCATCTTGACACAGAAAATTTGCAGACATGCATCAGGGCCTCCAGTTACCATTTCTTGCCTGTCCACAATAAGTTGCCCCCACCGCACCTGAATGCAATCACTGACAGGACTGACTTTCAGAAATCCCCAATGAGTGTACTACAGGGCTGCCAGAAAGTTCCAAAATGCCTCCCAGTCACTGACATGGCACAGGCTTCTGAAATCTTTACTGCCCTGATAGCCAAGAAATGTTTCCCAGCGAGCACAATTTTCTGGTTTCCATAAAACGACAAATAATCCCCAACATAGGGGTCCAAATGAAATGCCCCAATAGGAAACCATCATCGATGTGCTCAACTGTCAATTACTGATCCTTACCATGTCCAAGGGACCCAAGAAGAGGCCAACACTGACCCACCCACCAATCCCTGAAGGACCCCAACACTCACTGCCTAGAAAGCAATGCATTCACCCTCACAAATCCCCATCATTGACCCCCTACGCCTCCAGTCAACTGGCTGCCATAGGCTACCCCTGGCAACCCCACTCTACTGATTCCTATAGGTTGCCCATCACTGGTCCCCTGAGAGTGTTACAGTGTGATCCTCAAAGTCCTCCAACCTCTGAAGCTCTTGGCTGCCAATCAATCACTGACTCCCCTAGTCCCACGGACAGTGAATCCCTTCCCTGAACGTCCTCCAGCACCATCCGCAAAGGCGCTCTTAAGATGCACGTTCACTGTCCTCAAGTTAGCAAGTTTCGTGGACCAATATAAAATCCGATATTAAAGTACACTTGGAATTTAAGTCACAAAAATACTACAAGCAGAAAATAAGCAAGAAAAGAGGGAAAATTAACAGGCTAATTATCCAACTAAAATTAGCAAACGCCACTTACCCCACAGCACCCATCACCCACCCCAGAAACCCCTCATCGCTCAGCCAAAACAAGCCCGTCACTCACCTCACAGCCTCGTCTTCAGCCGAGAAATCCCTTTATCACGCACCCCCACCCCCAACAAGCCCCTCATCACTCCCCCAAAGCCAGCCGCCCCTTCCTGACCCTACAGAACCCCCACTGCTAATATTCCCAATCACTTCAGCGTCCAGTAAGCGACATAGGCTTAGATCCACTTAACAACAGAAGCTAAATGGTCGCTCTAGGCCACTTCCGGTTTGGGTTACATTCCCGTTAGGATTTCCGTAGGCGCTGTTGAACCGCGCGCATGCCCACTAACACTTTTGAAGCTACGCTCCGCCAACAGTTATCATGGCGTATAACGGCGTACCTTTATTCCGCGGTTCATTCAACTTCAGAAACTTGGTAGGGAGGACGGCATGGCCGCACCCATACGGATTATGATATTGGAGGCCGCCATCGTCAAAGGGCTTTTATTCCGTACAGCCAAGGACAAATGGAATGTCACAGAGTAAAAGTCTTGGGTCCTACATTGGCAGGGGACCTATTCAATACTTGTGTATATATATTTCTAGGAGAAACTGACATGTATTCTGAAAAATACTTTTTCTCTATATTTTTCCCTCTGATTTAAAGACTTTTTTTTCCTGAATTGCTGAACAACTCACTGTCTTTAATAGCACTTTTGAAAATGTTATCTTTCTGAGAAATTGTATCTTTGTTATCCTTACACCATTGCTCTCTATACCTGGATGAACCTATTGATGAAGTAACCTACCAAGCGACCACCTGAAGAGAGAATTTAGGGCTCTTGGGACACTTCATTTAAAGAGAGGCGAATGAAAAAAATATAATCAAGTTAAAGGAAAAAAACACAATTACTGAGATCAATGTCAGCCAGCCCAACTGGGCAGAATTTTCAGGAAGAGGTTGTTCAATCAAATAAACAAAAATATATTCTAGAAGGTGAGTAATAGCAATCATAAAATTAAAAAAATGGCTGATTATGGGAAATAGGAGGCAGGGCTGAGTGAGGATCTGAAGGTGAAGATCTGAAATGATCCTTCTTTTTTAAAAAATAGTAATTTAAATATATTGCTTTCGTAGTTTGTGCCATTTTGTAGTTACCGATTTTACATTCTGTGTTCACAGCTTCTGCCACCCCATCTCTGCACTTAAAGCCACCATATTACTTTTAATTACTTCATACCTCATTTTTAGTCCATTTGAATAATAAAATAAGACTGCTTAGCCAATGAAGCATTTTTTTGAACATGGTTTCCCAGGAATAGTTGAGTTTTCACATTAGTATCTGAACCTAACTTTGTTACATGAAGCATGAAACCTGCTTTTATTTTAAAACATCAATTATATATTTACTGTAAGCAAATAGTGTAAAATCAATAAAAACACTTATCTTTATTATGTGAGAAAGTGTGACATTTTGTTTGAGTTACTAAGAAATTCCCCGGACTTAGAACTTTTGAATTTTCTCCACTTATAAATCTGAGACTATTCTTTACTGTGTCATAGGATTTACCCTACGGCTTTGGTACATTTTATTTAAAAAAAGGAAAATGCAGAGAGTGAAAATTGAGATAGAAGTAGGAGGCTTTAAGTACAACAGCCCCGCATGTGTATGTTCAGGGCAAGTTAAGGCGTCCCTCCACTGGGACATCTGTATATCTGTAGGATGAGGGGTAACTGCGCCCTCATACTCTTAGTGGGGCAGGCATACCCTAAGGTGACACCTACTGAGTCACACCTTGTACAAATCCATCCCTTTGAGTGCAAACGGAACCTGAGATTTGCTTCTTACCAACAGAATATGGCAAAAGTTATGGGACTTATCTCTATTATTAGATTATGATATTAAAATCTATGGGAACTTGAACATCATCTGCAAATACTGGAAATATTTCTCAGTTTCTAATTTTTACATTTCTTGCTTATTTTTCTGGTTTTACCTTGTTGGCTATAACCTCTTTAATAATGTCAAGTAACAGTGGTGACAGTGGGCATCCTTGTCTTGTTTCTGATTCAAATGAGAATGCTCCTGAATTTTCCTTATTTAGGGTGAGAGTTGGTGTTTTAATAGTTATCTTTTATCATATGCATGGTAATTCTAGTTGCTCCACTGCCTTATCAATACTTAGTATTGTTAGTCTTTTTAATTTAATATGTTTTAGTGAGTATCTCATAGTGGTATCTCATAGTAATTTTAATTTGCATTTCCCAGATCAAGCATTTTTTCAAGTGCCGAATGGCCACTCATTTATCCTCTTTGCTGAAGCAACTCTTCAAATCTTCCACCCATTTTTCATTGTGTTTTAAAATTATTGTGTTGTGAAAATTTTTTATATATTCTAAAAATAAGTCTTTTAGAGATATACATATCACAAACATTTTTCTTCCAGTCTGTGGTTGCTTTTTTATTTCATCTATTCTAATCTTTAGAAGTTTAAAAATTTGATTATGACATTCTAGAAGAGTTTTTTAAGATTGGAGTTGGCTATTCCTCAAGAAGACAGACAAAACTTTCTGACTATGAATCTTCATATATCTTGTGTAGATGAAAGTCAAAAAAGAAAAATAAAAAGAAAGAGAATTCTGGCTCTTGAAACTTAAATAAAGAGCTTCAAAATTAAAAGCCTTCAAAAAATAAAGACAAAAAGTCTTGTGCAGATGAAAGTCAAAAAAGAAAAAGAAAAACAATTCTGGTTCTTGAAACTTAAATAAAAGTGCTTCAAAATTAAAGTGCTTCAAAAAATAAAGACAACTGTTTGCAACTTATGAGGACTTCAGAATTTCAAATGCTTTGCTTTAAACTATGCCAAGAACTCTCATCCTGGCCAACTTCAAACCAGTCTACTGCCTTCATGACTCAACGCCTTATTAAATAATGATCTCAACAAGATGCCTGCCCTCAAAATATCTGATAGCAATTGTGCCTGTTTTTTTTTTCCTGGAAATCAAAGAAAGTAAACAACCAAGAGCATTAAAAGAAACTTTACCCAAAAAATATAGTATTGAACAGACCATTCTATATACAGAAATGAAACTGTTTATCACCTTCATTTATAGCTAAGGATAAATGCTCGCCCACTGACTAAAATGACCCTTTTCTTTCATATATCTCATTTTAAGCAAACCTATTCTAAGACCTCTGGTAAAAAGAGACTTCATCACTCTGAGATATAGGATTCAAAAGCAAAATACAAATTAACAGTTGTGATTCGCATCACAAGAAATTGTATGCTAAGGAAGTGTGCTGAAGTTTTCCCAAAGTTCAATTACTGATCTGTTCAAATGGATCCAATATTAAGATTCTAAGAACATCATTCTGATTCATTCATATTCTGATATTGCACCTTCCACAGAAGTAAAGGAAGAGGAGCCCTTGGAAATTGCATGTGGCCTGAAGACAAACTTTGGCCAAGCCTATGAAAATGAGATTCTTAGTCTGCTTAGGGTTTATGTGGGAAAATGGCTGAGGGCTTTGGCTGGAGGAATGAAGGTCACTGACAGGTTTTAATCAGGAGTGTGATCTCCTTTATTCTTGTGTCTAGAATGACTATCCAAACTGCCAATTAACAAAACTGGAAAAATTAATAATTCCTGAAACGAGAGAGGCAATGGTTACTCTCATTCAAGATTGGGGAAATGGACACTGTTTCAGCCGTTTTCTCAAACTCCTGGCCTCAAGCAATCCTTCCATCTTGGCCTCCCAAAGTGCTAGGATTACAGGTGTGAGCCACTGTGCATGGCCTGTTACAGCCATTTTTGAAAGCAGTTTGTAAATACTCATCTTTGTCTTGCAAACATATTACTTTCTCTTGAAAAGGTGATCCAGTTTCTGCTAAAAATATCTTCTACGGAAATAATCAGAAATTATATTTTTACACGAGTCACATTTGTAGCTTGAAGTCAGTCATGATAGAAGTGTTTACACTGCAGAAATTGGCAAATACTATCCATCAAGTCTTGATTTATCATTTTATTGATTGTCTACGCTTGATATAGTGATGAATAAAATATTAATAATGCAACTTAAAAGATGTTAATATCTGCAGTCATTACACTGTAAATAGCACAAAAATTCAGAAATATTCTTCTAGTGTAGATATTCCAAAACTTATCTGATTAAACAAAGAGTTTACTCCTGTCATTGACAGAAGAATAAAATCCCACCATACATCTCATTATTTCTGTTTTATCTTACTCCTTAATGTAAATGAAAATATCAACCAACATTCATAACTACACAGTGTACTGTTCATCAATTGCCATTATAAGTTAGCTCAAGTTGCAAAAGTTCAGAAAAATCAGTGAAAACATTCTGTGAGAATCAGTTGATTATGTAGAATTTACAATAAAAAGTATAGTACATTTTATTATTATTTAAAAGTTACGTGCTGCAGGGAGATGAAGGCCCGTGGGACGTGACCAACTCAGCATTCCACTGGAGGCTATATGATCAAACAGCAAACTGTTTATCATGAATGCAGGATGTGGGCAAACTCACAATTACTCCCACTGCCAGAAGGTTTGCTGAGGGCCATTGCTTCCTGGCGCCGAGCTCCTTGAAGTTATCTACTGGGACATCTAGAGAATGCAGTCTTGCAAGCCTACTCTGGACCAAGCAGCTGACCTCTTCTTCCACCCCACTTCTCGCTATCTCTTTTGCCTAATAAATACAGAGGGCTGTGTAAAGTTCAGGGCCCTTGTCCACTAGAGGCAAGGTGCCCCCTGACCCCTTCTTCCAAACATGCTCTTTTGTCTCTTGTCTTTTATTCCTACGTTCACCTCCCTTTGTTCAGTTACCCTAGGTCCATGAGAGTTACATAGTGGCACCCCGAACAGCGACAAATTGAGTGCTCAACAGTGTGCTACAAATACTTTATATCAGTAAAATTTATTATGAATATGTATTTTTTGGAAATCCAGTTGTTAAATATTTCTCAGCACACTTCTGCCCCAATTTCATGTCTCTCTTGAATAAAGAATAGTCTTCATGGGTGGAGGAAGGAGTGGGGAGGAGAAAGGCTATTCTACTGGGATCTTTCTCACTCACCCCCACACCAGGTATTATCCACCAGCATAGGCTGAGGGGTGCTCCTGGGAACATCAGCTCCATGGGACTCCTAGTCTGCCCCTATGCCGGTTGAGTGTGGAATGCCAAGTTGCATATGTTCACAGCGAAGAGTTAATTTGCACATATGGGAATAGTACATGCCAATTATATTATGAATGGGGAATTAATATTTTCTATGGTTTTTAACTTCCTGAGCCCCAAATATCAGAAGTGCCAGTCAGACTCCTCAGGGGTTGAGGGAGGAATCTGCACTTTCACCCCTTAGGGCCAGCCCATTTACTGGATCCTGTTATAGCAGCTGGCAAACCCCTTCATCTACTCTCGTCCTGGAAACCATAGCTCCACTATCAGTAGCAGAATTGGTTCTCTGTCATCCCGTGTCTTCTTGTGTAGGAGGGTCTTGATGTGGTCATTTTTCTTTGTCCTTGATGCCATTTCTTAGGTCAATGTGATGCCACTTCTGGGGCAGGTCAAAGGTGCTCAATACCTGTCAAACGGATGGGTAGCTGACATCCAGACTCAGATAGGAGAGGCCAGATGAGGGTGTTAGGTTGAAACTCATTTAGGATCAAGCTAAACACACATTATGTGGCCCAGGACAATCGTGTGCTCATAACCACAAGTGGACTCTGGCTTCATGTAACCACAAGCCAGATAGTTTTCAGGAAGGCAGCCCATAGGCCAGATGTCTGCTGGGAGGAGGCAGGATGAGGAAGGGAGATGCTGCGGTCTTAGTGGATGTGGGGACAGATGAAGGACTGGGTAAAGCATGAAGGAGGGGCATCAGGACCTGCTGCAAGAGCCTGCGAAGAGAAAGAAATCCAAGGGGTAGGCAGAGCAGGGGTTCAGGGCAGGCGTTCAGGGCAGTGAGAGCAGTAAATGGCAATGCTTCCTGGGTTCTTTCTGGAAGAAAAAAAGCCCCACAGCAAAGTCAGAGCTCACACAGAAACCCAAGAAAGGTCTGTGAGGCAAGTCCAGGCTCCTTCCTGAACCCAAACAAGCATCAGAAAGCAACAAATATCCCACCTAAGTCAGGGGCTCCATTCATGGCCCCCAGGCTTCAACCCTAGCACCACGGGTTTCCCTGCTCAGAGAACTTCGAGAGCTCAGCCAGGGCTTCCCAAGGCTCCCGACGTGCCCAGATCTGAAGAGGAGCATGGAATAGGAGGATTCAGTCCCAGGTGGGACCCAGCTTCCAGCATCTCCTTCCCTGCATGGTGGGAAAATGACCCCAAATCCACAGCTCTCCTGAGGGAAGGTGAAGAATTGGCTTCAGGGGGCATAATCTGAAGTCTGAGTGGGGAAGCGAAAGGAACAAAGTTCCCTGCTAGGGTGTCCTTGGCCCTGCGGTGAATTGGGCTAAGCCTTCACTTCCCCAAAAGTGGTTTGGGTGTTTCTGTTGGAGGGAAGGGTTTGAGGCAAAAACTCAAAATAGATACCAGGTGTCTGCTGGGAAGGGCTCCTCAGATGGCCTGAAGGGGGCTCTAAACAGCCCTTGCAGTCTCAGAGATGCCATCTCTGCTGCTACTGCTGTCCCTGCTGTGGGGAGGTGAGGGGGCTGGGCAGAGGCGGGAGGGTTGGCGGGAGCTCAATGTCAAAGCCTAAATGCTGGAGGACCACGCGGGGTATGAGCTGCAGATTCCAGAGCTGGTGATGGTGCAGGAGGGCCTGTATGTCCTGGTGCCCTGCTCCTTCTCCTACCCCAGTGACAGATGGAGTCACTCAGACCCACCCTACGTCTTCTGGTTCCGGCAAGGGGACAATGAACACTGGGATCCTCCCATGGCCACAAACAAACCCAGCTAGAAGCTGCAAAAGAGAAGCTAGGACCATTTCCAATTTCCTTGGGGACCCCCAGACTGACATCTGTTCCCTGAGCATCAGAGACACCAGGAGGAAAGATGGCGGAGTGTATTTATTTCGGTTGGAGAGGGGTCCTGTCGTGAAATTCAGCTTCAAGCAAAAGACACTGTCTTTGAACGTGATAGGTAGGCGTGCTGTGTCCAGGAGCCTAGGGCTCAGATGGGGGAGCCATTCCTGGGGCTGGGACAGAGGCTGCTTCTGAGTTCACACCCTGGAAGTCCCCTCTCTGTGTCCCAGGTCTTTGCCTCTCTCCTTCCCAGCCCTCACCCAGACACCTGACATCCAAGTCCCAGCAACTCTGGAATCTGGCCATCCTGCGAACCTGCTACGTGTCAGCAGCCTGGAAAAGCAGAAAGTCACTCATCTTTTCCTGGACATGGGGAACTGTCATCTCCCTGGGCCCTAGGACCCCTCACTTCTCAGAGATCACCATCATCCCACTTCCCTGGAGCCACGGCTCCAGTATCACCTTCCAAGTGACTTTCCCAAGGTTTCATGTGACCACAGAGATGACCATCCAACTCAATGTCTCCTGTGAGTCTGAGTTATTTTGGGCAGTGACTGTGGGAAGAGAGTCAGGGTATGGGATACTTGGAGTGGGGTCCTGGATTCTGGGCAGGGGAAGGGACCAAAGGATGCTCCCCTAACCCTCAAAACTGAAGAGGGATGTGTCATCTTTTGAATTCAGATGCTCCACAGAACCTGACCATCAGTGTCTTCCATGGAAATAAAACAGGTAGGAGGCAAGCCCTCCTTTCCAAGGTTGTGATTAGGGTGGGAGGGCACCTTAGAGAGAATCTAAGAACACCTCAGAATAGAGTCTAAGTCTCAGAGCTTGCACGATAGGAGGGTTGAGATCAGGAATTCCAGCACAGGTGCCAGAAGACTTCCTAAATCTAAATCCTCTGTCCCCTATTTCAGCCCCAGGGAACACTCCCTAATCTCACCACCATGACAAAGACTTTCTTATTGTCAAATCTTTTTTTTTTTTTTTTTTTTTTTGAGATGGAGTCTCGCTCTGTCACCAGGCTGGAGTGCAGTGGTGCGATCTCAGCTCACTGCAACCTTCGCCTCCAGGGTTCAAGCAATCCTTCTGCCTAAGCCTCCCAAGTAGCTGGGACTACAGGTGCGCACCACCATGCCCAACTAATTTTTGTATTTTTTGTAGAGACGGGGTTTCACCATGTTGGCCAGGATGGTCTCAATCTCTTGACCCCATGATCTTCCCACCTCAACCTCCCAAAGTGCTGGGATTACAGGTGTGAGCCACCACGCCTGGCCTCTTATTGTCAAATCTTATAGACACTTTCCTGGACCTCACTTACCTAGACCTCTCTGGGGGATTTGTTTTGTTTTGTTTTGTCCGATGACTTTTTTTTTTTTTTTTTTTGAGACAGGGTCTCACTCTGTCTCCCAGGCTGGAGTGCAGTGGCACCATCTCGGCTCACTGCAGCCTCTGCTTCTCAAGCTTAAGCAATTCTCCTACCTCAGCCTCCTGAGTAGCTGGGACTACTGGTGCGAGCCACCAATGCTTGGCTAATTTTTGTATTTTTTTGTAGAGACAGGGAATCACCATGTTGCCCAGGCTGGTCTCAAACTCCTGAGCTCAAAGCGATCTGCTGGCCTCAGCCTCCCAAAGTGATGGGATTAGAAGTGTGAGTCACTGTGCCTGGCCTGGCAGCTTTCTGGAACTTCTCAGCTCTTTCCCCAACACTAACAGAACCAAATCTGAGAATCACATGTTGCCTTCCTGCCTCTTCATTCAGCCTCTCCTCTCTACTTTTCAACAATTTTAATTTAAGATTTTTTCCCAGGCGATTTATTCACATGATCTCATAAAGAAAAGATATAAGTGGGCATGTATAGAATGCACCTGTCTCACCTCTGCCCTCCAGATTCCTAGTTTGCTTCCTCTGAGGCCTCCATTGTAAACTGTTTTGGATACATTCATCCAGAGATGCCTTATGCATGTGTATCTTCATCTACAAGTAAATATAAAAATTTCATGTGAGCATGCTTTTTTACACACAAAACATCCTTGATACACTGTTCTGCACCCTATTTTTTTTTTTTTGAGATGGAGTCTCACTGTGACACCCAGGCTGGAGTCCAATGGCACTATCTCAGCTCACTGCAACCTCCACCTCCTGGGTTCAAGTGATTCTCCTGCCTCAGCCTCCCGAGCAGCTGGGATTACAGGCACCCGCAACTACACCTGGATAATTTCTGTATTTTTAGTAGAGATGGGGTTTCATCATATTGGCCAGGCTGGTCTTGAACTCCTGACCTCAGGTGTTACACCCGACTCGGCCTCCCAAAGTGCTAGGATTACAGGCATGAGCCACCGTGCCTGGCCTATTTTTTTTAAATTTAATAATTTTTGGAGATCTTTTTATGCCAGTAAATAAAGAACTTCATTCTTTTTCACAACTACAAAATATTCCATTGCATATATGTCATTTGCTACTTATAAACACTGCTACAATAAATAATACTTACATATATTTTGCAAGGAAGCTAATATGTCTGTATAAATTTGAATTATTTGATCAAAGGGCACATGCATTACCAATTCTGAGAGGTGTGGCCACATGGCTTTTCCCGTGGTTGTACCATTTTGCAATCCCCACGTCCTCCCCAGCCCATGCAATGTGTTAGTTTTTGCCTCACTCCAACCTCAACAACCAAATACGTTAGCAATGATTTTGATTTTTCCATGACTACTGATAAAAAATGTACCGCACCATAGCTTTAATTGCATTTCTCTAGCTGGGCATGAAGGTGAGGTTTAATTGACATTAACATTGTCCGTTCTGTTGTGTTCTGCCATGCTATGAACTGTCTGTTCATACAATTTCCTATTGTCATTAGCTTGTGCTTATTTTCTTCATGATTTGGATGTTATTTTTATATTAGGAAATGCAACCACTAATCCATAATATAATTGCAAATGTCTTTTCCAGTATTTTTGTCATTGGTCAGAAAAGTTTGTCAATTTCATCATTCTCTCCTGATTTCATTTAGCTTGGATGTGCCATGGAAGTTTTGTTTTATGTAGTTGAGTTTGTAAGTCTTTGCTTGTAAATCTTTGTTTATCATTCTGGCTCTCCCGCCTCTGAGATTATATATAATGTACATAGTATACATAATGTATGTGTATATATACACAAACACATATTTATATTTATGTTTATATTTAATTTACATTTATATTTATATATAATCTTGCCAAAGGTTCCTCTTTTCACCCTGTTCTCCACATGATTATGCACATTTCTATCCTCTTCCCTTACAGGATTAATTTCCATTCCCTGAAACTCCAAGGCCATTTCTAGTCATAGTTGTCTTTGCACTGCTCTTCCTTTCTCCCAGCATGGTCTTCTGCTCCAATATTGTCCACTGTCTGTTTCCACTTGTCCATCTCACTCTTCTTAAGCCCCTCCTCCTCCAGGGAGACCTCCCTGACTTTCTGTCTTATTGTGTTGCTCACCCTCCTTCACCTGAGTCACTCCATCACATCACCTGTCATATTGCAGAGTGAAGATCTAGTCCTGGGCCTCTTATAACCATTAGACTGTGACACCCTCAGGAGCTGATACCCTCTCAGTAGTACCTCATTTAAACAAGGATCAGTAAAGGGCTGCAGATTGAATAAATAAATGATTAGACTTTAGGGTAACTGGAGATGTTGGTAAAGATAGCAGGAAAGAGGGTGTGGGAACTAGGGGGTGGCCAGGAGATCTTGACTGGGATTCTCATCAAGGACAAAGTCCTTTCCTCTATTCCTGTACCTCACGGAGTCTGCATCTAAACTAACAGAATAACGGAGAAGGGGAAGAGACCAAACTGCATCATGAAGGGGAAGGGGGACCCCTCTGTACATCTGAACCCAAGGCCTGCATGTGCCTCTCTTGGTATCTCTCTTGCTGAGTTTCTCTTCTCCCCTCTATTCCCAGCACCTGTAGCCTTGGAGAATGCCACCTCCCTGTCAGTCCTGAAGAACCAATCCCTGCGTTTTGTTTATGTGACTGACAGCAACCCACCTGCCAGGCTGAGCTGGACCTGGGAAGGCCAAGCCCTGAATCTCTCCCAGTCGTCAGAATCAGCCGTCCTGGAGCTGCCCCCAGTGGAGTCTTGTGATGGAGGGGAATTTGTCTGCCAAGCTCAGCACCCTTTGGGCTCCCAGCATGTCTCCATTAGCCTCTCTGTGCAGAGTGAGTCATTGGTGGGAAGAATGGACAGGGCACCTGGATTCTAGGATGGGACTGTGAGTGGGATGAGGTCTAGGAGAAACACTTTATTCCTCTCCTCCCCTTCAGGTGACTCCGTTATCTCTATAGAAGAAGGCGTTTTACAGACCCTGGGTTTCACACTGATTAGGGGAATCCTCATGGGGACCAGCTGCACATTCATCTGTGGATTCACCTGGATCTGCTGCACTAGGTGAGCAGTGCCTTGCTCAGATGACCCAGTCTCTGAGCCCCCAAATTCCAAGGAAAAGTGGCCTGGTCTGTCTTCCTCAGGGTGAGCTCTCTGCAGCCCTAACTGCTAACCTCCTCTTACATTTTCTCACAGGATCAGAGGGTCCCAGAGAAGCATGGCTGGGAGAGTGGACTGAACTGATCTCTCTCCTCTGGACATGGTGAGAAGATGGACATTGAAGTCCAGAGGAACAGAGCCCCTGTATCTCTTACTAAAGCCCACCTCTCTGCATCTTGAATCACTTGCTGACTTGGTTCATCCAGAAATAATCTCTGTCCAGTTTCATATCCTATCTCCTGAACTGTACTGCTGGGCGAGATGGATGGATGGATGGATGGATGGATGGATGGATGGATGGATGGATGAATGAATGATTGGATGGATGGATGAGTGGCTGGCTGGATAGTTGATGGTTGGATGGACCGTCCATGACTGCTCTGCTCTCAGAACCTTTCCTTGCACCTCCTCTACATTGCTATGTACTCCAGATACTTCCTCTGCCAGACCACATTTATCAGGCATCTTTATTAGCCAGCTTCCAACTAGGTTCAGATAATGAGAGGCTAATGCTGGAGATTAAAATACAGGAAGAAAATGGAGAAGCAGCAGCATTTATTTTTTCCCTTCTCTCTGAATTGTGCAATCTCTTTGGTAGTGGCAGCACCCTCTCTGAGCCTCCAGCACTCAGACTCGGAGTGCTCAGCACTCAGCCTCTGGGTGCCCCTGATTACTGGGCTCTGGTGCACTGCCCTTTCCCTCTGTCCTCTAGCCTAGAAGTGGTGGTGGTTTCCTGCTGTTGTTCATTTCTAGGTTGCCTGATTGTCCTCTGTTTAATTTTTCATCCCTAACATCAACTGCGTAATCAATTTCTGCCATTAAATGTCCTCTGTTTTAAATATTTATGTGATTTCTTTTTTAGTAATTGGACTTTAACTGATACATATGGACACATGAATGGATGGATAAATGGAAACACGGACACACAGATGGATGGATGGATGGATGGATGGATGGATGGATGGATGGGTTAATAAATAGGTGGGTGGGGATTCTACTCAATGAATGTAACCCTCTTACCAGCCTTGGGATTTTACCCCAGACTTTTTCATTCCTGGTCCATTTCCTAAGCATCATCATTCTCTCTTAGTCTTAAACATGTTTACTTGTGCAATCAGGAATTTGTAGGTCAAACTTATTTCAGTGTTATTTTGTGGGATATTCCTGCTCCTTCCAATTCCAATCTAACTTTTGTACTTCCTATGAGCATTAAAAGCTTTTATTTTATCATGAAGAAGGAGTTCGTCTCAGATCCACACTTTTGTGTTCCCACCTTTCTATTTCCCCATAACCAGCCCAGTTGTTTACTTTATGGCCACCATTGCCCACAATCTTAGATATACTTCTGCCTATTTGATGACTGAAAAATCTCATCCTGAAAATTCTGTCCCTTTAGGCTGGCTGGGTGTAGTCCTGAGTAATTGTGTTTTCTCCATTAACTTGACTGCATTTTCTTTATTCACCTCCCTTTAAATAAAATATTGCAGGATTCCTAAATTATCTCACAGTTTGTCTCTTAATGGATAATTTCATCAATGGGTTCATCCAGGTATACAGAGAAACTGTGCAAGGATACCAAAGATAAAATTTTTTTAGAACACTATGGGAGAGGATGAATTATTTTAAAATATAATTTGGAAGAGAGATTTTCTTCTTGACAGTCACTTTTCAGTTTTGCCAATTCTATTTTATTTTTTAAAGATAATATACAATTCTATATGGAAAATTCCAAAATAATGTAAAAACAAATTATAACAGAAACTTTAGCAAACGAATGAATACAGATATATTTAATAATTGTATCATTATATACCAGTAACTGTTGATAGAAAATGTAATAAAAAGATACCACTTGAAGTATTAACAAAAATAAGGAACTATAAGAGATGTGTTACATCTAAATGTAGCACTTTATAAAACTGTGTTGGAAGATATCAAACACCTAAATAAATTGATCCATATGCTGTATTAATGAATAGAACGTCCCAGTTACATAAAGATGCCAATCATTTACGAATCAATAATTTCAATACCCTTTCATTCAAAATCCCATTTAGGGTAGAGAGGAATGGAACATGTGAAAGTGCAGACTAAGAATAAGACACTTTGAAGGAGAAGAGTAAAATGGTGAGGCTTGTCCTACTATATATCAAAGGTTATTATAAAGCAATATAAATAATAAAATACCAGTGGGTGTGAACAGCCAATGGAAGCCAAGAGGCTGATATAGTATAGAATTCTAACATGTGTGAGGGCAAGTAGAAGATCACTGGGGAAAAGGTGAACCTAGCCAGCACAACAGGTCTGTGGGAAAGGATAAATTACTTAATCAATGATGCTGGAACTTTGGTTTAAATTTTATTTTTTAAGTTTCTTTTCTCCCCCACCTCCTCTCTTTTTTAACGTTTATTTTAGGTTCGGAGGTACATGTTCAGGTTTGTTACATAGGTAAACTTATGTCACGAGGTGGTTGTACAGATCATTTCATCACTCAGGTACTAAGCCTAGTACCCAATAGTTATTTTTTCTGCTCCTTTCCCTCCTCTCACCTTCCATCCTCAACTAGATCCTCATATCTGTTCCCCTCTTTGTGTGCATGAGTTCTCATCATTTAGATCTTACTTATAAGTGAGAACATGCAGTATTTGGTTTTCATTTATTTTTCTTTATTTTAATTTTTAAAATTTATTTTCATTGTATATATTTAATATGTACAACGTGATATTCAGATAGACATGTACACAGTGAAATGATTAATACAGTCAAGCAAATTAACATATCCATCACCGTCCATACTTACTTATTTCTGTGGTAAGAGCACCTAAAAGCTACTCACTTAGCAAAATTTGAGTATACAATATTATTAACTTTATTCTCCATACTGTACATTTTATCTCTAGACTTCTTTATCCTTCATAACTATAAGTTTGTACCCTCTAACATTCTCCCCATCTCCTCCCACTCCCTGCCCCATTCTACTCTGTTTCTATGTATTCACCTTTCCTTGTTATTCTACATGTAAGTGAGATCGTGCAGAATTTTTCTTTCTGTGTCTGGTTTATTTCACTTAGCAAAATGTCCTTCAGTTTTATCCATGCTGTGGCTAATGGCAGCATCTCCTTATTTTTAAGGCTAGTAGCATTTCATTGTGTGTGTGTGTGTGCACACGTACACACACAGTGATTTGTTTATCCGTTCATCTGTTGATAGGAGTTTAGGTTGTTCCATATCTTAGCTATTGTGAATCATGCTGCAATGAACATGGGGGTGCAGGTATCTCTACGAGATGCTGATTTCATTTCCTTAAGGTATATACCCAACAGAGAGATTTTTGGGTCATATTGAGTTCCCTTTAACTCTTTGAGGAGTCTCCAAACTCTTGTCCATAACAATTGTATCAATGTACATTTCCACCAACAGGGCACAAGCATTCCATTTTCTCCCCACCCTACACAACACACTTGTTGTCTTTTATCTTTTTGTGAACAGCCATTCTAATAAGTGTGAGGCAGTATCTCATTGTAGTTTTGTCCATTCATATTGAGCAGCTTTTCATATACCTGTTGGTCATTTTCATGTCTCTACAGAAAAGTGTCAATTCAAGTCCCTTGCCCAATTTGAAGTTGGGTTTTTGTTTGTTTGTTTGTTTGTTTGCTATTAGGTTGTATACATTCTTCATATATTTTGGATATCAACTTTTTATCAGATATTTGGTTTGCAAATATTTTCTCCCAACCTATCAGCTGCATGTTCATTTTGTTGATTGTCTCCTTTGATGTGCAGAAGCTGTTTAGTTTCAGGCAATCTCACTTGTTTAGTTTTGCTCTTGCTACCTGAACTTTTGGTGTAATATCCAAAAAATTATCATCAATGTCAATATCAGGTAGATTTGCCCCCATGTTTTCTTGTAGGAGTCTTACTATTTCTGGTCTCATGTTTAGATCTTTACTCCATTTTCAGTTGATATTTGCGTAGGATGTAAGATGAGAGAGTCCAGTTTCATTTTTTTGCTTGTGGATATCCACTTTTTCCAACACTATTTATTGAAGAGATTACCCTTTTGACATTGTGTCTTAAAATCCTAACAACCCCACAAAACTATTAGAATGAATAAATGAATTCCACAAAGTAATAGGATGCAAAATCAACATACAAAAACCAGTTGCATTTCTTTACACCAAGAATAATCCATCCAAAAAGGAAATCAAGAAAGTAATCCCACTTGTAATAGCACCAAAAAGAATAAAATACTTAGGAATAAATTTTAACCAAAGAAGTGAAAGATCTGTACAGTGAAAAACTACAAAATATTAATGGAAGAAATTGAAGAAGACACAAATAAATGAAAAATATCCATGTTTGTGGATTAGAAGAATTAATATTGTTAAAATATCCATACTACCCAAAGTGATATACGGATTTAGTGTAATCTCTATCAAAATTCCAATGGCATTGTTCACAGAAAAAAATAATTGCCAAATTCTTATGGAATTGCAAAAGACTCTGAATAGCCAAACAATTTTAAGCAAGAAAAACAAAGTTGGAGGAATCACATTCCTGATTTCAAATTACATTACAAAGCTACAGTAATCAAAGCCGTATGGTGCTAGCTATATTCCAAATGACATATGGACCAGTTAGACCAATGGAACAGACTAGAGAGCCCAGAAGTAAACCTAAGCACATGCAGTTTGTTAATTTTCAAGAAGACATTGAATTCTTTAGTAGAAGGGGGAAAAAAACCCTTCAAATAAGTGTAAAAATATAAAAGAGTTATTTTTCAGAATATGTAATGTCAGTCATACACATATCTGCGTAGATATATACACAACAGGGTCCCTGCCAGTATGGCACAGCTCCAAGACCTTGCTGTGTGAGACCCCAAGGCCTTCCCTGGCTGTATGGAACGACCATCTTTTGAAGATGGCGTCCTCCAGTGACCAACTCTATCTGGGCACGACCATGTTGTTCTCCTGACAAAGCCGCTGAAGAAAAGTTTACAATGGAAATAACGGACACGCCCTCCACCGCGTTACACCATGATAACTATCTGCAGAGCATAGCTCCAAAAGTGATATTGAACATGCGCGTCAATGGACATGCTGAAGAAATCACGCCTGGACGCCAATGTGAACCGGAAGTTGCCCAGAGAGGCCTTCACTGATGTCGCCACCAGTTCCTATGTAAAGCCTGAGGGAAGCTGAGGTGATTTGGGGTAATTGGGATAGGGGTGTTAAAGCTCGAAAATTCTGAGTTTAACCAACCAGGAAAAAAAAAAAAAAGACCAATTTGTAGGACACATTTGGTTGCATCCAAACTCTGGTTTTCCATCAAATCAAGGACAAATCAGACTACTTTCATTGAGAAATGACAGAATGAGAGAAATCATTTGTTTCACCTAAAGCTCACAAGGACTTTTGAACTAGAATGTGTAAGAAACTCCCACAAACCAATGAGAAAAAGGAAAACAAGCCAAAGTAAAAGTATGCAAAGCACATGAATATTAATCTGCTAGTATGGAAGCATGAGTGGAAAACAAGTCCACGTTGAGATGCGCAGCCTCACTGGTAGCTGAAAAAAAATCAAATTAAACAGAAATGAGATACTTCTTTACACTCTTTCAGAAAATCAAGAAGGCAAATAACAGCGAGTGTGGCAAAGATATGAGTAAATCGGGACCTTTGTGTTCTGATGGTGGGAGTGCAGTTTGTTGAGGCATTTTCAGAGCTGGCAATACCTATTTTGTGAGCTGAATGTGCTCGCTGTGTGATAAATCATTAAGCTGTACACTTAATGATTTGCATCCCTTCTGCATGACAGTAAAAAATTCTTAAGCTATTATTGTGTGAAGTAGCTAGGAAAAATGCATACAATATGATGCAATTTACATAAATGCCAAAAACAGTAAAACCTAAACTTTGATATTTAGGGATGCATATTTTGTCGGTTAAAAAAATTGTATTATTCTCCAAGGTAAATAATAGGAGAAGACTAATATCTTCACAAAAAGCTTAGACACATTGTTAAGGAAAACCCCAAAGCCCCTCTGCATAAACTCTTTAAATAAATAATTCACAGAGATTAATTTAAAAATTGGGTCAACAAGGCTGTTTATAATCACATCTTTGAAAAGTAAGGAAGGGAGATTATATTATTTATCTAATCTTGAATTACCAAAAGTGAAAAAAAGTCTGTCATATTGGGCACTGTCATGCATGGTCAGGAGATTTAAAGGAGTATGGCACTTTTGGAAAATATCCTGTTGGCTTCAAATGGAATTGGGGTAATCTTCACCCCTCCGTATTGTATCAACGAGAAATGCACTTTACTGTGAGTCTGTTGATTTTCAGGGGCTTTAACAAATAAGATTTTTTTTTCATGCAACAAGAGGTCTACAGATGAGCTGCTGCTGGCTTTGACCCAAAACATTCCTGGGGTAAAGAAGGAGCCGGGAGGGGCACAGAGGGAAGTCCAGCCCATACAGACCCACAGTCGGCCCCTCCTTAACTTCCTCCCTCTTGGGCGGCCCAATCCTGTGACTCAGCTGTTTTGCCGGCTGGAGACCCCGATCTGGATCCTATCTAGTCAGACTCCTCTGCATAGCCCAGTCATTCCTAAACCAGGGACACAGTCCTGCTTCAGCACCAGGGACAGCGCCACTCTCCCTGATGCCTGTGGCTCGCCAGGACCAAAACGTGTCTGGATGTGCAGCGAGAGCCACCAGCCTCTTTGCGCGGTCCCTGATGGTAGACATGGGAGAGAACGGCGCAGGATAGGAAAACCTCCCAGTCTGTGTCTGCCCTTCTCGGGCTCTCGGTCACGCCCAGGAGATGGGCCCTTAGATCACTCAGAGAGGGAATCTGCACATATCCCTGGTTTCTTGCCTCTTAGGACAGACTCCACCCCCGGGGCCTTCAGGAATCCCTGTCTAATTGTGATAAACTCCCTTCGCCTCCCCCTCTCCCTCCTCCTCCTTCTCCTCCCCCTCCTCTTCCTCCCCTCCCCCTCCTCCTCCTCCTTCTCCTCCCCCCCTCCTCTTCCTCCTGCTCATCTTTCTCTGTCTCTCTCCCTCTCTCCTACCCCTTTCTCTCTCTCTTCCCTGCTTCTTCGTCTATCTCAGTCTATGTCTCTTTTCACCTTCTTCCCCTTTCCCCTCTTCTGTCTTTCTCTCCCTGTCTCCCTTTTTCCTGCCTCTCTACCTTTCTTTCTGTCTCAGTCTGTTTCTAGTCTCTTTCTTTCCCCCTTTGCCTTGTCTGAGGGCAAAGGGAATGTTCCTGTTGAAGGAAAACTTTCTCTCTCTCTCTCTCTCTGTCTGTCTGTCTCTCTCTTTCTCTATCTCTTTCCCCTCTCCCTCTCTTCCTCTTCTCTCTTTTTCTCTCTCCCTCTCTCTCTCTCTGTCTCAATCTGTGTCTCTTCCCCTCTCCCTCTTCTTCCCTACTCCTCTCACCTCTGT
This sequence comes from Homo sapiens, assembly GCF_000001405.40. Lineage (NCBI taxonomy): Eukaryota > Metazoa > Chordata > Mammalia > Primates > Hominidae > Homo > Homo sapiens. The sequence goes on along the minus strand of NC_000019.10, from coordinate 51,552,570 downwards.
ACCACCTCCGACTGGTACTCGTACCCAATTGGAGCTCTGGAGGACAAAGAACAAGACTCATGGTCCTTTTCAGTCTTTAGCTTTGTGCCCAATCCTAAAAGATTACATATATATATATATGTCATATATCATATATATAATATATATATTATGTATATATGCTTCAGGATCTGTAGGCTAAATGGAGGAACAGAATATCAGGCAGCTGATGGAAGCATGGTCTTTGGAAGTGATGGAAGACATTCAAAGTGTTTAGGCACACAAGGGATCTTACTTAGATTGAAAAAAGAGTCCCGTGAGCTCAGAGATGGGGAGCTGTCCATGGGAGACCTAGCAGGCTATTCATTTCAAGAGAGAGAGAGGCCAGGAGAGGAATATTTGCTGGTCACTCCACAGAGGGGAGGAGTTGTAGAGGCTGGAAAACTGTGGAAAAGTCAAAGTGAAGAGACTGTGTATGTATATGTGCAGGCAGGGCCCACAGGAAGTGAGAGTAGGAGGAGAGACACAGGACAAGTTCTTTCTGCCTCACCCTGAACCCAAAGAGCTCACCTAAGTCTGGAGCCAGAGCTGGAGCCACGGCTGGAGCTGAGGACAGAGAGGGTTCCATTTTAGGAGAGTCTCAGTCTCACTCTCCTATGACCCTATGCAAGGGGCTCCAAGAAAAGCAACTGGGGAAAACAGACCCAGAAACTCCACATCTCTCTTGAGGGAAGTGGGGGTTGGTCTTCAGGTGGTGAGGAAGAGGAGGAAGGAAGGTCCCACCCTGCTGTGGTCAGGGGAGAGGAGAGCTCAGCTTTCATTTCCCCTGTAGTGGTCTGAGGGCAAAAGTAGCGTTTGCTGAAGGCAGAAATTTGGGAGAGGAACAATACATTCAATCCAGGAAGAGAATCTATCACTCCAAGGTTGTGCCCACTTCCAAGTGGGAGAGGCTAATCAGTGAAGACAGCCTAGTTCTCTCACTGTTTGGGGTGCTACTTGTAGACTGCCCAATCCTGTCACTGTTCGGGGCACCGCTTGTAAACTGCACGGACCTTGGGGGACTGAACAAAGGGGGACGAACGCGGGAACAAAGACAAGAGAACAAAAGAATGTGTTTGGAAGAAGGGGTCAGGGGGCACCTTGCCTCTAGTGGACAAGGGCCCTGAACTTTACACAGCCCTCCATATTTATTAGGCAAAAGAGATAGCGAGAAGGAGGGGTGGAAGAAGAGGTCAGCTGCTCCATCTAGAGTAGGCTTGCAAGACTGTATTCCTTGAACAGTAGGCCCTAGATGTCCCAGAAGATAACTTCAAGGAGCCGGCGCCAGGGAGTGACCGCCCTCAGCAAACCTTCTGGCGGCAGGTGCAGTCGTGAGTTTGCTCACATCCTGTATTCATGATAAACAGTTTGCTGTTTGATCATATAGCCTCCAGTGGAATGCTGAGTTGGTCACGATCTCTTTGGCCTTTTCGGCTCCCAACAAATCAGATGGTGTCAGCGGAATGTAGAACATCCTTTTCCGCTGCTGCCATTGCCCCAGCTGTGAGGGCAGCAGAGGCCTGAGGAAGAGGTTGCTCAGTCGGGCTGCAGCCACAGCTTGCTTCCCGGCAGCAGTCCCATGAGAATCAGCCGGCTGTGCTCTCACCTTTCAGTCAGTGACGGTGAAGAGGGAACCTTTGCATTCTGTGCCCAGCTTCATTCTCCAGTCCAATCCATGGGTTTTCTGGACTGACTTTAATCCAGTCCACACCCACCTTTGGATCCCAGAGGGGGCCCACAGACACCATAATCCCCCTGTGGCCACAAATAAGCCCTGTCAAAACTTGGAAGAAGGCTGGGCGCAGTGGCTCATGCCTGTAATCCTAGCACTTTGGGAGGCCGAGGTGGGTGGATCACCTGAGGTCAGCAGTTCTAGACCAGCCTGGCCAACATGGTGAAACTCCATCTCTACTAAAAATACAAAAATTAGCCAGGTGTAGAGGCAGGTGCCTGTAATCCCAGCTACTAGGGAGGCCAAGGCAGGAGAATCGCTTGAACCTGGGAGGTGGAAGTTGCAGTGAGCCGAGATTGTGCCACTGCACCCCAGCCTGGGTGACAGAGCGAGACTCCATCTCAAAAAAAAAAAAAAAAAAAAAAAAAAGAAAGAAAGAAAAGAAAAGAAAAGAAAAACCTGGAAGAGAGGACCTGGGGCAAAGCTAACCTCCTCAGAGACCCAAGGACCCACAGTTGCTCTCAGAGCATCAGATGTTCCAGATGCAGGAAAGTAGGAACACATCTCTAGGTCAGAGATATCACATGAAATATAGCTCCCAATGAATGACACTGCCTCTGACTGTGACCAGTAGAGAAGGGTCCCCAGGAGAGAGCCCCAGAGGCAGGAACATACCTGTTTCTTATCTGGAGAGTAAGGGAGAGGTGCAGGATCCTGGGGCTGAGGGCAGGGGAGGCCAACCCCAGGCTGACACTCTGGGGTCTCCCCTCTGAGTTTCTCCTCCTCTGTAGCTTGTATCAGATACCCATAATTTATATCCCTTTAAGCTTAAAGCCAGCCATCTTGGAGTCTAAACAGCACCATGCCAGGGGCTTGTGAAGGAAGATGCACCTCTCTTCCTGGGGTTCTGAAGCCCCCGCTTCAAGTCCTCAGTGTACCCCTGTATCCTAGGGTCCAAGATTGTGGCATCAGGCCTCCATGCCAGGTGACCTTCCTAGGAAGCGGTAGATCCATGGGTAGAACTATCTGAGGAGTCCAGCACATGGTTAAAAACCTAGGTGTGGCTTTTCAGGTTCGATCACAGGCAGTTGCAAAGGCTTTTCCTGGCAGGCCTCACTGGGAGACTCCACCCTCTTCACACTCGGTTGTGGTCAAGGACCCCACCTTTCTGGCCAGTCATGCGCTATGCATATTTGCATTTCTATCCCAGTTACATTTATTTCTAGGCCTCGTTTTCTGAGGCCTTGGACAGAGGTCTTCCACAGATGCCTCTGCTGAGACCACCTTGCGGGGGGCAGGAGGAGGAACCTTGAAGACACGTTTCCCCACTCTGACTCAGTACTCAGTTCTTTTCCACTCCTAGCCCTTCTCATGCCCCCACCCTTCCCAGGGTCTGTGGAACTGCCTGAGCCTTTTGTTCAGGGCTCCCTCCTCAGTGAGAGGACCCCGACCCCTATGTCTGTGTTGATCCATGAGCCACCTGACCCTCCAGCAGTGTGCACTGTTCCAGAGGGGTGGCAGGAAATGAAACAAGAAGAGTTGGTGCATTCTCTGGTTTAGACTCTTGCCTCTATCACTGCTGTCTGTGATTAAAGGCTTGATTCATTCTTTCAGTTTGGTCTATTGTTGCTTTAATCGGTGATCCTGCCACCTTGAAGCACAGCTCTCTCTCACAGCCCAGCTGAGCTCCTCATACCACCAGGCTCAGCATCCCCCTTGGATGTTGGCCAGGACACCTGGGTGGCTGAGGGCTGCCAGGATGGACAGGAAGGGTTCAGGGCCTGAGAGATTCAACGCCTGGTCAGGAGCTCGACTGGAGAAGGGAGGAGAAATCACAGCAGTCCCCACCTCAGCAGCTTTCCATGGATTTAGCCAAAGAGGCAGAGCAGCCATACTCCTCCGCATGGTGGTAGAAAATGGTGGCTTTCTCCATTCCAGATGCCAGATGCCAGATTCTCCACAGAATCTGGCTATTGGCCCCACCCAAGGAAATGGTACAGGTAGGAAAAAAACCTTCCCTCTGGGGTCGTGATGAAGGTGGGCTTGCTGCTTGCTCAGGACAGAAGTGGAGGCCCAGAGCTCCGACAGGAGAGGACTGAAGACATCCCAATGAGTCCCACTCCCCCTCACCCCGCTGCCCCCTGCAGTCTGCCCCTCCCACCCATCCCTGATAAAATTCTCACCACTGCTGTCACCAATGTGCAGCTCCTTCTCCTCCTACCTCCCTGGCCAGGCCATCTCAGCCATTCCCCAGCCCACAATTAAGCTTAAGATTGTGTGTTCCCCACCCCTCCCACTGGGGCCTTCTGTTTCCCCTTGGTGAACACATCCACCTCCCCTGAGTACAACCCCAGTAGGCTTTGTGAAACTCCCTACCCCTCCCTCTCCAGCCCAGACCTGCCCCCAAGCCCTGACGGTTCATCTCACCAGCTCTCTGCCATGACACCCCCAAGTCCCTGCTGCTTGAGTCGGGGCTCTGGGAGCCACTGCAGATGCTCCCCTCTCTCACGCATTATAAGAATTAAAGAAAGAAGAAGGAAACACAAAAAACAGCTGAACAGTTAAAGATAGGTTTATTTTGGAGACTAAACCTGAGAAGGGCTTCTGGCTGAGTTAGGTCAGAGGCACTCTCTTTTACCGACTAAGAGTTTTTAAGGATTCAGGGCGGTACAGCTTATCACAGGCTCAGAATGTTTCTGTGTCTCTTTGTCTTGCTTACCTGGGAGGGAGAGTTTTGTGTCTAATCCCATACGTCTTCCTGCAGCTGCAGGCATACCCCCTGAGTCTGCTTTTAGCTTCCCTATCTTAGTGTACCTAAAGGGGAAGGAATGTGTTTATTAGGGCCCACTGTTTTACTGGGGCCCATTGTATGAGTGTGAAGTTTGGTGGTTACCCAGGAGACTTTTCCCCCTCAGACATCCCTTTATGCCTGAGCTGTCTTATCTGTGTTTCACTGTCTGCTCTTTCCGGCTGCTTGTTGTCAGAAGATAAGTGATTTCCTTGAAATGCACGAGGCTAGAAAGGGAGCTGGAACTTAAAGTGGCAGTGTTAGTCTGAGATGATGGTGCTCCTGCTCTGTCATGCACCACCACCAACCCTGCAAAGTCCACTTTCTGAAAATGTCTCAAATTGCTTCTTTCTTCAATCACCAAGGTGACTTGTTTTGAGAGTCCCCAGCTAAACTGGGGCTTCAGTGCCAGAGTGGCTGATGACCCTGCCCTAATGGGAAATGAAGGAGAGCTGGACGTGGTGTCTACAGCGTACATTTCACAGGATCTTTCTCTTACGTGGAGGATGATCTAATGCCTGGTTGTCTGACCCATGACCATGGGTGCCTCACATGGGCAACTTGTTTAAGCTACAGATGCCCCTGTGGTTCTTTTCTGACCCGTGTTCACTTTATGCCTGCCTGACCATTTCCCTGGCACTGGAAGTCCACCCTTGTACCCTCCCAGGTGTCCTGGGGGGAAACCCAGCCTAGAGTAGCCACAGTTCTTCAGGTGGAGGGTGCAAGTTCAATGCACCATCAAGCTAGGAAATATGTTTAAAGATTTTTACTTATAAACTCCAGGCAATGAGGGTGTAATGAGTGGAGGGGGGGCAGTAATTAGTGGGGGGACCCAGTCCATCCCTGGGTCACCCGAGTCAGGAATGAGGAGTCAGGCAGAGTGAGAAAGAAAAGCACACGGCAACTGGCAGTACCTCTCAGGGAATCGGGTGTGGTTACTTTAAGTTCATGGGTAAATATCTGTGGTTCCCTTAAAGGTAGCAGCAGAAAAAGCAGGAAGGCAAGTCTGCTTTTACAGGAGAGATGCCGCTGGTTCTTTTATTTACCTATTGTTTTTTGTAGAGATGAGGTCCCTCTATATTACCCAGGCTGTCTTGAACTCCACTCAAGAGATCGACCCGCTCAGCCTCCCAAAGTGCTGGGGTTGGTTGAAGGGCATGAGTCACTGTGCCTGTCTAAGTTCTTATCTCTGGCCACCAGCTTGAGCCATTTGAGTGTGGTTTAGAACTGGAAGTTGTTAAGGATGACTGAGCCCCGCTTCTGGTATTTCAAAAGGACACTGAGGTCGCATGCAATTCTAAGAATTCACTACATTACTCTCTCCTTGAAGGCATGGTTCTTCCTTACCGAACAATCGCAACAGCTTTCTCTCTAGGCCCTTAGCCTGCAGTCTGGCCTTGGAGGGATCTATCTGACATGTATATATTATGGTGACCCTTTTCTGCATGAGAACCTTCCATGACTCCCTATTGTCCTTGGAGAAAGCTCAAGCCCATCATTGTTTCTGTCTTCCAGGACTACTTGAGTTAGTTGAGCGTCAGGAATGATGCAAATCTGTCTCTTTTACTTTTGTTTGAGAATGAATGCACACATGGAATGAATGAAGTGTTGCTGCTCTTACCTCACGTGGACCCTTTCATGCCTCTGGTGCTGATCTCTAGGAGACTGACCTCTGTGGGGGTCCCACGCCTGTGATTCATGGGGAACTGGCCAGGTGGCACCTGTTTCTCCAGTCACTTGTGCACAAGTCCAGGAGGCAGGACTTGGGGACTCCGGTCCTTCGTTGCTGCCTTACTTAGGGCAAGCCTCTTGCCTTGTCTGAGCAACATGCAGAAATGGAACTCAGTTTTCTTAAAGAGTTAATTACAATGGACTCATTGTGTGTCTGAAGTTCCCTTTACTGGGCTGGTCACCTCTTGTTCTCACCACAAGCTTCCTCTGCTGTCCCACACCTGTAGCTTTCCCTTCCCTTTCAGAGAGGTCTGCCCCTGGGTATGAGGCAGAGATGCCACTGCTGCTGACCCTGCATAGGCTGCGGGGACAGCAGCCCCCACTCAGGAGGCTCCAGAGCCCAAGGCTTAGTCTTTTCCTCACTCCAGGGCTCCTGGCTTAGGTTCTGGAACAGCTGCAGTTCCAGGAACCTGTGATGGTGCAGAAGGGCCTGTGTGTCCTCAGGCTGCAGAAATTTCCCTACTCCTGGACTTACTATGGAACCCTCCACCTGTGCTGGTTCCAGAAAGGGGTGGATGTAGACCACAATCCTCCAGTGACCAGGACAAATGCTTCATGGCAGGACCCAGGACCAATTCCTCCTGCCCAGGGACCTCAAGACCAGCAACTTCTCCCTGAGCATCAGAGGCACACACGGGGACTCTTTTTTTCTTTTCTTTTCTTTTTTTTTTTTTTTTTTTGGGATGGAGTCTCACTTTATCACCAGGCTGGAGTGCAGTTGCACAATCTTGGCTCACTGCAACCTCCGTCTCCCGGGTTCAAGAGATTCTCCTGCCTCAGCCTCCCAAGCAGCTGGGATTATAGGCACCCGTCACCATGCCCTGCTAATTTTTGTATTTTTAGTAGCGACAGGGTTTCACCATGTTGGCCAGGATAGTCTCAATCTCTTGACCTCATGATCTGCCCGCCTCGGCCTCCCAAAGTGCTGGGATTGCAGGGATAAGCCACTGCGCCCAGCCCACACGGACTCTTCAGAAAGGAGAAACCATTCAGGAAACATTCATATCTTGTAGGATGCTCTCTTGGAATATGACAAGTATGTTAAAAGCCCAGACACCAGAAATAAAGCAATGAAGGTTCTGCTCCTTCTAGAGGTGGTGGCATGCCGACAGCGTGAAAGGACCCTGGGGTGGGCTGATAACACTCAGAGGGTCCCCAAGCTCCTCTCTCTCCTCACCAGCCCTGACCCACAAGCCCAACATTTTCATCCCAGGGATTCTGGGGTACCAGTCACACCAGGAACCTTACCTGCTATGTGTTCTGGGCCTGTGAATGGGAGGAGCCCCCTCCACATTCTTCTGAATGGGGGTCTCCCTGTTGCATCTGGGCTCCAGGACCTTCGGCTCCTCAGTGCTCACGATCACCCCATGGCCCCAGGACCACAGCACCAACCTCACCTGGCAGGTGAAGTTCCCTGGAGCTGGTGTGACTACAGAGAGAACCATCCAGCTCAGTGTCTCCTGTGAGTGCTGGGGCCAGGATGCCTGGGTTCCTGAGGGTGTAGGGGGTAGAGGAGGGTCAGGGCAGGGGACACTTTGTGGCTATGTCCTGGAGGCCTGGCTGAGCAGGGGAACTAGAAGGACACAAGCTCTGTCTTTTGACATTCCTGTGGCTTCTGGGGTAGGGGAGGAGTACCTACTTTTACCTCATCTCCACCCCAAAGAAAGGGAAATTCTCTCTTCCTGTTCTAGATGCTCTAAGGAACCCAAGGATTGGTGTCTCTCTAGGAGACGGCACAGGTAGGACAGAGCCCCCTCCCTGGGGCTGAGGGAGCAGGGCCTGCAGCTTGGGGCAGGGCTGGGCTACTGCTTCTTCCTGGACTCAACTTCGTAACCTGAGACCCTCTTGTAAGTGAAACAGAGGTCTTCCCCATCGTTAGTCTCCAAGGCCACCTGAGCACCTGTCCCCATCCTCCCCTCACTCCCCTTGGCCTCTTCCACACACAACTCCCACTGGCCCCATAACAAGGGCAGGGTGCCATTCACATAGCAGATCCAGGCTTTGAGTCCCCACCTGCTGAATACTCCTCTTCCCTCATCTTCTTATTCTCCCCAGTAGTCCTGATCTAAGTTCTTCTGAACAGATGATATAGTCACATGGGTGAGAATTCAGAGTGCACAGTAGAATCTACCCTCAGACACCCGTCCCCTTCCCCAGAATCCGCCAGTGTCTGTCCTGGCTGCGCTGCGCCTTGATTTGCTTGCCCGAAGGATCTCAGTGATGGTTTAACATCAGTAGTGACATCAGAGTGACATTACTCTCCTCCAGTACTGTGGGTGATTCCACTGTGTGGATGGACTCCAATTTCGTGGCATCAAAAATGTGGACTCTGATTTTGTGCCTAATGGAATATCATGGCACTAATTTTATCTTACCAACAGTAACACTGCAATAAATAATCTTGTATCTACTGCCACAAGTGTACATCTATGCCTGTGAAATCAGTTCTTAAATGCAAAATAGTTGGGTCATATGTTCTTTCTAATTTTGAAAAAATATGGCCATGGAGAACCCATGAAGGTGAACAAGGTTACACGCGCAACAGGGAGGGGTAAAAGTGTATGTATTCACCTACCCATTGTGGGGCAAAACTTTTTTTTTTATTTTTTGAGATAGAGTCTCACTCTGTTGCCCAGGCTGGACTGCAGTGGTGTGATCTTGGCTCACTGCAACCTCTGCCTCCCAGGTTCAAGCAATTCTTGTGCCTCAGCCTCCCTAGCAGCTGGGATTACAGGCATGTGCCACCACACCCAGGTAATTTCTTTTGTATTTTTAGTAGAGACAGGGTTTTGCTATGTTGGCCAAGCTGGTCTTGAACTCCTGGCCTCAAGTGATCTGCCCACCTCAGCATCCCAAAGTGCTGGGATACAGGTGTGAGCCACTGCTCCCAGCCGGGGCAAAACTTTTTGAAATCAGGGCCTGTGGTGGAGGTGGTCTTGGTGGCTGTCGGGGAGGCGGCTGTGAAGATCCTGCCTATCTGCCTCTGCTTCCTCTTCCTCAGCTGAGCGCTGCCCCAGGGACCAAGGAGAGATGTGGGGAGTACAGGGGACATGGTGCTGAATCCCAGGTCCCAGTGCTGGAGGAATCTGAAGGCTCAAGAGGGCCAGGCAGTAGGCTGAATTGTGGCGAGAATTCCACATGGACCAATTGTTGTCTGACCTCGGCTTTCACTGAATGTCCGGGCTGGGAGGTTCCTGCTCTCATTAGGGAGGTTCTGGGGGCTAGGCCTGCTCTCTCCACCCCAGTCCCCTCCTGCCCCTTAGCAGGGCACGGGGAGATGAGTCTGCTGCCCTCTGCACCCCGATCCGGCCACACTGGCAGGCCTTTGTCTTTTTACTCACTGTCAGTTTCTGCAGGAAGGAAGGGCAGCAGCAGGCGTGGAGGCTGCAGACCCTGTCACGGGCTAATCTCTCAGGGGTTGTGGGCATCTCATCCTCAACATCCCACTGGACACCTCCCCCTCAATGGCCTCCAGGATTGCTCTGCTCAGTATGGCTTAAGTTGAGCTGCCCATCTTCTTCCCCCAACCCACTTCTCCTGGGATCCCCATCCTACTGATGACATAGTGGCTCCCATCTCTAAAGTCAGAACCAGGATATGGGTCTTCACCTTCACCTCCCTCCCTCCTCCAGATCCCACAAATCACTAATTCTTGTCCCTCCTTCTAAGCAGGGTTCATCCTGGGGCCCTTTTCTCCATCTTGGCCCTGGTCATGCCTGGGGCCTCGCCTCCTCCCTGAACACTGAGCCCTCCTCACCTCCTGCCTCCATCTCTCCCAACACAGACTCCAGACTCCGTTTCCAGATGCCTCCTCATCCAGTTCCTCCACAGTCTGAGCAGCCGTGTTTCCTCTCTGGTGCTGGAGAACAAGGGGAAAATGCCACAGCCTGGAATGGAGGCCTTGCACAGTCTGTTCCTGGCCAGACTCTCCACCCAAAGTCTCTGCAGGCCAAGCCCTCTGTGGCTCTGAGACTTTGCGTGTGTAATTCCTTCTCCTGAAATGCCCTTCCCTCCCATTCCTGCCAATCTAGGTCCCAATTGTCCTTCAGGCTCAGTCTTAATGTCACTCAGGGTTGTGTGTGTGTTGTGTGCATGTGTGTGTGTATGTGTGTGTGTGTAATTCTTATTTGGTTCTGAGTGGAGCAGAGGCATTATTGGTGATAGACACGAAGCGACTAACTTCAGTGACTCTACTGAGCATCCATTATGTGTCAGCATTATTATTGGCACCAGGGGTTCATCAGTAGACACAGCACGAAAAAAATCTCTGTCTTCAAGAAGCTATCATTCTAGAGACAGGAAAAGTACAAATGAAAAGAAATAATAAATAAAATAAGAGCATGTGGGGTGGAGATCTGTGTTTGGAGAAAAAGCATGCAGGGAAAGAAACATAAGATAGACTGGGGAACCGTTTCTTATCTGATAATGAGGGGAGGTGGTGTGTGAGCAAAGGCATGAAGGTGCTGAGCAGGGAGGCTCTGTGTCTGAATGAGAGACAAGCATCCCAGCAAGAGGGAAGGGGAGCAGTGAGTGCATTGCTCAGAGGCAGCAGCAGGCCTGGGCATTGCAGACACAGCCAGAGCCCCAGTCTGAGAGCAGAAGGAGGCAGAGGAGGGAGCAGCGGGGATGACAGGGCAGCCTGCGTGGGGCCCTGAGGCTACGCAGGAACCTGGAGCCTTTGGAGAGAGCAGAGGCTTGACTGGACTCTCACTCTAACAGGACCCTCAGCTGCTCTGGTCAGAGCAGAACCGCGTGTGTCACGGCAGCCAAGGAGGCTGGGAAGGTGCTGCTGGGTCATCCAGGAGGAGGCATGGGGCTGAGCCAGGGAGGCAGGATGGGGTAAGGATGTGTTTTTGGATGTGAGTGGAAGGTCAGGCTCACAGAATTTTCTAATGAGTGTTGTCAGGGAGGGGAAGGGAAGAGCAAGGATGGGGCCAGAATGTTCCTCTGAGCACCTGGAAGGAAAGAGCTGTGTCCATGGAGGACTGCAGACGGGTGGCTTTCAGGGGCGATGATAATTCTGAGAATCCCCCTGACATCTGAATGGGGATAGGAGGGAGACAGCTGAATGCAAATGTCTGGAGCTCAGGAGAGGGGTCCAGGATGGAGATGTTTCAATGCACAGCTGGAGTAAAGTGATGACCACAGATGAGGAGAGACAGGGGTGAGGACAGACGGAGAAGTGGGCACCTTTGTCACTCATGATCTTTGCAACGGCAGGTTTTTTTGTTTATTAATTCCAAAAATTTATTTGGATTCCATCTGGAGTTTTAAAATTTTATTTGTTTATTATATTTTTTAGAAGGTTCTTACTTTGTTGCCCAGGTGGGAGTGTGGTGGCTTTTCATAGGTATGATTGTCATAGCCCACTGTAGCCTGGAATTCCTGGGCTCAAGCTATCCTCCTTCACAGCCGCCTCTTGAATAGTGGGAACAGCAGGTACCCGCCATCGTGCCTGGTGCCTTTGGATTTTTCAAAGCAATATTTCCAGCCTTATTGAGGTGTAATTAAAAATAAATATTGTATTTATTTACAGCATACAATGTGATGTTTTGTGGACATTTCCTTTGTGTTTTATCATTATTCTATTTTAATAGACAAATAAAATTGTGTATATTTATGATATGTAACATAATGCTTTAAAATATGTGTACATTGTGTAATGAAGAAATAAGCTAATATATGCATTGCCATCTCACACTTATCAACCCCTTTGCACTTTAAAGTAACACCTTATACTCATCAAAAGGATTGCTTTGTATCCAGCAATATTTGTTTTGTTTTGTGATGAGAACATTGGAAATTTACTATCTTAGCAGTATTGAAATATATGATACAGTATTATTAGCTATAGTCACCATGCAGTACAGGAGATTTCCAGATTCCTCTTGTCTACCTGAAACTTGGTACCCTCTGACTAACATCTCTTCATTGTCTCCAACCTCCACCCCTGATCACCAGGGTTCTAGCCTCTGCTTTTATGAAATTGACTTCTACAGATTCCTCATATAAGCAGAATCGAAGTATTTGCCTTTCCGTGCCTGGCTTATTTCACTTGGCATATTGTCCTCCAGGTTCATCCATGTTGTTGCAAGTGACAAAATTTTCTTTCTTTTCAAAGCTGAATAATATTCTCTTGCGTATACATGCCACATTTTCTTTATCCATTCACCCATTGATGGACACTTAGGTTGATTCCATATCTTGACTATTGTGGATAGTACTTTGGTAAACATGGGAGTACAAATGTCTCTTTTGTTTTCTTTCAATAGATACCCATAAATGGGATTTCTGGATCATATGGTAGTTCCATTTTTAATTTTGGGAGGACAAACCTCCTGCTTTCCATAATGGCTGTGCTAACGTACAGTCCCATTAATAGTGTACAAAGTGACCCAAAGTGTTTTTAATGAAATTATGAGATTTACTAGCCTGCTGGCACAAGAACCTGTTTTTCTGTTAACAATGCACACTTTTCCTTAAATAAGAGAATAAATGGAAAGTTTGAGCATATGAAATGACTTTTGTATATTGTTGAAATCTCAGTAATTCAGTTTCTGAGTATATGCAGCCTATCTTTGTATGTTGGACAAACACTGGTTGGCAAACTGGCATAGGTCAGAAAAAGTGCCCAGATGCAACGTTAAATATTCACGTAGGGTCTGTCTCCTGCTCTAAACTAAAACCCAGTTGAAGGCAGTGTCTTAACCCATTAAATTATTTTTATTAAACTGAGCAATTTAGATAAAGATATAAGTTAGAAATTAAAATTAAGCTGATAGATCTAATAATAATAATACGTATACCTGCCTTTCCTTTTATTGATAATTATTGGAAGGAATAAGGAAATATCTTTAGGTATATTAAAAATATGTGTTGCTAATTTTAAAAATTCACATCTCTAGTACAGAGATAATGCACACAAAACTTTGTTGAGGAGATTGAACATGGATCAAAGTTATGACTAAGAGTTTTGTTTGTTTTCCTCATGAAAATGACCTAATTTATTCTTGGTGAGAAATCTCTAGTAGAAATGATGCTTCTTACAGGCCGGGCAAGCTTATGGTACAAATATCCAAAAATTTTAATTTTAAGGTATGAGGGATTTTGTTTTCACTGTTATGTCAAAATGTTTCTCTCACTGGAACTCTTTTAGGCAAAATAAATTCCAAATTAAACTATAAAATTATACCTAATAAAGTTCATTAAAGAAACATAATGAGAAATCACAACTTCATATTTAACCTTCCAGTCTATGAGCATGATATAACTTTATTTACTATTAAAACAAATTTCGTTGAATTTTCTATTATGTGCCACATTTTTACTTAAAAGATAATCTAGGACAGGTATTATACTTATTGGTGGCTCAATTACTTATATATCAAATAAAGGTAAAACTAGCTCTCTTATTTTAGTAAGGATGAATGAATATTTATCTAGATACTACTGTGTTTAAAAATTGTTCAAATAAGGGTAGTGTAGTTCAAGACGACTAACTAGAAGCATTTCATGCCTGCCTCCTCCACTTAGAAGAACCAGAGTAATGTATAGACAGTCACAGTCGAATTACATTATCCAAGGGAAAATCCTGGAATCCACCAGAGAAGTGGCAGAGGACATCAAAAACAGGGAAGGAGAAGGAAAAGAGGCAGCCTCCCTGGCTGGGATTGGCTGGGAGCTGGGAGTGACTTCCCATGCACAAAGGACTGAGTTAGGGATTTCCAGTCATCCACATCTCCATGGCGGAATTCAGCAATCCTGGCCAAGGGAGAAGCACTCAACCCTATGAAACTAACATAGAGAGTCAGGACACCATTGGACAGAACTACTCCGGGAAGGGAACTCCTGCTGGGTTCCACACCTTTCTGACACTTAAGCATTTTCAAGCTTGTCCTCTGGAAATTGTATGCTGTTCAAGGACCCAGAGACACTGAAACTGGGGCATTACAGAAACTCAAGCTATTGCTGCTGGGACAGGAGATCGAACCAGGAGTGCTCCTGCAGGTGGGGCTAGAAAGTGAGCAAGGTTTGGTCAGCTGTGGCTGTGAAGCAAGCACTGCCAGGATCTGAGACAAGGATGCAAGAGGGGCACAAATTGCCATTGGAACTTGTTTGCAAGCCAGATGGGAGCTCCAGCAACCAGGGTGAGGGGGGGTGTCGAGCCCCTCCAGGACTGGAGTGTGAAAGGGACATATGTTCTTCCGCCACCTTCAACTGACCCAGGCTATGACCACTCAAGATGGCCCTACCCTCTTCAGTAATCCTCTGCCTGGGACCCGACGATTGCTCTGACCCTGCCCACAATGACGAGTGCCTGCTGTCAACATTGAGGACCTGAGCACAAACCCATCTAGCTCAGCTTCACCTCACCTCTCCCGCTCTGAGACAGAGCACATAGCCCAGGGTCCTGCGGATTGCTCGACCCAATTCACTACCTTGGGCACCTGAGCACTTCTTCTGGGGGCTTGAGGTTGGATCTAAACTTCTGGCTGCTACTACCTTGCCTGGCGCCTACCTGCAAGTGCCAACTGTGGGTCCAAAGGCTGTCTTGTCCAGCCCATTGCAGCCAGCACCAACATTAATGCACATCACTTGGGACTCATAGAATCATCTTGCCCATGCTATTGCTATTGTCAATGCCATGCTGGCTGCCCAGGGGCCTGAAAACCCACACAATTGCTTGATCCATTGGTGCTACTATGAGCATCCAAATGAGCAACCTGAAAGCCCAAGAATCAACCCACTGGTAACTGCCAACAGAGAAGCCAGCATATACCACCCTGGGGCAAAAAGATAGATGCTCAGCCCACTGATGCCAAAGCTGGGGACCTGAAGACTCTCCCGCTCAGCATCCCTGTCCCTAGCACAACTTTACCATATTCTCCACTAATAACCATGCTCCAACTAGCCAAAGAAATCACACATATCACTAATGCTGTTTACAGTCAAAGAAATATACAGAAAGTACACTACTGCACATACACAGAATCAAAGCCAAAGCACCCCACCAAACAAGCAACGTAGATACATTTTCAAGAAATGTCTTCTATTCGGGACTGGCTCATATCTTTTTATCTAACTAGATGTCAGATCTTGAAATCCGTATTCTCAAAGCAATTCTGCCACTTGATCGTATTCTCAAGGGCCCTGATAGGCTCCTTTATAAGGACCAATTCTGTTCCTAGAGCTTAACTAGAATTAATTGTTCACTGAAAAAAAAAGTTAATTAAGAAAGCATTTCTTTCCTAATCTCACTCAAATCTGCAGAATTATTTGTAATTAATAATACAAAGGCTGGCCAAAAGGAGACTTGTAAATAGCGTAAAGTGGTGTCTTATACTAAACGGTGGAATGTTTAGGCAGAGAAGCTCTTTGAAATTGTCAGATGGGCTGGGCTCACAAGCCTGATTCAAACAGGCTGTCAGTCTCCTCTCTCCCCTTAACACTGTGCAGCCCAAACCCCTGGGACCCTTGAACATCTGAGCAGTTTTGTGCTTTGAGCCACTTTTTGATAAAAAAAAAGGCTCCATTTTTCCACATTGTGATTTTCTTAAAGTAGTTCAATGTTTTATAGTCTCATAGTAGTAGTGTTGCTTTCTAAGCTATAACAGTTGATTTTATTCTTCTACTCTGAAAAATCTTGACTTGTTTGAGTGTATATTATATATAAAGGGAGCCTTAATGGATTGGTTTTCATAATTTAATATTTTTTGTATTTGCCGTTGTATAATTGTTTTTAACAGAAAGCATTAAAGAATTGAGAGTGGAATTCTTAGAACCAAAGTTATTCTTAATAAAAATCACCACATGCTTGGACCATGAAAAAAAAAAGAAATGTCCTCTATGAAAGTAAATTAAAAAATAGGAAGAAGCTACTGTTATACTAGATGCACAGATTTTAACATAAGGACACAGGAAACATGAAACAGCAAGGAAAGGAACACAAGAATTCTGCAGAAATAGATCTTAATCACAAAGAAATTTTTGAAATTCCAGACAAAGAATTCAAAATATTGATGTTAAAGAAGCTCAGTGAGATACAACAGAATTCTGAAAATCAATACTATGGAAACCAGAAAAACAATTCAGGGTATAAATGAGAAAATGATCAAAGAGATATATATTTTTTAAAATAACCAAATATAAATTCTGGAACTGAATAGTTAATTGAAGGAAATGCAAAACACATTTGAAAAGTTCAATAATAGACTAAATCTGGCAGAAGAATCTTGGAACTTGAAGACAGGTTTTTTGAAATAATCTAGTCAGACAAAAATAAAGGGAAAAGTACAAAAAATAATGAGCATAGCCTTAATAACATTTAGGACAACAAAAAGCAATGGAATTTATAAATTACTGGTATCTCTAAGGGTGAAAAAACAAAGAAATATTGGAAAACCTACTCAGCAAAATAATACATGAAAACATCCCAAGTCTAACAAAAGATTTAGGTATAGAGATACAGAAGGCCCAATGATCCCCGGGCAGATCCCCAATGCAAAAGGTCTTCTCCTTGGCACATTATAGTCAGACTGTGTGAAGTCAAAGTTAAAGAGCAAATTCTACAAATAGCAAGAGAAAAGCATCTAGCTACCTCTAAAGGAAATTCCATTTGACTAAGAGCAGATTTCTCAGTAGAAACCTTACACACCAGAAAAGAAGGAACTGATATATTCTAAGTGCTAAAAGAAAAAATAACTGCCACCACAGAACATGCAAAGAAACTATTCTTCATAAATAAAAGAGAAATAGATTCATCCCAAGACAAACAAATGCTGATGAAATTTATTACCACTAGACCAGCCTTGGAAAAAATACTCAAAGGAGTCCTAAACCTGGAAGCAAAAGGATGATTTTATCATCACGAAAACATATGAAAGTAAAAAATTCACTGGTAAAGCAATCATGCAAATGAGAACTAGAAAGGACTCAAATGGTACCACTACAGAAATCCACCAAATCACAAGGACAAACAATAAGATAAAAGGAAAGAAACAACGAATGTTTAAAACAAGAAAATGTTTAATAACCTGACAGAAAGAAAGCCTCACAAATCAATAATAACCATGTATGTAAATGGATTAAAGTATCCTCTTAAAAGATATAGAATGGCTGAATGGATTTTAAAAATGACTCAACAGTGTGCAGCTTAAAGAAACACACCTTAAGAAAAGACACATATAGACCAAAAGTAAAAGGATGGAGAAAGATATTCCACACAAATGGAAACCAATAGTAAGCAGCAGTAACTATACTTAGATAAAACAGACCTTAGGTCAAGAGCAGTAGAAAAAGACAAAGAAGGTCATTATATAATGATGAAGGGATCAACCCAGCAAGAGGATATAACAATTCTAAATATATATGCACCCAGCAATGGAGCAGCCATATCTATAAAGCAAATATTACTAGATCTAAAGAGAGAGATAGAATGCAATACAATAATGGTGGGAAGCTTCACCACCCTATTCTCAGTAAGACAGATCACTTAGACAGAAAATCAACAAACAAACATCACATTTAAACTACACTATAGACCAAATGGAACTAACAGACTTTTACAGAACTTCTACCCAACAACTGCAGAATACATATTCTTTTCATCAGTACATGAAACATTCTCCAGGATACACCATATATTCGGCTACGAAATAAGTCTCTATAAATTAAAAAAAAAATCAATATTTACTCAATGTATACTCAGACCACAATGGAACAAAACAACAAGTCAGCACCAAGAGGAACTCTGGAAACAAGACAAATGTATGGAAATTAAACAATATGCTCTTAATGACCTACCAGGTGAAAATCTATACAGGAAAAACTAAAAAACACTGATGAAAGAAATTGAAGATGACACAAACAAATGGAAAAACATCCCATACTCATGACTGGAAGAATTAAGATAGTTAAGAAGCCCACACTGGTCTATAGCAATCTAAAGATTTAATGTAATCCATATGAAAATACCAATGTCAGTCTTCACAGAATTGTAAAAAACAATTATAAAATTCATATGGATCCAAAAAGAACCTGAATAGCCAAAGCTATCCGGAGAAAAAAGAACAAAGCTGGTGGTATCACTTTACCTGACTTCAAAGTATATTACAAGGCTATAATAACCAAAACAGCATGATATTGGTATAGAAATAGATACATAGACCAATGGAATATAACCCAGAAATAAGGCCACATGTATACAGCCAATTGATTGTCAACAAAACTGACAAGAACTTATATTGAGGAAAGGACACCTTCTTCAATAAATGGTGCTGGGAAAATTGTATACCCACACACAAAAGAATGAAACTGGATTCTTCTCTCTCACCATATTAAAAAAAAACTCAAAATGAATCATACACTTAAATGTAAGACCCAAAACTATAAAAAAAAAAAACAGCTACAAGAAAACCTAGGGAAAACTCTTTTGAACATTGGTCAGAAGAGTCAGAAATTATGACTAAGTTCTGAAAAGCACAGGCAACAAAAACAAAAATAAACAAATGGGACTTAATAAACAAAAAGCTTCTGCCAGGAAAAGAAATAATTAGAGTGAAGAAACAACCTGTTGAATTGGAGAAAATATTCGCAAACTATTCTTCTGACAGGAGACTAATATCCAGACTATACAAGGAACTCAAACAACTCAACAGGAAAAAGCAAATAATCCAAGTAAAAAGTGGGCAAAGGACAGGAATAGACAGTTCTCAAAGAATACATAAGAACAGCCAATACGACAAAATGGTCAGCGTCACTAATCATCAGAGAAGTGCACATCTAAACCAAAATGAGATACCGTCTTACCCAGTCAGAATGACTATTACTAAAAAAACAAAAAATAACAGATTTTGGCAAGGATGAGGAGAAAGATAACTCTTCTGTACTGTTGGTGGGAATTTAAACTAGTACAGCCACTTTTGAAAACACTATGGACATTTCTCAGGAACTAAAAATAGAATTACTATTCGATCACTCAAGCAATCCCACTACTGGGTATCTACCCGAAGGGAAAGAAAGAAATACATCAAAGAGATACCTGCATTCACATGATTTTTGCTGCACTATTCACAATATCAGAGATATGGAACCAACCTAAGTGTCAATTAACAGATGAATGGATAAAGAAAATATAGTATACATGCTATTTGGCCATAAAAAAGAATGAAATCGTGTCATTTGCAGCAACATGGATGGGACTAGAATTCATTATCTAAATTGAAATAAGTCAGACACAAAAAGACAAATGTTGCATGTTCTCACTTACATGTGGGAGCTAAAAAAATATTATCACATGGAGGTGGACAGTAGAAAGATAGACAACAGAGACTGGAAAGGGTCAGATGGGGGAGGACAGAAGATGAAGAGAAGTGAGTGAAGTGCTACAAACATACAGTTAAAAGGAATAAATTCAGCGTTAGAGAGCAGAATAGTGTGATTTTAGTTAACAAGAATGTATTGCACTCACGTGACGGACACTCTAAATATCCTGACATAATCATTACGCATTATATACATGCAAAAAAATTTTACATCTACTCCTTAAGTTTGTAGAAATAAAAAAATTTACAAATATATGGTGGCAAATTCTAATACCTCATAGGTATTAGAGATTTGCCAGATGCATACTGCACAGAGGAAAATAGAAAACCATGTGAGCTAGACCTAAAAATTTTAATTTTGTCAGGATATTCTGCTCACGTTGTCCAGAAATATGTCTTTTGTGCCACATTTAACTGTGAGAAGCAGATTTTTCACAGGAAAGAAATTGCTAATCTCTATGATGAGGACCTAAAAAAAAATCTCTCCAGTCCACACTGCACTGAGTGGCAACATTAATTCAAAAGAAGTTTCTTCTGCACTGCAGTTCATAAAATATGTGTCCTTTTTGATTTACATGAAGATGTTGCATGGTTCTTATTTTGGAGATGTCATTGAAATTTTGTAAATCAGCGTACTAGCTGTCAAGGAAAAACCTCCATACTCATGTTTTAAAAAATATCTGGCATTCTACTGTGTCACTTGGCAAACTCACCAGTGTCCACAGCTCTAAAGCTAGATAGTGAGGGTGTGTGCTGAGGATGGGAAGCTATGGATGGGGATCATCTCAAGGGTAGGGACCAGGTCCCTGGCATCTCTTCTCCAGCCCGACCTACATACAGATGCTCACTATGTCTTTGGTGAATGAATGAATGAATGAATGAATGAGTGAATGAATGAGTGGCTATCACCCACACTGCACCTGGGACCCTTCTTCCTTTCACTGTCCCAGACACTCCCACAGACCCTACAGAATCCTATATCCTGCAGGACTGACTTTCTCATGGCGTGGGATGAGGCTGTGACTCTCTGGGGCCAGGAGTGACCAGCTCCCAGGTGTAAACAGTGGTGCACAGAAAAGCACCTCAGGTGGGCAGGGCCTTGGACACAGGTTTCGCATTCCTCAGATGCCCCGGGAGGCCCTGGTCCGGGCTCTGTTGCTCACAGGAAGCCCCGAGGTGGGAGGCGGGACACAGTCTCTTCTCCTCTGCTCTTCTTTGGGCAGGTCTCTGGGTCTCAAAGTTTCCGTCTGCTCTGTGCAGAGGGAGTGGAGCTCCGAGGGCTTGTGGCTTCGCAGTTCCTCTTCTGTGAACAGCCGAGATCACGCGCTCCTCCCCAGCCACCCGTTCCTCCCCGCAGTCCTTCCCCTCCACTCCCTTCCCCTTCTCTGCTCATGCAGGGAGCCCAGGAAGCCTCCGCCTCAGAGATGCTACCGCTGCTGCTGCCCCTGCTGTGGGCAGGTGAGTGGGCCAGGGGAGAGGTGCCGTGGGGCTGGGCCGAGCTGACCCTCATGTCTCCATAGGGGCCCTGGCTCAGGAGCGGAGATTCCAGCTGGAGGGGCCAGAGTCACTGACGGTGCAGGAGGGTCTGTGCGTCCTCGTACCCTGCAGATTGCCCACTACCCTTCCAGCCTCGTACTATGGTTATGGCTACTGGTTCCTGGAAGGGGCTGATGTTCCAGTGGCCACAAACGACCCAGACGAAGAAGTGCAGGAGGAGACCCGGGGCCGATTCCACCTCCTCTGGGATCCCAGAAGGAAGAACTGCTCCCTGAGCATCAGAGATGCCCGGAGGAGGGACAATGCTGCATACTTCTTTCGGTTGAAGTCCAAATGGATGAAATACGGTTATACATCTTCCAAGCTCTCTGTGCGTGTGATGGGTAAGGAACCAGCTCCAGGACTAGCCACAGGGGAAGGTCATGGGGGCCGTAGGGCAGGGCTGGGACGGGAGCCCCGTCTTGGGAGGCGGGTACAATTAAGCATGTTGGGCTCAGAGAAGGAGCTGGACCAGAGACTGGGCTTCCCCCTGGGTGAAACCTCAGACCTCCATCCTGATCCTGCGTCCCCATCTCCTCACCAGCCCTGACCCACAGGCCCAACATCTCCATCCCAGGGACCCTGGAGTCTGGCCATCCCAGCAATCTGACCTGCTCTGTGCCCTGGGTCTGTGAGCAGGGGACGCCCCCCATCTTCTCCTGGATGTCAGCTGCCCCCACCTCCCTGGGCCCCAGGACCACCCAGTCCTCGGTGCTCACAATCACCCCACGGCCCCAGGACCACAGCACCAACCTCACCTGTCAGGTGACGTTCCCTGGAGCCGGTGTGACCATGGAGAGAACCATCCAGCTCAATGTCTCCTGTGAGTGCTGGGCCAGGACGCCCGGGTCCCTGAGGGTGTGGGGGGACAGGGCAGGGCTGAGCCAGAGCTTAAAGTTGGGGACCTGGTTGCCAAAGAGGAGAGCCCCTTTCCCTGTTTTCATGGCTCCTGAGGGGAAGGCCCCATGCCTACCATCCCTCCTCAGGGATGTTGAGGCGGCCACCTCTTTCCACCCCAGATGCTCCACAGAAAGTGGCCATCAGCATCTTCCAAGGAAACAGCGCAGGTAGGAACCAGCCAGTCCTGTTCTCTCCAGGGCCAGATGGAAGCAGAGTGGGGACTAACGGGGATCAATATGAGAAGCCAGGACTAAGGCCTCCATAGACTTCAAAGACCTGGACTGAATCTTTGCTCACCCCCAGCCTTTGTCGCCTCTTCGGCAGGAGCTGCCACACCCCTCGCACTCCCTCTTCTCTCTTGCTTGTTTTCCTACTGCCTCAGGCGTCTCCATGGTCCAGGAATGGCACTTGTCTGCCACGACGCTGTCCGCAGCCCTTGCTCCACTCTCTGCAGGACAGCCTGGGCAGCTCCAGGGAAATGGTCTGGGCTTTTCTGAAGACCTGAGGCCCCCACTTTACTAGTCTCCTCCTCAGAGCTAGTGTGGACCCCACAGGAGGAGAGGGACACCAGTGCTTTGCCCCTATACCCCATCTCTAACTCTCTACACCTCTCTCCCCAAAGCCTTCAAAATCCTGCAAAACACCTCGTCCCTCCCTGTCCTGGAGGGCCAGGCTCTGCGGCTGCTCTGTGATGCTGACGGCAACCCCCCTGCACACCTGAGCTGGTTCCAGGGCTTCCCCGCCCTGAACGCCACCCCCATCTCCAATACCGGGGTCCTGGAGCTGCCTCAAGTAGGGTCTGCAGAAGAAGGAGATTTCACCTGCCGTGCTCAGCATCCTCTGGGCTCCCTGCAAATCTCTCTGAGTCTCTTTGTGCATTGTGAGTGTGGGGGGAGGTGCGCGAGAGTGTGGGCAGCTGGGCGAGAGCTCCATAGTATTCAGAGAAGAGGCCCCTGCTAAGTCCTGTCCTCCCTCCCCAGACCCCTCACAACTGCTGGGACCCTCCTACCTCTGGGAGGCTTAGAGTCCACACTGCAGTGGCTCCTCCCTGCACTGGCAGCTTGGGGAGGAGATTCTGGAGGGATGGGAACAGCAGCCATGGCTCCTTCACAGTCACCCCCAGCCAGCCGGACCCTTGGTCAACAGCTCCCTGAGCCCCTGCCAGGGATTCAGCTCAAGTCTCAGGCTCAGCTTTGAGGCCCAGAACATCCCAGAGCAGCTCTGTCCCAGCTGCTGCCAGGTCAGGAGTCTGCTAAGAGGTGACAATTGGGGGAAGAGAAGCCTGGGTCCTTGTATGAGTTTGCTAGGGCTGCCATAACAAAGTAATTCAAAGTGCACGACTTAAACAATAGGGATTTATTGTCTCACGGTTCTCAAGGTCAGAAGTCCAAGATCATGTATGGTGTTAGAGTTGGTTCCTTTTGAGGCTGTGAGAGAATCTCTTCCATGCTCCTTCCCTGGCTTCTGGTGGTTTCCTGGGAGTCTTTGGCGTTCCTAGGCTTAAAGAAGCATTGCCTCGACCTCTGACTTAATCTTCACATGGTGGTGTCTGTGTCCACATGTGCGTCTGTGTCCACATTTTCCCTTTTTTTTTTTTTTTTTGAGAGAGGGTCTCACTCTGTTGCCAGGCTGGAATGCAATGGTGCGATCTTGGCTCACTGCAACATGGTAATCTGACATATGCAACCTCCACCTCCCGGGTTCAAGAGATTCTCCTGCCTCAGCCTCCCGAGTAGCTGGCACTACAGGCGCCCACCACCATGCCCAGCTAATTTTTATATTTTGAGTAGAGACAGGGTTTCACCATGTTGGCCAGGATGGTCTCGATCTCCTGACCTGGTGATCTGCTAGCCTTGGCCTCCCAAAATGATGGGATTACAGGTGTGAACCACTGCACCCGACCCACATTTTCCCCTTTTTATAAGGACAACAGTCATATTGGATTAGGGCTCACCCTGATCCAGGAACACCTCATTATAACTAATTACATCAGCTATGACCCTTCTCCAAATCAGGTCATGCTCTGAGGTGCTGGGGGTTAGGACTTCAAAATAGGAATTGTGGGGAGACATAATTCAACCCCTAACTGCTCCAGAGAAATGAAGCTTGGAGAAGATGTTTCCAAGGCCCAGACAAGAGTGGCTGGGGGCACAACGTCCTCAGTCTTGCAGTTGGGGGAAGGGGGAGTCATGGAGAGAGAAGAGGCTGGTTCCGGGTTCACAGGGCAGTGAAATGGTGAGTGACTGAGTCCTGGATGGGGGTGGTCACATTAGTGGAAGGTGGAGAGGAATGGCTGTTGGGAGGATGTCCTGGAATTAGAACTGGAGTTCACTTAAAATTCAAATTATAGGGAAACCAGAAGGCAGGGCTGGTGGTGTCCTGGGAGCAGTCTGGGGAGCTAGCATCACAACCCTGGTTTTCCTCTGTGTTTGCTTCATCTTCAGGTGAGAGTGGGCTCCAGGGAGGCACAGAAAGACTTCATGTGGGAAGGGCACACAGGTGGCAGAATCTCAGAAAACCTGAGTGGAGGAAAATGGGGTGATTGGGAAAGTCGAGAGTGAGGAAAGGGAGGGTAGTGGTGGTGTGAATTACCCCGTTGACCAGCTGAACCAAGCAAGGGGTCTCTTTGAAACCGTGGTCCAACTCTTGGGCTCATGTGAGCACCTGGACCTCTTAATTACTTCTGTACTCTCCATAGGGAGTGGGGAGATGGTTTTCTTTTGGGGAAAGAGGCTCCAAATAACCAGGCTGAAAGGCTTAGGGCTGTTCCCTCAGAGTGAAGACTAGAAGGAAGAAAGCAGCCCAGCCAGTGCAAAACACGGATGATGTGAACCCCGTCATGGTCTCAGGCTCCAGGGTGAGTGACAGAGACCTTAATTTCCATTCAGCATTATCCCTTTTGAATGCTGCCCTAAGTAAGGACCCTGAGGCATTTCTTCATTAACACCTGACATTCCCTGCGGTTCCACATGTGACATTTTAAATTTTTGACTCAGTAATAATTTAAAAAGTATTGATTTCAATAATTTAAAATAGTAACATTTGGAACTGAATCTAATAGTTCTGATGAAATACGTACTCCAGTTAATTTGCTGGGGGTATTTATGCTCCTCATATGTCAGATTATCATATTTCCTGGAATATTAGTCTTTTCTTATGGCATTGATTATTGAGAAAAAGAAATGAACAAAACTTAGTCTGTGTCAGGTGCATTAAGTACAAGGAATGTGGTAGACACAAGCCCTAGAGTAGACAGCCCAAATCAACCCAAAGTCATTACTGCTCATCACTATTACAATATTACAGGCATCTCTAGCTGCCTGTAATATTTTTTCTTTGGCATTGACCTTGGAGAACCTGATGACTGCGTGTCTTGGGAATGGTTGTCTTATATATTATCTTACCAAGGTTCTCTGAATTTCCTGAATCTGCATGCTGACCTCTCTAGAGAGGTTGGGGACATTTTTGTGGACAATATCCTCCAATACGTTGTTCAAGTTGCTTGCTCTCTCTCCTTCTCTTTCAGGGATGCCAATGAGTTGTAGATTTGGTCTCTTTACATAATCCCACAGTTTTTGGAGGTTTTGTTCATTTCTAAAATTCTTTGTTCTTTTGTCTGCCTGAGTTAATTTGAAGAACCAGTCTTTGGGCTCTGATATTCTTTCCTCAGCTTGGTTTATTCTGCTGTTAATACTTCTGATTGTGTTATGAAATTTTTATAGTGAGTTATTCAGCTCTATCAGCTCAGTTTGGTTCTTTCTTAAGGTGGCTATTTCATCTTTCATCTCTTCAATTGTTTTACTGGATTCCTTTGATTCCCTGGAATGGGTTTCTACTTTCTCCTGAATCTCAATAATCTTGATTGTCATCCAGATTCTGAATTTTTCGTCTGTTATTTTATCCATTTCATTCTGGTTAAGAACTTTTGCTGGGGAACTAGTGTGGTCATTATGAGGTAAGAAGACACTCTGGCTTTTAGATTTGCCAGAGTCCTTGCACTGGTTCTTTCTCATTTATGTGGGCTCATGTTCCCTTACTTGTGCTGTCATTTGAGTATAGTCAGTTGGCTTTGTTTCTGGACGTTTTCAGAAGGCCAACGCTTTGTGCACGATCTTTATTTGTTGCTAAATTCTTGTCCTTAGTTTCACAGTGGGGTATATTAGCAAAGTATTTTTGGTGTTGAAGTTTGGATGTGATCCAATAGGTGGTGCTTAAGCATAATGGCTGGCAGGTAGGCTCTTGTTCAGCCACATGAATCCTCTGTAGTTCCTCACATTTGCAGCCATGCTCCCTCCTAGTGCTCTGAGAGTGTGGGCTCCTCTCTCACTCAAGTGCTGGCTACAGATCTTGACTTGGCACTCAGGCTGCACACTACAGCCCCGTGGTGAGCCCAGGCATTTTGTTTCCTCCCCAGCTTGGAGCAGCAGGGGCAGGGACCTTGGAAGTGCCAGTGGTAGAGGGCTTTTTCCTTGTCTCTTGGGGCTTCATCCTAGAGGAATGCAGAGCTGCTGCCAATTGGAATAATTACCCTGGGTTGAGGCAGCTGTGCTGTGGGCCCAAGCAGGGGGACTTACCTGGTGAAGAGTAACGGTTGGAGGCTCACAGGGAAGAGAGACTGGGCTCCTCTCTGTAGTGCAGCTGTGGCATGCTGGAGGTTCCACCAAATAAATCAGGCTCTTTGTTCCTTCCCTAGCCTGAGGGCAGCAAGGGCAGCATGGCTGCAGCAGCAATGGCAGAGGGGCTGCCAGCTGCTCTGAGAGCTCCACCCCAGAAAGCCACAGAGCCACTGCCAATGGGAACGTTCATCTAGGGGTGGGGCCGCTGTGCTGCAGGCCCCAGCCAGGGGCCCTGCCTGGTGAAGAGCAGGGAGTAGGGGTCCCACAGGGAAGCGAGACTGGGCTCCTTTCTGTATGGTGCTTGTAGTGTGTTGGAGGTGCCAGCAAAGTGATCAAGGTCTTTATTCTTTTCCCAGCCTGAAGACATCAAGGGCAGTACCACTGCAGTGGCAATGGCAAAGAGCCTGTGGGTTGACCCTGGGATATCCTCCTCAGAGAAACACAGAACTGCCACCAACTCAGGTGGGGGCAGGGCAGCTGTGCTGGGGGCCCGGGTCAGGATGTCCTTCTCAGTCAGGAATAACAGGGGCAGGGACCCACACTGATACGGTCTGGCTGCTTTTCCATAAAGCAGTTCCGGTGTGTTGGAGGCCAGTGATAGTCCTTATGCTCTTTTCTCCTTCTCCAGCCTCGGGGGAGTAGGAGTGGGAGCTGTGGCGGCAGAAAAAATGGCAGACTTGTCTGTTACCTCTGGGAGCCCTGTCCCAGAGAAGTCGAGAGCTGCTACTGGCCCAAGTGCTCAGGCAGGGGTGAGGTGGCTATGCTGGGGTCCCAGGCCAGTGGGCTTTCTCTGGCGAGCTGTAGCAGAGGTGAGGTATGCAATCTGTCAGCTCCTCAGCACCATAAATGTGGTCCCTACCCTGAGAGCATGTGAGAGAACCTGGCCTCTCTTGTTGGTGAAGCTATGACACCTGGTGCCCAGCTGCTCATAGGTCCAAGGCCCTTGGGGCTCCACATGGGCCTGAGCAGTGGCCCTGCCCAGACTCCGCACAGCTCTCCATGTCAGTCTGGAGGCTTCAGGGGATCTCTCATGCCCAGGACTGCAAAGGTCCATGGCAGAAGTGTGGGTCCTTGGGGGCTGTCACTTGCTCACTGTTTCCCCATCGTGGGGAGCCTCCCTTGGCTCCATGCCAATCCTGGGGAGCTGCCTTGTCTCATTCTTCTCTGCTCTCCGGGTCATGTTGCTTCCTTGATGAATGTCAACGTGTCCTTCTGGATGGTCTAGTTGGCGAGCTAATGTTTATTTGCCACTCTATCTCCTCTCCATTAGAGTGGCGCACACTCCATAGTCGATTTTTTAAAAACTCTTATCTCAGTAACTGGTAGTATAAGTACATGAAAAATCAGTCTACCATGGTGAATGTTACATGTGCAATTGCAAAGAATGTGTTTTCTGAAGATACTGGATGTAGTATTTTATAAATGTCAATCAGGTCAAGTTATTTTACACTAGTGTTCAATCCTTCTATATCCTTAGTGATTCTCTGTCTGCTTATTTTTACAATTTATTTTGTTAAATCATGCTCTGTGATTGGTTGCATATGCACTTAGGATTTTTATATCTTGTAATGAATTGACTTGTTTATCATTATGAAATGTCTTTATTTCTGGTAATATTTCTTTTCCTAAAATACACTGTCTGATTTAATATTACCACTCTAGTGTTCTTAATATTAGTGCTTGTTTGTTATGCATTTTCCCTCCTCTTACTTTTAACACATGTGTGCCTTCATATGTATTGTGTCTGTCTTACAGATATCACATTTATTCTACCTATTTTATCAAGTCTGCCAATATCTTCCTTTTAATTGGAGTGTTTAGACCATTTATATTTAATGTGATTATTGATTTGGCTCAGTTTAATTCTACCAGATTGCTCTGCTTTATATTTATATTTGTCCTTTTATATTTATCTCCCTTTTTTGCCTTTTTGATAGTTTTAAAATATTACTACTTTTTTTTTTTGAGATGGAGTCTCACTCTGTCACCCAGGCTGGAGTGCAGTGGCACGATCTCAGCTCACGGCAAGCTCCGCTTCCTGGGTTCACGCCATTCTCCTGCCTCAGCCTCCCGAGTGGCTGGGATTACAGGTGCCCGCCACCGCGCCCAGCTAATTTTTTTTTGTACTTTTAGTACAGACGGGCTTTCACCGTGTTAGCCAGGATGGTCTCCATCTCCTGACCTCGTGATCCACCTGCCTCAGCCGCCCAAAGTGCTGGGATTACGGGCGTGAGCCACTGTGCCCAGCGGACCCTTACTTTTAATCTGTAACCCTTCTTGAGTCCTAACGGAAGGTTTGAGGTGTTTACTGGGCCTCTCCTTATCAGACCTGGAACATCAAATTTGGTTTACCCAGTTCCATCAGACTGCTGAGAGGAGAGTTACTACTTTTATCCTCTAGCAGGGTTGTCCAATCATCTGGCTTCCCTAGGGCACATTTCTTTTCCTTGTTGGTTTTCAGCAATAGGATTATGACATGCCTAGGTGTGGTTTTCTTTGTTTTTATCTTTCTTGGTATTTGCAGATATTGTTGGATATATGACTTGGTATTGTGAAAACATTTTAATCATTGTTTTTTCCATAATTCTTTAACTCCCTTCCCCTTTCTGGGATCCCAGTTGCACCTGTGTCAGAATGCTTGATATTGTCCCACAGGCCAATGAAGCTGTGCTTATTTATTTTTCGTTTTTGTGTTTTCTTTGTGCCTCAGTTTGGAAAGTTTTTATTGCTACGTTTTTTAGTTCATTGCTATTTTCTTCTGCCGTACCTAATCTGCTATTAGCTTTTCTTTTTAGATATTGCCATTTTTCATCTCTAGAAATTCAATTCAGTTTATTTTTTTTTTCCTGAGACAGGATCTCACTCTGTCGCCCAGGCTGGAGTGCAGTGGCATGAACATGGCTCACTGCAGTTTCGACCTCCTAGGCTCAAGTGATCCTCCTGCCTCAGCCTTTCAAATAGCTATGACTACAGGCATGCACCACTGCGCCTGGCTAATTTTTTAAACAAATTTTTGTAAAGACAGGGTCTCACCATGTTGCCCAGGCTGGTCTCAAACTCATGGGCTCAAGCAGTACTCCTGCCTCGGCTTCCCAAATTGCTGGACTTACAGGTGTGAGCCACCACACCCAGCCCAGTTCTTTATAGTTTTCATTTCCTTATTATGTTCTGTTTTCCTTTAAGTTTTTGTTATTGTTGAGAGAGGGTTTCACTCTTTTGCCCAGGGTGGAGTGCAATGGCATGTTCTCAGTTCACTGCAACCTCCACTTCCTGGGCTCAAGCAATTCTCCAGCCTCAGACTCCCGAGTAGTCGGGACTACAGGCGTGAGCCACCATATCTGGCTAATTTTTTTGTGGGTTAGGGATTAGAGATGGGATTTCACCATGTTGCCCAGGCTGGTCTCGAACTCCTGAGCTCAAATCAATCTGCCCACCTCAGCCTCCCAAAGTTCTGGGATTACAGGCATGAACAACCATACCTGGCCTAAGTCTTTGAATATGTGTATTTATAGCCGTTTTTAATCTTCTTTTCTGCTAATTCCATCATTTGGTGATATGTTTCTATTTACTGATATACTTTTCATTGCTTACATTCCACAGCTTCTTCGCATAGGTAGTGATTTTGGTGGCATACTGGACATCGTGTTACATTGTTGATTATCCGGATATTTTAATCTTCCTTTAAAAATTGTTGAGCTTTGTTCTCGAATGCAGTTAATTTATTAGTGGATTGTCTTGACCATTCAAAGATTTTTACAAAAGCTTTGGCAGGGTGAGTTTATATTTGCCTTCATTCCAGCTTTCTCATAGCTGTTCCTTCTCCAGCAGCACGTACCCAGGCTTTCAGCCTTTCACTCTGTGCATACAGCTTAGTATTCAGCCAAAGATTCAAGGGGACCTCTATGCATATTTTTTGGAGTTCTTTCTCTGTGTAGTTTTTTCTCTCTGTACTCTGCTCTACAAATTCCACCCACATCATTCCCACTTGAACTGCAGTTGCTGCCTCCACAGTTTCATAAGACTCTTGTGTTCTGCTTGAATTTATCCTCCACGTACTGCAGTTTGGAAATTGTCATTTGATCATGAGACTCACCTCATTGGTTTCCTTTCTTTCAGATGTCACAGTCCTGTCTGCCTGTTTTCCTTGTGAAACACATATTTTACATACTATGTATAGTTTTCTAATTATGCTGGGAGGGTGCCAGTTACTCTACCATAGCCTGAGTGAGAACTGACCAAGAATAATTCAAGTCATGATTCCTGTTGTTCAGACCCTCAGGAAAAATTGGTGCTGGGGGAGGTAATACCTAGACTGTCTTCCAAAAGTCTGGGATGTGTGGATGGGGGAAGGTGGCCAGGGGAAGCCCAGGGAGAGGCAATTTCCACCTGTTATTTTCTTCATTCAGTAGGGCTTTTGTGCTGATCTGTCATTTCTCCTGCAGAAATTCACACCTTTAGTCTCGGACTTTGCCACTGATTTGTGTAGCAAGAATGCAGGCAGGAATATATTATCCCAATGATGGAGGAAAGACATGAGTGGAACATAAATCTCATTTCTGTAGCCATTCACGCACTGTCACCAATGCCTCCCTGAACACACACACACACATATACACACACACACACTCCAGTATAAAATATTTTGTTTCCCCAGAGATTTCCCACTTTTTCTTATTTGCTCATTCCATAATTTCTTGTATTGCCTCTTGGTTTATTTGGAGATATAACACACTTAGTGTGTGTTAAATCCCCACTTTGTTGGGAATCATTACATAATTTCTTTACCATGCTTTACTTTCAAGTTTTCAGGGGCATTAGAAAGAGAAGGTACAGGAGAGGGCGTCCGGTGGCCTGTACTGCAGGACCCGGTCTCTGTTCTGTCCTCCAGTACCTGTCTAGGAATCAGATATGCCACTCCTGCCCCTGCTTTATATTTCAAAATATCTGCTATCATGAATTAAAAAAGTGATTTTGTTTCCTGTTTTTAACTAACTGCATCTCATAGAAAACCACACTGCCTACTATCTGGGACTGTGTCTGCTTTCTTCATGGCTTAACATCTAGCACATGTCACATGACCTACACAACAATAAGCTGGTTCTGAGTCCTTCTCAGTGGTGCATTTATATAGATGTGTGTCTATAGGCAACATGTGGAGCCTCTCTTAGCCTTAGTGTTCCCGTTTGTAAGATGAATGTAATCATGGAATCCACTGCAAAGCATTTTTTGAGAATAGAATATGACTGATTAATGTAAACACTCACTAAGGGCTTGCCAATCTTAATTATTAAATATTTTAAAATAAATGAATGCGGTGGATGTGGTGGCTCATGCTTGTAATCCCAGCACTTTAGGAAGCCAAGGTGGGTGGATTCCTTGAGCCCAGGGTTCAAGACCAGCCTGGGCAACATAGTAGAACTCCATCTCTACAAAAATTAGCCAGGTGGGGTGCATGCCTGTAGTCCCAGCTACACAGGAGGCTGAAGCAGAAGGTTCATTCGAACCCAGGTGTTCAAGGCTGCCTGAGCCGTGATCATGCCGCTGCACTCCAGCCTGGACAACAGAGCGAGACCCCATCTCAAAAATAAAATAAAATAAAATGAAATAAAATAAAATAATAAATGAATGGATAAATAATAAAGTTCCATCAGTTCTACTCCCTTTCTGATCCTTGGCTGCTTTCTTTGAGAACCTATTGTCCAGCCCTGAATCTTTTCTTTTCTTCCATTAAGGGTCATCAGCACCAGTTCCAGACAGGCATAGTTTCAGACCACCCTGCTGAGGCTGGCCCCATCTCAGAAGATGAGCAGGAGCTCCACTACGCTGTCCTACACTTCCACAAGGTGCAACCTCAGGAACCAAAGGTCACCGACACTGAGTACTCAGAAATCAAGATACACAAGTGAGGAATTGTCCAAAGCCATAACCTTGATTGGAGAGAACATGGTACCTCTCAGTGTATTGGTTACTAGGGCTGCCACAGCAATGTACCACAAACCGAGTGACATAAACACAGAACTTTATTTTCGTATAGTTTCAGATGTTAGAGGTCTGAGAACAAGGTGTTATCAGGGTTGGTCCCTTCTAAGGCCTCTCTTGTTGGCTTGTAGATGGCTGTCTCCTCCTTGTGTCTTCACATGGTCTTTCCTCTGAGTGTGTTTGTGTCCTAATCTTCTCTTCTTATAAAGACACTAGTCATATTGGATTAGGGCCTCCCCATGACCTAATTTAAATAAATTAACTATTTAAAGACCCTCCAAATACAGTAACCTTCTGAGATATTGAGATTTAGGACTTCCAACATATGAATTTTAGAAGGGAACAATTTAGCCCATAACACTGTGTCCAATTCTTTTAAAATTAATGTTTTTGTTGTAAATGGACTATATAAATACCTTCGTATATATGGCAGACCACAGGACTTCTGTCCAAGAGAACTGAGTTCAACTCCATCTATGCCAGCTATTGAGCAAGTCGCTTTATGTCCCTGCTCTGTAAGGCAGGGAAATAATTTCCATCTAACCAGATTATTGTGAAAGGTCAAAGAAAGCATACAGCTAACATACAGCTTTGTTAGCTGTAAAACAGCTAACAAAGGCCCTGACACAAAGGTTTTCATAAAGTCTGTATATTTTTGTAAATGAATGCCTTGTATCTGGCTTTGGCTAGCTTTTTTTTTTTTTTTTTTTTTCTGAGATGGAGTCTTGCTGTATCTCCCAGGCTGGAGTGCAGTGGTGCGATCTTGGCTCAGTGCAAGCTTCGCCCCCTGGGTTCACACCATTCTCCTGCCTCAGCCTCCCAAGTAGCTGGGACTACAGGCACCCACCACCACACCCGGCTAATTTTTTGTATTTTTAGTAGAGACGGGGTTTCACCGTGTTAGCCAGGATGGTCTTGATCTCCTGACCTCGTGATCTGCCCTCCTCGGCCTCCCAAAGTGCTGAGATTACAGGCATGAGCCACCGCACCCGGCTTTGATTAGCTGTTTTAACAGACGGTTTCTGCTGGCAATTTCTTCTAAGGCTGAAAAGGAGTAGGCCCAGAGGCCACAGCACCAGGTGTCTGTGTCACCCCCTGTTCAGAACTCTTCACGACTCCCCAAAATAAGGTTTCCATCCATCATCTTTCTGCTCAAGGCTCTCTACATGATCTTGTCCATCCAGATTTCCCCAGATCAATTCCTCACCAGTCACCAATACCCCATGTCCATTTCCACAGCTTCCTCTTACAAATCCCAGTCTCCACTATTCCAGTGAAATTGAAGAAAGCATTTAATGAAGACCAACTATTAAGGAAAATTCTTAAGAGTAGCCATGAAAAATAAAAAGATAGATTACACTTAAAAGACCACAGTTAGCAGTGGCTCACGCCTGTAATCCCAGCACTTTGGGAGGCTGAGGTGGGTGGATCACTGGAGGTCAGGAGTTCGAGACTGGTCTGGCCAACATGGTGAAACCCCATCTCTACTAAAATACAAAAATTAGCTCGGTGTGGTGGCACTTGCCTGTAATCCCAGGTACTTCTGCAGGTTGAAGCAGGAGAATTGCTTGAACCTGGGAGGTGGAGGTTGAAGTGAGCTGAGATTGCATCACTGCACTCCAGCCTGGGCAACAGAGCGAGACTCCAACTCAGAAAAAGCAAAACAAAACAAACAAACAAGCAAAAAACCACAATTAGACTGACAGCTGACTTTTTTAGGAGCAATATTGGAAGGCTAAATGCAATAGAAAGATGTCTTTGATGGCTTAAGAGAAATAAATGTTGTTTTAGAAAGCCTACTCAATGAAAACACATTTTAAGACTGAAAGTGAAATATAGATATTTTAAGGAAAACCAAAATATGTGAGTGTTAATAAAGAAAAGATTTCTCAAATAAATTCTAAAACATATAATTCAGGTATTAGGAAAGTGATCCCAGATTAGATTTTTGAGATCCAAAAAAAATGAAAACCTAGGAAAGTAGCAAATATGTGAGCAAAATGAAACAAATACTTGTTGTAAAAATGATGGTTTGTAGAGGGGTCAAACATCAAATGTAATATTGAAATACCAATATTATATAGCCCAGAAACTATAATAACATAAAGTTCAGAAGAGTGTAAATAGAATTTATATTACATAAAGTCTTTATATTTTTCCAGAGAAAATTAAATGTTATGATGAATGTTACATTTGGATAATTTATTATTGTAATCTCGAGGAAATTTACTTAAAGATTCGAAGCCAAGTTTACCACCTGTGAACTAGAGGAAGTATAAAAGGTGATAGAAACATTATTCAGTCAAACCAGAGAAGACAAGAAATAAGAGATTAAAGAAAAAAAGGATGGATAGAACATGTAGAATACAAGTATAAGATTCTGTATTTAGACTCAAATACAGTCTAAGAATCACATTAAGCACAAGTGAATTAAATGCTACAGTTAAAATACCAGCATAGTAAGACTGGGGGAAAGTGTAGCTATACGTTGTTTATAAGAGATCTACATAAAAGATAAATATAGGGGAGGTTGTGTGTAGAAGGATGAAAAAAGACATACCATGAAAACCGTAACCAAAAGAAACTGATGTAGTCAGTCAAGTTTCCACTGGAAAAAACAAGTCTGTAGGATGTATGTATTGAAAGATTCAACTATTCACAATAGCAAAGACATGGAATCAACCTAAATGCCCATCAATGATAGAGTGGGTAAAGAAAATATGGTACATATACTCAATGAACTACTATGCAGCCATAAAAAAGAATGAGATCATGTCCTTTGCAGGGACATGAATGGAGCTGGAGGCCATTATCCTTAGCAAACTGACACAGGAACAGAAAACCACATACCACATGTTGACACTTCTAAGAGGGAGCTAAATGATGAGAACACATGGACACATAGAGGGGAACAACACACACTAGGGCATTTTGGAGGGTAGGAGGGTGGGAGGAGGGAGAATATCAGGAAAAAATAACTAATGGGTACTAGGCTTAATACCTGGGTGACGAAACAATCTGTACAACAAACCCTCGTGACACAAATTTACCTATGTAACAAACCTATACTTGTACCCCTGAACTTAAAATAAAAGTTTAAAAAAAGGAACTTCAAAAAAAAGAAAGAAAGACTCATTGCAAGAAAATGGCGTATGCTTTTGTGGGAGCTGGCTAGGCAAGTCCGAGATCTATAGGGAGGGTCATCTGGAAGTCCAAGCTAGGACTTCGTCATGAGCTCAAGCTGCAATCCACAGGGAGAATTTCTTCTTTCTCAGAGCAGCCTCAGTTCTGCACTGAAGGTCTTCCACAGATTGAATCAGGCTTACCCAGATTATGAAGCATAATCTTCCTTAAACTGATTATAAATCTTAATCATGTGTACAAAGCATCTTCACAGCAACACCTAGATTAATGTTTCATTGAATATCCTGGAGACTGTTACCTAGACACACTGACACATAAAACTGAATATATCAATATCAGAAAATATGTCTATTACAAAAAGAAGTATTAATGGAGGTAAAAGGGACCACTTCGTAGGGATTAAAGATTCAATCTACTAGGAAGATACATTTGAAATGTACCTGCACATGATAAAATAGCTTCAGAATACATAAGGCAAGAATAGGCAAAGTGAAAACAAAATAGCCTAATCCACATTTATGGAGGGCAATTTTTAACACATATTTTACAATAACTGATGGTACACACAAACAAGAGAATTGTTAAGGATATGCAACATAGTATACATAAATAACATGATTAACAAACTTGGTCTATGGCCATAGGTAGAAACTGCTCCAAACAACTGCAGAAAACATATTCTATTTGAGCACACATGGAGTATTAAAAATTTTTTTTTTACCATATACTGGGCCAAAAGTATATTTCAACATATGTCAGAGAAGTGAAACCATACAGAATATGTTAATTGATTTCAATGTTATTAAGCTCAAAATAAGTAATAAAATGTAATTATATACCAATGTCTATGTAACTGTACATAATTAGTGGAAACTTAGAAAATCCCTTAAAATAAGTCATAGATTAAATAATCAAAACATACAGCCAGGCGTGGCGGCTCATGCCTGTAATCCCAACACTTTGGGAGGCCGAGGTGGGCAGATCACTTGAGGTCAGGATTTCAAGACTAGCCTGGGCAACATGGCGAAACCCTGTCTCTACTGAAAAAAAAAAAATACAAAACTTAGCTGGGTGTGGTGGCATGTGCCTGTAATCCCAGCTACTCAGCAGGCTGAAGCAGGAGAATTGCTTGGATCTGGGAGGCACTGCACTCCAGCCTGGGCAACAGTGAGACTCCATCTTAAAAAAAATTGTCATCATTATCATCATAACACAAATAAGAAATTATTTAAAACTGGATACTGAAAATACTATAAAACTTTTAGAGTAAAACTAAAGCATTTATTAGAGGAACTATATATAACCTTAAATGTATATGCTAGGGTGGGAAAAGCTAAAATTTAATAAACTAAGCTTTAATTTCAAGAACTTAGAAAAAGAACAACAAAACCAAAAGGAATTGGAGAGAAGGAAATATCAAATGATAAGAGCACATAGCATAGAAAACATATTCAGTAGAAAGGAACAACATCACGAACAGCTAGTTTTTGATACAAATAATAAAATGGGCAAACCTCAGTTGCAATTAGTCCAGAAATATAGAAGGCAAAAATAACTAGTATGCAGGAATATAAGGGAGAAAACATTACTTAATCTAATGCAAAATAAGCAGAAAGTAGTAAGCTGTATGAAAAGTTTTGAATACTTATAGAAAATGGACAAATTTCTGGGAAAAAATGTGTTACCTAACGCTGTAGGCATGGTTCAGTTTGTATCTGTCCTTCTGACCTCTCAGTCTCAAAATGAAAAGCCAAATGTATTTATGAAATTCTGCCACTAGGGGGAGTTCCTTCAGTCCCGCTCTCAGGTTCACTGTGGTTGAGTTTGTCATGATGCAAAAGTCCACTCCTTGCTGTGCCAGTTGATTGAGCAGAACCACTTGAAAACCAAGATGAAATGTTTTCCTCCTCAAGCAATGGCCATAAAGAACTGCCCATGAGGTCACACATGTGATTTCATGAAAAAATAAGGCAATATCCCAGGAGGAGTTGTAGGAATCTGGGTCACCTGCTCATGTCACTTGGTTGTGATTTCTGGACTTCTTGAAGCCCATCTTGAAGTCAGTTATATCATATCCAAATTCACTTCATAATGGATTATTGCTTCACATGCCCAACCTTTTAGCTTGATGGGTCACAGAGCACCTACTTCATGATGGGCAGTTTGTATTATATATTCGCTTCATATCCCATAGTAAGGGTATCAGTCTCTACCAAGGCCTGGTAATAAGTCAGAAGCTCTTTCTCAAGAGATCCATCATGTTCTCAAAAACAGAGCATGGCTTTGCAACAAAAGTCCTAGGGGTCTTCACTCTGGGGCACACCGACATTCTTAATTATTCCAGATAATTCAAGTATAATTTAATCTTGAGTTATAAACCTCAAGTTGTAAAGCTTCTTATACTACAGCCTGGACCTGCTGCAGAGCCTTTCCTTGAACTGAGAACAACTCCAAACTGGAAGTCTTAAGATTTACGTAGTAAGTGGGTTAGAGCATCCAATCATAGTTGTACATTTCCTCCAAAATCCAAAGGTGACTATCAAGAATTGAGCTTCTTTGGTAGGGGTAGGATGACCTCCCATTTTATCTCTGATCCTCTTTAAAGCTAATGTGCTCAACTTATCTCTAGGGATTAAGTAATGACACATTGCCTTTGACAATTCCATCATCCTGATTGAAAGCAGTGTGATTATATCCGTTGCAGTATTTCTTTCTGTCATCCCCAATAAACTGATCATAAATCTTAATCCTGTGTACAAAGCACCTTCACAGCAACACCTAGATTAACGTTTCATTGAATGTTCTGGGGACTATAACCTAGAAACATTGGCACATTAAACTGACCATCATAAGTATGTCAATATCAGAAAATATATCTTTTACCAAACAAAGTGTTAATGGAGATAAAAGGGCCAATTTTTTAAGGATTAAATATTCAATATACTAGGAAGATACATTAGAAATTTACCTGCACATGATAAAATAGCTTCAGAATATGTAAGGCAAAAATAGGCAAAGAATGGCTTCAGAATATATAAGGTGAAAAAAAATAGGCTGAACCAGGTTAGTCTTCACAGAGCTTTTCATGGACACTTGTGCTGTCTTTACCAGTATACTACTTGAGGGGTAAGAGCAGAGGAGATGAGGGTACAGGTTGAACTTTTGTCATTTTTTATTTTCCAACATTTTTAACTCTCTAAACCTTTGGGTTATTTTTTCTCCATTATGCCAAGAAAGTTCTGACATCATCCTCGTTAAATTTGGGTCATTGTTGAGTCCATTTTCATTGGAATATAGTGATAATATTGTTTCAATCAAACATAAAGCAAATTCCTTCATCCACCTGAGAGCTTCTTGAGCCAAAACATTGTATCTGTAATCTTTTGTTAGTACACCCGTATCAATATATTTGGCTAAGCCAGTGTAATATTTTATCTTTGTTGGTCTAAGATTCCTAGTGTCCACTTTAACATATATTTCTCAGGTGTCTGCTGATATAAATCAGAGAATCCAATAATTCCTTTAGAATGTAAGATCTTCTCAAGGGTCGGGCATTGCATTTACCCCATGGAAGAGACTTGCATTTTATTCTTGGTCTGGAATGAATAGTGATTGGGATGAGTTTTGAAGAGACTCAGCACCTTCCTGTGCTTGGGCAATCTCTCCAAGCAGAATTATTAGAGTCTTCCAGTAAGGAAAGACTAATCTCTCCAGACCAAGGAAATCAGGCTATATTCTGGTATCAAGAGAGTTTCAAAAAGTCTTGGGGCAAGGGGGTTGAAGATTTTCGACTTTATCCAAAGACCATGCATAGGGGTCATCCACATGTTCTTGGGTACTTGATCTTCATGCAAGACCCCTTTCCAAGCCCAAGCCCCTCAGTCCTTTCCAATAACTGCCCTAAATTTCCTATAAGAAGCGCAGACAAATCTTTAAATTCAAATTATGTCGTAATTCTTCAATAAATACAATTAAATTTGGGGTCTGATTTTTTTTTTTTTGCAAGATTGTCCCCATAGTCAAATGACATGAAATTGTTTGAAGTCATAAGGCATTTCTGTAGTTTACAACCATAACTTGACCTACAAGGTAAGACCTGAGCTTGGCACTTGCCCTTTGCAGGTTTTCCAGCAGAGTTAGGAGCAGAGAGTTTACCACACAGTCTTTGTGGTCATTAATGCTCACACAGCAGTGAATAGCATCGCCATTCGATCCTTCAAGGCATTTGCTTAATAGCCACTCAATCATAGGTAATTAATTAATCATGATGGCACTGTATGTGGAATTCTACGAAACATTTAAAGGAGAAATAATATCAAACTTTCCCAGACTCCCTCAGTAAATAGAGAAGGAGAAAACACTCATTTCATGAGGCAAAATTCAAACCTGATACCAAAGCTTCATGAGGACGTTACAAGAAAAGAAAACTGCAGATCACTGCACCTCATGAACATAGAAAAGTCTTCATTTAAATATAAGTAAATCCAATCCAACAAATAAAATTGACGTAATACATGATGACCAAGTGGGGTTTCACATCCAAAAATAAATGTAATTCACCACGCTACCAGAATAAAAGAGAAACATCAAATGTGCCTCTTGATTACTCCAGAAATAACGCTGGGCAGAATTTAAAACACATTTATAATTTAAAACAATCTCAACAAATTAGGACTAGAAGAGAAAAACTTCGATTTGATTAAGAGCATCTAAAAACCTGCAATTAGCATCATACGTAATAAAGAAATATTGAACACTTTTTCCCCTAAGATTGGGAGAAAGGAAGGAATATCTGCCCTATTATTTCTATTCGACATTGTAGTATAGGTCCTAGCCAGTGAAATTAACTAAGAAATAAAAAATACAAGGCCAGGCACGGTGGCTCCTGCCTGTAATCCCAGCGCTTTGGGAGGCTGAGGCGGGTGGATCACAAGGTCAGGAGTTGGAGACCAGCCTGACCAACATGGTGAAACCCTGTCTCTACTAAAAATACAAAATTAGCCAGGCGTGCCAGCACATGCCTGTAATCCCAGCTACTAGGTAGACTGAGGCATGAGAATCGCTTGAACCCGGGAGGCAGAGGTTGCAATGAGCTGAAATCACACCACTACACTCCAGCCTGGGCGACAAGAGCAAAACTCCATCTAATAAAAAAAAAAAAGTTTAACTGACAGGCCGTGTGGATAGATTGTATATGGGAATTGGAAATCAGGATGACACTGGGATGCAGGCAGATGCAAACAGATACCACTTGATACTGATGCTCAGACATCCCAAAGGGCCAGAGGGAACGCCCCCTGCAGGAAGTTTGAGGAGAGAAACACTGAGTGCTGCCTGGAACATATGAGGCTGGAGATGCCCACTTCATTTCCCGGAGTAGATGCCACAGAGACAGGAAATGGTCAGGGTTTGGCATCCAACTTTACCAGTCATCAGCGAGTCTCTTGGTTGTCATTCTCATGTGCCTTCATGGTCGTTTTTTGTTTTTTTGTTTTATTTTTGATTTGGAAACAACTACAGATTCATAGGAAGTTGCAAAGAAATGTACAGGGAGGACCCACACACCCTCCCCTCAGCCTCCTTCACTATCATCATAGGATATGAGAATATGATGATCTGAAAATCAAAGAATTGACATTGGTAGCTTGTGTTTTTAAAACAGTATATGAAATAGGAACCTTTTCATATTTCGCATTTCAAATAGGACATGTTGGAATAGGATGGATTTCAACAGTTAGGTGTCAGGAACAGAGGAGGAACCCTTAGAAAGATAAGGAAGATGGTTAGGAAGGTAGAAGGAGGCATGAAGTTTCTAGTATGTTACATATAGTTTGATCCAGGCAGGTGACTTAGGAGTATGTGTGTGTTGCCCACAACTGGTGCAAGGTGGCAGCTCTAGGTGGCCCAGAAGCCAATCTATGAAGTGTTTTAAACAGGAATGAGTGACTGAGCCTAATGCTACTGAGAGAGAGGCATCCAAGTGAGATGAGAATAGAAATTGTACAGGTGGTTCAGCACTTTGGAGGTCGTTAGTAATCCTGACCAGAACCGTTTGAATGATGTGGTAGGGACAGAGCAAGATGAAATAGGGTGGAGAGGAAATGAAGGAAGACATTTCCTC
Organism: Homo sapiens; assembly: GCF_000001405.40. Lineage (NCBI taxonomy): Eukaryota > Metazoa > Chordata > Mammalia > Primates > Hominidae > Homo > Homo sapiens. The sequence continues at coordinate 51,510,743 of NC_000019.10, read as the reverse complement.
AGAGAAATCCTCCTGTGAAGAGAAGAGGGAACCCACAAGTTTGCAGGGAGACAGGCACAGGGGCTGATGGGCTCAGAAACTTTTCCAGGACCCTCTTGGCAGCACCTCCCAGGAGTGAGAAGGATCAACCCACAGCAGAGCCACTGAAGGCCCCTGACCCCCTCTCTCCCTTTCTCTTCCTATCAAACCCAGCTCTGCTTCAATTCAGCTGTGCACACAGATGCTGCCTGACCCCACACTGTCCTCCCCTAGTGCTGAAGTCCATAGGTCCTCATTCTCACCACGGGGATCAGCTCTAAGGTTAAAAGGGAGATCTAACCCAAGGGGGGCCACACTCTCAGTGGAGATGGTGAGGCCTCTGAATCCACTGGGGAGTCCCAGATTGGCACCTTTCAGCCTCAAGGTGGCAGGGGGTCCTCTCTCCCTTCTCTGGCCCATGGGCAACTGAGAACAATGGCATAGAAAAATCCACAGGAGGACGGAGACGTTACCACTTTCCTGGTTCCTGTCAGCTGGTTCCATATGGGTATGAAATGCCCAAAGGCAGAAGTGGGGCTGGGCCTAGGATTGCAGGACCTCAGGGGTCAGCTCTGAGGTCTGAGGGAACCACACCCACACCCTCCTCCGTTTACACCTTCTTGTGAGAGGCCTTTTTTCTGAGCTCTGTGGATGGAGGGGAGGGTGTGATATTTCCCAACATGAGCGTTCCCAGGAAAAAGATAACTTTTTTTTTTTTTTTGGAGAATACACATGTTGGTGGCTCATGGGGAACCAGAGATCAGAGAAAAGGGGAAGGTAAATATTAGGGTCTGAATTGTGTTCCTCTCCCCAACCAAATTTATCTGTTGAAATCCAACGTCCAGTACCTAAGAATGTGACTGTATTTGGAAACACATCTTTAAAGAGATACGTCTGTCCCTTGGTATTAGTGGGGGAGTGAACCCCCCTTGGATACAAAAACCCATGATACTCAAGTCTCTGATAGAAAATGAAAGAGTATTTGCATGTAACATAAGCACATCCTCCTCTATACTTGATATAGTTTGAATGTTTGTCCCCTTCAAATCTCATGCTGAGGCTGGGTGCAGTGGCTCATGCCTGTAATCCCAACAATTTGGGAGGCCGAGGTGGGAGGATCCCTTGAGCTCAGGAGTTTGAGACCAGCCTGGCCAAATGGCGAAACCCCATCTCTACTAAAAATATAAAAATTAGCTGGACATGGTGGTGGGTGACTCTGAGGGCTGGGGACACTGGCCCTCTCTCCCCAGGAGCCATATAAATGGAAAAGGTGGAGCCAGCATCCTCCAGACCCCTGACTCCCAGCCCAGATACCGGGACCCAGATCCCTGTGTCCAACCCTGACCCGCATCCCACTGCCCTCAGGGAAACCCAGTCAGGGGCCTGGGCATCCTGGCCCAACACTCACAGAACACATTGAGTTGGATGTTACTGTTCGTGGTCACACCAGCCCTCGGTAAAGTCACCTGACAGGTGAGGCTGGCGTCGTGGTCCTGGACTGTGGAGGGCACCGAGGTGGAGCCCAGTGGGAACATGGAGGCCCCATCCAGGTGATTGTCGGAGGCATCCCCTGCTCACAGGCCCAAGGCACAGAGCAGGTTAGATTGCTGGGGCAGCCGACTCCAGGGTTATTGGGATGAAGATGTCGGGCCTGTGGGTTGGACCTGTGGGTCAGGGCTGGTGAGGAGAGGGGGACAAGCAGGATTAGGACGGGGATCCAAGGTGCCACCCAGGGGGAAGCTCAGGCTCTGGTCCAGTTCTTCTCCTGAGCCCATCAACGCCATGCCATCCCAGGATGGAGATCCAGTCCCAGCCCTGCCCTGCCGCCACAGCACCTTTGCTTATGGCCTCTCCTGGAGCCCATGCCTTACGCATCACATGCATGGACAACTGGTTAATTTTGTATCTCCATTTCATATTCCCTCCCTCCATGTGAAAGAAGTATGACCCCTCAGGGAGCAGTCATTGATCTGTCGGTCCCTGGAAAGTTGCAACTGTCCCTGGGTCTCCTCCTGCACTTTTCTATCTGGGTTGTTTGTGGCCACTGGAGCATCTGAGGCTGGAAGGGCCACTTCCCCTAACCAATAGCTGTGAAGTGGGTCAGAGTCAGTCCAGCTGTCTTGGGGGTAGCAGAAGGAGCAGGGCACATGGACACCACCAAGGGTGGAAGGACTCCTTTCCCTTCCTCCCCAGTCCCCAGCCCACCTTGCCACTTGTCCTCTGGGTCTCCTGGGGGCTGCCTGGCCTCGGGTTTGCTGAGCTGGTCCTTCCAGAGCCCCCTCCAGGGAAGAGAAGAGGGAGAGCTGTGTCTGTCCTGGGGGCATGGCTATGGGTGCAGAGGGGTTTGGGGGCTCTCCCTCTGGCCCCCAATTTAGAGGTCAGTGAGGAAACAGCAATGAAAGTCCACAGGGAACTCCCCTTATCTGGGCTACCAGCAGTGGTGGTGATGGATGCAGGGGAGGAACAGTTGCTGGAGGGGGCTGGTCGTCTCAGATAAAATACAGGATGCCTGCTTGAAATGGACTTTCAGATAGAGAATAAATAATATATTTTTTAGCATAAGTATGTTCCAAATATTGCATGAGGCATGCTTACGCTAAAAAAAAAAAGTTTTTATCTGAAATTCAAATTCAACCACATATGTTCCATGGTTTTTTTTTTTGTTTTGATAAATCTGTCCACCTTAGGCTGGTGTCAGCCCCACGCCTTCATGCTTCCTGGTGAACTCACTGACCTTTGGTCTCCCAGAAGTACCCTCCCACCCCCACTAGGCCTTAGTCCACTTCCCAGTCTCCCTTCCTCCTCTGTCATTCAATTGGGCAATGCTTGTAACAGCTTTTGAGATCTGAACACTTGTACTCAAAGGTAACACTGAAGGCGAGAGTTTCAGGCAACATGAAGGGCTTGGGGTATGTGGGGTGAGTGGAGTAAACTCGGCAAGATATTGTCCCCTCACTTGGCACTTCCTGAAATGACTCTGTTTTGGTCACGGAGAGACAAGGAGCTCATCCCTCAACCTCCGTGCACCGGGAGTACCAAACAGATGCTGAGTTAAAGAGGATAGATGGAGGTGAATCTTACATGGCATATGAGCTCCAGGGACCCCAAGTTGGTAAATGAAGACTCTTAAAAATAGAAAAGCACTGGGGGTCTCCTAAGTGACCCAGATGCTGGAGAGATATTCAGGACAGGTCCTGGGAAGGGAGTGGTCAGCTCTTTGTAATGGAGGAAAGTCAGGAGAGGCCTTCTGGAGGAGGTGACCCCTAGCTGTTCCTGTCTCCGCCTTGTCCTTGTTCTCTTATCCACTTTGTTAGTCACTCAAGCTCTCATAGCAACGTGCCACAGGCAGAGAGGCTGAAACAACAATTTTTTTTTCTCACGGTTCTTGTGCTGAACATGTCAGCAGAGTTGGTTCCTTCTGGAACTCTCTACTTGGCTTGTAGCTGCTGACTTCTCTCTGTGTCCTCACATGGTTTGTGTGTCTCTGTGTCCTAATCTTCTCTCCTAGATGGACAGAAGTTATATTGAATTAGGACCCATACAAGTGGCCTCATTTCAAATGGATACAGTGCACCTTCCATATCCACCCATTCCATATCCTTGGATTCAGCCATCTGGGGATCAAAGATATTCAAAAAAACAAAAACCAATAAGAACAACAACACAATCATGAAAAATAATACAATTAAAATACATTATAACAACTAGCTGCATAGCATTGACATTGTATTAGGTATTATCAATAATCTGGAGAGGACTTAAAGTATTGTGTTAGTCCGTTTTGCATTGCCGTAAAGGAATACCTGAGACTGAGTAATTTAGAATGAATAGAGGTTTATTTGGTTCACATTTCTGCAGGATGTACAAGTAAGGAATCAGCATCTGCTCAGCTTTTAGTGAAGCCTCTGAAAACTTCTAATCATAGCAGAAGGTGAAAGGGGAGCAGGCATGCCACATGGTGAGAGAAGGAGCAAGAAGAGACACCAGGCTCTTTTCAACAACCAGCTCTTCTGTGAACTAATGGAGTGAGAATTCATTGTCATGGGAGGGCACCATGACCCAAACACCTCCTACCAGGCTCCACCTCCAACATAAGGGATTACATGTCAACATGAGATTTGGAGGGGACAAATATCAAGACTGTATCAGTCTGCCTTGGCTCCTCAAATCTCATCTCTTTCTCACATTGCAAAATACAATAATTTCTTCCCAGCAGTCCTCCAACATCTGAACTCTTTCCAGCATCAACTGAAAGTGCAAAGTCTCATCTGAGACTCAAGGCAAGTTCTTCCCACCTATGACCCTGTGAAATAGGAAACAAGTTATTTAATTCCAAGATACATTGGTGGTTCAGGCATTGGGGAAATATTCCCATTCCAAAAAGGAGAAATTGCCCCAAAGAAAGTGGCAACAGGCTCCATGTAAATCCAAATTCCTGCAGGCAGACATTAAACCTTAGAGCTTAATAATAATCTTTGACTTTGTGTCCCACATCCTGGGCACATTGGTGCAAGGGGTGAGCTCCCAAGGCCGTGGGCAGTTCTGCCTGTGGCTTTGACAGGTGTAGGCCACGTGGCTGCTCTCATAGGTTGGAGATGAGTGCCTGTAGCTTTTCCATGTTGAGGTTGCAAGCTGCTGATGACTCTACACTTCCCTATCACTCCCCTAAGACTCTTCCACACACACACCCCTCAGCCCCACAGCAAAGGCAGGGGGAGATTCACAACACAGGCTTTGAGGCCTGTTTTCTTCCATCTCCTGAAAACACCACCTACCTCATCTTTCCTTTTCCCCAATAGTTTTGAGCTACGTTCTTTTGGATACATGTTATGGTCACATGGGTGAAAATTCAAAATGCATAGCAGAGTCTGTCCCCAGAATCGCCCAGCGTCCATCTAGGCTGCCCTGGGCCTTGGTTTGCTCACCTGGAGGATCTCAGAGGTGCTCCAATATCAATAGTGAGACTGCCCACACCCTCCTCTAGGGCTGTGTGTGATTCCACTGCATGGATGGACTCTGATTGTGTAGCATCTCCCAGTGGAAAATCATGGCACTAATTTTATCGTACTGCAGAAACACTGTAATGAATAATCATAAATCTACTTCCACAAGCAATATCTGAGTGTATAGCATAGTTCCTAAAAGCAAAATATAGCAGTGTTATACGTTCTTTCTAATTTTAATAAAATGAAGTTGTTCTCAACTAAAAGTGGGCAAGTTTACATTCCCAACAGTGAGCTGAGAAGGTGTGTATGGCCCTGCACTTCAGCCTGTATCAGTGTCTGTTCCATCCACCAGTCTCTTTCTGTATCATTCCTCCTTGTCTTGATCACTGTCTTTCTGACCCTCTGTCTCTTTCTCTACAGCATCCACCACCTTGGGGAATGGCTCAGCCCTTCCAGTCCTGGAAAGCCAGTCCCTGTATGTGGTCTGTGCTGTTGACAGCAATCCCCCTGCCAGGCTGAGCTGGACCTGGGGGAGCCCAACCCTGAGCCTCTCACAGCCCTTGAATCCTGGGCTGCTGGAACTGCCTCAAGTGTATCTGAGGGACGAAGGGGAATTCACCTGCAGAGCTCAGAACCCTCCAGGAGTGATGCTGCAGGCGGTCAAGGGGGGCTGGAGCCCCAGCCTGGTCTTCCTGTCCTTTTGTGTCATCTTCATCGTGTGAGCATTGACCCTGGAGAGGAAGGGAGAGCCCTGGGGGAGGGTGGCCTGGGAGCAGAATCCCTGAAGCCGGAGCTGGAAGGACCTGGCTGAGTCAGGAGTATGAAGCAAGGGAGAGAATGAGCATGGGTGCATGGTGAGAATTTCATGAGTGCCCTTGTTTGTGGGGCCACATGTCTGTGACAAACCTCGGGCCCCATTGTCCAGGAAAAAAGAGCCTCTGTTTTCAATGTTGGGGTCTCTGGGACTACAGCCTGCTTGAATTCCTCCCCTGAAAATGGGCTTTTCTTTTCTACCACTTGGCCAGGCTGCAAATTATCCAAACTTTTACACTCTGCTTCCCTTTTAAATACAATTTCCAGCTTTCAGTGATTTCTTTCTTTGCTCACACATGAGCATATGCTGTTAGAAGCAACCAGGCCATGTCTTCAATGCTTTGCTTCTTAGACATTTCTTCCACGAGATACTGAAAATCTTCACTCTTGTGCTCAAAGCTCCACAGATTCCTAGGGCAGGGGCACAATGCAGTGAAGTTCTTTGCTAAGGCATAACAAAATGGACCATCGCTCTGGTTTCCAATAAGTTCCTCATTTCCGTCTGAGACCTCTTCAGCTTGGCCTTCACTGTCCATATCACGACCAATATTTCAGTCATAACTATTCAACCAGTCTCTAGGAAGTTTCAAACTTTCCTTCATCTTTCTGTCTTTTTGTGAGCTCTCCACACTCTTCCAACTTTTGCCTGTTAACCAGTTCCAAAGTTGTTTTCAAATTTTCAGGTGTCTTTGTAGCAATGCCCCACTCCTCTGTACCAATTTTCTGTATTAGTTCATTCTTCCATTGATATAAAGAAATACCTGTGACTGGGTAACTTATAAAGACAAGAGGAATAATCGGCTCGTGGTTCTGCAGGCTGTACAGGAAGCAGGATGTTGACATCTGCTTGGCTTCTGGGGAGTTCCTCAGGAAACTTACAATCATGGCAAAAAACAAAGGGGAAGCCAGCATGTCACATGGCCAGAGTAGCAGGATAGAGCAAATGGGGAGATGCTGCACACAGACAACAAGCAGATCTTGTTAGAACTCACCCACTCTCACAAGAACAGCTCCAAGAAGATGGTGCTAAGCCATTCATGAGAAATCCACCCCCGTGATCCAACCACCTCCCACTACAACCCACCTTCAATATTGAGGCCTATAATTCGGCATGAGATTTGGTGGGGACACAGATCCAAACCATATCAGGCTCTAATCCTATTAGGCTAATCCAAACCACCTATCTAAACACCATGCCTTCTAATACTATCACATGGGGGTTCAAAGGTCAACAAATGAATTTTGAGGAGAGACATGTAGCTGTAGCACTTGTCACTCTGGTCCTTAATATCTTCCTCTCCAAATTATGGAAGTGGGTCTAGAGGGCCCATCAGCTCCTCTGAGTCATATGTGGTTCAAACGTTCTTCCTTTGCAGATTCTCTGTGGCTTCCTCATGTCTCTCCTTCCCATTTTTCTGCTTTTCTTTGCCAACTGGGGACTGTGGGAAAGAGATGGGCCGTGGTCGAGCCCTTCTTCCCATTGAGATGCTGCAACTGTCCTTACGGGAAGAAAGTGACACGGCAAGGATGGGGGCCCAGGAGCAGATTGGTCTGCAGGATGAGATACAAGCTGCAAATGCAGGAATTAGTGGTGTCAGGGAGAGGAGCAGCTATGCATGCCCCAATCCTGCACATTTCCTTTTCAATTATCACAGCCAACTGACTCTACTCCAGGTTATGGGCAATTGGGGACAACATGGGGATGGGAAGATCCATGGAGCTGAGTAAAATAAAACAGATTGTGGTTTTTATGTAAAAATAGTCTTTAGAAAAACCTATGCAAAGCCATAGTATTGAAGGCAGTGCACTCAGATGATAAAACTACATAGAAAAGCAAGGAGACCATTATCATTAAAGTGAGGCTGGGGCATCTTCAGGAGGAACTGCATGTGGCCTATAGGAAGGGGAAACACAGGGCTGAATAAATGAATGCAATTTCTTTCTTCATCTCATGGGAGAAATTTGGCAATTATCTTGTGATGTTCTATTTCTTGAACAGTGATAATTTGGTGAAAATCACTGAGTCATTTTTTTAGGTGGCACTTTTATTTACTTGTATTACATTTCCCCAAAAATCATTGTTTCAAGAAAAGCTGACATGGGTCTAAGGAGGGCGAATCTTGCAGGATTTTCCCCACCTTCCTCCCAGTACATAGCATACAGTTTCAAAAACTCTTCTGCTGAATTCAGGTGCATTTCTTCTCCCATGAAATCCTGTCCATCATTGAGCGTGGACACGCCAGGGCTGGTGTCCTCGCTCCACGTCTCCTGTTCACCTGAAACCCTGGGAGCAGAGCCTGCAGGAACAAAGGGCCAGCAGACCCCTCATGCTCTGGAGTAAGGAGGACTTGTGAGAGAGCAGTGGTGAAGGATCCCATCCTGAACCCAGAGAGCCATGGCCGAGAGAGAAACGCCTGCCCCTTTAGAAATCTGTCCCTTCCCATCCAACATTCCTCCCTTCCAGACCTCACTGTACAACAGTCACAGCCTTAGCTTCTCAGGCCTCCTGTGAACTGGGCTCTTCTCTGTGTCTTTGGTGTGTATCAACACACGGAATCCTCACCTCCACGACCCCGTGTCTCTCTGCTCAGTCCTCCCGAGACTGATTCCCCAACATAGGAGAGAGCGACCACACCCTGCCTGGTACCCCCACTGAAGCTCCTGCCATGGAGAGCTCAGATATCAGGAGCCTCAGTGTCTCCCCACTACACAGTGACTCTTTGGGGACAGTGTCTAGCTCTGCTGTGTTGAACTCCACCTCACGGCCGCTGAGGGAGGAAGGAGAGGTTGCCTGCTCATCCCACCTGCACCCCCATCTCTTATATCCTAGTGTCACCTCTGACCTACAGAGAGACATCCACAGCCTGTACTTCATAGGTCTGGCCACATGGGACTCATTTTCACCTTATGGAAAATATCACCCAAGGGGAAGGGCACTGAGAGGGAGGCAGTGGGCGGGGTGGGCCCTGCATGGGGTTGGAATCTGGGTGAGTCTTTCATCCTCTCTGGCCTCAGGGTCCCCAGGAGTGGACGGGGTAGTGGACGGTGGATCTTCCAGGGGTGACCCGGCCCTGACAGTGTCTGTGTGTGAAGTTCCTCCTGTGAGGTCACCGTTCAGAACCCACCCCCAACTTCCTGTGCGGCTTCCTCGAAATCTTGAGTTCTCAGTTCCTGAGAGAAGAACCCTGAGGAACAGACTTACCTCAGCAACCCTGGCACCTCCAACCCGACACATGCTACTGCTGCTGCTACTGCTGCCACCCCTGCTCTGTGGGAGAGTGGGGGCTAAGGAACAGAAGGATTACCTGCTGACAATGCAGAAGTCCGTGACGGTGCAGGAGGGCCTGTGTGTCTCTGTGCTTTGCTCCTTCTCCTACCCCCAAAATGGCTGGACTGCCTCCGATCCAGTTCATGGCTACTGGTTCCGGGCAGGGGACCATGTAAGCCGGAACATTCCAGTGGCCACAAACAACCCAGCTCGAGCAGTGCAGGAGGAGACTCGGGACCGATTCCACCTCCTTGGGGACCCACAGAACAAGGATTGTACCCTGAGCATCAGAGACACCAGAGAGAGTGATGCAGGGACATACGTCTTTTGTGTAGAGAGAGGAAATATGAAATGGAATTATAAATATGACCAGCTCTCTGTGAATGTGACAGGTAAGGCACGGGCTCCAAGAGAGGCCAAAGGCAAATGTGATGAGGGCTTTAGGGCACGGCTGAGACGGGACACATGTCCTGGGAGGGGGCCGGGGGTGATGGACTCAGGGGAGGAGCTGGACCAGAGCCTGAGCTTCCCCAGGACCGCACCTTGGATGCCCCTCCTGATCCTGCAAGCCCCTCCCCTCACCAGCCCTGACCCACAGGCCTGACATCCTCATCCTGCCTCTGACGCTGGCACTGTGGCATGTGGGGCCTTATGACTCCTTGTTTTGGGGCCTGTCCTAGGCATGGCCGGGGTTTAGCACCATCCCAGGCCTCTCCCCACCAGATGCCAGAAGCACCCACCCCACCCATGCAGCGAGACAATTATCTCCACACATTGTCAAACGTCCTGGGGGGTTAAGTCCTCCCCAGTTGAGAGCCTTAGGTCTACACAACCCCGTGACTCTCTCAGGCCAGGCCAGGGAGGAAGCACTTCCTGGCGCAAACCAAGGGCAGCAGAGGCACCTGAGCCTGGACAGGGAGACTCAGCACACGGCCCCTCCATCTCTCATGCCCCGAGGTCCTCGGAGATCCACATTTAGATGCTCAAAAGACAGGAGGGACCTCCACGATGGTCCAGAGGCCGGGAGGGCAGGACCTACGTGTCTGGTGCAGGCCCTGGTGCTTCAGGGAAGCCCGGAGGTAGGAGGCGGGACACGGTCTCTTCTCCTCCCTGGGTGGGTCTCTAGGGTCTCTGAGCTTTAGGGTTTCCTTCACTCTGTGCAGAGGGAATGAGTTCCTATAGCATGTGGGTTTGCAGTTTCTCTTCCATGCAGGGCTGAGGTCTCCAGCTCCTCTCCAGCCCCCTGTGGGTCCCACAGCCCTGCCCCTCCTCTCCCTCCCCCTTCTCTGCTCACACAGGGAGCCCAGGAAGCCTCTGCCTCAGAGATGCTGCTGCCCCTGCTATGGGCAAATGAAGAGAGGGACAGTGGGGGCTGGGCTGACCCTCGTTTCTCCACAGCGTCCCAGGACCTACTGTCAAGATACAGGCTGGAGGTGCCAGAGTCGGTGACTGTGCAGGAGGGTCTGTGTGTCTCTGTGCCCTGCAGTGTCCTTTACCCCCATTACAACTGGACTGCCTCTAGCCCTGTTTATGGATCCTGGTTCAAGGAAGGGGCCGATATACCATGGGATATTCCAGTGGCCACAAACACCCCAAGTGGAAAAGTGCAAGAGGATACCCACGGTCGATTCCTCCTCCTTGGGGACCCACAGACCAACAACTGCTCCCTGAGCATCAGAGATGCCAGGAAGGGGGATTCAGGGAAGTACTACTTCCAGGTGGAGAGAGGAAGCAGGAAATGGAACTACATATATGACAAGCTCTCTGTGCATGTGACAGGTAAATCTCTGGCTCTAGGACCAGCCAGAGGGGAAGGCCCGAGGGCCGCAGGGTAGGGCTGAGGTGGGACCCCCATCCTGGGAGGGAGTTGGAGGTGAAGCATATCTGGCTCAGGGGAGGAGTAAGACCAGAGCCTGAGCCTCCTCAGCACCACACTTCAGACCCCAACACCCTCATTTTGCCTGTCTCCCTTTCATCACCAGCCCTGACTCACATGCCCACCTTCTCCATCCCGGGGACCCTGGAGTCTGGCCACCCCAGGAACCTGACCTGCTCTGTGCCCTGGGCCTGTGAACAGGGGACGCCCCCCACGATCACCTGGATGGGGGCCTCCGTGTCCTCCCTGGACCCCACTATCACTCGCTCCTCGATGCTCAGCCTCATCCCACAGCCCCAGGACCATGGCACCAGCCTCACCTGTCAGGTGACCTTGCCTGGGGCCGGCGTGACCATGACCAGGGCTGTCCGACTCAACATATCCTGTGAGTTCTGGGCCAGGACGTCTGGGTCTTTGATCGGGATTCCTTGAGGCCAGTTGGATGTGGGACCCAGACTCAAGGATCTGGGTCCTGGAATCTTGGCTGGGAGTTGGGGGTCAGGAGGATGCTGGCTCCACCTTCCCCATTTATGGGGCTCCTGGGGAGACAGGGTCAGTGTCCCCAGTCCTCAAAGTGATGGGAACTCCGTGTCTTTCTGTTCCAGATCCTCCTCAGAACTTGACCATGACTGTCTTCCAAGGAGATGGCACAGGTAAGATGGAGTCCTCTCCCTGGGGCTGGAGGAGCAGAGCCTTCAACTCAGGGGAGAGCCAGGACTCACCCTGGTGACCTGAGACCCTTTTGTGGGTGAGCCCCGGCCCCCCCCTCCCTCAGCCTCAGCCTTTTGGCCACCTGAGCACCTTCTCATCACCCCTTCACTCCCCTTGAACTCCTCCACACACACACCTATTTTGGCCCCACAGCAAGGGTAGAGGGACATTCACACAGCAGCTCAAGGATTTGAGGACTCTTATCTTCCAGCTCCTGAATATTGCCTCATCCTTTTATTTTCACCAATAGTTCTGAGGTATATTCTTTTGGATACATACTATAGTCACATGGGCAAAAATTTATAATGCACAGCAGAGTCTGTCCCCAGAATCGACCAGGGTCTGTCCAGGCTGTCCTGAGCCTTGGTTTGTGCACCTGGAAGATCTCAGAGGTGGTTTGATGTCAGTAGTGAGACTGTTTGCACCCTCCTCTAGGGCTGTGTGTCATTCCACTGTCTGAATAGTCTCTGATTTTGTGGCATCTTCTAATGGAAGATCATGGCACTAATTTTATCCTACAGCACAAACACTGCAATGAATATTGTTGTATCTACTCCCACAAGGAATATCTAAGTGTATGGAATAAAGTCCTAAAAGCAAAATATAGCAGTGTCATATGTCTTTCTGATTTTGAAAGATAGAGTGAAATTGTTCTAATTAAAGATGGACAAGTTTACATCCCCAACAGTGAGCAGTGAACGTGCATATGTCCCTACAATTCAGCATGTATCAGTGTCTGTTCCATTCACCACTCTCTTTCTGTATCCTTCCTCCCTGCCTCGATCACTTTGTCTCTCTCTGCCCTTCTGTCTCTTTCTCTACAGCATCCACAACCTTGAGGAATGGCTCGGCCCTTTCAGTCCTGGAGGGCCAGTCCCTGCACCTTGTCTGTGCTGTCGACAGCAATCCCCCTGCCAGGCTGAGCTGGACCTGGGGGAGCCTGACCCTGAGCCCCTCACAGTCCTCGAACCTTGGGGTGCTGGAGCTGCCTCGAGTGCATGTGAAGGATGAAGGGGAATTCACCTGCCGAGCTCAGAACCCTCTAGGCTCCCAGCACATTTCCCTGAGCCTCTCCCTGCAAAACGAGTACACAGGTGGGTAGGGGAGGGTCTGGAGGAGGAGAACACACATGTCCCACCCTCAGGGTCCAGCTGGGAGACCTGGAATTTCCCTGCAACCCACAGCATCACAGTCCTCTTGCTGCCAAGCAGTGAGTGCGGGGTGGGGAGAGGGGAGGAGTTAATCTTGGAGGGGAGGAGCTGGGGCCTGGACAAGTGTGTTTGGGGATACAAGGGCCTTGCTTTCCAGTGCCTGGACTAGTGTGAGGCAAGTGAGGCACTCACTTTGGGCACACAATTTAAGAACCAAAAATAAAACAACTCAGCAAGCAAGAGAAATAATCTTGCCATGTGATTATCTTTTCGAAAATTAAAAATTATTGTAAAATAATTCCATGGTGAAAACTAATCAAAATTTTAAATAAAGGCAGACTGCACCCAGCACTCTCATGCCTCAGTGACCTCAGGAGAAGTTCCCTTCCGTCCTTGTTCTTTCTGTCCGGGAAGCGGGACTGGGGTACCCAAGTCTGGGGCCCTACAGGCAGTGGGAGGAGAAGAGGCCCAGTTCTTGGAGGGTAAACCCCAAAACAACTCCAATCCATCCTCAGGCAAAATGAGGCCTATATCAGGAGTGACGCTAGGGGCATTCGGGGGAGCTGGAGCCACAGCCCTGGTCTTCCTGTACTTCTGCATCATCTTCGTTGTGTGAGCATTGACCCTGGGGAGGAAGAGCCTTGGGGGAGGGCAGGCTGGGAACAAAATCCCTGAAGCCAGACCTGGAAGGACCTGGATGGGTCAAGAGCTTGAAGCAAGGGCCAGAATGAGGTCATGGGTGCATGGTAAGAATTTCATGAGCGCCCCTGTTTGTGGAGCTCCATGTCTGTGGCAAACCTCAGACCCTACTGCCCAGGAAAAAAGAGCCTCTGTTTTCGACATTGGGGTCTCTGGAATGGGACCACTCCCCTCCCGCCTCAGTTACCCCTCCAGCTCCCCAATAGGAAATACAGGGCAGGGGTTGGTCTGCCCACTGCACCCCGATCTGACCACACTGAAAGGCTCTCTGGTCTCTTCACTCAGAGTGAGGTCCTGCAGGAAGAAATCGGCAAGGCCAGCAGTGGGCGTGGGGGATACAGGCATGGAGGACGCAAACGCTGTCAGGGGCTCAGCCTCTCAGGTGAGTGAGCATTGAATCACAGCCCTTCTCCCCTGCTTTCTCCCAGGCCAGGCATGGAAGGGGATTACTTCCTCACTGTCCTTCCTTTCTTCCCCTACAGCCGAAAAATCACGTCCTGTCCACTTTTTCCTCCTAAGAACAGCTTTCATTGCCCTCCCCATCCCATCCTGACCCCTCTCACTGCTGAAGCCTCTGGATCTCTGTCTGGGACCTCCTCACCTCCCTGCCTCTTGCCTCCCCTTCCCGGCCTGGAGGGACGTTCCACAGCCATCACTGTCTGCTTCCTCTGCACGTTGAATAGCTTTTGCTTCAAGTTCCATTTGGCTCAGCAGAGCACTGTCACTAATCTGGGTTTATTTAAATCTTTGTTCTCCAGGAATTTTTTGTTTTTATTTTTATTTATTTATTTATTTTGAGACAGAGTTTTGATCTTGTTGCCCAGGCTGAAGTGCGATGGTGCGATCTCAGCTCACCACAACCTCCACCTCCCGGGTTCAAGTAATTCTGCCTCAGTCTCTCGAGTAGCTGGGATTACATACACGAGCCACCATGCCCGGCTAATTTTGTATTTTTAGTAGAGACGGAGTTTCTCCATGTTGGTCAGGCTGGTCTCAAACTCCCAACCTCAGGTGATCGCCTGCCTCAGCTTCCCAAAGTGCTGGGATTATAGGCGTGAGCCACCGCGCCCAGGCTTTCCATGGACTTTTTATATTAATTTTGATTTTTTAAATATTGTGTTAAAATTGTATTCATCTTCATTGCTGAGATTTGGGGCACCCTTTTAATTTTGTGCTCTGGGTAAGGGCTTCCCTGGCTTTGCTCCAATCCCAGCCCCGCCTCCAGCCACTCCTGCCTCTGCTCCATGCTCCATCAACGCTGGACTCCAGTGTCATCACCAACAAGGTTATTTGTGTCTCTACGTCTTCACATTGGCTGTTCCTCCTCCTCAGATGCTTTTTTCTCCCCACTCCCTGATTCCTATTCATCCTTCATGCCCTGATATAAATATTACACTCATCATTTATTGATTGTATTGAATGTGACTGGAAGCCTGTGGAAGGTTTCGAGTAGCAGAGTAACATCCATCCCTTCATTCATTAATTCATTCAGGAAAAGTTATAGAGCATCTCCTAAGAGAAGATGCCAGCGACCCATCTGTGGAAAACATTTAAAAGTCTTGGGCTCATCGAAGTTTAATTCTATACAGAGGGATATGGCCAAACCAATCAACTAATCAAAACTAATAAAACAACAAATGAATAAAATATAAAGATAGATATATGCTTTAGGGAAAATGCAATGTAGAAGAAATAGGAAGTTCCAAGGAGAAGGCTTGTGGGTTTATTTTTGTTTATTCATCCAACCATTCATCCATCCATCCATCTGTCCGTCTGTCCGTCCGTCCATCCATCCAACCACCCACCCACCCGTCAGTCCATCCATCCATCCATCCATCCATCCATCCACCCACCCACCCACCCATCCATCCATCCATCCATCCATCCATCCATCCACCCACCCGTCTGTCCATCCATCCATCCATCCATCCATCCATCCATCCATCCACCCACCCGTCCGTCCGTCCATCCATCCATCCATCCATCCATCCATCCATCCACCCACCCACCCGTCCATCCATCCATCC
The DNA here is from genome assembly GCF_000001405.40 of Homo sapiens. Classification (NCBI taxonomy): domain Eukaryota; kingdom Metazoa; phylum Chordata; class Mammalia; order Primates; family Hominidae; genus Homo; species Homo sapiens. Next base: position 51,495,234 of record NC_000019.10, on the reverse strand, counting down.
ATCCATCCATCCATCCACCCACCCACCCGTCCGTCCATCCATCCATCCATCCATCCATCCATCCACCCACCCACCCGTCCATCCATCCATCCACCCATCCATCCATCCAGCCATCTACGGTGGAAAATAACACATAACATAAAATTTACCACCTCAACTTTATTAAGTTTATGGTTGTGCTAGATCTCTAGAACCCTTTTATCTTGCAAAACTGAAACTCCACATTCGTTGAACAATAACTCCGCCCTTTCCCTCCCATCCTCTTCATCCTCCTGCAGCCACTGGAAATCACCAATTTTACTTTATTTTCCTATGAATTTGACTATTCTAGATACCTCATATAAGTGAAATCATACAGTATTGCTCATCTTGTGACTGGACGATTTACTTAACAAATATCCTCAAGGTTCACCCACATTGTAAGGTGTGACAAGATTTCCTTCTTTTTAAAGGGTAATTAATATTGCATTGTGTGTATGTTTACCGCATTTTCTTTATCCATTTATCTGTTGATGTACACTTGGGTTGCTTCCACCTCTTGGTTATTGTGAATAATGCTGCCGTGAGCATGGGCATGCAAATATCTTTTCAATATCCTGCTTTTAATTCTTTTGGGTGTATATCCACAAGTAGGGTTTCTGGACTCTAAGATTATTCTGTTTTTTAATATCTTAAGGAACTGCCATACTGTTTTCCACAGTGGCTACACTATTTTACATTCCCACAAATGTCACACAAGGGTTCCCATTTCTCCACATCCTCACCAACGCTTGTTACTTTTTGGTTTTCGTTTGTTTTTGACAGTGGCCATCCTAACGCGTGTGAGGTGATATCTCATTAAGGCTTTGATTTGCATTTTCTAATAATTAGTGATGTTTTCATATGCTTCTTTTGATTTGTATATCACCTTTAGAGAAAGTCTATCAGAGTTTAAGCCTATTTTTGAAACTGTGTTGTTTCTCTGCTGTTGAGTTCTAAGAATTTTTTTAATATATTCTGGATATTAAAACTTTTTTCAGATGTATGGCTTGAAAATATTTTCTACCATTCTGTAGGATGACTTGTGTTTCTGTTAGTGATGTTTGAGCACAGGAATGAAGGAGGCTCAGATCTGACACTGACTGTGAGATTGAAGAGCACTCCAGACAGAGGGAAGAACAGGGTGAGGCTCAGGCACAGGAGGGACCAGTGAGAGGATCCACAAGGACGTCTGTGTGATTAGACAGAGGGAAGCAAGGCCAAGAACAGGAAATGACTTTGGAGAAGTTGAGCCTGTGTGTGAATCGTGTCTGGCTGCACAGGGCACTGTGAGCATTTGGAGAGTTTTGTGCAAGAGACCATGATTAACTTTTATTTTCATGGGATCCCTCTGGCTGTTGTGTGCAGAAGAGACTGTGTGTGGTAGAGGAAAGACAGAGCAGAGAAGATAGAGAGGAGGCTGGTGAACATCTCAGGCAGGAAGTGGTGCTGGCTGGAACCAAGATGGCAGTGGTGGTGGACATGGCTGTCTTATGGGTAAATTCTGAAGTTAGACTTATGAGAATTGCCAATAGATTGGGTGTACAATGTGAATGACAGAGAGGGAGCAAGAAGACTTCCAGATTTTTGCCCCAATCCATGGGTAGAATGGAGGGGTCAGTCATTGAGGCAGAAAAGATTGTGCAAAAAAAGAGATCTGGGGGAAAAAAGGAGGAGTTCAGATAGAATAGGTTGCATTTTGTGTGCCTTTCGACAAGATGTGTGGGTTTGAAGTATACTATTGGATCAAGGACTATAGTCAGCAGAGGGGAGAGGGCTGGGTGTAAATTTGGAAGTCGTCAGTTTATTGATGGCATGAAGACAACACAGTGGATGAGATTGCAAAGCAAAAGTAAAGAAGAGCTCAGGGCTGCTCTGATATTTAGGGTCAGGGAGATGTGGAGCATCTAGCAAAAGGGCTGCCAAGAAGGTAAGATGGAGCCAGAAAGCACGATGTCCTGTAGTTAAGTCAAGAAGGGCTTCTGTGTAGGGAAGGTGAGCAGCTGGGTCCTCTGCTGCTGTGAAGTCCAAGAAGGAGAAGACTGCAAGACGGACATTTGGACTCAGCCAAGCAGTGGTCATGGTGACCTTGATAACAGCAGTGCTGAGATGTGGTGTGTGTGTGAATGTTAATTTGAGTAATCAAGACAGAATGGGGGAGTGAAATCACAAACAGTTCCATGGAGCATCTGCTGTGCAGGGGAGTAGCAGGGAAGTTCAGAGATGAAGGAGAAGCCTCCCAGGCAGCCTCTGTCACTCTCCACCGTGTGAGTCTATATTAGTTTCCTGTGGCTGCTGTGACAAATTGCCACACATTTCCTGGCTTCAAACAACAAACATGGATTAACTTAAAGTTCTGAAGGTCACAAGCCCAAAATGGGTGTCACTGGGCTAAAATCAAGGCATTGGCAGGCAGGGCCAGTTCCTTCTGGAAGATCCAGGGGAGGATGCGCTTTCTCACCTTTTCCAGCTTCTAGAGGCACCTGCATTCCTTGGCTCAGGACCCTCCCTCTGTCTGCAAGTCAAGCAGCCTGGCATCTTCCAATCTATCTATGCCCTCCTCCTTTCACTACTTGTAAGGACCCCTGTGATTCCACTGGGCCCACCCAAGTAATCCAGGATAATTTCCCCATCTCGATATCCTTAACCTAATTCCATCTGTAAAGCCCCTTTAGCCATGTAAGGTAACAGATCAACAGGTTCCAGGGGATTAGGGCATGGACATTTTGGAGGGGTCATTATTCTTCCTATAAGAGGGATATAATTTATTTTATTGACTTGTCTTCCCCACACCACCAAACTGTGAGCTTCTCAAGGGCAGGTGCCACGTCTGAATCAAGGCCCTGTAATTCTCTCTCACTTGCCCTCTTCCTACCCATCTTATCATAATTCACACATAGATATTCATTTGTTTGGCAGTCATTTATTGCCACCTCCTTCAGTTAAAGAGTGAGATGCAGGGGGTCAGAGCCCATGCCTACCGTGTCCACCACAGTCCATCCAGCACCCAGCCCAGGAACTCACACACAGGAGGCCTCAGCAGGACTCCAGGCTTTGGGGTCAGAAGGAACTGACTGGATTGGGTCCCGGTATAAGAGGGAGTTTGCGCAGGGTACTTAACCATTTCTACCTCAGTTTTCAAATTTATAAAATGGAGACAATAATAATATCTTACTATGGAATTGTTGTTGGAAGTTAATGAGATTAGTAAACACCACATAAGGTGATAATTGAGTATTAGACATTAGAGGAACGTATTAAAGAGATTTCAGCAAAGTGCACATGGGATGAATGGAGGAAGGAACTCCTGGGCCTCCTTCCTGGATGCTCTCTGGTGCATGCTGGCCCCACTGCTCTGCACTGACTCCCTTCTCTTCCTCCATTCAGGGACCCCTGATTGAATCCCCGGCAGATGACAGCCCCCCACACCATGCTCCGCCAGCCCTGGCCACCCCCTCCCCAGAGGAAGGAGAGATCCAGTATGCATCCCTCAGCTTCCACAAAGCGAGGCCTCAGTACCCACAGGAACAGGAGGCCATCGGCTATGAGTACTCCGAGATCAACATCCCCAAGTGAGAAACTGCAGAGACTCAGGCCTGTTTGAGGGCTCACGACCCCTGCAGCAAAGAAGCCCGAGACTGATTCCTTTAGAATTAACAGCCCTCCATGCTGTGCAACAGGACATCAGAACTTATTCCTCTTGTCAAACTGAAAATGCGTGCCTGATGACCAAACTCTCCCTTTCTCCATCCAATCGGTCCACACTCCCCGCCCCCGGCCTCTGGTACCCACCATTCTCTTCTCTACTTCTCTGAGGTCGACTATTTTAGGTTCCAAATATAGTGAGATCGTAGAGTGTTTGTCTCTCTGTACCTGGCTTATTTCACTCAACATAATGTTCTCTAGGTTCATCCGTGTTGTTCCAAATAACAGAATAATGTATTGAATATTTCAAAATGGCTAAAAGAGAGGAGTTTAAATGTTGTCACCAAAAAAAAAAAAAAATTAAATATTTGAGCTGACGGATGTGCTAATCATGCTGACGATGGTTCCACGGTGCATCCAGGTGAGGGAGCCTCACTGGGGCTGCGTTCAGGTCGCTCCGGTACTCAGGGCAGGACTGAAATTTAATCCCTGCCTGATTCTAAGGTCTCTTCTCTCATTCGGCACTGAGTGGAACAACCACTGATTGGCACCCCTTGGCCATAAGTTTACAGCATCGCTGTTGATTCCATGGGTGAAGAAATCTGAGAAGCTGGAAGCGCCGGAGCTGAGGGAGGAGGCGCTTGGAATTAGAGCCCAGCTTTGCGCATGGCCCGCCCCGACCTGCAACCCATTGACCAGCTCTGATTGGCAGATGAAGCGCCCAATGGCCACGCTACCCACGACATCATCTTCAGGTCCCGGGTGGGGTCTGCAGACCTCCTACTGGAGCCTCCATCTCCAGGCTTCCGTGTGACTGGGCTGGGTCCCTCTCTTGCCAGTACCCTCCAAAGAGACCCTGGACCCTTTTCAGCCTCGCTGGCCCTATGGGGACCCCCAGCCCTTCTCCATCACCCTCTCCTCACCTGCTTGCCCTTCTGGTCTTGTCCTCAGGTCTGGGGTGGACACTCATGGAGCCCGATTTGTCCTATGGGGAGAAATCAGGGAAGAAGCCACATCTCAGGTCCCTAAGAAACATGGGAGAGTCCTGGATAGAGAGAGGTGAAGGGGCCCGACTTCCCACCAAGTCCAAGCCTAAGTCTTCCTCACATGGGACCCAATGGAGGAGATGGTCTGAGGGCTGCACCTCTGCACCGAGAGTCCTCAACATCTCCATACTTTTAAAGATTTCCGAGGGCACTGGAGGAAGATGCCACTGTGTGGGGAGAAAGAGGCCGGGTGAAGCTGAGGAAGGAGTGGGCACTGTTGGCCTAATTATGAGGGATCACAACAATGATGGAGGTAATAACAGTAATTTACTTCATACCAATTATATGCCAGGCACTATAACTTATGACAGGGTTATCTTTAACCCTCCCAACAGCCAAGCAAGACAGATACTTTAACCCATTTGCAGATGAAGAAATGAGGGTCCAGAGAGGTGATGTTACTTGCCCCAGGTCACACAGCCAGAACATAACAGAGGCCAATATTCCCAAACTGGCTTCTCTGATTCCAGATCCCTGCTCTCATATCGGAGGGGAGGCCCCAGACCATAGAGAACATGGCGCCTTTGAAAGGAATGGGACAGTGGCGTGGAGGTGGTTCTGCCAGGCCAGGGGGGTTCTTCCAGGTGGTGGAAGATGAGGTGATTCAGATACACTCTTTGAAATACCCTTGAACTTTCTTGAGTTTATCACAATCAGTTTAGAATTGCACATTGAATAATATGATGGCATTAATAATAATATCTGAGATTTTATGAAGTGCTTACTGTGTACCAACCCTTCTTCCAAGGTAATTACTACTAAGAGCTTACTTTATCCCCATAGGAGATATCCCTGTGAGGTTTGGACCAGTGTTAGTTCCATTTTACACATGGCAAGTAAAGCACAGTCAGGCCGATTGCCTGCTATCTCACTGTATGGTCGACATTGTAGGCTCCTTGGTGAAGGGACCATATAATAATCATAAATAGGCTCAATATCTAAATATTAAGATAATTGAAGATGTATCTTCTAAAATCTTTAGATAACATAGTGAAAACGCATACACGTATGCTGTGTGTCTCCTCAGCTCCCTCTTGCCCCACCATTTATTCTAGGAAATGCCACTCCTGTGCCTTTTGGGTGGTATCCAGATCCAATCATGATTAAAATATGAGTAACTCCAGGGTGATCTTTTGGGGAGGGAGAAGGGGAGCTGAAAGAGGGGGCTGGATCGTGGTAGCTGTGATATTACTGGGGGCAGGGAAAGCAGTTTGTTCATCTTTTGTTCATCAGAGGCCCAAGAATAAAGCCAGGAGCTTGGTGAAATGTGGGGGGACCGAGAAACTGAATGAGAGACAAATGAATGAGTCACTGAGGTTGACTTAATGTCAACCTAATCATCCAAAATTTCACTTTGGATGATGAGGTTGACATTAAGTCAACCTCAGTGACTCATTCATTTGTCCCTCATTCAGTCTCCATCAATGACTTTGAACACAAGGATAGAAACCCCTGGAAACTTTTCGTCTGAAGAAATTCGAGTGGAAGCAGGATCATTATGGACAGAAGCACTAAGGCCCATTATACTTTTAGGGATCACAAAAATGTTTCAATTTCTTCTAAAATCAGAAGGAAAAAAACTGAATACAACCCACCCTATATTTTATACATGTTTATATCAAGATAGTCGTAAAATATAATTTTTAATATTTTTCTAGAGGAGGGCCCACAAAAGCAAAAATGCACCCCTGGATGGAATCCATTCCGTAAAACAGAAATGGCCCTGCTCTTAGGGGAATGAGGAGGGATTCTGGAGCCCTGTCCACATGAGTTCCCTGCCCCACTCCAAACTCTGGCACCTTCTGCAGCCCTTGTGAAGAATGTGGTTCCAGGTCCAGGAGGGGCCTGCCCCCAGGGAGGAGCCCACCCTAAGGCAGGGGCCCACCCCTTCTCAGCTGAATTCTCTGAGACCTTTTGTCTTGAGACCTCTCTTGAAGACTAGCCAACAACCCTGCATTTCCAAGACCTCGCTGACCTCCCAGGCGAGGTCTTGTATTTAGATATTGAACCTATTTATGATTATTACATGGTCCCTTAGCAAAGGAGCCTACAACATTGACCATACAGTGAGATAGCAGGGAGTCAGCCTGTCTGTGCTTTACTTGCTATGTGTAAAATGGAACTAATACTGGTCCCAACCTCACAGGGATATCTCCTATGGGGATAAAGTAAGCTCTTACTAGTAAATACCTTGGAACAAGGGTTGGTACACAGTAAGCACATCATAAAATCTCAGAGATTGTTATTAATACCATCATATCATTCTGTTTCTGCCCTTGACCTGAGCCCCTCCCCACTATGTCATGGCCACTCTCTCCATCTGCTTTTGCAATCCCCTTTTCTCTGCTCTTCCCTGAATATGAGAATTCTGTTTCCACCTCGAGCTCTCTTCTCTTCCCATGCAGCATAGTTCCTGGGGTTGGGGTGAGGGACAGAGGAGGGACTAGTGGTTGTCTCTTTCTACTTTTTCTGGTTTTGTTTGGTTTTGTTTTTACTCTTTAAGAACATTCTACATAATTGGTTTACAGCAGTGCTGTCCGGTAGAACTTTTGGCAATGACGAAATGGTCTATATTGGCACCGTCCAATCTCATAGCCATGAGCTGGTGTGACTGAGGAGCTGGATTTTTTACTTATTTAATTTTAATTCATTTTAAACTTAGTCACGTATGACTAGTGGCTACCATATTGGTTAATTCATGTTACAGGCCTTTTCTTCACAGATTATTTACTTATTTATTTTTGAGATGGAGTCTCGCACTGTCGCCCAGGCTGGAGTGCCATGGTGTGATCTCGACTCACTGCAACCTGCACTTGAACTGCACTTGAATCTCCCAGGTTCAAGTGATTCTCCTGCCTCAGCCTCCCAAGTAACTGGGATTACAGGTGACTGCCATCACACTTGGCTAATTTTTTGTATTTTTAGTAGAGACGGGATTTCACTATGTTGGCCAGGCTGGTCTCGAACTCCCGACCTGATGATCCGCCCGCCTTGGCCTTCCAACATGCTGGGATTACAGGCTTCAGCCACTGTGCCTGGCCTATTTATTTATTTTTTATACAGGGTGTCTGTTGCCCAGGCTGGAGTGCAGTGGCACGATCTCGGCTCACTGAGCCTCTGCCTCTCGGGCTCAAGAGATCCTCCCACCTCAGCCTCCTGAGTAGCTGGAACTCCAGAAGCACTCCACCACTCCAGGCTAACTTTTGTATTTTTTGTAGAGATGAGGTTTCACCACGTTGCCCAGGCTGGTCTTGAACTCCTGGGCTCAAGTAATCTGCTTGCCTCAGCCTCCCAAAATGTTGGGATTACAGGCATGAGCTACCATGCCTGGCCATTTCTTCACAGTTTAAATTCAATTTAATATTAAATGAAACAGGTACTAAATCTTACTTAATGTTTAATCTTTCAATTAGATGAACTTTCAATATAATTTTGATCTCACAGTTTATATTTCAATTACATTTTCATTTAGTTTAAAATTTTAGATGAAAATTAGCTCAATAAGGCCAGGCGCGGTGGCTTATGCCTGTAACCCCAGCACTTTGGGATGCTGAGGCGGGCGGATCACGAGGTCAGGAGATCAAGACCATCCTGGCTAACACGGTGAAACCCCGTCTCTACTAAAAAAAAAAACAAAAAAATTAGCCAGGTGTGGTGGCGGGCGCCTGTAGTCCTGGCTACTTGGGAGGCTGAGGCAGGAGAATGGCATGAACCTGGGAGGCGGAGCTTGCAGTGAGCTGAGATCGCGCCACTGCACTCCAGCCTGGGCAACAGAGAGAGACTCCATATAAAAAAAAAAAAAGAAAGAAAAGAAAGAAAGAAAGAAAAAGAAAAAAGAAAATTAGCTCAATAAACAAAAGTTTTGTTCTGCAGGACACCTAGGCATATGTGAGAGTCCTTGAGGACTGAGCTGTCACTAGGCATGTTGATCTCAGGTGAAGGAGACTGGCCCCTAGAGATGAGGGCTCTCCTTCCTAGACCAGGGGGCTCAAGTAGTTCCATCGGCTGCTCCTACTACAGTCTTAGTAGGAAGGAGATGCGGTCCCTGACCTTGGAAAATCCCCTAAGAAACAGCTTCCTCCGGGCACAATGATGCAACCTGCTGACCCAGCTGCACCCTTGGTCTAGGATTGTTTTTAAGGCTCAGAGGCCTGCCTGTCACCCCAGAGCTCACAGAAAAATATAGGCATTGTGCTTCATCATAATCATCACCATCAGCACTGCATTTGCTACCGTCATCATTAGCACCACCATCACCAACATCATCACCATAATACTATTGTCACCATTATGGCCATCATCATCACCATTGTCATCATCACTACCAATGTCACCATCACTAGCAACACTACCATCATCTTTGTCATCATCATCATCACCACTATCACCACCACCACTATTACTATCATCACCATCATCACCATCACAATAATGCCATTTCCACTATTAATCTACATCATCATTGCCATTCCCACTATAATCACCACCATCACCATTGGTACCATTATCTCCATCATTAACGTCATCATCCTCCCAAGCATCACTGCACTTTCTAACATCTACTCCACTGACTCTCAACCAGGGCAAAGTTGCCTCCCATGTGATCTTCATAGTGTCTAGAGACATTTTTGGTTTTCTGAACTGGGGTGGTGGTGGTTGTTACCACTAGCATCTAATGGAAAAAGGCCAGTTATGCGGCTAAATGTCCCACAATGCACAGGACAGCCTTACTACCTCCTCTTCCCCATCAGAGAATTATGGTCCCAATGCTGATAGTGCTGAGGTTGAGAAACTCTGGTCTACTCTATGCTGAGAATGCTGCAAGTCCCCTTTTCCTCCAAGACGTGTCTCTAATCCCCACATCACCCTTCAGGCAGTTGTTGCTCCGTTCATTCTTCAGCTGGGCTGAGGATGAGCTATGAGGAGAAGTGACCTACCCAAGGTAACCTAGCCTACAGGTAGCAGAGCTGGGGTTTGAACCCAGACCTTAACCATCCCACTGCCCAATCTCTTCTCCCTGCATAGTTCACCGCTGATACCTGTTTCCCCAACTTCACTTGGTAGCAAAGGATGACTATGTACCAGGAATTGACATGCAGACCTCTCATTTTTTTACCTGTCCCTCTAGGTAAACCTTAATATCCCTTATAAACACAAAGAGAAGGGAAGTTGCTAGAAGAAACCCCACAGCTATTTAGAACCATGGCCGACTCTAAACCCTCTCTTGCTCCCATCAGCTTCAGGTCCTGGGGGCTGATCTGTCTGCCCCAGATGATCCCTGACAACCTAGTTCCTGGCTTATCCCTCCCCTTCTGGCTCTGCTTCCCCTCTGGAGGGAGGGCTGGCTCCTGAGTCCCAGCCCCCAGCCAACATCCCACCCTTGTCCCAGAGCAATGAGGGCACCTGATTGAGTAGTGGTTGATCAGAGCATGGATCAGGACTCCACAGATGTAAACGCCACCCAGCACTGTCAGCATGATGAGGAACATCACCATGGATCCTGAGATGGAGAAATCTCTGTGGACAACAGGTAAGATCCCTGAAGGAAGAGGACACCTGGGGGTCAGGACCACGATTGACCCATTCATGCATTCACTCATCTCTTCACCCACCCACATATCCATTCTTCAAAGATTTGTCAACATCTATTATCAGCAAAGCACTGTTCCAGGTACGAGGGATTCAGCAGCCAACAAAACAAACTCCCTGTACCCATGGGCCTGACATTCTAGCTGGGAAGTGGACAGTGGACAATTAAGCAAAGAGATGTCTCACACTGCAAGCAACCATAAGTGAATAGAGAAGAATAAACCCTCATAAGGGGAGAGACAGTGACTGGAAGGGGGGTGTGTGACACAGGGTCATTAACTCATTGCATAAATGTTCACTGAGCACCAACTATGTGCTACACACTGTGCCAAGCACTGAGGACAAATGGAAAACAGAAAGCTCGCCCAAGGTGGATCACCTGAGGTCAAGAGTTCAAGACCAGCCTGGGCAACATGGTGAAACCCCATCTCTACTCTATTTTGTAAAAATACAAAAATTAGCTGGGCACAGTGGCGTGTGCCTGTAATCCCAGCTACTCAAGAGGCTGAGGCAGGAGAATCACTTGAGTCCGGGAGGTGCAGGTTGCAGTGAGCAGAGATTGCACCACTGCATCCAGCCTGGGCAACAGAGCGAGACTCTGTTAAAAAAAAAAAAAAAGCTTCCCCAGCTTCTGCCCTCCTGAATCTTGTAGTCCAGGGGAAGAGAAAAATGTGAATCGATGACTTGGAGGGCTGCATGCACACATCGTGTCTGGTGCATAGTAGGTGCTTAGGAGGTAGTGTGGCTGAAGTAAAGTCTGGAGACCACATCCTGTAATGTCTTCTGTACTTTCTTGCACAGTTTCATTTTATTCTCACAGCACCCTTTCCCTGCAGGGATTCTTATCCTTTCATTACAGTTGAGGAAACTGAGTCTCGGAACGATGGAGCTGCTTGTCCCAGGTTCATGGAGATAGGCAGCAGCAGAATGGGGATTTGGACCAAGAACCTTGGGCTGTAGAGCCCCTGCATTTACCTGCTGCACTCCTCTGCAGTCTCCCTGAGCACATCAGTCTCTCTCCTTGATGCAGAAGATTGGACGCATGGTTGCTAAGAAGATGCTTTCCCCATTTACAAATTCACTCCCAAGCCAAGTTTCTGACGCCATGGCCATGCCAAATCTCTACTCCCCGTCCACCCATCCCGTCCCTGCGTCTTTCTAATTCCTCATCTTGAAGCAGCTGAAGGGAGCAGTTGAGGGTGTAGGCTATGCCTGCCTGGGCTTGAATGCCACCTCTTCCATGGGTTACAAAGCAATAGAGCCTTGAATAAGCACTCAAACTCCATGGGGCTCAGTTTCTCACCTGTCAAATGGAGGTGATGCCAATCGCATTCACTTACTCCAGAGAAATGGTGAGAGTCACACAGGTTAGAACAAAGGCGGGCACATAGTAAGTGCTCAGCCAATGTCTGCTACTCTTATCCCCCTGGGAGTCACCCTGACTCTGATCTGAGGACTCCAGAGGATTCACAGAGGAGGCAGCTTTGGACCCAGACCTCAGAGAACTGGGAGATTTCACCCAGAGGTTGAGAGCATGTCATGGCACAGTGGAGGTGGCACTCCTGAGGGTGGGCACTGCCTAGCAGGGCATGGAGGCAGGGAGATGTGCAAAGCATGAGCCTGGAGGGGAGCTGCTGCACTCATGGGGGGCCTGGATCCTGACGTCCATGTACATGATCAGCTGTGTCACGGGGTTCTCCACAGTGCATCGGTAACGGCCCATCTGCTCCCAGGCAAGACTCGAGAGGTTCATCTTTGCATCTGAGAAGTTCAGGAGGGAGCCATTGTGGATCCAGTGGTACTTGAGATCCAGGAAGGAATAGCAGATACACTCCATTTCCACTTGGGAGCCGATCTCAGCTGTCACAATGCCGTTGAAATCATCAGGATTGCTCCTCAGCAGCACATAGTCGGGCCCATCTGTAGAGACAGGGTAGGAGGCCCAGGCTATGTTTCTGACCCCTCGGCGTCCCGTCTCATGAAGTCCTCCCCCAGCCAGGAGGTTCCCCATTGTGCACCTCGGGCTAACCCCTAGACCTGCCCCAGGCAAGGCAGCTGTGTCAACAACAATAACCATAAGAGCATCTTCTATGATTAAGGAACTACTAGAGGCCAGGCCCATGGTGCCATTTACATTGTAATAAAATTAGTGGAGTAAAAGCCAACACATGGGGCCTACTGTGTGCCAGGCACTGTTCTAAGCTCTGTGCCTGTCCCCACATTTGTTGAATTCCCAGAACAACCCATGTGACTGGTTCCACCATTGATCCATTTTATAGATGGAAAACAATGAGGCTCGGAGGAGAGGATTAGGACTTTATGACTCCAACTGACACAGAAGGATTGAGCCAGTCTCAGGGCCTGGGAGCAACTGCCCTGAGCAGCTGCAGCCTCTGGATCCTGGGTCTTGGTTCCAAGCCTCTGACCTGTAAACAGCTGTATGGAGGTCAGAAATTGTTCACCCCTCAACCCCACCTTCCACAGGATGGGTGCCGTAGCCTGCGCTTTAGGAAATCTGACAGACCGCTGGAGTAGTTCCAGGAGACGTGAAAGTGATTTTAGATGTGTGATTATGGTTTTCAGTTGGAAGATGTGGAAGAGTTTATTAAACTCTGTGAGCAGTCCTGGAATACTGGGGAAAAATCTAAGTGTTAATGTATTTATAAGTTCAGCGTATTCGATTTCCAAGAGCTGTCTGAGAATTTGTGGAGGTCTTCCTGGGTGGTGAACTTGCCCCGGTAGGCAGCTAAAAGGCTATAAAAAAAAAAGAATGTATGGAATGCATAATTGAGTCTTTAAATAAAGCTCTCTGTTTAAGGGAGCATAGCCTGTTCAGTTTCAGTGAAAGAGAGTGACAGGGACTATACTAAATTTAGTAGAAAAGAAGAAAGAAATTAATGAGCAGAATTTCAAGGCTCAAGGGGCTTGAAAACTTAATAATTGAACATCAATTTAAGAAACAATGGTATTCAGTAGTCCCCTCTTTACACAAAAGCAGACCTCAACAAAGGCACACTGACCATTTCTAATCTGAGAAGTGGGGACTGGCGTCTTCATTTCAAACTCGAGTGTACCACGTTTCTGAGTAGCAGGGGCAGCTCCCAAGTTCACAGGGCTCAAGAGCCTGAGCTGATTCCAATCCAGAGTGAGCTGGCTGCAGGCTGGCCCAGGATGCCCCCTCTCTCCAGCTCAGCCTGTCCTAACATATTCCTATCCCTAGAAAGCCCTGAGACCAGCCCTGGCTTCAGTCCCAGGAGCCCAGACCACTCACAGGCCACAGTCAGAGAGATGCGTTCACTTCTCTGAAAGATCTCTGGGAAACTCTCTATCATGCACTGAATTGTTCTGTCATAGCGGCTGACCCTGAGGATGACGAGGGTCTTGCCGTCTGGGGAAATTGTCATCCGGTCACTACTAGAGGTAGGCACATCATTCACATACCACGTGATGTTGGTGACATTTGTGAGGCAGTCAGCAGCCACAGAATCCATGTTCTCCACCAGGGAGCTGGCATTGACGGAGATGCCCAGATTGCTTCCCAACTCTGGGTGAAGCAGGAAAGAGAAAAAAATTACAAGTGGGGTCTGCTTCCCCAAGCTCTGCTCCTCTCCAGGGGACTTCTGGGCATGTTGGAGAGAAGCCAAGAGCTGTAAGATAAGATCTGGCATCCTGGCAAGGGAGCTGAGAAGGGCAGAGGAATAGGCACAGGGCAATGAGGCTGCTGAGGTGTGGGCCTTGCCTGAGCCACTGCCGTGCTGTCTGCTGCCATAATGGTGAGCTCTTGGCATAAACATGTGGCCTAATCATTGTTTCTGATCCTCCAAACCAGGACCCTCATCCAGGAGACACGAGAGGTTCTGAGTGAGAGGTGGCATTTGGCTACACAATACTACTCCATTATTTGAGTCCCATTCACTTTACGAATACTCCCTCCAACGCTACGACAAACCACAATGGTGGGTTCCTCCCCACTCTACAGATGAGGAAACTGAAGAACACAGAAGGAACACAAATGGGCCAGGGTCCTGCAGTATGTATTTGCAGCCACTGTCAAATACAGGACTGCTTGTCTTCCAACTCCGCCCTCTCCTCCCACTAGCCCTCAGATCCCCCAGGAGCTGTCCATGGTACACAAGATTCCAGGGCGGCTCCGTGATTTCCACTCCCGGTGTCATGCTCTGTATAATGTCCTTCTCTCAAATGTGTCACATCTAGCTCTCCTTGGGGGTTGGGAAACACAGCACCTGCTAACCCACCTAGAACCTCCAGCCAGCCGGTTGCTCTTTGGGTCTCATTGCCTGCAACCACCCGAACAGTGTAGTTTCCCGTGTCATTTAATGCAGTCGGCCTGATCAACAGGCTGCCTTCTCTGTTCACTCTCTCCCTGCCAGTGTACATGGGCCCAGGCTGCTGGGCACTGGGCGGTTTGTGGCTGATAATCATGTTTCCTGCGCTGTCGTTTGCACCCCAGTACCAGCTGTATTCCTGAACATCCTCAGGGACCTTATCCAGGGCCACGACAGTCCGATATCCCTTGATCCCCAGGGTTTGGGTGATGAAGATTTGGCCAGAGGCCTGGCAGATCCCACAGGCCAGCAGACTGGCTGAAGAAGACAAGGAAAAAAGACAGAGAGAAATTCACAAAGAGATTCAGACTGGCTGAGAAGACAAGGAAAAAAGACACCATCCGGGAACGATTCCCAGAGACGCTGGTGAACCAGGCAAGAGTTTCTGGCTCCTGGTAGAGTCCCCAGCTTGTCCCCTCCTGTGCCTCCCCTCAGCCCCTGCCGTGGTCCATTTTACCCTTATCTTCTCCCAGGCCCTCCTCGCTAGCCACACAGCCTCCAATCCATCCTCACATCACAGTTACGTAAATGTTAATAAGCCCAAGTTGCGACCCTGTTCTCCTCTGCTCAAACACCTTCCATGGCTCCCCAGTGCTCTTAGGATACAGTCCAAACTCTTAGGTGGGTATATGAAACACTCTCAGCCAGAGCTGGTGTTTGTGACTCATCGAGCCTCCTTGTGGTGCACACCTACCCCATCCTGTCCCCACTATGCACCTTTTACTCATTTATTCCTGTAGTTATTTATCAGAAGACATGACTGCCACGCTGTATGCCCCAGGCCTCTACATAGCTCTCTTGGTGCACCACACCTTCTCCTAACTCCAGGCTTCGCACACGCTGTTCCCCATTCCCGGCAGGGACTCCTTCTCCCTCCTCTCCATCTGCACCCTCCTTGCTGACTCACTTCTATTCATCACTCAGGTCTCAGCTTGGATGTCTCCTCCACCCCAGCCTGGGTCAGGTGTCCCCTCTGGGCTCCCCCAGCTCCTCCTGGGCTCCCCCCATCCCAGCCATGACCTCTGGGGGTCCTCAGAGTCTGGGCACATATCTATATCTCGCCCTGGACTGTGGGCTCCAGGAGGGCAGGACTGCCCTGTCTCAGTCACCACTGAGTCCCCAGCGCCCCTGAGCACAGGCTGGACACAGGGGGAGTTCAGTAATGATTGTCTGGGTGAGAAATACTCCCCCGAGAATTTCTACATGTCTTTGATTTTGCATCTAAATTCACTGGAGTGGGTGTGAATGGAGGCGGCAGCCTGTTACCACATATGACATGGGCAGTTGTCCACTGCCCTGTGAACCCCAAGCCTGGGCTATGTGGAGGAGGCAGAGATGCCTGAGACCCCGGCTCTAGGCCTCACGTATGGACACACTGGACCTGTTCAAGGACAGTACACGTGGTAAAGCAGGACAGTTGTGCTTGTAGGGGGCACAGAAGGTCCTGGGCAAAGGTGAGGGGCTGGGAAGGAATCTGGCCTGAGAGGTGGGGGAGGGGATGGGGCAGATTGGGGCACCCAGTGGGAGGTGAGTGCAGGGAGGTGAGGGTGAAGGTCCAAGCTCCTGATTCCTGGGCGTAGATAGAAACACAGTTTCTCTCTCTCTCTCTCTGTGTGTGCGCGCGTGTGTGTGTGTGCATGTGCGTGTGCGTGTGTGTGTAACACCACATGTGTGGGTCTGTGCAGGGGTGTGTCTAGGGGCAAAGTGTGCCCACGTGTGTGAGCTCATGAAAGTTGTGCTGAGGGTCCTCCCCCTTCTCCTCTCCCCGACCCCTGCTCTGGGAGTTTCTTGATGTGCCCGTGGATGGGGATGGTCCCAGCCCCCTCCCCGCCGCTTTGCTCCTAGCTGCCCTTCCCTCAGTCCTGGGAAGCTCATCCAGCATCCAGCATCTCTTACCCATGAGGAAGACCCTCCTCCACAGGCTCCATCTGGGTCTGGAAAGGTCCATGAGCTGCCTGGGGTCCTCCAGGAGGAGGGGTCCCTCCAGAGACACAGCCACCTCCTCTGCTCCCTCCAAGACCTGTGTCTCCTGGCACAGAGGCTGCCGGTCTCGTCTCCCAGCCTTCAGGGCGGCCTTTCCTCCCCAGGGTGCACTCTGACCAGCAGGGGTGGGGCCTGGGGAAGACGGCTCTTGAGAGCCCAACCTTATCTTTATGGCTTTATGTTGCCTTTAGTTCATTATTTATTTACTTATTTTTATAATAATTTACATTTTTTTCTCTGGTCATGAAAAAACGGAAAAACACAGGCTCACTGTTGGGAAAACAAAGAAAACCAGAAAATACAGCCAAGTGCCTCAAAGATAGGACATCAAACTCCTCAACTGTATGTCCTGTTTCCATTTGGTTTGGTTTTCCTATGCAGGGCCCAGCTTTTTTTTTTTTTTTTTTTTTTTCACGGAGTCTCGCTCTGTCACCAGGCTGGAGTGCAATGGCATGATCTTGGCTCACCGCAACCTCGTCTTCCGGGTCCAAGTGATTCACCTGCCTCAGCCTCCCGAGTAGCTGGGACTACAGGCTCGTGCCACCACACCCAGCTAATTTTTGTGTTTTTAGTAGAGACGGGGTTACATCATGCTGGCCAGGATGGTCTTGATCTCTTGACCTCGTTATCCGCCCACCTCGGCCTCCCAAAGTGCTGAGATTACAGGTGTGAGCCACCGTGCCCGGTGTAGGGCCCAACTTTTAGACTGCCTGGGGCTGTTTTACAACTGGCTGCTTTCCTCCTCAACAGTGGACTATTTCTCTATGTCACTAAATATTCCTCCCATGACCATTGTGAATGGCTGCAGGGAATGCTCTTCTAGACCTGAACCAGTGTGTGTATAACCAGATCCCTTTGTGAAAGTGCTCACAAGCCAAAAAAATCCCTGAGAAATACAGTGGGGAAGGCTGTGAAGCGAGGGCTCTCTGACAACAAAAATTTTCACAGAAGACGCTGCAGAAACCATAGTCTTGCACAAAAGCCATTGCTTCCTTCCACCAAAAAAATACTTCTGTGACAAGTATTTGGACAGCAACCTCCGGTCCAAACTTGGACTGACGTCACCCTCATTAGGGATCCTTGTAGCCTAGGGTAATTATCTCAAACCATTTATGGGGTCCTCCTCATTTTTCCATTGAAAACCCTTTGTGTTCTTTTACCTCCCTGAATATGCACGTAGTTTACTATAGCACCCAGATTCCCATTGCAATGCCCCATTCCTGAATACATATCATTTTCTTTTAGAGAGCTTCTCTCTGTTTGTTATTTAGGTTGACACTTTGTTGTTGGAGGGTCAGGCTGTTTCTAAAAACAGGGATCCAGGACAGGGGAGTTGTGCACAGAAGTAATGAGGTATGGGCCCCTTGAAACCTGACAGAGAGACAGACAGACAGGGACATAAAAAAAAATGCAGGCAGAGTGAGATACAGAGGGAAGACACAGAAACAGAGAGAGAGAGAGAGAGAGAGGGAAAGAACAACTCAGAAATGTCCAATTGACAAGGTCTTTCTAACCGTACTTGGGAATGTGTTTGTCTTTCATTTTGATAACACACCCTACTTTTTAAATTATAAAAGGAGTGAATTTGAATTTATTATAAAAATTTTTGATTTACATACTTACATATTTATGTAATATTATTAACATTTACATATTTATACATATATTTTATATGTATAACTATATAAGTATGTAAAATAAATATAAAATTATTTATTGTCATTTAAAGAATACCGTTTTTTAAAACCACCCAGAGATACAACCAGCTGTTTTCTATGTGTCTTTTCAGTTTGGGTATGTTATAGCTGGCATACGCATGCACATATGAATCTCTTTTATTAGAGCAGAATTATATCATTAAATTTTTGTTTTTATTAGGGCTTTTCAAATGTTAAACCCAAGTTTTGTCAGAGTAAGGTGAATATGCACCTCTGGATGTCTACTGGTTTAGAAAATATCTTTGAAGTCTTCTGTGCCCTGAAAACCCATATGAATATTTGCAGCCTACAGCCAGACACCTCCATGTTAGTTTTAATAGGAAAATAACGCATTCGTTACCACTGATGTTAGTTAATTGGCCTGCCCCAGTATTACCGTGTAAATGGTGCCTCTGAAATATATACAAAGTGGATCTTCTGGCTTTAGCTCCCTTGAAGCACTCCCCACATTCTGCCTCAGGTCCTGGACTCTCATGGGAGAAGCATGGCTTTGCACCATCACTGTTCATTATTCATGGCTGTGTAGTATTCCACTGGATTGGATATGGGTTGAGTTATTCAACCAATCCTCTATTTGCAATCATTTATGTCCTTTAAGTTTTGTTTTTTTTTTTCCAGACAGAGTCTCACTCTGTCCTCCAGGCTGGAGGTCAGTAGTGTGATCCAGGCTCACTGCAACCTCTGCCTCCTGAGTTCAAGTGATTCTCATGCCTCAGCCTCCAGAGTAGCTGGGATTACAGGCATGTGCCATCACATCGGGCTAATATTTTTTGTATTTTTAGTAGAGACGGGATTTTGCCATGTTGGCCAGGCTGGTCTTCAACTCCTGGGTTCAAGTGATCCATCCCCCTTGGCATCCCAAGTGTTGGGATTACAGGCATGAGCCACTGGGCCAGGCCGGGTTCTTTCAATTAAAAAACACGATATTTTAGAGCAGTTTTAGGTTTACAGCAAAATTCAGAGGAAGGTACAGAGGTTTTTCATATATCACCTGCCCTCCCGCATGCACAGCCACCCCCATTATCAACAGCCCCACCACAGTGGTACATTCATTGCATTTGATGAGCTCACGTTGACGCAATATTAGCACCCAAAGCCCACAGTTTATATTAGAGTTCTTTTTTTTTTTTTTTTTTTTTTTGAGATAGAGTCTTCCTCTGTCGCCAGGCTGGAGTGCAGTGGCACAATCTCGGCTCACTCAACCTCCACCTCCCAGGTTCAAGCGATTCCCCTGTCTCACCCTCCCAAGTAGCTGGGACTACAGGCACACACCACCACGCCTGGCTAATTCTTTGTGTTTTAGTAGAGATGGGGTTTCCCCATGTTGTTCAGAATGGTCTCAATCTCTGACCTCGTGATCCACCCACCTTGGCCTCCCAAAGTGCTGGGATTACAGGCGTGAGCCACCATGCCTGGCCCACTTTTTTTTGTACACAGCAGCATGAACAGCTTTTGCCTAGTCCCATTTGTAGATCCGTGATTAATCCCAGAGGTGAACTTGCACAGGAAAGAACTCAACCCTACTTAAATAGAGGTCTGGACTTTGCTCTCAGCTACTGGGAGGGAACTCTAAGCCCCTGGAATATCTCACCTGATAGGAATGTCTTTATTTACCTTAGTGCCTTGCCCAATAATATGACTAATATTCATAATAATATGACTAAATAGTTATATTCGTCTAATAATATGACCACCAAATAGTCTAATAATATGACTAATGGTAGGGACTTTGGGTCACTGTTGTCAGCTCTATCTCTAGAGCAGCTGAAGCTAAGATCAGCCATGTGAACAGCCATCCATATCTACATGGCAAAGCCACAATAAAAACCCTGGGCATCAAGGCTTAGGTGAGTGTCCCTGGTTGGTGACACTCTATGCATGTTGTCACACGTCATGTAAGGAGGAATTACTGCTGTCTGTGATTGTACTGGGAGGGGACAACTGGAAACTACACATTTGGAATTCACTGGACCCTGCCCCATGCTCTTCTCCCCTTGGCTGACTTTAATCTGTATCCTTTTGCTGTAATGAGACATAACATGAGAATAAGAGCTTTCAGTGAGTTCTGTGAGTCCTACTTGTGAACTGTCGAAACTGAAGGTGATCAGGGGACCCCTGAGTGTGAAGCTGGAGTTAGAAGTGAGGATGGTCTTGTGCACTGCCCCCAAATTACTGAGGACTGCTGGGTCAAAGGCTGTACAGGCTGTTTGAGGAAAGACCATGGTTAAGAGGGGGGATTCCTGGTCACACTGTCTGGTTTGAACCTAATGCTGCCACTTACCTGCCACGTGATCTCAGTTAAGTTTCCTATCTCCGCTAAGCTTTGCTTTCTACACCTGTAAAATGGGGACATTACCTTAGAAAATTAACACAGAAACAGAAAACCAATGCCGCATGTTCTCACTTATAAGTGGCAGTTAAAAGAGGAGAACACTTGGACACATAGAGGGGAACATCAGACACTGGGGCCTCCTTGAGGGTGGACAGTAAGAGGAGGGAGAGGAGCAGAAAAAATAGCTATTGGGTACTAGGCATAGTACCTGGGTAATGAAATAATCTGTACAAAAAACTTCCATGACACAAGTTTACCTATATAACAAATCTGCACGTGTACCCCGAACCTAAAATAAAGGTTAAGAAATAAAAAATTTAAATAAATTTAAAAGAATCTTAGGGTCTACAACTACTATGTACCCACAAAAATTAAAAAGAAAAAGAAATTGTTTTTAATAGGGATGTAAAATGTTTCCTCTTCATAGGGCTGTTCAGAAAAAACTACAGAAGAAAGTGTAGAACGTAGAATCCTTCTTAGCTGGGTTCTCATGTCTGAGGTCCTTATTACTAAGGAAAAAGAGAGAGTGGATACTGAGAGGAGACCAGCAACCACAGCCACAGAGAGCGTCCGATCAGCTCCATTTGGCTGCACCAACATGAAGCATTCCTTTTAGACACAGCATTGTGCCATGTCCCTGAAGAAACATGTACCTCCCTCCATCTAGACTGTGCATGGTCAGTGATGCCTAGTCTGAACAATCAGGATGAAGATGGCAGAACTGGTTTCATTCAGAGCCCATGGCATGACCCTTACTGTCTCATGCAACGACACCCTCATGAGGACCCTGCTGTTAGGAGAGGAGTGCAGGTTTGGAGGGTGCCTTGAGCTTCAAAGACTCACTCTCATTCCCTTAAGCAGACCCCAGAGCTAGACCTGACCCATCCCATCCGGGATCCCCCATAACTTGGAGAATTTCTTCTGAAACCCTGTCTCTCCAGTCAGGAGTGGCAGCATCCACTGCTCACCTATGGACAGGAAGCAGCCTGGGGAGCAGACCCAAGAGGCCCCTCAGTCTATTTCTGGAGCCCAGCTTTGTACCTTTTTATTAAGAGAGCAGAACGTCATAGTCCCTCCCAGGGCAAAGTTCTGCCTGGCACAGCCAGAGCGAATGCTAATGAACAGCCACTCCTTCCTGTCTATCTATCTTGGAGATCACAAAAAATGTTAAGTTGGGATCTCTGAGGCGCTGTACATAAGGTGGGTTTCTCACAGCCCCCTACTCTGGTTTTTGCCACAAGAGGTAGCTGTTATAACTTAATGTTATTTGTAATGTTATTGTTATTGTTAATGTCATTCTTGTTATTTTCCATCTCACTCCCATCTTTGGAAGCTGACTGGAGGCTCCTGCCTCTCACCCTCTCTATCCACTTCTTACTCCTATCCACAGGAGGTTGTACAAAGATTAGGGTGGATGCATCGCACAACTCTATGGCTCCCCCTGGTGGTGAGATGCATTTGAGGTGATGGGTTTGCCCAGACACCGCCGCCTTCTGTGTACATCAAATCTCCATCTGTTCCTCTCCCAGCAAGACACTTCTGATTGGATTTAAGGATCAACTCGATAATTCAGGATGAGCTACACTGGTCAAAAGCCTCTATATTATATACATACAATGAAATACCTTAAAAAGAAGGAGATTCTGACACGTGTTGCAACTTAGATGAAGCTTGGAGACACTATGCCACATGAAATTAGCCAGTCACAAAAGTTACCAATACTGTATGATTCCACTTATAGGAGGTATCTAGAATAGGCAAATTCATAGACAGAAAGTAGAAAGTTGGCTGCCGTGGGCTGGGAGCAGGACGGAATAGGGAGTTATCTTTCAGTGGGTACAGAGTTTCAATTTGGCAAGATGAAGACATTTCTGGAGATCAATGGTTGATAATTGCATAAGAGTGTGAAAGTACTTAATGCCACTTACCTGTGCACTGAAAAATGATTAAAATGGTAATTTTTGTTATGTGTATTTTAAGACGGATTTTAAAAAGCACTAAAGATTTGATCAGCCTCCTCATCAAAGAAGAAAAACTCATGGCAAATAATCACATGAATGGAAACATTCCCAACGCCATTTGCTCTTATGAAATCGTGGATTAGAACTAGAATGAGGTGGCAGTACATACCTATTAGAATGGCTACAAAACCAAACCAAAAGAAAAATAAATTTTACACATTCCTGATAATACCAAATATTAATGAGAATGTAGAGCAACCAGAACTCACATGTTTTGCTGGTGGGGATATGAAGTGGCACTCACACTTTGGAGAACACTTTGACAATTTCTTTTTCTTTTTCTTTTTTTAGACAGAGTCTCACTGTGTCGCCCAGGCTGAAGTGCAGTGGCACGATCTCGGCTCACTGCAGCCTCCGTCTCCCAGTTTCAAGCGATTCACCTGCCTCAGTCTCCTGAGTAGCTGGGATAGCAGGCACCCACCACACCTAGCTAATTTTTGTATTTTTAGTAGAGATGGGGTCTCGCCATGTTGGCCAGGCTGGTCTTGAACTCCTGACCTCAAATGATCCACCCGCCTCAGCCTCCCAAAGTTCTGGGATTACAGGCGTGAGCCACCGCACCCAGCTGCGATTTCTTATAACTTACACATGTGACTAAGCACCCAACTCCTAGGTATTTATGCAAGAGAAAAAAAAACTAGTGTCCACACACAGAAATCTGCATGGGAATATTTGTACTAGCTTTATATTATATTCACCAAAACCTGGAAACATTCTGAGTATCTGTCAAACAGTGAATATATACAAAATGGGGGATCTGTGGAAAACAATGAAGTATGAGTCAGCAATTTAAAAACAAAAACAAATTATTCATATATATACCCAATCACATAGCTGAGTCTCAAATGCATTACACCGAGTGAATGAATCCAAGGAATCCAAGCCATATTCTTAACTTTAAAATAACTTACAACAAGGTATTATATTACTTATTAAAACCTCAATTATTTATATAGTAAGTGAAGATACAAATAGCTCTCCATGTTAATAAGGACAAATGAGCATTTATCTAGATAATACTGTAATAAATATTTTACTAATATATGGTGCCAAATAGTATTATGTCCTAGATTTCAAGAGTTCGTTGGATGCATACGATACAGAGTGAGATGGAAAATCACGTAGCTGAACCTAAAATTGCTTTTTATCCATTAAGTTTTTTATTTTGATTTTTATTTATTTATTTATTTTGAAACTTAAAGGTATTGGCCAGGACATTTAACTGTGTGACTGTCAGGAAGGTCACACCCGGGTATAGTCAGATATGTGTCATATGATTTAGCGAGGCAAATTTCCAAATCCTCAGATAAGAGAACAGCATGACCACATTGTCTGAGACTCTTCATAGACAAGAGGGAGGAAGAGGATTAGGAAACACCAGAAAAACTAAATTCCAACAAGACAATTATAAATGCATGTCAATGCCCAAACAAGCAACTCATGAAAGAAAAATAGAGACCGGACGCGGTGGCTCACACCTGTAGTCCTAGCACTTTGGGAGGACGAGGTGGGCGGATCACCTGAGGTCGGGAGTTCGAGACCAGCCTGACCAACATGGAGAAACCCTGTCTCTACTAAAAATACAAAATTAGCCAGGCATGGTGGCGCATGCTTGTAATCCCAGCTACTCAGGAGGCTGAGGCAGGAGAATTGCTTGAACCTGGGATGCAGAGGTTGTGGTGAGCCGAGATCGTGCCATTGCACTCCAGCCTGGGCAACAAGAGCAAAACTTCATCTCAAAAAAAAAAAAAAAAAAAAAAGTAAAGAAAAAAGAAAAGAAAAATACAAATAGCCATAAACATGAAAAATGGAACCTAAAATTTTAATTTTGTCTGTATACTCATGTTGTCTGAAAATATTATGTCTTATGAGCCTCATTTAACTGTGAGCAGCATATTTTTACATGAAAGGAAATGCTAATCTCTATGAAGAGGACCTCAAATAAATCACTTCTGTCCACACTACACAGAATGGCAACATCCATGGAAAAGAAGTTTCTTCTGCACTGCAGTCCATAGAATATGTGTCCTTCCTTTTGGTTTACAAGAAGATCCTGCATGGTTCTTATTCTGAAGATGTCATTCAAATTTTGTAAATCAGCATACCAGTTGTCAGGGAAAAAAATTCAGTACTCAAGTTTTTTTAAAATACCTAGTATTGGCCGGGCGTGGTGGCTCATGCCTGTGGTCCCAGCACTTTGGTAGGCCGAGGCAGGTGGATCATGAGGTCAGGAGTTCGAGACGAGCCTGACCAACATGGTGAAACCCCATTTCTACTTAAAAAAAAATACAAAAATTAGCTGGGTGTGGTGGCAGACACCTGTAATCCCAGCTACTCAGGAGCTACTCAGGAGGCTGAGGCAGGAGAATCACTTGAACCCAGGAGGCAGAGGTTGCAGTGAGCTAAGATTGCACCACTGCACTCCAGCATGAGCGACAGAGCGAGACTCAGTCTCAAAAAAAACCACCTAGAATTCTACCATGACATACGGCAAATTCACCAGTGTCCACAGCTCTAAAGCCAGTGTGTGTGTGTGTGTGTGTGTGTGTGTGTATGGTGAGGACATGAGGCTATGGGTGGGGGCCATCTCAAGGGTGGGGACCAGGTCCCTGGCATCTTTTCTCCAGCCCCACTGACACACAGATGCTCACTGTGTGTTTGGTGAATGAATGAATGTATGAATGAGTGAATGGCTACCACCCACACTGCACCCAGGACCCTTCTTCTTTTCACTGTCCCAGACACTCCCACAGAACCTACAGAATCCTCCATCCTGCAGGACTGACTTCCTCATGACTCTAGATGAGGTTGTGACTCTCTGGGACCAGACCAGGAGTGACATGTTCCCAGGTATAAACGGTGGTGCACAAAAAAGCACCTCAGGGTGGGAGAACCTTAGACCCTCATGAGTGTCCCATGCCTCAGATGTCCCCAGAGATCCTAGTCCAGGCTCTGGTGGTGGAGGGAAGCTCTCAGATGAGAGGAAATATAAGATCTCTGCTCCTTATTTGCTCCCCTCTGGGGAGGTCTCTGGAGTCTCCCTCTGCTCTGTGCAGAGGGGATGAGCTCTGACCACGTGTAGGTCTGAGGTTTTTCTTCTGTGAACCGCCAAGTCCTCCTGCTTCTCCTCAGCCTCCAATGGGCCCTCAAACCTTCCCCTCCAATCCCTTCCCCTTCTCTCATTACACAGGGAGTCCAGGAACCCTCTGCCTAAGAGACGCTGCTGCCCCTGCAGTGGATAGGTGAGTGGGCCATGGGGAGAGGGACTCTGGGGCTGAACTGAGCTGACCCTCGTTTCTCCACTGGAGCCCTGGCTCAGGATGCAGTTTTCTAGCTGGAAGTGCAGGAGTCTGTGACTGTACAGGAGTGTCTGTGCACCCTCATGCCTTGCTCATTCTCCTATCTCCACCCTACTACACGAATAACTCTGTTCATGACTACTGGTTCCGGGAAGGAGGCAAGGAATTCTGGGACACTTCAGAGCCCACAAACAACCCAAATTGAAAAATGAAGGAGGAGACCCTGGGCCTTTTCTGCCTCTTCAGGAATCCCCAGAGGAACAACTGCTCCCAGAGTATCATAGATGCCAGAAGGAGGTGAACAATGGTTCACATTTCTTTCAGGTGGAGAGAGGAAGTACCAAATACAGGTTATAATCTCCCCAGTTCTCTTTGTGTGTGACTGGTAAGAAACCAGCTCCAGGACTGACCACAGGGGAAAGTCAAAGGGGCTGCAGGGCAGGGTAGGGCTGGGATGGGGTCCCTGTCCTGGGAGGGAGTTGGGCATAAAGCATGCCGGGGGTTTGGGGGAGGAGCTAGACCAGAGCCTGAGCTTCCCCCAGGGCTTCACCTTGGACCTACCCTTTTGATCCTGCATGCCCCCCATCTCCTCACTAACCCTGACTCATATACCCAACATTCTCATCCTGGAGACCCTAGAGTCCAGCCACCTCTGAAACCTGACCTGATCTGTGCGCTGGGCCTATAAGCAGGAGACACCCCCTTATCATTTCCTGGATGTCAGCTGCCCCCACTTCTCTGAGCCCCAGGACCACCCATTCCTTGGCGTTCACAATCACCTCAAGGCTCCAGGACCATGGCACCAACCTGACCTGTCAGGTGAAGTTTCTCAGAGCTGGTGTGACTGCAGAGAGAACCATCCAGCTCAATGTCTCCTATGAGTGCTGGGCCAGGATGCCTGGGTTCCTGAGGGTGTGGTGGGGACAGGACAGCTGGAGCTGAGGACACTTGATATCCTGGAGGACTGGCTGAGCAGGGGAACAGGAAGGACACAAGCCCTGTCCCTTCTGCATGCCTTCGGCTTCTAGGAGGAGTAGGAGGAAATGCTTACCCTTATCTCCTCCCCACCTCCAACTGAAGGAAGTCCTCTCTTCCTGTCCAAGAGGTTCCACAAAACCTGACAACTAGTGTCTCCCTAGGAGATAGATCAGATAGGAGGGCACCTCTCTACATGCAGCTGTTACTGGATTGTTTGTAGGGGGGTTTTGGCTGTTGAGGTGTTTGAGTTCCTTGTATAGTTTGGATATTAATCCCCTGACAGATGAATAGTTTGCAAATATTTTCTCCCATTTTGTAGGTTGCCTTTTCACTCCGTTGATTGATTCCTTCGCTGTGCAGAAGTGTTGTAGTTTGACAGAATGTCATTTGTTTATTTTTGCTTTTGTTACCTGTGCTTTTGCGGTCTTATTTATAAAATCTTTTCCTAGACAAATGACCTGAAGCATTGCCCCTGTGTTTTCTTACAGTAGTTTTAGAGTTTGGGTTCTTTAATTTAGCTATTTGATCCATTATGAGCTGATTTGTATGTAGGGTGAAAGGTGGAGATGTAGTTTCATTCTTTTGCGTATGGGTAATTTTCCCAGCACCATATTGAAGAAACCGTCCTTTCCCTAATGAGTGTTCTTGGCATTTTTGTAAAAATCAGTTGGCAGTGGATAACATGAATTAATTTATGGGTTCTCTATTATGTTCCATTTGCCTGTGTACTGGTTTTTATGCCAGTATCATGCGTCTGGGTTGCCACAGCTTTGTGGTATATTTTGAAGTCTGATCGTGTGATGCCTCCAGCTTTGTTCTTTTTGCTCAGGATTGCTTTGGATATTCAGGTCTTTTGCAGTTCCATACAAATTTTAAGACTTTTTTCTATTTCTGTGAAGAATGTCATTGATATTTTCATAGAGATCACATTGAATCTGTAGATTACTTTGAATGGCATGGTCATTTTAACAATATTAATTCTACTCCATTTGTTTGTATCCTGCTCAGTTTCTTCCATCAGTGTTTTGTAGCTTTCCTTGCAGAGCTCGTTCACCTCTTTGATTAAACATGTTCCTAAGTATTTCATTGCTTATAGGTATTGTAAATGGGATGCTTTCTTGATTTCTTTATTAGCTAATTTTTTGTTGGCGTATAGCAACACTACTCATTTTTGTATGTTGATTTTGTATCCTGCAAATTTGCTGAATTCGTTTATCAATGCTAAGAGTTTTTTGGTAGTCTTTAGGTTTTTCTATAGGTAAGATCATGTTTATCTGCAAACAGAGACAATTTGACTTCCTCCTTCCAAATCCGGATGATCCTTGTTGTTTTGGTTTTTGTTTTTCCTCTTGTGTAATTGCACTGGCTGGAACTTTCAGTACTATGTTGAATAAGAGTGGTGAGAGTGGATATATTTGTCTTGTTCCACTTCTTAGAGGAAAAGCTTCCTACACTACTCCATTTACTATGATGTTAGCTATGGGTTTTTCTATGTGGTCTTTTTGGGGTTGAGTTACTTTACTTTCATAACTAATTTATTGAGAGATTTTATCATGAAAGAATGTTGAATTTTATCAGACCCATTTTCTACAACAATTGAGATGATCTTATAGGTTTCGTCCTTCATTCTGTTGACATAATGTATCATGTTTATTGATTTACATATGTTGAACCATCCTTAACATTCCTGGGATAAATCCCATTTGATTATGGTACATTATCTTTTTGGTGTTTTGCTGGATTTGGTTTGTTAGTATTTTTTTGGAGATTTCTATGTCTATATTTATCAGGGTTATTTGCCCGTAGTTTTTCTTTTGTGTTGTGTCCTTGTCTATTTTTGGTATCAGGATTATGCTGGCCTCACAGAAGGATATAGGACAAGTTCCCTCTGCTTCAATTTTTCTTGAACATTTTGAGAAGAATTTATGTTAATTCTTTAAATGTTCACTAGAAATCAGCAGGGAAGCCATCTAGTCCTGTTCTTTCTTTGTTGGGAGGTTTATTACTGATTCAATCTTGTTGCATGTCATTGATATGTTCAGGTTTTCTGTTTCTTCCTGTTTCAATCTTAGCAGATTCTATATGTCGAGGAATTTATCAGTTTCTTCTAGGTCTTCAAATTTATTGGCATATAGTTCATATATTCTTTCATGATCTTTTGTATTTCTGTGGTATCCGTTGTGACATCTTTTTCATTTCTGATTTTATTTATTTTCGTCTTCCCTCTTTTTTTCCTAGTTACTCTAGCTGATGGCTTGTTGGTTTTGTTTACCTTTTAAAAAATCCAACTTCGTGTTTTGTTGATCTTTTGTATTATTTTGTCTCAATTTGATTTGTGCTCTGTTCTTTATTATTTCTTTCTTTCTTTTCTTTTTTTTTTTTTTTGTGAGACAGAGTTTTGCTCTTGTTGCCCAGGCTAAAGTGTCATGGTGCAATCTTGGCTCACCGCAACCTCTGCCTCCTGGGTTTAAGCAATTCTCCTGCCTCAGTCTCCCGAGTAGTTGGGATTACAGGTATGCGCCACCACACCCAGCTAATTCTGTATTTTTAGTAGAGGTGGGGTTTCTCCAAGTTGGTCAGGCTGGTCTCAAACTCCCGACCTCAGGTGATCTACCCTCCTCAGCCTCCCAAAGTGCTGGGATTACAGGCATGAGCCACCGCGCCCGGCCCTATTATTTCTTTTTTTCTACTAATTTTGGGTTTGCTTTGTTCTTGCTTTTCTAGTTTCTTGAGATGCATTGTTGTTTATTTGAAATCTTTCTAGTCTTTCCTGTAAACATTTATTGCTATAAACTTACCTCTTAATACTTAATTTTCTCTGTCCTATAGTTTTTGGCATGTTGTGTTTCTATTTTAATTTGTTCAATGAATTTTTAAATTTCAATTTTAGCTTTGTTCTTCACTCATTGGTTGTTCAGAAGCATGTCGTTTAATTTTAATATATTTGTGTAGTTTCTAATGTTCCTCTTGTTACTGGTTTTGAGTTGTTTTCAACTATAGTCAGGTAAGATACTTGACATTTTGATAAACGATGCTCTGTTATTGGGTGCATATACATTTAACGTATACACGTCTTTAACAAACTGATAGAAGCCAGATACATAAATATTGTGTGAGTCAATTTATATGAAGCTCCAGAATAGAAAAAACTAATAGATAGTGATGAGAATCACGTAAGTGATGGCTGCAAGTGAAACACTGACTGGGATAGAAAATAAGAAAGCGCCAGGCGCGGTGGCTCACGCCTGTAATCCCACCACTTTGGGAGGCCGAGGCGGGTGGATCACGAGGTCAGGAGATCGAGACCATCCTGGCTAACAAGGTGAAACCCCGTCTCTACTAAAAAATACAAAAATTAGCCAGGCGTGGTGGCGGGCGCCTGTAGTCCCAGCTACTCGGGAGGCT
The DNA here is from genome assembly GCF_000001405.40 of Homo sapiens. NCBI lineage: Eukaryota > Metazoa > Chordata > Mammalia > Primates > Hominidae > Homo > Homo sapiens. Next base: position 51,464,854 of record NC_000019.10, on the reverse strand, counting down.
GAGGCAGGAGAATGGCGTGAACCCGGGAGGCAGAGCTGGCAGTGAGCCGAGATCGCGCCACTGCACTCCAGCCTGGGCGACAGAGCGAGACTCCGTCTCAAAAAAAAAAAAAAAAAAAAAAAGAAAAGAAAGAAAATAAGAAAGCTTGGAGGGATGAAAAAAAGATTCCCTATCTTGATTGAGGACATAGTTACAGGGTGTTTACATTTGCCAAAACTAATTTAACTGTATGCTTACAATGTGTGCTTTTTATTATACGTAAGGTATGTCTTCATAAAGTTTATATGAAGTTAACGCTGTAGTAGATGGGAAAAATGCAATATAATCGTGATGAAGAGTAATGACTTTGGGTTGATATGGGCCCTTTCTCTCTCTGTCTCTCTTTTTCTCGATGAAATCGGCTTTATTTTCTCACACTTTACCCACTGCACACTTTCGAAACACTTCTTGCTACTCAACAATATTTTTGTGGCCGCCGCACTAGGATACAGGCGCACTGCGGGCAGAATTTTGGCCGTTTTTTTCTCGCCGCTGTTTCCCCCACGGCCTTTGGCTGCGCCCTGCTCGCTGCTCTGGGATGAACTTGCCTTTCAGGCAGCCCTGCCCATCTCTCACCTCCCAGCTCACCTGTCCCACCTGCCCGCGGATCCTCACCCTCTCCGCTGGGCTCCCACAGCCCCGTCCTCCCCGCTGGCTCAGCCCGGACCCCGCCAGGCTGTGCCCGCCTCTGTCTCCCCTGCCCGTGGCCGGTGCCCCTCCAGGCTCCGCCTCGCCCAGCCCAGACGCCCAGGCGGCTCCGCCCCATAGATGGGAGGCAACTGCCCAGGGTGCAGGGGCAGCGAGGGGCTGCGGCTGAGAGCCCTGCCCGGTCCTGGGGAGGGAGGGAGAGTGTGGGTGGAGGGGGCAGCCCTGCAGATGTCAGAGACAGGGCGGCAGCAGCACAGGTTTCCTCTGGTGAGGAGCCCTTCCCTTCCCTTTTCTCCTTCCATCCTCTGAGCATCCCATGTTACAGGCTGTCCCAGACCCCTGTGGGACTCTGCATCCACCGCGGTCCACACCGGGCTGTGCTCACAGGAACACATCGAATCCTCTCGACCACTCCATGGACTCTCTTGCCAGGGCCGCCTTGAGAAAGGAACACAGACCGAGTGGCTTCACCAACGCCTTTGTTTTCCCACCCTTCTGGAGGCTGGAAGTCTGAGACCAAGCTGTGGTCAGCGTTGCTTCCTTCTGAGGCCTCTCGGTGGCTTGCGGGTGGCATCTTCTCCCTGTGTCCCACGTGGTCTTTCTCCCGAGTATGTCGCTGTCCTAATCACACCTTTTTTTTTTTTTTTTTTTTTTTTTTGAGACAGAGCCTCACTCTGTCGCCCAGGCTGGAGTGCAGTGGCACCATTTTGGCTCACGGCAGCCACCGTCTCCCGGGTTCAAGCAATTCTTCCGCCTCAGCATCTGGAGTAGCTGGGATTACAGGCACATGCCACCACGTCTGGATAATTTTTGTATTTTTAGTAGAGACGGGGTTTCACCATGCTGGTCAAGCTGGTCTCCAACTCCTGACCTCAAGTCATCTGCCCGTGTCGGTCTCCGGAAGTGCTGGGATTACAGGCCTGAGCCACCACACTCCACCCCTAATCACCCCTTCTAATAAAGACACAGCTCATGTAGGATGAGAGCTAACAACTTCATTTTAACTTAGTCACCTTTTTATAAGTCCTCGTCTCCAAATATGGTCACTTTCTGAGGTGCTGGGGGTTAGGACTTCAGCATAGGAATTTGTAGGGGACACAGTTCATCCCTGACACCCCGTAAGTGTTGACATCCGACGATGCACAGTGCAGGTAAGCCCCCTCCCAAGACAGCACCGTGGGTTTTACAGAGCCCAGCTCAAGCCAGCAGCCATCCAGCTACAGAGCCTGTACCCCTGAACTCTCTCTGTGAGGCCTCAGCTGAGGAAGCCCCAGAGCAGTGTGGACCACCAGGAGCTCCTTACTGAGGGCAGGACTCCGAGTGACCCCTGAGAATGGTTAGGGCCAGACACGTGGATGCTTCGGGCCTGCCCAGGGACACAGAGCATGTTGGCCATGCCTGAGTCTGCAGAGAACGTCGCCTCCTCGAGCTGGGTTCTCCCTCAGGCTGAGGGGTGGGTGCTGTGATCCCTCCAGGGGACAGATGAGGAGACTGAGACTTGGAGGGAGAGGGCCCAGGACCCTCACACTCCAGAGCCAGGGCCTCCCCTAGCATCTTGGGCTCAGCCTTGCTCCCCATGCTGGGCTCACAGGGCCTCGGCTGTGCAGTCACCACCAGGCATGCTGGGCAGGGGGCACTGAGAAGGTTAGGAAGGCTGGGGACCACCTGTGGGGCCGCATGCTCACAGCACCTCAGAGTCCTGGTCCCGTCCACTCTGCCCGAGTATACCTGAGACCGCACCTTCTAGCTGCACAGGGCCCTCGGGGTTCCACAAGCCCTGCCTGTGTTTCAAGCATCACAGCCCTTACTAACAGGAGCTGGGGTGGCCCAGGGCTCCTCTGCCCCCTCGTTCATTAGGGAACTTCCCAAGGAAGGAGACAGAGTCTGTCACACTCTCCCCTTTGCCTCCATCCCCCTGAAAGGAGGAGATGCTCCTGATGTGGTGATTGTGCTCATTCATTAAACATCACCTCTCCCGCCTCGGGGGACCCCTCCCCATCTCTCATGCCTCGTGGTTCCTCCGCCAGCCCCTCCTGAGTCCCAGCTCTGGCAGGACTGACCCTCCCGAGCACCTAGAAGCTGTAATGGACAGGCAGTGCCTGCTTCCCTGGTGTGGACAGTGCTGTGGGAGGGAAAGGCTGTGGGCAGAGAGCCTGCAGCTGTGGGTCGGGGCCTCCCTGCTGTGTGTGGCCCACACTGAAGACCCATCCGGAGAGTAGAAATGGCCACTCCCCAGGAGCCCTGACAGCTCTGGCAGTGTCGGGGCCAAGGTCCTCTTTTGTGGTCAGTTATTTTTCTGATCTTACCCCCAGGCTTCCTGTGGGGCCCTTCTAGGGCCCTGCGACACCAAGGCTCACCCTAAAGAAGCTCACGCTGCAATAGCTGCTGCCCCTGCTGTGGGCAGGAGAATGGGCCTCAGGGAGAGGAACCATGGGGCTGGGCTGGGCTGACCCTCATTTCCCCACAGGGGATCTGGCTCAGGATATGAGATCCCGGCAGGAAGCCCCAGAGTTGGTGCAGGTGCAGGAGGGTTTCTGTGACTACGCACTGCTCCATCTTCCACCCCTGTGGGTACCTGTCTGACTCCAGCCCTGTCCAAGGCTACTGTCCCAGAAAGGGGACATTTCCATCAGGATCCTCAAGTGGCTGGAAGCAATCTAGTTGGAAAAGAGCAGGAGGAGACCCAGAGCCAATTCCACCTGCTTCAGACCCCAGGCCAGCACCTGCTTTCTGGACGTCAGAGACACACAGAGGCGAGATGCAGGGACAGACCTCTTTAGGGAGAAAAGGGAGATCTATGTGAATGTAATTACAGAAATGCTCTATGTGCATGTGAAGGGTAAGGAATGAGGTTATGAAAGGACACACGAATGGGGGTTCCCAGGGCAGTGAAGCTGACACATCAAATTAACTGTCACACTGCCCAAGGAGGCAGTGCTCAGCTCATACACAGAAACACACAGGTACACACAGACACTCCCTCTCCCTCACACACAGGGTCTCTCTCTCTCTGTCTCTCTCTCTCTCTCAATCACACACACACACACACACACACACACACACACACACACACCCAAGCATTGGGCATTCTGGGTACTGAGATGCGCTGTGTCCTTCCCTTTGCCCTGGGAAGCTGGGTCTCCCCTGAAAAGGTGAATGGCGCTAGTTGTCAGGTCAAAGAGACCCTGGGACATCGTCTTAGGATGAGAGAACTATTTGGGATGCCATTTTATGGATCCCTTGCCTGTCACTGTATGTGTCTCTCTGGGCCACCTGTGTCCATGTGGGTCACCAATCCCCATGTCAGGATTCAATGATTCTCTGCTCCCTAAGGCATAGCCCGTGGTGTCCCACACGCCCTCCTTGCCGTCCAGCAGGTGAACAAGTGAGCGGCTATCGTGTCTCCCTATGAGATGGGCCAGTGGTCAGCGTCAATATGTGAGAGCTGCAACAGCTCCTGCCCCTACACGGACCCCTCAGGGCTGCTGCTCCAACTTCCCCCTTCCCTTGTGGTGAACTTTGTCCAGGAAGCAAACAGGGAAGGGGATTCTGGGAATTGTAGTTCCAGCCTGGCTAAGTTGCTGGAGAGCAAGGCCTGCACAGGAGTCTTCACTGAAGGCTTCAATTACCACTTGGGGACCATGGAAAAGACCTGTGCCATGGCTCGGCCCTTCTGACTATTGAGATACTGCAGCTGTCTCTACTGGGCAAGGATAGGAGGCCCAGGAGGGGGAAATGGCTGCAGAATGAGATACCAGCTACAAATGCAAGCATTGGTGATGGGGGTGGGAGTCGGCTATGCACACCCAAGCCCTGCACCTTCCCTTCTCAATTATCACAGCCGAATGATCTACTCCAGGTTATAAGTAATGAGGGGAAGATAGGAGACGGGCAGATCCATGAAGCTGAGTGGAAGAAAGTAGAGTTTGATTTTCTGTGTATACAAAGTCTTCAGAAAAACGTGCAAAAGCTTAGTAAATGCAGCCTGCTCAGATAATAAAACTATATAGAAAAGCATTGAGGCAATTTGCACCAAAGTGAGGCTAGGGGATCGTTTGGGAGGGAGTGGGGTGTGGCCAATAAGAAGGAGAAACAAATGAGCAGCGCTGGGGACTTTGTCAATGTGCCATTTCTAGGAGGGGGCTCGTTGTATGTAAATCACTGAGGTCTTCTTTGGGGGTTGTTTTTATCTATATTTCTTATATTTACCCCCCAAAAAATGTTTCAAGAAAATTGACCTGAGTCTAAGGAGGCTCCGCCTCCCAGGATCCCCCTTAACTTCTTCCCAGCCCCCAGCCACACAGTTTAAAATAATCTGTTGAGGCCAGGCACGGTGGCTCACACCTGTAATCCCAGCACTTTGGGAGGCTGAGGTGGGTGGATCATGAGGTCAGGAGATCCAGACCATCCTGGTCGACATGGTGAAACCCCGGCTCTACTAAAAATACAAAAATTAGCTGGATGTGGTGGCGTATGCCTGTAATCCTAGCTACTTGGGAGGCTGAGGCAGGAGAATCGCTTGAACCAGGGAGTCAGAGGTTGCAGTGAGCCGGGATCGCGCCACTGCACTCCAGCCTGGCGACAGAGAGAGACTCCGTCTCAAATAATAATAATAATAATAATAATAATAATCATCATCATCATCATCATCATCATCATCATCTGTTGAATTCAGGTGCACATTTCTTCTCTCAAGAAATCCTGCCCATCGCTGAAGGTGCACACCCCAGGGCTGGTGTCCTCGTTCCATGACACCTGTTCACCTGGACCCCTGGAAGCAGAGCCTGCAGGAGCAAAGCCCCAGGGCTGACAGACCCCGCCTGCTGTGCAGTAACCAGGGGAAGTGTGGCTGAGTAAGATACGGGTGGTGAAGAAACCCATTCTGATACCCAGATAGCTGCAACAAAGGGAGAAGTGTGTGCCCTTTTCAAATTGACCCTTTCCCTTCTGACATTTCTCCCTTCCAAACCCCACAGTACAACAGTTACAGCCTCAGTTTCCCAGGCCTCCTGCGAGCCAGGCTTCCCCCCGCCCCCCGTCCTTCGTGTGTATCAACATGCAGAATCCTCACCTCCACAGCCCCGTGTCCCTCTGCTCAGGCCTCCTGAGACTGAACCCCTGACCTAGGGGAGAACGACCCCACCTTGCCTGTGCCCCCCACTGAAGCTCCCGTCCTGGGGAGCTCAGACGTCAGGAGCCTCCGTGTCTCCCCTCTGCACAGTGACTCCTTGAGGACAGTGTCTGGCTCTGCTCTGTTGACCTCGTTGTGTAAAGAGGAGGTGCCCACTTCGTTGCTGCTGAGAGAGGGAGGAGAGGCTGCCTGCTCACCTCACCTGCACCCCAGTCTCTCATGGCCCTGAGTTCCACCTTTGGCTGGTATGACCTCCACAAACAGTGACAGCCCCGGGGGTGATTCAGGGGTCTGGCCAGATGGGACCCAATTTCACCTTGCAGAAAATGTTACCCAAATGGAAGGGCAAGTCCGGGAAGCAAGAAAGAGGTTGGGCCCTGCATAGGGTGGGAATCTGGATGAGTTTCTCACCCTCTCTGGCCTCAGGGTTCCCAGGAGTGGAAATGGGGTGGTGGACAGTGGATCTCCCAGGACTGACCCGGCCCTGACAGTGTCTGTGTGTGAAGTTCCTCCTCTGAGGAGGTCACTTTTCTGACTTCACCCCCAACCTCCTGCGGGACCTCCCCTAAGTCTTGAGACCTCAGTTTCTGAGAGAAGAACCCTGAGGAACAGACGTTCCCTGGCGGCCCTGGCGCCTTCAAACCCAGACATGCTGCTGCTGCTGCTGCTGCTGCCCCTGCTCTGGGGGACAAAGGGGATGGAGGGAGACAGACAATATGGGGATGGTTACTTGCTGCAAGTGCAGGAGCTGGTGACGGTGCAGGAGGGCCTGTGTGTCCATGTGCCCTGCTCCTTCTCCTACCCCCAGGATGGCTGGACTGACTCTGACCCAGTTCATGGCTACTGGTTCCGGGCAGGAGACAGACCATACCAAGACGCTCCAGTGGCCACAAACAACCCAGACAGAGAAGTGCAGGCAGAGACCCAGGGCCGATTCCAACTCCTTGGGGACATTTGGAGCAACGACTGCTCCCTGAGCATCAGAGACGCCAGGAAGAGGGATAAGGGGTCATATTTCTTTCGGCTAGAGAGAGGAAGCATGAAATGGAGTTACAAATCACAGTTGAATTACAAAACTAAGCAGCTGTCTGTGTTTGTGACAGGTAAGGCACGGGCTCCAGCACAGGCCACAGGGGAAGGTCATGAGGGGCTGAAAGGCAGGGCTGGGATGGGGCCTGGGAGGGGGTTGGGATTGAAATAAGTCGGTCTCCGGGGAGGAGCTGGACCAGAGCTTGAGCTTCCTCCAGGGCTGCACCTGAAATACCTCCTCCTGATCCTGTGTCCCCATCTTCACCAGCCCTGACCCATAGGCCTGACATCCTCATCCTAGGGACCCTAGAGTCTGGCCACTCCAGGAACCTGACCTGCTCTGTGCCCTGGGCCTGTAAGCAGGGGACACCCCCCATGATCTCCTGGATTGGGGCCTCCGTGTCCTCCCCGGGCCCCACTACTGCCCGCTCCTCAGTGCTCACCCTTACCCCAAAGCCCCAGGACCACGGCACCAGCCTCACCTGTCAGGTGACCTTGCCTGGGACAGGTGTGACCACGACCAGTACCGTCCGCCTCGATGTGTCCTGTGAGTGCTGGACCAAGATGCCCAGGTCCCTCATGGGTTGGGAGGTGTTCCTGAGGGCAGGGGATGGGGTTCAAGCCTGGACACTGGGTTCTGGGTCCCAGAATCTGGGCTGGGAGTGGGGTCAGGAGAATGCCGACTCCATTTTCCCTGTATTTGCAGCTCCTGGGAAGACAGGGCCAATGTCCCCAGTCCTTATAGTAATGTGGGTCTTCATGTCTTTCTGTCCCAGACCCTCCTTGGAACTTGACCATGACTGTCTTCCAAGGAGATGCCACAGGTAGGACAGAGCCCCCTCCCTGGGGTTGGGGGAGCAGGGCCTTCAGCTCAGGATGGGGCTGGGTCTCTCCTCATCCTGGAATCACTTTGGGAAACAGAGCTGCCACTGTGCGTGAGCCCAGGGCACAAGAGCCCACATCTCCAGCCCGCGTGACCATCTGAGCCCCTGTCCCCATCCTGTCCCTGCTCCCCTTAGACTCCTCCACACACCCCTTCCTTGGCCCCACAGCAAGGACAGGGTGACATTCACACAGCTGGATCAGACTCCCAATTTTTTTGGTTTTTGTTCGTTTTTATTTTGGGACCAGACTTTCAAGTTTCTTGTCAGGCATCTCCTGAATACTTCCTCTGTCTGATCTTTCTGTTTTCCCAGTAGTTTCGATCTAAGTACTTCTGCCCAGATGATACAGTCACATGGGCAGAAATTCAAAATGCACAGCAAAGTCTGTCCTCCAGTGCCCATCCCCCTCCACGGAACTGACCAGCGTCCGTCCAGGCTGCCCTGAGTCTTGGTTTGTGCACCTGGAGGATCTCAGAGGTGGTTTGACATCGTAGTGAGACTGTCCACCCCGTCCTCTAGGACCGTGTGTGATTTCACTGCACAGATGGACTCTGACTTTGTGGCATCCCTTAAGGAAAATCATGGCACAAATATCCTTCCGCAGAAACTGTGCAGTGGATAGTCTTGTATCTACTTCCACAGGAATATCTAAGTGTATGGGATAAATTCCTAAAAGCAAAATATACCAGTGTCGTATGTTGTTTCTAATTTTGAAAGATGCAGTGAAGTTGTTCTCAATTAAAAGTGGACAAGTTTACATTCCCAGCACTGAGTGTGCGTTTTCCTGCACTTCAGTCTATGTCTGTGTGTCAGTCCCTCTCACTAGTCTCTTTCTGTGTCCTTCCTCTTTCTCTGGATCCATTTGTCTCTCTGACCCTCTGTCTCCTTTTATTATTATTATTATTATTATACTTTAAGTTTTAGGATACATGTGCACAACGTGCAGGTTTGTTACATATGTATACATGTGCCATGTTGGTGTGCTGCCCCCAGTAACTTGTCATTTAGCATTAGGTATATCTCCTAATGCTATCCCTCCCCCCACCCCACAACAGTCCCCGGTGTGTGATGTTCCCCTTCCTGTGTCCATGTGTTCTCATTGTTCAGTTCCCACTTATGAGTGAGAACATGCGGTGTTTGTTTTTTTGTCCTTGCAATAGTTTGCTGAGAATGATGGTTTCCAGCTTCATCCATGTCCCTACAAAGGACATGAACTCATCATTTTTTGTGGCTGCATAGTATTCCATGGTGTATATGTGCCACATTTTCTTAATCCAGTCTATCATTGTTGGACATTTGGGCTGGTTCCAAGTCTTTGCTATTGTGAATAGTGCCACAATAAACATACATGTGCATGTGTCTTTATAGCAGCATGATTTATAATCCTTTGGGTATATACCCAGTAATGGGATGACCCTCTGTCTCTTTCTCTGCAGCATCCACAGCCCTGGGAAATGGCTCATCTCTTTCAGTCCTTGAGGGCCAGTCTCTGCGCCTGGTCTGTGCTGTCAACAGCAATCCCCCTGCCAGGCTGAGCTGGACCCGGGGGAGCCTGACCCTGTGCCCCTCACGGTCCTCAAACCCTGGGCTGCTGGAGCTGCCTCGAGTGCACGTGAGGGATGAAGGGGAATTCACCTGCCGAGCTCAGAACGCTCAGGGCTCCCAGCACATTTCCCTGAGCCTCTCCCTGCAGAATGAGGGCACAGGTGGGTAAGGGAGGGGCTGGAGGAGGAGAACACACCTGCCCCACCCTCATGGACCACCCACTGCCCCTGAGCTTCAAGGGGGAGCTCAGCTCTGGTCTGTGCTCAGCTGTGAGGCCTGGAACTTCCCTGCGACCCAGAGCATCACTGTCCTCTCCCCGCCAGGAAAGGGGTGCGGGGTGGGGAGAGGGGAGGAGTGGGTCTTGGAGGGGAGGAGCTGGGGCCCGGCCAGGTGTGTTTGGAGGGACAAGCGCCTTGCTTTGCAGTGCTTAGACTAGGATGAGGCACATGAGGCACTTGCCTTGGCACCAAATTTAAGAAGCCAAAGAAAAACCCAACTCAGAAAGCAAGTAAAGTAATATTGCAATGCCATGATCTTTTGAAAAAACTAAAATTGAATGCAAAATGATTCCACAAGAACACAATATCAAAATTGTAAATAAAGGCAAGACAAGCTGCATCCAGCACTCTCATGCCTCACTGGCCTCAGAAGTAGTCTCCTTTCCTCCCTCCCATTCGTATTCTGTGTCTGGGAAGGAGAAGAGGGGAATGGAAGTCTAGGGCCCTGCAGACAGTGGGAGGGGAAGAGACCCACTTCTCCGTGATATAAATCCCCAAAGCAACTCCAATCCATCTGCAGGCACCTCAAGACCTGTATCACAAGTGACACTGGCAGCAGTCGGGGGAGCTGGAGCCACAGCCCTGGCCTTCCTGTCCTTCTGCATCATCTTCATCATGTGAGCATTGACCCTGGGGAGGGAGAGAGAGACCTGGGGCAGGGCAGACCGGGAACAGAATCCCTGAAGCCAGAGCTGGAAGGACCTGGATGGGTCCAGGGCTTGGGGCAAGAATGAGCTCACGGGTGCACGGTGAGCATTTCACGAGCGTCCTTGTCTGTGGGGCTCCACATCTGTAGCAACCTCGGGCCCCACCATCCATGAGGCAGGAGCCTCTGTTTTCACCGTTGGGGTCTCTGGAACTGGACCACCGCCGTTGCGCCTCGGTCACCCCTCAAGCCCCCAGTAGGAAATACAGGGCAGGGGTTGGTCTGCCCACTGCACCCCGATCTGACCACACTGAAAGGCTCTCTGGTCTCTTCACTCAGAGTGAGGTCCTGCAGGAAGAAATCGGCAAGGCCAGCAGCGGGCGTGGGGGATACAGGCATGGAAGATGCAAAGGCCATCAGGGGCTCGGCCTCTCAGGTGAGTGATGTGGGCTTCTCCACACCGAGCATCCAGCCTGGACACCTCTGACAGGATGGCCCCCAGGATCGCTCTCTTTGGTATGGCCAAAGTCACTTCCTCGTCTCCTCCTCCTTCCCACAGGCCGGCTTCTACAGGACTCCCCCATCTTGCTGACAGCATGGCAGTCCCTACCCCCAATTTTTCCCAGGCCAGGCACTGAGTAGGAGTTATCTCCTCTCTGTCCTCCTTTTCTTCTCTATAGCCCCGATTCACCATCTCTCCTCCATTTTTCCTCCCCAAGAATAGCTGGCATCTCTTCTCCCTGGCCCCAGCCATCCTGACCCCTCTCATTATTTTTCCTATTGGCGGGACCTGATTTCTTTGACCGGCTTGTCATCCTTACGCCACTAACCTGTGAGCTTCCCCAGGTCAGGTATCATGTCTCAATTAAGGCCCTGTAATTCTCTCTCATTTACTCTCGTTTTGCCCGTTGTATCATAATTTACATGTAGATACTCATTTCTTATTTTTATTTTTTTCTCGAGGCAGAATCTTGCTCTGTCACCTAGGCTGGAGTGCAGTGGGGCAATCTCGGCTCACTGCAACCTCTGCCTCCCAGGTTCAAGCAATTCTCCTGCCTCAGCCTCCCAAGTAGCCAGGATTACAGGCACGCGCCACCAAGCCAGGCTAATTTTTGTATTTTTAGTAGAGACGGGGTTTCACCATGTCGGCCAGCTGGTCTCGAACTCCTGACCTCGTGATCCGCCCGCCTCAGCCTCCCAAAGTGTTAGGATTAGGGGCATGAGCCACCGCACCCAAGCTGATATTCATTTCTTTAACAGTCATTTGTTGCCACCTCCCTCAATTAAAGACTGAGCTGCCACTTTGGGAGGCCAAGGTAGGAGGATCGCTTGAGCCCAGGAGTTTGAGACCAGCCTGGGCAACATAATGAGATCCCATCTCTACAAAAAAATGCAAAACTTAACCAGGCATGGTGGTGAGTTCCTGCAGTCCCAGCTACTTGGGGGGCTGAGATGGAATGATCCCTTGAGCCCAGGAAGTGGAGGGTGCAGTGAGCTGGGATTGCACCACTGCACTCCAGCCTGGGCAACAGAGCCAGACTCTGTCTCAAAAAAAAAACCAAAAAACAAAACAAAACAAAACAAAAACTGAGCTGCAGGAGGTCAGGGCCCACACCTACCATGTCCATCATAGTTTATCCAGCACCGGCTCAGGGCCTCACACACGGGGGCCTCAGCAGGACTCCAGGCTTTGGGGTCAGAAGGAACAGATGGATTGGGTCCTGCTGCAACAGGGACTTTGGGCGCAGTGCTGACTGTTTCGACCTCAGTTTTCATATTTATAAAGTGGAGATAATAATAATATCTCACTATGGAGTTGTTGCGGGAAGTTAATGAGATTAGTAAACACCAAACAGGTGCTCAGTAAGTGTTAAATGTTGGAGGAAAGCATGAAAGACACTTCGACAAAAATGCAGGTGGGATGAATGGAGGACGGACCTCCTGGGCCTCCTTCCTGGACTCTCCCTGCCTCATCCTGGCCCCACTGCTCTGTTCTGACTCCCTTCTCTCTCTCTGTCCAGGGACCCCTGACTGAATCCTGGAAAGATGGCAACCCCCTGAAGAAGCCTCCCCCAGCTGTTGCCCCCTCGTCAGGGGAGGAAGGAGAGCTCCATTATGCAACCCTCAGCTTCCATAAAGTGAAGCCTCAGGACCCGCAGGGACAGGAGGCCACTGACAGTGAATACTCGGAGATCAAGATCCACAAGCGAGAAACTGCAGAGACTCAGGCCTGTTTGAGGAATCACAACCCCTCCAGCAAAGAAGTCAGAGGCTGATTCTCATAGAACAAGAACCCTCTAGAGCCCCATGCTATGCAGTAGGTCACCAGGGCTCCCTCCTCCTGTCTAACCAAAACTTGGACCAATGTCTCCCCTTTCCCCGGCTACCAGGGACCCATCCCTGCCTCTAGCTTCTACTACCCACCATTCTCCTCTCGACCTCTCTGAGGTTGACTATTTTAGATTCCACATAGAGATGAGGTCATGTGGTACTTGCCTCTCTGTGTGTGGCTCATTTTACACAAAAAAATATCCCCTAGGTTCATCCATGTTCTCTCAAATGACAGAATCAAGCACTGAATATTTTTTTTTCTTTGAGAGATGGAGTTTCGCTCTGTTGCCCAGGCTGGAGTGCAGTGGTTCAATCTCTGCTCACTGCAACCTCCACCTCCTGGGTTCAAACGATTCTCCTGCCTCAGCTTCCCAAGTAGCTGGTACTACAGGCGTGTGTCACCACGCCCAGCTAATTTTTGTATTTTTTAGTAGAGACGGGGTTTCACTATAAGTGGGCCAGGCTAGTCTCAAACTCCTGACCTCAAGTGATCTGCCTGCCTTGGCCTCCCAAAGTGCTGGGATTTCAGGCATGAGCCACCGCACCCAGCTTGCATTGAATATTTTCAAGGAGCTAAAAGAAGATTTTAAATGGTCTCACAAAAACAGATAAATATTTGCACAGATGGGTGTGCTAATCATTGTGCCTTGATGGTTCCACGATGTATCCGGGTGTGGAAATCTCACTGGGTCTCTCTCAAGGCCACTCGGCTACTCAGGACAGGGCTGGAATTTAAAGCCTGTCCGATTCTGAGGTCTCTTCTCTCATCTAGCACTGAGTCAAGCAATCAGCAGGCTGGGCACCCCTTAGCCATAAGTTTTCAGGAAATAAATTCCTTGAGGGCATTGACTTTTACAAAAGAGGGAGCAGCAATGGCCTAGAGTCTCAGGAACAAGACAGGTGCACTGAGGAGATGAAGGCCGGGACCCCCTGCCCAACCTGTATGGCGGGTCTGTACTTATTTTGTTTACCCCCAATTTAAAACGTTTTTTTTTATTGCAGGTTGTTTGTTTGATATGGTTTGGCTGTGTCCCCACCCAAATCTTATCTAGAATTGTAATCAGAATTATAATCCCCATGTGTTGGGGGAGGGACCTGGTGGGAGGTGATAGGATCATGGGGGTGGTTCCCCCATGCTGTTCTGATAGTGAGTGAGTTATCACGAGATCTGATGGTTTTGTAAGTGGTGGTTTCCCCTGCTCTTCTCTCTTGCCTGCCACCATGTAAGATGTGCCTGGTTCCCCTTCCGCCATGATTGTAAGTTTCCTGAGGCCTCCCCCGCCATGTGGAACTGTGAGTCAATTACACCTCTTTCATTTATAAATTACTCAGTCTCAGGTATTTCTTAATAGCAGTGTGAAAACAGGCTAACACATTGTTCTTTGAAATTTAAAAATAGCGTTAGCTTTTCAGTTGAATCACGCAGCTCTTACATGTGCCATGCCATGAGTGTTGCCAAACATGCACCCCTGTGTAACCAGCTTCTCAATCAAGGATAGAGAAATTTTCCTTCACTCCAGAAAGATCCTGGTGTCCTTCCCAGTCAATCCCTAGCCCTGAGAGCCACCACTTTCTGATTCCTATCACCAGATATTATTTTCCATGTCCCTTGAACTTCATATAATTGGCATCACCCAATGTGTATTCTTGTGTCTTTTGTTTTTCACTCAGTGTTGCGTTGTTGTTGTTGTTGTTGTTGTTGTTGTTGAAGACAGAGTCTCACTCTGTCTCCCAGGCTGGAGTGCAGTGGCGTGATCTCGGCTCACTGCAGCCTCCACCTCCCGAGTTCAAGTGATTCTCCTGCCTCAGCCTCCTGAGTAGCTGGAACTACAGGCGCACGCCACCACACCCAGCTAATTTTTGTATTTTTAGTAGAGACATGGTTTCACCATGTTGGCCAGGATAGTCTCGATCTCCTGACCTTGTGATCCACCCACCTCGGCCTCCCAAAGTGCTGGGATTACAGGCATGAGCCACCGCACCCGGCCGCATTGCATGTTTTGAGATTCATCCATGCTGTGTGTGTCAGTATCTTTTCCTCTTTATTGCTGAGTAGGACACCATTGCATTGTATGAGCAAATCACAATTCATTCCCTTATTTTTTCCTATTCATTGATACTGTTTTGGTTGTGGCAATTATCAAGACAGCTGCTGTGAACATATTTGTATGATAGTGTATTGAGATGTTTCCATTTCTCTCTAGGATTTGGGGCAGGGCTGAGATAGGAACAATGAGGTTGGATTCCCATGCTGGCCTTTCGAGAGTATCCAGGATGTCCTGTGGAGATGACATTCAGCAGCTCAGGAGGGACAGAGGGAGGGGCTGGAGATGGACACAGGAAACATCAGAGGGTCTCATCATCCTGATAATGGAGTTGTTGTGGGTTGAATCTTGTCCCCCAGAGAGATATGTTCAAGTCCTAACTCCCAGTATCTATGTCTGTGGCTTTATTTGGAAATAGTCTTTGCAGATGTAGCCAAGCTAATATTAGGAGGTCATACTGTATGAGGTGGGCCCTAAGTGCCATGACTGGTGTCCTAATGCAATAAGGGAAATTGAACACAAGACACACATAGGGAGGAAGGCCACGTGACAGCGGAGGCAGAGGTTGGGGTTTTGCTGCCACAGCCCCCAGAAGCTAGAAGACGCCAGGAAGAGTCTTCCCAGCACTTTCCGAGGGAGACAGCCCAATGACACCATGACTTGGGACATTTGGCCTTCATAACGTCAAAGAATAAATTTCTGTGGCTTTAAGTCACCAAGTTTGTGGGAATTTGATATGGAAGCCCTAAGAAGCCAACACACCTGACACCAACACACCTGCTGGCACCTGCTATGCACTGGGAACTGGACCCATCCTGTCTCTGCAGGCCTCAGAGTGACTCTCAAGAGGGCTGGCTCTACCCAGGTCACAGAGGAGCCCGGGTAAGCTGCTCAGCACCACACAGGCCAGCAAGTAGAGGGTCCAGGTCGAATCCAGGCAGCTGCCCCAAGGCACAAAGGGTGCCTTAATCAGGGGAACAGAGGCACCTCTCACCCAGCACTCACTTTATGTTTCCTTTAGTTTATTATTTATTTATTTTTATATTTGCTTACATTGTTTTGACCTGGTTATAAAACAAGCAAGAAAACAAACAAAAACACAAAAATCAAAGCTCACTGTTGGGAAAATTGGGAAATACAGAAAAGCACAGCAAAGCCTTAGATTTCCAGGTGCCCTGTTTCCACTTTTTTCATTTGGTTTTCCTGCTCAGGACCTAATTTTTATTTTGTTTTATTTTTTTGAGAACTGTCATATTGGTTACTTCTATTTCCTATAAAAGTGACATTAAAGGAAGAAGTTGAAGAGTCATGTGTACTGGATTCTCACATACTTGCCAAGTCACAGGATTCAACCACTTTGATAACTTTTTTTTACTGATAAACAGGACATGCATATCACGAGCCTCACATTGAAGCCTGAAACACAAGTCCAACCCCGACAACAGTGTGCAAATGAATGCACAAAACAATCTCTGGGAACTCACGTCTCCTGGATCACCTACAACACGAGCTTTGTGCCCCTGGCTGTGACACAGTTCATCCCCTAATAGTGCACACGCTTTTGCAGAGACTGAGTCCATTTCCAAACCTCCTGCAGGTTTGCTCTCTTGGCCAGGATGGCGCCTCAAGCAGATCCCTTTGTGGTTTTCACCGGCAGTGGTAGAAGCCTTGATTCAGAGGGAGTACAGAGCAATTAAAAACAAAACCAAAACAGTTCACAGATAAAGAGAAATTCACAACAGTTCCCAGAAGGGAAACACCGACTTTTCTTCGCGTGGGAGGCAGGTTGAAAGGAAGACCCTCAGACTTGTCACAGATTGCTTCTTCACGTGTCCGGCCAGAAACGTACAAACCAGGCAAGTTTAAGACAAGTCCCCAAGGAGGAGAACTGCTAGCTTTCTGGCATAATTTTAAGTTCCGCACCAAGGATCCTATTTTATCACTTGGGTGGTGAGTACAGAGACAAACATAAATGCCAACAAAAAATCCAATAAGCTGGTGCCATCCTGACCATTCCCGGCATGAGTGCTGCCTGCACCGCACCACGGCACACACAGTCTCCCCTGCCAGGGGCTGGCTGCCTCGTGTTCCCTACGCTTTCCCAGAGGTGCCCAAGGGCCAGGCCCTCCTCTCCTATCTTGTGATTGGTATCCCCTCTCTTCCCACACACCACCATCAGCATCAAGCTGCCCAAAGTATCAGGCTACCAAGATGCTGCTCGTCTCTTACACAGGTGCTATTTTTACATGGCTAATTTGGCTGGATCAACAACAATAAATCAGTACCAAGACCCTGACGCACCCAAGAGTTTCAAAATAAAATTAAAACAGGAGAGCAACAAAGTGAGAGGTGAAGCGAGCCGGACTTCCTGGGTCCAGTAGGGACTTGGAGAACTTTTCTGTCTAGCTAAAGGTTTGTAAACGCACCAATCAGCACTCTGTAAAAATGCACCAATCAGCACTCTGTCTCTAGCTAAAGGTTTGTAAACACACCAATCAGCACTCTGTAAAAATGCACCAGTCAGCACTCTGTAAAAACGCACCAATCAGTGCTCTGTGTCTAGCTAAAGGTTTGTAAATGCACCAATCAGCACTCTGTAAAAACAGACCACTAAGCACTCTGTAAAATGGACCAATCAGCACTCTGTAAAATGGACCAATCAGCACTCTGTAAAATGGACCAATCAGCAGGATGTGGGTGGGGCCAAAGAAGGGAATAAACACTGGCCACCCTAGTCAGTAGCAGGAACCCGCTCAGGTCCCCTTCCATGTTGTGGAATCCTTGTTCTTTCACTGTTCAGAATAAATCTTGCAGCTGCTCGCTGTTTGGGTCCGCACTACCTTTATGAGCTGTAACACTGCAGAGGTCTGCAGCTTCACTCCTGAAGCCAGCGAGACCAGGAACCCACTGGGAGGAACAAAGAATTCCGGACGTGCCATCTTTAAGAGCTGTAACACTCACTGCAAAGGTCTGCGGATTCACTCCTGAAGTCAGCGAGACCACGAACCCACTGGAAGAAAGAAACTCCGGACACATCTGAACATCTGAAGGAACAAACTCTGGACACACCATTCTTTAAGAACTATAACACTCACCGCGAGGGTCTGCAGCTTCATTCTTGAAGTCAGCGAGACCAAGAACCCACCAGAAGGAACCAATTCCAGATACAAAAGGACCACTCAGGAATGACTGTTGTTTGGATCGAGATATTCTCCAATATACAGTGCATTCATAGTAACCCACAGGGAGGACCCTGTGGCAGCTCTCCCTCCTCCCTGAAACGCTGGCTGCTAGTTTCTAAAAACCAGCTTGTTTGCTGCACACAACTGTGAAACGTTACACTGCCTAAGCAACACTCCCAATTTTGACACAGGCATGCACGTGCACACGTGCACAGACACATAAACAGATTTGCTAAAACGGTCAAAGGATGCCTCTTCCCAGACAGCGGGGAGTGTACTGGAAGTCGCCTTTGCCATTCAGTATACAGATTTCTTGTAACTTCAGTGTCTAGCGTTAGAGCTAATCCAGACCAAAATGTCTTTCTCTTTAAACGTCCCTGCTGTGATCAAGGGAGTGCACTACCGAATCACAGGTTCAACGGGAACTCCCTGAAATGACTGCTTGGTAAATTCTTGTTCAGTGGATTGACTTTTTTTTTCCTTCATGATTGAAAAATAACTCAGTACACAGAATTTTAATAACCCATGTAATATCCCAAACAACTTCTTAGAAATTGCGAAGTATTATTAACAAAAACCCTAATTCTACAGGAAGGTAATGACGTTTGGCTTCTTTGCATAGCCACACATCTTTCTTTAGTTATACAGGTGGGGACTGAGGAGAGCTTCACCTGATTTGGAAAATCCAAATTTATATATTTATAAATATATTAAAAACATTGCATTTGTAAATGTTTTATAGATTTATAGATCTATAAAACACGGCTTGCTGCAAGCGATTGGTTTGTGTAGGTTCCATTTGCCCCATTGGTCCCAAAAGAGCTGTTGATTCCTTTCAGACTCCAAATAAATAAGTGAAAGCCAGTTACCAAGTTCCAGCCTGATGAGAGGGGCCTCATACGGACAAACCCAGTCTTCCTCTTCTGGGTTTCATCAGCAGTCGCCTAAACCAGTAGCTGAAGAAGGGATTCATCAGGGGAGTGAGGGGGATCCACAAAAACAGGCTTCATCCTTTCCTATTGCAGCCTCTGCTCCCACATGGGCTTCTCATTTCTCCTTCTCTCGATCTCTGTCTTGTCTATTGCATATTGAGTGGATTCAGTTGCCAAACAACCACAGTGAAAGTGAAAAACATAGTATTCCATGGTGTATATGTGCCACATTTTCTTAATCCAGTCTATCATTGATGGACACTTGGTTTGGTTCCAAGTATTTGCTATTGTGAATAGTGCTGCAATAAATATATGTGTGCATGTGCCTTTATAGCAGCATGATTTATAATCCTTTGGGTATATACCCAGTAATGGGATGGCTGGGTCAAATGGTATTTCTAGTTCTAGATCCTTGAGAAATTGCCACACTGTCTTCCACAATGGTTGAACCAGTTTACAGTCCCACAAACAGTGTAAAAGTGTTCCTATTTCTCCACGTCCACTCCAGCACCTGTTGTTTCCTGACTTTTTAGTGATCGCCATTCCAACTGGTGTGAGATGGTATCTCATTGTGGTTTTGATTTGCATTTCTCTGATGGCCAGTGATGATGAGCATTTTCTCATGTGTCTGTTAGCTGCATAAATGTCTTCTTTTGAGAACTGTCTATTCATATCCTTCGCCCACTTGTTGATGGGGTTGTTTGTTTTTTTCTTGTAAATTTGTTTGAGTTCTTTGTAGATTCTGGATATTAGCTGTTTGTCAGATGAGTAGATTACAAAAATTTTCTCCCATTCTTTAGGTTGCCTGTTCACTCTGATGGTAGTTTCTTTTGCTGTGCAAAAGCTCTTTAGTTTAATTCGATCCCATTTGTCAATTTTGGCTTTTGTTGCCATTGCTTTTGGTGTTTTAGACATGAAGTCCTTGCCCATGCCTATGTCCTGAATGGTATTGCCTAGGTTTTCTTCTAGGGTTTTTATGGTTTTAGGTCTAACATGTAAGTCTTTAATCCATCTTGAATTAATTTTTGTATAAGGTGTAAGGAATGGATCCAGTTTCAGCTTTCTACATAAGGCTAGCCAGTTTTCCCAGCACCATTTATTAAACAGGGAATCCTTTCCCCATTTCTTGTTTTTGTCAGGTTTGTCAAAGATCAGATGGTTGTAGATGTGTGGTATTATTTCTCAGGGCTCTGTTCTGTTCCATTGGTCTATATCTCTGTTTTGGTACCAGTATAATGCTGTTTTGGTTACTGTAGCCCTGTAGTATAGTTTGAAGTCAGGTAGTGTGATGCCTCCATCTTTGTTCTTTTGGCTTAGGATTGTCTTGGCAATGAGGGCTCTTTTTTGGTTCCGTATGAACTTTAAAGTACTTTTTTTCCAATTATGTGAAGAAAGTCATTGGTAGCTTGATGGGGATGGCATTGAATCTATAAATCACCTTGGGCGGTATGGCCATTTTCATGATATTGATTCTTCCTATCCATGAGCATGGAATGTTCTTCCATTTGTTTGTGTCCTCTTTTATTTCGTTGAGCAGTGGTTTGTAGTTCTCCTTGAAGAGGTCCTTCATATCCCTTATAAGTTGGATTCCTAGGTATTTTATTCTCTTTGAAGCAATTGTGAATGGGAGTTCACTCATGATTTGGCTCTCTGTTTGTCTGTTATTGGTGTATAAGAATGCTTGTGATTTTTGCACATTGATTTTGTATCCTGAGACTTTGCTGAAGTTGCTTATCAGCTTAAGGAGATTTTGGGCTGAGACAATGGGGTTTTCTAAATTTACAATCATGTCATCTGCAAAAAGGGACAATTTGACTTCCTTTTTTCCTAATCGAATACCCCTTATTTCTTTCTCCTGCCTGATTGCCCTGGCCAGAACTTCCAACACTATGTTGAATAGGAGTGGTGAGAGAGGGCATCCCTGTCCTGTGCCAGTTTTCAAAGGGAATGCTTCCAGTTTTTGCCCATTCAGTATGATATTGGCTGTGGGTTTGTCATAAATAGCTCTTTATGGCATTTTTGCAGTGCCAATAGTCCCAATAGACCAGTGAGTTCTCTCCATTAAGTATAATCCTCCTGGGACTTGGGATTTGTGGTTGCCATGTTGCCACTGGTAAGATTAGAGTTTACATAATAGCCGAGCTGAGAAAATTCTTCCATGGCCCTCAGCGGACACAGAAGAAATCGTGCAGGTCACCTCTGGGTCAGGAACTCATACAGAAGATAATGCTGCCTTGGCTCCTGGCATTGGGGGTTGGGCTGGCCCTTGTCTCTGGATGCTTCGAATGAGAAGTATAGGCAACTGTCCTAATTGGAAATAAACTTCTCAGGTTCCAGGCCTCCCTTGGCTCTGAGGGCTGTGTACGGGAGACAGCAGCATCTGGGATGGATGCCTGCTTTACCAAAGATCAGTCTCCAACCTTGAGGGCTGTGCTGCTTATCTGTTGACGGTCGGAGAGCAGATTGCCAAATACAGGTCAAGAGGTGTATATGACCAATTAAAGGGTCTTCTCCTTTTCCAGTTAGGCTGTTCAGGGCTTCAGCTTTATTCAGTTGTTCAATTTTATTTTGTTATTGTTTAACAATTCTGATGTCTAGTCAAAGTTTAGTAATGCATTTGTTTGAGGGAATATGGTCTGAATCACAAATTCATAGAGCTACCATTATGCAGGGATGGAAAGTGGCTTTTTAATGGAGTTGACTAGTGTGTTCCTAATATGAATAATTAGTAATATTTACAAGGCAGCTTGAATCCTGATAGGCAGAGCACACTGGTGTTTTTCGTTTTGTTTTCATGGAATGCATAGCATATCGTTTCTTTAAGATTTTATCCTAGTCATCTTTTAATACTCTGCTCAAAATGGAGTTCCCTGTCCTGGTCCTTGTCCTTCACTGCTCCCCCGAACACCATATCTATGACTACTTTATGTCAGTACTATAAATATTGCTGTACACTGTGGTGTACTTGTCTTTCTCCTTTTGTAAGTTGTAAACGCTTGATTTTATTCTTGTGTCTTCAGGGCCTGGTACTTTTTCCTGTTATAATAGATGCTCCATAAATGTCTATTCAATAAATAATTTTAATCCTGTGGAAAAAAAAAAAAAGAAAGTGAAAAACAGGGCCGGGTGCGGTGGCTCACACCTGTAATCCCAGCACTTTGGGAGGCCGAGGTAGGCAGATCACGAGGTCAAGAGATCAAGACAATCCTGGGCACCATGGAGAAACCCCGTCTCTACTAAAAATGCAAAAAATTAGCTGGGCGTGGTGGCGAGCGCCTGTAATCCCAGCTACTCGGGAGGCTGAGGCAGGAGAATCGCTTGAACCTGGAAGGTGGAGGTTGCAGTGAGCTGGGATAATGCCACTGCACTTCAGCCTGAGTGACAGAGCAAGACTCTGTCAAAAAGAAAGAAGGAGTTAAGGAAGGAAGGAAGGAGACAAGAAAGAAAGAAAAGGAAGGAAGGAAGGAAAGAAAGAAAAGTAAGCAAGAAAGAAAGAAAGAGAAAGAAAGAAAAAGAAAGAGAAAAACAGACAACCCTCGAGGCACAGGAAGGGCAGCGGGATGACATTTATTGGAGGTAAAAAATCACTGTATTCAGTCCGCTGTCCTCAGACACAGGACACAAACTGAAATCCACAGGGAACCAAAGTGTGGGCTGAAGACGGAGCTGTCTACATAATAGTAAAGAGCACACAAAAAAATTGGATTCTTTTCTCCTACACAACTGCTCACCTACAGGCCGTGGTGACCCGTTTTGCAAGCATGGCAGTGGTGGGCATGGTCTGGCTTTGTAGCTGGCTAGAAAGGAGAACTGTTAGCTTTTTGGCATAATTCTAAGTTCCACACCAAGGATCCTATTTTATCACTTGGGTGGTGAGTAGAGAAACAAACACAAATGCCAACAAAAAATCCGACAAGCTGGTGCCATCCTCACCATTCCCGGCATGAGTGCTGCCTGCACCGCGGCACACACAGTCTCCCCTGCTATGGCTGGTGGGCCAGTTCCGGTTCTTGACTTTGCCTCAAGAAAAGAATTCGAGAGTGAGTCCAAGGTAAAAGTAAGCAAGAGAGTTAATTGCAAAGTGAACGTGCACTCTTAACAGCTGGTCAGAGCGGCTGCTCAAAGGTGAGACAGCGCTGACTGACGCTGGGGAAACTCCCTTTAGGGGAATCTTCCGTGATTACTCATGCGTGGGTGGGACGGTGTTGCTCTTAAGCGTGTTCTGGGTGGTCTGTTAGGCCCGCATGCGCAATGGCTGTACATGCTAGTGCATATACATCGCTGTCTCAGTAGCACCTTAAGTCTCCACGTGAGGGTGTGTTTTCACTATTATAATGAGCATAGGTCAGCCCAAGGACACTACCTAAGCATGGGTTTCTGCACTTGCACGGATATGGGGACTGTCCCTTCTTCCCTTCTACCTCCTTGCTACAGGATGTTTTGACCACGAGCCCAGGATGCGGTTTATGCGCTGTCGGGGTTTGCGAGCTGTCCGGCGGATTGTTCTCTCCGTCTATTTAGCAAATGTGTTTCCCTTTAAGGGAGGCTGTGTAAGGGAGGCTGTGAAACGCCTGTCTAACCTACTTACGCTGCAGCTGCACCAGGGAGCAACACAGAGACTTCACAGGAAAACTGGAAGAAACCACAGACCTTTCTAAAGAAGCGGTGGGCAGCAGCCTACACCACGAGCCAGGCAGAAAACTGTGAGTCCCCACAGTGTGAGAAGGGGAGAGACTGACTCAGGGATGTGTATTCTTTTGTAGCCTTTCCTTCGGGTTGAAGAGCACTTAGGTTGATTCTGTATCTTTCCAATCATTGAATTTTCTCAACTTTTTGCTTTTTCTTCTCCCTCAAGAACACCTATGAGTCTTAGATTTCGGGCAAGTCTACTTTCCCCACTCAAGATGACATTGCAGATCTCAGTCGGGAGCTTCTCTCAACCCGTGACCGCCTCCTGAGTCAGCTAGCTGGCTTCTGCAAGGCCCCCTGTGAGGTAGCATCGGGAATGGCTTCCCTCTGTCCCTGCTGGAGCCCAGGACTGCACGCCAAGCACATCCCAATGTGACTCCTTATCTACTCCCCAACGCTCCCTAACTCAGCTCCAGTGCTGGGCAGGGTGAGGGCTTCCCCCTCCTGTGGCCTGGACTGCGTGGCACCCCAGTGGGAGTGCACATCCCTGAGTCAGTCTCTCCCCTTCTCACACTGTGGGGACTCACAGTTTTCTGTCTGGCTCGTGGTGTAGGCTGCTGCCCACCGTTTCTTTAGAAAGGTCTGTGGTTTCTTCCAGTTTTCCTGTTAAGTTCCTGTGTTGGTCCCTGGTGAAAAGGTCACAACATAAATCTTTATACACTGTTTCATCTTTCCAAGGTGGGAGAGGCCGGCTAACAATGCCTGCAATCTGCCATCCTCTCTTTTCAGTTTTGATGTGTTATATACACTCATGCACATATACATAATGTTTACCAAAGTGGGATCATATTCTTAAATGTCCTTTATTAGGAATTCTGAAACATTAAGGGCAAATTTAATCAGAGGAAGGTGAATATACAGCTCTGAGTGTCTAGCATATATTTACAAAATATCTCAAGTCTTCTGTATCTAGATATAATTACAAAATATCTCTGAAGTCTTCTGTTTTACTCTGAAAGTCCCTATGAATGTTTGTGGCCTATGGAAAAACACGTTTCTGTTAGTTTCAACGGGAAAATAATGCATTCATTGTCACTAAAGTTGTCTGATTGACCTGACTCAGTATTTGAGTATAAATGACATCCCCAGAAGATATGCAAAGTGGACCTTCTGCCTTTAGCTCCTCTGAAGCACTTTTCACGCCCTGCCCTTGGGTCCTGGATCCCCACTGGAGAAGCAACAGCTCTGCACCACTACTGTTAATTATTCATGGCTGCATAGTATTCCACTGAATTTGATGTGTGTTGACTTATTCAACCAATACCCTATTTAGGAGCATTAAGCTTTTTTCAATTTGTTTTGAAACAGGGTCTTGCTCTGTTGCCCAGGCTGGAGTGCAGTGGCATGATCATGGTTCACTGCAGCCTCAACCCTCCAGGCTCAGGCAGTCCTCCTGCCTCAGCCTCCCGAGTAGCTGGGACCACAAGCATGCACTACCATGCCTAGCTAATTTTTTTTTTTTTTTTGTAGAGACAGAGTCTGCCTATGTTGCCCAGGCTGATCTCAAACTCATGGACTCAAGCAATCCTCCCACTTCAGCCTCCTTAAGTGCTGAGATGTAGGCTTGAGCCACTATGCCCAGCCAGTTCTTTCCATTTAAAAAATATATATAGACAATTTTTCCCAGAAGCATATGACGGGATAGACATAATTTTTAGAGCAGTTTAGGTTCACAGATTGAGCAGAAGGTACAGAGATTCTCCATATACCACCTGCCCCCACACATGCATAACCTCCTCTATTATCAGCATCTCCCACCAGAGTGGTACATTTGTCATACTTGATGAACCTCCATTGATACGGTATTAGCACCCAAAGTCCATCGTCTATATCAGGGTTTACTATTTTGTATACACAGCAGCATGCACAGCTTTTGCCTAGTCCGATTTGTAGATCCATGAAGAATCCCAGAAGTAGACTTGTGTGGGAAACACATGAACCTTGCCCAGAGAGAAATCTGGCCTTCTGGAGCACCTTGTCCAAAACCCTGTCTCTTCAGTCAGGAATAGCAGTATCCAGGGCTCACCTGGGGGCGGGTGGCAGCCTGGGGAGCAGACCCAAGGAGCTCTCAATCCATTTCTGGAGCCCAGCTTTGTACCTTCTTACCAAGAGAGCAGAACGTCACAGTCCCTCCCGGGGCAAAGTCCTGCCCGGTGCAGCCAGAGTGCACACTAATGAACAGCCACTCCTCCCCATTTATCAGGCCTGGAGACCAAATGGAATGTTAACCTGGGATTTTTGAGGAGCTGTACACAAGGTGGGGTTCCCTACCTGCTCCCTACCAGCATCCTTGGGGCCCTGTCTAGGCAAACCCCATCACCCCAAATGTATCATATCACTAGGGGGAGCCACAGAGTTGCACAATGCATCAACCCTCATCTTTGTCTACAACCTCTGGTAGGAGTAAGAAGTGGATAGAGAAGGTGAGAGGCAGGACCTCCCAAACGGCTTCCAGAGAAAATGGGAGTGGGAAAAAAAAGTGACATTAACAATAGCAATAACATTACCAATAACCTCAGATAGTAACTACTTCCTGTAGTTACCATTCCTGTTTGGTAAGATTGTAAATCTTTGTTTTTGGGGGTTTGTTTTTTGTTTGTTTAGTTTTTTTTTTTTTCTTCTTCTTTTTTGAGACAGAGTTTCTCTCTCGTTGTCCAGGCTGGAGTGCAATGGCGCGATCTCGGCTCACTGCAACCTCTGACTCTCAGGTTCAAGCGATTCTGTCGCCTCAGCCTCCCAAAATAGCTGGGATTGCAGGCGCCTGCCACAACGCCCAGCTACTTTTTGTATTTTTAGTAGAGATGGGGGTTTCCCTATGTTGGCCAGGCTCGTCTCGAACTCCTGACCTCAGGTGATCCGCCCGCCTCGGGCTCCCAAAGTGCTGGGATTACAGGCGTGAGCCACCGCACCCGGGGAGTTTGTAAATCTTGACATAGGTTAGTCTCTGAGTGACAGGGTGGGAGTCAGGTGTCAAGAAGCATTTGGGAGTCAAAAAGGGTGGAGGAGATTGGTGCAGGGATCCTGGCAAATCTCTGGGTGAGCAGCAGGGGGCGCCCTGATCAGGGCAGGGAATGTTGAGTTGGATACACAGCCATAAGGGGGTGTCATGGGGCTGTGGGAAGTCCACGGACTCTGCCTCAGAAGGGAAATTACTTGATCTCTGTATGCCTCAGCGTCCTCATCTGCAAAGTGGACATCAGAGCTCCTACATTTATTAGCCTGAGAACAAAAACCAGGCAGAATAAATGAACAACCACAGCAGCAACAACAAACAAGAACAAGAGCCAAAAGCAAACAGAGAGATGAGCCCTTATATCATCGGACCCTGAAATCCAGCCACCGTTGAAGCCAGGTCTACCCCTCTGATTTCCAAGACAACAGAAATCAATGCTTTTTTTCATTAAAAGCCAAAAAAAAAAAAAAAAGCATGCTATAACATTGAATAGAAACAACTATGATTTTGAATGTGAATATTAATTATACTCTTGTGGTTCCTGGGCATTGCCTGATGCATGAATTGTGGGAGAGGCAATGAGAGCTGCTACAAAGCCCTATGGAGATGGAGATCATGCAGCAAATGGCCAAGGGCCATGAGCCTTAGAAAACCTGTCCTGGGGTCGGGCGCGGTGGCTCACGCTTATAATCCCAGCACTTTGGGAGGCCGAGGTGGGCGGATCACAAGGTCAAGAGATGGAGACCATCCTGGCCAGCATGGTGAAACCCTGTCTCTACTAAAAATACAAAAATTAGCTGGGCATGGTGGTGCGCGCCTGGAGTTCCAGCTACTCGGTAGGCTGAGGCAGGAGAATCGCTTGAACCAAGGAGGTGGAGGTTGAAGTGAGCCGAGATCGCACCACTGCACTCCAGCCTGAGTGACAGAGTGAGACTCCGTCTAAAAAGGAAAAGAAAAGAAAAGGAAAGGAAAAAAGAAAGCCATACACAGTGGCTCACATCTGTAATCCCAGCACTTTGGGAGGTCAAGGCAAGTGGATCATTTGAGCCCAGGAGTTGGAGACTAGCCTGGGAAACATGGCAAAACACCATCTCTAAAAAATAGGAAAAAAGAGAAAACCTGTCCTTATAAATTATGATGGCATCTCTACATGCAAACCTGTCTCCAGAGAAGGCACATTCCCATCCGCTCAATGCTGCTCATCCTCCTTAAGGAACTGAATAAAGCTGGGCATGATGGCTCACACCTGTAATTCCAGCATTTTGGGAGGCCAAGCTGGGAGGATTACTTGAGGCCAGGAGTTTGAGACCAGCCTGGCCAACATAGCAAAACCTCATCTCTACCAAAAATTCAAAAAACTAGTGGGACGTGGTGACACACGACTGTAATCCCAGCTAGTTGGGAGGCTGAGGTACAAGAATCTCTTGAACCAAGGAGGTTGAGGCTGCAGTGAGTCAAGATCATGCCACTGCACTCCTGCCTGGGTGACAGAGACTCTGGCTTGAAAAAAAGAAAGAAATTGAATGAGCTTTTTGCCCAGTGAGGAAAGATTTCTTGTATGTAAATTCATGTGCTCTTCCTTGTTCATCAAAAGTTATTTTCTGTACACTTCACATTCTCATTGATTACTAAGAGAAATTCCTCGTACATATCAAGCTTAATTAGCTTGTACTCTATGCCCGAATATCCCTATGTGTCTCACCATGGGGTGATTCCCTGTCCACCTTACCTTTTGAGCTTAAATCTTCCTTGGCGAAATCAGAATAACCTCAAATGAGAGCATAATTTCCTACTAATTCCATGTGCAGCCTCATATTTTCTCTGTTTCAACTTCAAAGTGTTATTTATTTTAGTTCCGAAAGGATGTGTTTCTTCATATTTTCATTTAGAAACAAGGAATAGAATCTAATTGTTGGACAAAAGTCAGAGATGGAAATTCTTATAAAAAATCCTCCTTTCTTTGTCAACAAGCCCAATGTACCCTGAGAATCATTCTTATCATGGATATCGAGTGTGGGAATAGGTCAATGGGGGATTGAACCTTGAACTTCTGAGGGTTTGAACCCAGAAGTTCAAACTCCAGTCAACCTATTCGCTCATAAAAACATGGAGGAAAGAACTGGATGTGGCTCCTCGTGGCTGTCGGGAAGATGCTGTTGGAGCTTACAGGATGGAGGTGTTGCTCTCCCTTTCAGCTGCAGGAACGGCATGAGCCTTGAGCTGGGGAGACCTCACATTGCACGAACATTGCTAGCCAGAGAATGAAGATGGCTCAGGCACCTGCAGCCCACCATGCGGAGAGCAAGAAACAGCACCCTGAGGGTCACATTGGATATCAGTGATGTGCTGATCTTGACCTTGAGTTAGGAGATGTTCCCAGATTCCCCACTGCCTGGGCCAAAAATTAAGCAAACGTGTTTTTTTAATAAAACCCTTCTTTTCCAGATTAAGCTATCGGTTTTCATTTCTGTTCCTTGCAATTTAAAAAAATGAGATTATCGAAAAAATGAGCAGAGGCTTTGCTGTAAGAAATTTCTATATAGATTTTTTTTCCGCATGATTATTTGTTGATCTAAACTCATGGCATGGGAGATGACAAGGTTTCAGTAAAATGCCTGTTATGAACTGCATGTTTATGTTCCCCCAAAATTCATATGTTGAAGCCCTAACCACCAATGTGATGTATTTGGAGATGGGGCTTTTTGTAGGTAATTATGTTACATGGGGTCATGAGGGTGGGGACCCACTATGGAATTAGTGCCTGATATGGTTTGGCTGTGTCCCCACCCAAATCTCATCATGAATTTCCACGTGTTGTGGGAGGGACATTGCGGCTGGTAATTGAATCATGGAGGCAGGTCTTTCCTGTGCTGTTCTCATGATAGTGAATAATTCTCACAAGATTGATGGTTTTAAAAAGGGGAGTTTCCCTGCACAAGCTCATCTCTTGTCTGCCGCCATATGAGACATGACTTTCACCTTCTGCCATGATTGTGAGGCTTCTCCGGCCACGTGGAACTGTAAGTCCATTAAACCTCTTTCTTTGGTAAATTGCCCAGTCTCAGGTATGTCATTACCAGCAGTGTGAAAACGGACTAATACAGTGCCCTTATAAGCAGAGACCCCACAGAACTTGCTGTCTCTCAACCATGTGAGGACACAGTGAGAAGGTGGCATCTACAAGCCAGGAAACAGAGCCTCACAAGAAAACAAATCATCTGACAACTTGATCTTCTAACCTTGGACTTCTAACCTCCAGAATTGTGAGAAATAAATTTCTGTTGTTTATAGGAGGCTTAATTTATAGTATTTTGCTATGGCAGCCCAGACTAGCTAACACAGTGCCCTAACCACATGTATTCCATGTGGCTACAGTATTCTCTGCACAGTGGCCAAGTATGGTGGCTCATGCCTGTAATCCCAGCACTTTGGGAGGCTGAGGCTGGTGGATCACTCGAGGTCAGGAGTTCGAGACCAGCCTGGCCAACATGGTGAAACCTGGTCTCTACCAAAAATGCAAAAGTTAGCTGGGTGTGGCGGCGGGCGTCTGTAATCCCAGCTACTCAGGAGGCTGAGGCAGGAGAATCACTTGAACCTGGGAGGCGGAGGTTGCAGTGAGCTGAGATCGCACCACTGCACTCCAGCCTGGGCAACAGAGTGAGACTGTCTCAAAAAAAATTATACAAAGACACTTTATTTGTAAGGTAATATTTAGAAGTTCAAGGAGCTGAGACTGTATTTCTTTGGGTGGCCATTATTCAGCTTGCTGAGCTGTCCATGTGATCTCTTATGCATTGGAACTCTTGTGCATTGCTGATGGGAAAGTTAAATGGTGAAGTTGCTCTAGAGAGTAGTAGTGGGGTTCCTCAAAAAAATTAAAAATAGAATGATCTTATGATCCAGCAATTTCACCTCTGGGTATATGGCCCAAAAGATCAAAAGCCGGAACTTGAGCATAGTTTTATGCATCTGTGTTCACAGAAGCATATTCACAGTAGGTAAAAGGGAAAAGCAACCCTGCTATTCCTAAAAAGTGAATGAATAAACAAAGTGTATTGTATACATGCAATTGAATATTACTCAGCCTTAAAATAGAAGGAGAAGCTGGGCTGGGGCATGGTGGCTCACGCCTGTAATCCCAGCACTTTGGGAGGCCGAGGTGGGCATATCACTTGAAGTCAGGAGTTCTAGACCAGCCTGGCCCACATGATGAAACCCCATCTCTGCTAAAAATATAAAAATTAGCCAGGCATGATGACATGTGCCTGTAATCCCAGGTACTCGGGAGACTGAGGCAGCAGAATCGCTTGAACCTGGGAGGCAGAGGTTTCAGTGAGCCCAATCATGCCACTGCACTGCAGCCTGGGCAACAGAGCAAGACCCTATCTCAAAAAAAAAGAAAAAGAAAAAGAAAACAAAAAACAAAACAAACAAAAAAACCAAGGAGACAGGCATGGTGGCTCACACCTGTAATCCCAGCACTTTGGGAGGCCGAGGCAGGTGGATCACCTGAGGTCAGGAGTTCGAGACCAGCCTGGCCAATATGGTGAAACCCCATCTCTACTAAAAAAAAAAAAAAAAAGAAAAGAAAATACAGGCCGGGCACGGTGGCTCACGCCTGTAATCCCAGCACTTTGGGAGGCCGAGGCGGGTGGATCACCTGAGGTCAGGCATTTGAGAGCAGCCTGACCAACATGGTGAAACCCTATCTCTACTAAAAATACAAAATTAGCCAGGTGTGGTGGCACGTACCTGTGATCCCAGCTACTCGGGAGGCTGAAGCAGGAGAATTGCTTGAACCTGGGAGGTGGAGGTTGCAGTGAGCCAAGATGACGCCACTGGACTCCAGCCTGGGCAACAAGAGCGAAACTCTGTCTCAAAAAAAAAAAAAAAAAAAAATTAGCCGGGCCTGGTGGCAGGTGCCTGTAATCCCAGCTACTCAGGAGGCTGAGGCAGGAGAATTGTTTGAACCTGGGAGGTGGAGGTTGCAGTGAGCTGAGATCACGCCATCACACTCCAGCCTGGGCGACAAGAGTGAAACTCCGTCTCAAACAACAACAAAAAAAAAAAAAAAAAAAAAAAAGAAGGAGAAGCTAGCACATGATGCAGCGTGGATGAACCTTAAATATATTCTAAGTCAGTCACAGCAGGACAAACACTGTATGATTCCACTTATATGAGGTGTGTAGAGGAGGCAAATTCACAGACACGGAAAGTAGAGCCATGCTTGCCAGGGGCTGTGATCAGAAAGAAATAGGGGGTTTTCACCTCTTTGATGCAGTTTCAGTTTGGGAAGGTGAAGAAACTTCTGGAGATAAATCATAGTGATTCATAACAACGTGAGTGTACTTGGTGCAACTTCTCTAAACACTGAAAAATAGTTAAAACGGTAATTTTTTTCTTCTGTATATTTTACCACAATTAAGAAAAAAGCTACTGAAGATTTCATAGCCACCTCACCAAAAAAGAAAAGCAGATGGCGAACAAGGCCGTGAAAATAGCCTCAATATAATTTGTCATTAGGTAATTGTAGAATAGAAGAAGAATGAGGTAGAATTACATACCTAAGAAAAATGACTGAAAAGTACAACAAAGGTAACAAGAAATTTTAAAATATGTGGATGATATCACATGCTAGCAAGGATGTGAAGTGATCAGAGCTCATGTCTACTGCTGGTAGGAATACAAAATGGTATATACACTTTGGAGAATAGTTTGTCAATTTTGTATAAATTTAAACTTACACTTGACCAAGTGTACGTCTGACCAAGCACTCGACTCCTAGGTTTTTACTCAAGGGAATTAAAAACTTATGTTCACACGCAGAAAGTTGAATGGAATGTTTATAGCAACATTATTTTAGAGTCACCAGAACCTGAAAACAGTTGCAATGCTCCGCAAATGGCAAATACATGCAAAATGAGAGACCATGAAAACAATGGAGCACCAGTCAACAATTAAACTAAAATGACAGATTTATACCCAGCCCCATAGATGAGCCTCAAAAGCATTATGCCAAGTAAATGAAGCCAGATTTTAGAGGATACATTTTGTATGATTCCATTTATATGACATTCTATAAAAAGGCAAAATGGCAGGGATGGAGAATAGATCCGTGTTTTCTCAGGGACTAAGTGTAGAGGGAGGATTGACTACCTAGAGTCAGCAGAGGGAGGAAATGTTCAGGTAATGACACTTTTCATTGTCTTCACAGCGGTTGTGTATATAACTATATGCATCGGTCAACCCACATAAAATTACATATGATAAAGAATGAATTCAACCATATCTAACTTTAAGTAAATTTTTAAAAATTAAACATAAGATGCCACTGCACTGTCACTAGAACTCTTAAAATATAAAGCATAAGCTGGGCACAGTGGCTCACGCCTATAATCCTAACACTTTGGGAGGCCAAAGAGGAAGAATTGCTTGAGGTCAGGAGTTCAAGACCAGCCTGGGCAACATGGTGAGACCTCATCTCTACAAAAAATACAAAAATTAGCCGGGCGTGGCAGTGAGCACCTGTGGTCCCAACTACTCGGGAGGCTGAGGTGGGAGGATTGCTTGAGCCAAGGAGGTGGAGGTTGCAGTGAGCCGAGATGGTGCCACTGCACTCCAGCCTGGCGAGAGATTGAGACTCCGTCTCAAAAGAAAAAAAAATACTAATTGTTTGCAAGAATATGGACAAGTGGGAGCCCCTTTGCACTGCATGTAAAATGGTGTGACCCTGTGGAAAACTCTTTGGAATTCTCTCCGAAAGTTAAGCCTAGAAATACAGTGTAATCCAGCCATCGATTCCTAGATATGTTCCCAGAATTGAAAGCATGAACTTAAACAGATACCTATACATCAATGTTCATAGCAGCATTATTTACAAGAGCTAAAAGGTGGGGAAAAAAAAAACTCGCGTCCATTGACTGATAAGTGGATAGAAAAAAGGTTCCATATCCATAATATGGGATATTCTTTAGCCTTAAAAATTGAATGGAACTGATACATGCTATAACATGGGTGAACCTTGAAACAACATGCCACATGAAAGAAGCCACACATAAAATGACAAATAGTATATAATTCTGCTTATGTAGCCTTACCTAGAATTGGCAAATTCATGGAGACAGAAAGTAGAATTGCGTATCAGAGGCTGGGGAACAGGGCAAGGAAGAAGGGTGATTGTGCAAATGGTGCAGAGTTTCTGTTTGGGATGATGAGGAAATTCGGTAAATAGTGGTTGCACAACATGGTGAATGTGCTTAATGTCACTGAATTGTACCCTGTAGAATGTTACAAATTGCAAACTATATGTTACATATTGTATAGTCAGGTCTAGCACCGCTATAAAGAAATACCTGGGACTGGGTAATTCAGAAAGGAAAGAGGCTTAATTGGCTCAAGGATCTGCAGGCTGTACAGGAAGCATAGCAGCCTCTGCTTCTGGGAAGGCCTCAGGACACTTACAATCATGACGGAAGGTGAAGGGGAAGCAGGCAGGTCTTACAAGGCCAGAGTAGGAGAAAGAGAAAGAGTAGGAGGCTGGGCACGGTGGCTCACACCTGTAGTCCCAGCACTTTGGGAGGCTGAGGTGGGTGGATCACTTGAGGTCAGGAGATCAAGACCATCCTGGCCAACATGGTGAAACCCTGTCTCTACTAAAAATACAAAGAAGACAATTAGCCAGGCATGGTGATGCATGCCCGTAGTCCCAGCTACTCAGGAGGCTGGGGCAGGAGAATCTCTTGAACCATGGAGGCGGAGCTTGCAGTGAGCTGAGATCACGCCACTGCACTCCAGCCTGGTGACAGAGCAAGACTCTGTCTCAAAAAAATAAAATAAAATAAAATTTATCATCGATATACATACGTGTGTGTGTGTATAAAAATGTAGCACATATAGGGTTTGCCCTGTCTGTGGTTTCAGGCATCCACTGGGGGTCTTGGAAGCTATCCACTGTGGATGGGGGACTACTCTAGAGTAAATCTTTATAAAGTGATGACAAGAGATGATGGGGAAAGAGGATGATAAGAGTATGACAATTCCTCCAATAATTAAAAATAGAATTCACATAGGATCCAGCCACTCCACTTCTGGTCTACATGAAAAGAAGTGAAAGTGGGAACTTGAGGGCCAGGCATGGTGACTCACGAGTATAATCCCAGCACTTTGGGAGGCCGAGACAGGCAGATCACCTGAGGTCAGGAGTTTGAGGCCAGCTTGGCCAGCATGGTGAAACCCCATCTCTACTAAAAATAAAAAAATTAGCTGGGCATGGGGGCAGGCTCCTGTAATCCCAGCTACTCGGGAGGCTGAGGCAGGAGAATCACTTGAACCTGACTGGCAGAGGTTGCAGTGAGCCAAGATCATGTCATTGCACTCCAGCCTGGGCAACAGAGTCCCAGAGTCCGTCTCAAAAAAAAAAAAAAAAAGTGGGAACTTGAATAGATATTTATACTCCCGTGTTCATGGCAGCATCATTCGCCAGAGCCAAGAGGTGGATTTCTGGAGAGGCAGATGAGTAAGCAAAAGGTGGTAAAATCATACATTTGAACCTGTCAGCCTTAAAAAGAAAAGAAATTCTGACACCTGCTACCACAAGGCTGGGCCTTGAGGACATTATCCTAAGGGAAATACAGTCATGAAAAGTCAAATACTGCACAGTTCCACCTACTGAGATTTCTAAAGGAGTCATATTCACAGAAACAGTGAGTACAGTGGTGTTTGCCAGGCACCCAGGACAGGGAAAATGGAAAGTCGCTGTTTTGTGGGTACAGAGTGAATTTTGCAATATGGAAGAGTTCTGGAAATTGGTTGTACAACAGAATGAATATGCTTCACAGAACTGAACCGTACACATAAACATAATGACAATGGTGATGTTTATGTTCTGCATTTCCTTTTTACCAAAATTAAAAGGTATTTGAAAGGGTAAGAGCTGATTGCAGGTAGAGAAGAGAAGTTCACAGGACAGAGCCCCAGGAGAATCCAATGAGGAAGACGCACCTGAGAACCCGGCTGTGTCAGCCTCCCCGCTTATTCCTATGGACGTCCCTTTACCGTGGGATCCAGACCCCATTTCCCCACAACAGTGGGGCTCCTGGACCCCAGAGGCTGCATTGTGTTGGGACCTTGTTTCTCTCACTGCACCGGCTCCCCTCCATCAAGCTTAATAACTCGCAGCTGCATAATTATGTTCATGGTTTATTGTCTGCTCCCTGCACGGGAGAGTAACCTGGATCAGGGTCAGGCAGGCATCTTCCAGGGGCTCTTTCTGTAGCCACACCTGCCCTGCCCAGGCCTCAGGGGCCCTCCATTGAATTCCATAATTTTTTGACTCTTTATTTGGATCCTCAATCCATCACCACCACGTGCGCCAACTCAGAGAGATTATCCGTAATTCCTCAGCCCTAATGTCCTTTTACATAAAATGGAAAGAATAGCATTGAGTTTATTGTAGGATCTGGGGAGGAAGCAGTGCAATTAGTCCTCACCTGTGCTATTTTCCTGTTGCTGCTCTAACAA
This sequence comes from Homo sapiens, assembly GCF_000001405.40. NCBI lineage: Eukaryota > Metazoa > Chordata > Mammalia > Primates > Hominidae > Homo > Homo sapiens. The sequence continues at coordinate 51,429,003 of NC_000019.10, read as the reverse complement.
ATTACCCCAGGATTCGTGGTTTGAAACAAGACAATTTCTTTTCTTACAGTTCTGGAGGTCAGAAGGATGGAAGAGGACTCACTGGGCTATAAAATTAAGGCTGATTCCTTCTGGAGGCTCCAGAGGAGACTCTGTTCTTTCACCTTTTCTACCGTTCAGTGGCCACCTGCATTTCCGGGCTCATGGCCCATTTCTTGGTTGTCAGAGCCAACTTCGTGGCATCTTTTCTCCTCTCTGACCTTTGTTCCATCCTCACATCTTGTCTCTCGGACTCTGATTCTCCCCCTTTCCTTCTTATAAGGACACTGTGATCACACTGGGCCCATCTGGATAACCCAGGATCTTCTGCCCATCTCAAGATCTTGAACTTGAACTTAATCACATCTGCAAAGTCCCTTTGTCTTTTTTTTTTTTTTTTTTTTTTTTTTGCAACTCTTGGCTGTTGGCTCTGAAGGATAAAAGTTCCTTTATCTTGTATGGCAACATATTCACAGTTTCCAGGTGATGCAGGGTTTTTGGCTCCTTAGCTCAGCTAGGTCCAGGTTCTTGTCTCATGACCAGGAAAAATTAGGCATGTGGACACTTGAAGATGGAGTGGAGTAGAATTTATTAAGTGAAAGGAAAGCTCTCAGCAAAGAGAGGGTTCCTGAAAGCAGGTTCTCGGTTACCCCCTCACAGTTGAATACAAGGTGTTGTTGTTTTGTTTTTTTGTGTTTTTTTGTAGGTGGGTGGGGTAGGAGTTTTGCTCTTGCTGCCCAGGCTGGAGTGCAGTTGTGCGATGTCAGCTCACTGCAACCTCCACCTCCTGGGTTCAAGCGATCCTCCTGTCTCAGCCTCCTGAGTAGCTGGGACTACAGTTGTGAGCCACGGTGCCCGGCTAATTTCGTATTTTTAGTAGAGATGGGGTTTCACCATGTTGGTCAGGCTGGTCTTGAATTGCTGACCTCAGGTGATCCACCCACCTCAGCCTCCCAAAATACTGGCATTACAGGCATGAGCCACTGCAACCAGCCACAAGGGCTTTTATATAAGCTGATGGGGCTGGGTTACCTGTTTGTATAAGGTGAAAATTCCTGATGGCTCCACCCCATTCCCCCAGTGCGTTTGTGGGCCCTTAGTCCCCTGCTGGGGTGTTTAGGCAAGCCCCCTGTGCAAGTTCCCTTATCTGCACAAAACATCTGGTGTAACTGCTTATCAGGTGGGTCAGAGGTTCTCAGGGGACCCTTCCCTTACTGTCTGCCTAATGCAAGCTGGCTAACGCCTTTCACAGGGATTAGCAAGTGGACATCTTTGGGGGCCATTACCCTGTCGACCACTTCATCTAATCAGGTCTAGGCATTGTCATTAGTCAATATTTATGTAAATGGTGAACAAAGAAGAAATAAATGGGGTCCAGGAAATGTGGAATTAATGAATGGAATAGGCAACAATGATCCTTGTTGGAATGACTTTACCCCAGCTATGGCTACTAGCTCAAAGTGGCGCCCCAGGCCTCCAGCCTCCCTCTGCATGACCCTTTCAGGAAGTTTGTATCCTAGCCCTACCTCTGCCTGGAAGATGCCCACAAATTTCTGTCTGGTGCAGCTTGTTCTGAGCACAAATCACTTCCCCTTGAGAGGCGCCCCCACCCATGTGAGTCAGCTCAGTCAATGTCCTGGAAAGTTCTTTACACATCTCAGAATTTCACCGAAGTCTTCCCATGAGGCAAGAGCTCCACAAACTTGGCTACTGGAAAATGTCTCAAATCCCTCCCTTCCTCCATTCTCACAGCCACAGTCCCACTTAGCCAAAGTCTAACTTTGCTTACCTGGACCCGGGTGATGCCTGGACCTGCAGCAGCCTCCCTCCTGGCCTAGCAGCCTCCGGTCTTGCTCCCTTCAATGACCACAATTCGGGCCCCAAAGAGGAGTCTCTCTTTAACCAAATCTTTCCCAGTCACATCCCTACTCAGCTCCTCCCCTGGCTCCTGTGGCTCCTGGAGAAAGCCCAAGTGTGTCACCTGTCTTGGTTCCTCCAAGTGGCCAGAACCACGAGGGTTAGTGCCCTCCACGGTTTTGCACATCAAGGCCGGTCGTCCTGGGACGTTCTCTCCGTGTCCCGATACGGCCAAGTCCTCCGCATGTTTCCATGCCCCTGTCCCGGGACCATTAAGGAGCCTCCCGACCCCTGCATGCTGGGGGTCTTCGCCCCTACTTGCCCTTGCTTGTGATGCTTGTCTCAGAAACGCAGTTTCCTCTCCTGAGTCTGGGGGAAGGCGCAGGGAGAGAAGGGCCTCTCAGCCCTCCCCTCCAGCTCTCTCGGTTTCCCTAGTCCCATAGATTCTGGGCAATGCTGCCTCTCTGCTGGTGCAGGAGGGCAGTCCCTGCACCTGGTCTGTGATGCTGACAGCAGCCCTTCTGCCAGCCTGAGCTGGTCCCAGGGCAGCCTGATCCTGAGCCCCTGCCAACCCTTGCATCCCCGGGTCCTGGAGCTGCCCCAGGTGGTTTTAGGGGATGGAAGAGAATTCACCTGCTGGGCTCAGGCCCTGCTGGGCTCCCACCCCATCTCCCTGAGCCTGGCTGTGCAGGGTGAGTGTTAGCAGAACACCTGATTCTGGTGGGGGCGCCTTAGGCAAGGGAAGAGTGGGCTGAGGACACCCCCACCTCTGTCTTCCTTCCCCCAGCCCCCTCCCCGTACCGCCTGTTCCTGCTCTCAAATTTCTGGAGAGCAGTGGGGCTCCTGGCTTCTGCCCCTCACCCTGCTCAGGGGAGCCATAATGGGGATGGCTTTCTTTTAACCTGTGACATCACCTGGATGTCTGCACAGGGGAGAAGCCCTTCTCAAGTTGTTCTATAACTTGAGCCCTCAAATCCCTGAGTGGCTTCACCTATCCTCTCCTCCCCAGAGCACACCTTCCACAGCACTGGTCTCTCCTCTCAGAACTGTGTTTCCCACACAGGCTCACGGGCTCCCAAGGGGATACGGCTGCTTGCGGTGACTGAGCTCCCTCCTCACAGCAGAGCTGAGGTCTGGGCTCCAGGTCCCCAGTGGAGGTGAGGGTCCTTCAGACCATGTGTCCTAAGACTCTCACTCTGCAGATGGCTGGAGCAAGGAGCGCCTGGGTGCCTCGGTCCCACCTCCTGGGCAGAACAACCTCTCTCCACCCCTCACCTCTGTTTTCCACACCTCTTCCTTATGGCTCTATAGGAATGGTTGGGAAGGCAGGAGAGGAAACAGACTGATATGTGTTATCACTGATTTGAGTTATAATCCATGCAATATCTTGTTCTCCATGCTTACTTTAATGTGATTTTGATAGGCCACGAATTCATCCCCATAATATGTTGGTATAAACTCCATGTTTATTGAAAACAGTTCTTTTTTTTTTTTTTTTTTTTTTTTTTTTTGAGATGTAGTCTTGCTCTGTCGCCCAGGCTGGAGTGCAATGGTGCAGTCTTGGCTCACTGCAACCTCTGCTTCCCGGGTTCAAGTGATTCTCCTGCCTCAGCCTCCCGTGTAGCTGGGATTACAGGCACGTGCCACCATGCCTGGCTAAGTGGTTTTTTTTTTTTTTGTATTTTCAGTAGAGACAGGGTTTCACCCATGTGGGCCAGGCTGGTCTCAAACCCCTGACCTTGTGATCCACCCACCTCGGACTCCCAAAGTGCTGGGATTGCAGGCGTGAGCCACTGCGCCCTGCCTGAAAAGAGTTTGTTTTTTAAAAAGATGTTTTATTACAGAATAAGCTGTTTCAAATTTATTCACTTATTAACCATTTTAATTGCTCTTCATTCCTATGTGTTCATATAATTTTCTCTACAGTATCATTTTTCTTTAGCCTGAAGACTTCATTTCCTATAGTGTTAGCATGCTGGTGATGAATTCTCTCAGCTGTGGTTTTGAAACATTTTCATTTACTTTCACTTTGGAATAATCCTTTTTTTTTTTTTTTTTTTGAGACAGAGTCTCCCTCTGTTATCCAGGCTGGAGTATAGTGGCCCCAACTTGGCTCACTGTGACCTTTGCCTCCCAGGCTCAAGCAATCCTCCCACCTCAGTACCCCCGAGTAGCTGGGACTACAGGTGCATGTCTGGCTAATTTTTGTACTTTTAGCAGAGATGGGGGTTCACCGTGTTGCTCAGGTTGGTATTGAACTCCTGGACTCAAGCAATCTGCCCACCTTGGCCTCCCAAAGAACTGAGATTCAGGTGTGAACCAGGGATGATATTTTTAATGAAATTGGGTCTAGGTTAACATTTTTTCCCTTTTGTATTTAAAATCCCTTGACTTGCAAAATTTATGGGCATTCTACTGTAGTTTTCTGGGTTTTTTTGTTTGTTTGTTTGTTTGGACAGAGTCTCACTCTGTCACCCAAGCTGGAGTGCAGTGGCTTCATCTCAGCTCATTGCAGCCTCTGCCTACCAGGTTCAAACGATTCTCCTCTCTCAGCCTCCTGAGTAGCTGGGATTACAGGTGCCCGCCATGACACCCAGCTAATTTTTTGTATTTTTTTTCTTTTTTCTTTTTTTTTGAGATGGAGTCTCGCTCTGTTGCCCAGGCTGGAGTGCAGTGGTGTGATCTTGGCTCACTGCAAGCTCCGCCTCCCAGGTTCACACCATTCTCCTGTCTCAGCCTCCTGAGTAGCTGGGACTACAGGTGCCCGCCACCACGCCCGGCTAATTCTTTTCTATTTTTAGTAGAGACAGGGTTTCACCATGTTAGCCAGGATGGTCTTGATCTCCTGACCTCGTGATCTGCCTGCCTCAGCTTCCCAAAGTGCTGGGATTCAGGCGTTAGCCACTGCGCCTGGCCATTTTTTTGCATTTTTAATGGAGACAGGGTTTCACCATGTTGGCCAGGCTGGTCTTAAACTCCTGACCTCAGGTGAACTGCCCACCTCGGCCTCCTAAGGTGCTGGGATTACAGGTGTGAGCTACTGGGCCCAGCCTAATTTTAATTTTTACTTCTTGGTTGGAAGTTTGCATTTTTCACTGACTAATTTTAATATTTTCTGTTTGTCACTGAGTTTTAATTATTTGATTATTATGTCCCTTTCTGTGTGGAGAGCAGGAGTGTGTGTGATAGAAAAAGACAGAGAAGAGAAAGAGAGAGAGTGATATCTTGTTTCAAGTAGGTTGAGTATCTTGGATCTGTAAATTTACAGTTCTGGTCAAATTTGGACAATTGAAAGTGATATTTATGTAATTTTTTTCTGATTTTCTTCTCTCTATATACTGGACATTGTGATTTTTATGTGATTGGCTGCTTGATTTTGTTATATTCCATTAAACAGCATTGGTGTTTCTTCTTGAAAGTCACTTGCATTTAGGTTGACTTCTTTCTTTCTTTCTTTCTTTCTTTCTTTCTTTCTTTCTTTCTTTCTTTCTTTCTTTCTTTTTCTTGAGATGGATTCTTGCTCTGTCACCCAGCCTGGAGTGCACTGGTGCTGTCTCAGCTCACTGCAACCTCCGCTTCCTGGGTTCAAGCGATTCTCCTGCCTCGGCCTCCCAAGTAGCTGGGATTACAGGTGCCCGACACCATATCCAGCTGATTTTTTTGTATATTTAGTAGAGATGGGGTTTCACCATGTCGGCAAGGCTGGTCTCGAACTGCTAACCTTAGGTGATCTTCCCGCCTTGGCATCCCAAAGTGCTGGGACTACAGGCGTGAGCCACTATGCCGGCCTAGGTTGGCCTTTTTAAGGCTCTTTACCTTTCACCCTCTCCTGTGATGGACCTAGTGTTCTCTTTATTCCAGGGCTATTTTTATCTTCTTGGCTCTTCTTTTCCATCCACAGTAGGGGATCATTTCATGGGTAACTCATGTTTTGGGGAGCAAGAGTCCTGCTGTTCTGTAAATAACAGGAGAGTAAAAGAAAAGTTAACAGATGGGGGAAAATATCTGAAATGCACATATGTAACAGGTGTCAGATCACAGACAACTTAGGGGTTTGACATAAGGAGTTGAATCTTATTTTGGAAAACTAATGCTTGAAGTGAGTGTCATATCACACTCACACACCAGTAAGTCACTATTATATCTGACAATAAAGTGTTGCACTTGCAAAATTTTTCCTTCACTAGAAATTAGGGTGAATCCAAGTCTATCCTCTAGTGATATTTCACTCTTCTTGCCCTGCAACGTGTTATTCTGACTTGAAAAGGAAAGGACGGAGGCCCAGCTAAGAGCCCCTGAAATATACACGACCCCAATCCAGACAAAGCAAAGATGAATGACCTGAAAAGCCCCCAGGAGCGCATTTTCTTATGTGGACATCACATGCTTAATGTGCCTGGGTGGAAGTCATTTGGGAATAACGCTGTAAAGAGTGTGAATATTGCCGGGCGCGTTGGCTCACGCCTGTAATCCCAGCACTTCGAGAGGCCAAGGCGGGCGGATCACGAGGTCAGGAGATCGAGACCATCCTGGCCAACACGGTGAAACCCCATCTCTAGTAAGAAAAAAAAAATACAAAACATTAGCCGAGTGTGGTGGCGGGCACCTGTAGTCCCAGCTACTCGGGAGGCTGAGGCAGGAGAATGGCGTGAACCCGGGAGGCGGAGCTTGCAGTGAGCCGAGATCGCACCACTGCACTCCAGCCTGGCGACAGAGCGAGTCTCTGTCAAAAAAAAAAAAAGAGTGTGAATATTTTGAAGGGCTTTATATCTTGGGGAGGGTGGGTTTGGGATGAGAGAAGTGGAGTGACGATGGTGACTTCGTTTTTGCTTTAATGTGATTCCCCCGGAGGAGATCTTGTTCTAATGTGTGGCGAAAAGTAGCCTTTTTAGAGAGTACTGTCTGCAAACGTGTCCAGAGCCTGGGACTCGTTCCCTTGGGAGCCTCCCTTCTGCAGGACCATGGACAGCGCGGGCTCTGGGGCCCGAGGCTCCGCGGTGCCGCCTGCTCTGAAGGTGGAGCGCCCCCTGGGGGCGGCGTCCTGAACTGCAGCACAGCCCGAGGTGGGAGGAACCCAGGACCAGGTCCGGAGCTCAAAGGACACAAAGACGCTGGTCAGGGAAGGTCCAGATCGCCCTTCTTCCGACAAAACCTCCTGGGCTCCCTCGGGGTCTCAGCTGCAGCCACTCGTGGGCTCTCCATCCTCTCCAGGACCCTGGCCCTCGCCCCTCCCTCCTCAGGACGCGGTCCTCACGCCGCACCTGCGCCCCCCGGGGCGAGATCCTGCCCCGACCCCTGTCAGACACCCCCGCCTCTCCCTCCCCCACCTCCCACCGTCCCCGCCCTTCCTTCCAGCGCCCACTTGTGCCCTCGTGCAGCTCCGGGGTCTGGAGCCTGGGTGGGGCTTCCTAAACCCCTCCGTGTGGAATTATGGAGGAAGAGCAGGCGCCTAGCCCCTGCTGAATGAAGGAGAGGCGGGTGCGGGGGTGGGAGGCTGGTATTGAGGGAGCTGGTTTTGGAGGGAAGCAGCTCAGGGAAAACCCGAACCTTCTCAGGCCAGAAAACAGACTTGAGGCTGCCCAGAAACCAGTCCCGGGGCCCCAGGCAGCCTCTCCAGTCCTGTCTGACCAAGGCTGGGAGGGCGGCTTGGGTAGGAAGGGCTGGGAGCAAGTCGGGGCGTCGGGGGCTCTGGCCTCGCTGGAGAAGGGGACGTGGTGAGGAGGCCACAGAAACCACAGGAACTCAGAAAAGTGAAGAGGGGGGAATGGGAGGGGGCAGCGATGTGGAGAAACCCGCGGGAGGAGGAAGACGGTGCCGCTCTCCTGGCTCCTGTCGGCTGATCCCATGGGTGTGAAATGTTCAAAGGCAGAGGTGGGGCTGGGCCCAGGCTGGGGGCCCTAGAGATCATCAGCTCCTTAGGGACCCACCTCCACCAGGACCCAGGCACCTTTCCTCCCCTCACTCCTCCCTGGGAGAGGCCCTTTTCTGAGCTCTGTGGAGAGGAAGGTGTGATGTGTCCCACCACAAGAGCTCCCCTGCGGGAAGGAGGCTGGTGTCCTCAGAGAAGGCCCAGATTAGGTCACAGGGAAGCAGGGATCAAAGGGAAGGTGAAGCTGGGCTTGGTGGCTCACGCCTGTAATCCCAGCACTTTGAGAGGCCGAGGTGAGAGGGTCACCTGAGATCACGAGTTCGAAACCAGCCTGGCCAACACGGTGAAACCCTGTCTCTACTGAAAATACAAAAATAAGCTGGGCATGGTGGCAGGCGCCTGTAATCCCAGCTACTCGGGAGGCTGACGCAGAATCGTTTGAACCCGAGAGGCAGAGGTTGCAGTGAGCTGAGATCATGCCAGTGCACTCTAGCCTGGGTGACAGAGCACAACCCAGTCTCAAAAAAAAAAAAAGATAAAAATAAAATTAAAAATATGAAAATTAGCTAGGCGTGGTGGCAGGCGCCTGTAGTCCCAGCTACTCGTGAGCCTGCACCAAGAGAATCGCTTGAATCAGACAGGGAGCGGCTGCAGCGAGCCAAGATCATGCCACTGCACTCCAGCCTGGGCAACAGAGCAACACTCTCTCTCAAAAAAAAAAAAAAAAAAATGGGGAGAGGTGGATATTAGGGTCTGAATTGTGTCCCCCCTCCCCCCACCAAATTTCTGTGTTGAAGTCCCAACCTCCAGTACCTAAGAATGTGGCTGTACATGCAGACAGTCTTTAAAGAGATACAGTTGTTCCACTGTATTAGTTGGGGATTGGTTCCAGGATCCCCACCCCTTGGATACCAAAATCTACAATGCTCAGCTGCCTTATACAGTAGTGTTTGCGTGGGACCTCTGCACATCCTCCCATCTCCAGGTTACTTATCACACCTAATACAGTGTAATGCGGTGTAAATAGTTGTTATGCTGTATTTTTAATTCATGCTGTTTTTTATGGTTATGTTGGCTTTTGTTGGTTTTGTATTTAAATGCCGTGATGGGCAGGTGGTTGAATTCCGGGATGTGGGACCTGTGCATACTGAGGGCCGGCTGAAATGAGGTCACTCATTTGGACTAGAGTGGGCCTAGTCCAATATGACTTGAGTTCTTGTAAGTTCTTATAAGAGCAGGAGTTGAGGAAACAGACACCCACAGGGGAACAGCTGTGTGAGAACACAGGGAGAAGTGGCATCTGCAAGCCAGGCAGAAGCCTCTGAAGGAACCACATCTTGGTTTTGGACGTCTAGTCCCAGAACTGTGAGGAAGTCAATGTTGTTGTTTCAGCCCCTCTGTCTGGGGCACGCTGTTACAGCAGCTCAAGCGACTGATACAGTGGATGAGGCCGTGGAGCACACCTGTAATCCCAGCACTTTGGGAGGCCGAGGCGGGAGGATCACTGGAGCCCAGGAGTTCAAGACCAGCCTGGCCAACATGGTGAAACTCTGTCTCAGCAAGGTGCAGTGGCTCACGCCTGTAATCCCAGCTCTTTGGGAGGCTGAGGCGGGTGGATCACCTGAGGTCAGGAGTTCGAGACCAGCCTGAACAACATGAAGAAACCCCATCTTTTCTAAAAATACAAAATCAGCCAGGCATGGTGGCGCATGTCTGTAGTCCCAGCTACTTGGGAGGCTGAGGCAGGAGAATCGCTTGAACCCCGGAGGTGGAGGTTGCAGTGAGCCAAGATCATGCTACTGCACTCCAGCCTGGGCAACAAGAGGGAAACTCCATCTCAAAAAACAAAAACAAACAAACAAACAAACACCTCTGTCTCTACAAAAATTATCAAAAAAAAAAATCAAAAATTATCTGGGCGTGGTGGTGTGTGCCTATAGTCCCGGCTAGTTGGGAGGCTGAGGTGGGAGGATCGCTTGAGCCCAGAAGATGGAGGCTGCACTGAGCCATGATCACACCACTGCACTCCAGCCTGGGCAACAGAGCAAGACCTTGTCTCAAAAACAAAAAACAAAAATGCCATGGATGAAAGAACCAGGACAGGGCAGAGGCTGGGTCATCTCCTCCAGGAGGCCTCTCCTGACTTCCCTCCACCAGGAAGAGCTGACCACTCCTTCCCCAGGTCCCATCCTGAATGTCTGTCCAGCATCCAGTTCATTTAGGGGACCTTCTGTACTTTGTTTCTAAGAATCTTCATTTGCTAACCTGGGGCCCTGGAGCTGACTCACCATGGAGGATTCACCTCCAAGTCCCCCTAAAGCTCAGTGCTTGATACCCAAGGTATGTGGAGGTTGAAGGATGAGTTCTGTGTTTCGGTGTGACCCAAACAGAGTCATTTCAGGAAGAGCTCAGTGAGGGGAAAACATCTTGTAGAGTTTACTCCATTCATTGCAAATTACCCCTTCCCTAGTCTGTTCCCCCCACTCTGCCCCTCACTCCCGCCTTCCTCAAACTCTTCCCATCAGCATTAGCTTTGGACATATGTGTTCTAATCCCAATGGGTGTCCCAATTGAATGACAGAGGAGGAAGGGAGACTGGGAAGTGGACTAGGGCCTGGTTGGGGCAGGAGACTGCTTCTGGGGACCAAGGGTCAGTGAGCTCACCAGGAAGCATGAAGAGGTGGAGCTGACACCACCCTACGGTGGCCAGATTTAGAAAAAAAGAAATTCAACATGCTCAGTTAAATTTGAATTTTAGGCCAGGTGCGGTGGTTCACACCTGTAATCTCAGCACTTTGGGAGGTCAAGGCAGGTGGATCATTTGAGGTCAGGAGTTCAAAACCAGCCCTGCCAACATGGTGAAACCCCACCTCTACTAAAAATACAAAAATTAGCTTGGCGTGGTGGCGCGTGCCTGTAAGCCCAGACTCAGGAGGCTGAGGCAGGAGAATCACTTCAGCCTGGGAGGTGGAGGTTGCAGTAAGCAGAGATTGCACCACTGCACTGCAGCCTGGGTGACAGAGTGAGACTCTGTCTCAAAATATAATTAATTAATTAATTAATTTGAATTTCAGATAAATTTATTTTGCTTTCTGGTATAAGTATATCCCATGCAGCATTTCGGACATACTTATACCAAAAAACATAAAATAAAATACTTTATATTGTCTGTGAAAGCTTTAACCAGGCATCCTGCATTTTACCTGACAAGACCAGCCCCCTCCAGTAACGGTCCCTTCCCCTGTACCCACCACCTCCACCACCAGTGGCCCAGATAAGGGTAGCTCACTGTGGACTTCTCACTTCTGCTTTTCCGATGACCCAGGGCCCAGAGGGAGAGCCCCCACCCCACTACCCCACCCCCAGCCAGGCCCCCAGGATAGACACAAGCCTGCCCTCTCCTCCTACACAGGGAGCTCTGGAAGGACCAGCTCAACAAGCCCAAGGCCAGGCTGGGCCCCCAGGAGACCCAGAGGACAACTGGGCAAGGTGGGCCGGAGAGTGTGGGGGAAGGCAAAGGAGTTCTGTGAGCTCAGCGTCTGAAGCTCATTTCATGCATCAGGCCCCAGGGCTCAGCTTCCGCCTTCGGCTTCCCCTTCTGCCAAGAGCCCTGAGCCACTCACAGCACGACCAGAGAACAGGCCTGTCTCAGGCAGGCCCTGCGCCTCCTATGCGGAGATGCTACTGCCACTGCTGCTGTCCTCGCTGCTGGGCGGTGAGTGGGCCAAGGGCCGGAAAGGACCTGGGGCGGAGCTAGGGCTGGGGTTGCAGGTTGAGCCTCTGTCTCCCCACAGGGTCCCAGGCTATGGATGGGAGATTCTGGATACGAGTGCAGGAGTCAGTGATGGTGCCGGAGGGCCTGTGCATCTCTGTGCCCTGCTCTTTCTCCTACCCCCGACAGGACTGGACAGGGTCTACCCCAGCTTATGGCTACTGGTTCAAAGCAGTGACTGAGACAACCAAGGGTGCTCCTGTGGCCACAAACCACCAGAGTCGAGAGGTGGAAATGAGCACCCGGGGCCGATTCCAGCTCACTGGGGATCCCGCCAAGGGGAACTGCTCCTTGGTGATCAGAGACGCGCAGATGCAGGATGAGTCACAGTACTTCTTTCGGGTGGAGAGAGGAAGCTATGTGAGATATAATTTCATGAACGATGGGTTCTTTCTAAAAGTAACAGGTATGGAATGGGGTGGGAACCCCTGCCTCTCACACTGGGGAGGGACCCTGGGGACAGCCTATGGGCTGAGCAGAGAGGGCTCTCAGGGACCCCTGCAGCACAAGAATCTCCCACCACGGTCTCTGTCCCAGCCCTGACTCAGAAGCCTGATGTCTACATCCCCGAGACCCTGGAGCCCGGGCAGCCGGTGACGGTCATCTGTGTGTTTAACTGGGCCTTTGAGGAATGTCCACCCCCTTCTTTCTCCTGGACGGGGGCTGCCCTCTCCTCCCAAGGAACCAAACCAACGACCTCCCACTTCTCAGTGCTCAGCTTCACGCCCAGACCCCAGGACCACAACACCGACCTCACCTGCCATGTGGACTTCTCCAGAAAGGGTGTGAGCGCACAGAGGACCGTCCGACTCCGTGTGGCCTGTGAGTGTGGCCTGGGAGGGTGGGGTGTGCAGACAGCCCCGGTGGGTGGGGAGGTGGAGGAGCCCAGTGGGACAGTGAGCGGCTCCCAGCTCAGGAGCATCCAGGGAGAGGAAGCTGTGGGGTCCCAGGATGCCGCCGCAGCCCTGGGAGGGGGATGGGAATGGCGTCTGGTCCACACACGTGAGCCCTGGCGCTGGTTGTCACTTGTCTTCCCGGGATAGTCCCACTTTCTTTTCCCTGAGGGAGTTTTTTCCAGGTGTGAGGAATAAATTGTCCCTCCCTGAAGCCAGCTCACAATCTTGTTGCAGATGCCCCCAGAGACCTTGTTATCAGCATTTCACGTGACAACACGCCAGGTACTGAGGGCCGTCGGGCTGGGGCTGGGCCAGTTGTCTTTAGATGAAAAGGCTTCAGGGGATGAGGGGATGTGCTCCTCCCTGTACCCCTTCTCTCTTTCTCCCTCCCTTTCTCTCTTTTTTTTTTTTCCTCCCACTCCAGCCCTGGAGCCCCAGCCCCAGGGAAATGTCCCATACCTGGAAGCCCAAAAAGGCCAGTTCCTGCGGCTCCTCTGTGCTGCTGACAGCCAGCCCCCTGCCACACTGAGCTGGGTCCTGCAGAACAGAGTCCTCTCCTCGTCCCATCCCTGGGGCCCTAGACCCCTGGGGCTGGAGCTGCCCGGGGTGAAGGCTGGGGATTCAGGGCGCTACACCTGCCGAGCGGAGAACAGGCTTGGCTCCCAGCAGCGAGCCCTGGACCTCTCTGTGCAGTGTGAGTGTGCCCAGCAGGGGCCTGGAGTCCATTGGGAGGGCAGAGGGATACAGGGGCTGGGCTCAGGGTCCCAGAGCTGAGGGGGCCTGGAGCCCCAGGCCTCGGAGACCGACCTTCTTACCTGTGTAGACCCTCATGCAGTTTGTGTCTGGGACTCAGTGGGTGATTCTGCCCTGCCCTTCTATCCCACCCACTTCCCCCACCTCAGTGTCCAGGATGGTTCCCTTTACCCAGAGGGAAGCCCCTGGTCCGTCTAGAGCCGGTCCCCTGTCTCCATTTCAGATCCTCCAGAGAACCTGAGAGTGATGGTTTCCCAAGCAAACAGGACAGGTAGGAAAGGGGACAGAGGAGCCAAGGCCTCTCAGTGCCGAATTGGGGGCCCAGGAGTCTGGAGGGTCCCCACGCAGGAGGGTCCCTGAGCCCTGAGCTGCTCATCGATTCTGCCTCTTCCTTCCCTAGTCCTGGAAAACCTTGGGAACGGCACGTCTCTCCCAGTACTGGAGGGCCAAAGCCTGTGCCTGGTCTGTGTCACACACAGCAGCCCCCCAGCCAGGCTGAGCTGGACCCAGAGGGGACAGGTTCTGAGCCCCTCCCAGCCCTCAGACCCCGGGGTCCTGGAGCTGCCTCGGGTTCAAGTGGAGCACGAAGGAGAGTTCACCTGCCACGCTCGGCACCCACTGGGCTCCCAGCACGTCTCTCTCAGCCTCTCCGTGCACTGTGAGTGGGGGAAAGGGGACACCTGGGTCCCAGGAAGGGGACCCTGCTGAGTCCTGTCCTCCCTCCCCTCAGACTCCCCGAAGCTGCTGGGCCCCTCCTGCTCCTGGGAGGCTGAGGGTCTGCACTGCAGCTGCTCCTCCCAGGCCAGCCCGGCCCCCTCTCTGCGCTGGTGGCTTGGGGAGGAGCTGCTGGAGGGGAACAGCAGCCAGGACTCCTTCGAGGTCACCCCCAGCTCAGCCGGGCCCTGGGCCAACAGCTCCCTGAGCCTCCATGGAGGGCTCAGCTCCGGCCTCAGGCTCCGCTGTGAGGCCTGGAACGTCCATGGGGCCCAGAGTGGATCCATCCTGCAGCTGCCAGGTTAGGGGGCCGCCTGGATGCCAAGGTTCTTGGAGGAGAAGCTGACTGGGGCAAAGAGTAGGGTCCTGTGGTTGGAGCAGGAGCTTGGAGGGACACAGCAGACCCGTGGCATCTGTATGTAGACAGGAAAACACAATGGGAAGTCCTAACACCTGGGCCGGGGTGTGGCAGGGTTTCCTAAAAGTAAACAGAGGGGTTGCAGATACAATGTCCGCCATGGGAACCGGAAGCCTTAATGCCGAGTGATGAGCGGGCTTCGTGAGCCCTGCGTGGATGGGAAATGCTCACCTTGCCCTCTCCGTGTGCAGATAAGAAGGGACTCATCTCAACGGCATTCTCCAACGGAGCGTTTCTGGGAATCGGCATCACGGCTCTTCTTTTCCTCTGCCTGGCCCTGATCATGTAGGTTAAGAGGAGGCGTGGCGGGGTCTGGGGCCTGGACCCAGGAAGAGGGGAGGTGTTGCAGGCCGAAAGAGTGAAGGTCGTGATCAACGCAGTATACCTCTGGAGGTTACATGAGTAAACAGCAAACTGTTCTCATAAATGCAGAATGTTGTCCAACTGACAAACTGCGTCTGCTTCCCAGAGGGAATGCTGAGGGCAGTCACGCCCCAAGCGAAGTGTTTCTTGTAATTAGGCACAGCTGAAGCTTGTTAGTAATAATATGAACCTGTGATCAATTAAACAGCTGACCAATTGTTACCTCCTGCTCTCTGCTCTTTCTACCCAATAAATACAAAGGGCTGTAGAGGCTCAGACAGCTGCCCTGGCTCACTAGTAGCAGGGAACCCTCTTCTTCTTCCCCTGACCCCTTCCTTTAAAATAATTTCTTTTGTCTTAAGTTTTCATTTCTACGTTTGTCCTCCTTCTTTCAGTCTCATAATGACGGTCTCAAGTGGTAACAGTAGTAACTGTCATAGTGACGGTCTCAGGTAGTAAACGTGGCAGTCTGTCACAGGGAGGTGCAGCAGGGCACAAACAGGTGGGTTCATTTCCTCAGCATGAAGATTCTACCGAAGAGACGGACTCAGACAGAAACCCCGAGGCCCAGGTTCTCCCGGCACAGCACGATCCTGGATTACATCAATGTGGTCCCGACGGCTGGCCCCCTGGTGAGTGTCTGGGCCATGCTTCCACTTTTTCTCTTCTCTAAAGCTGACATCCCACTTTCTGACTTTTGCACCCCTTGTCTTAGCGACATCAAGGTGGGAAAAGCACCGATAGTTCTGAATTCAAATCCTGCCTGGCACTTACTAGCTATGAGACCTCAGCCACGTCACTCACCCCCTCTGAGCCTTCATTTCTTCCTCTGTCTCCTTTGAGAGTTGGTTTGAGGATTAGAATACATGCACTTTCTCAATCTGTAGCCATTGTTCCATTATTACTGCCACCATTGACATGACTACACTTAACTGCTTAACAATTATGTGTATCATCGGGAGGCTGGGCATCCTAGGGATTCAGCACAGGGGGTCTGAAATCAGCCTGCATGGGTTCAAATCCTGCTGTCATCACTGTGTCATGAAACAAGTGTCTTAACTTCTCTGTGCCTCAATTTCTTTAGCTGTAACATGGAGACAATACTAGCGGCCACCTCCTAGGATGATGCTGGGTGTTAAATATATTGTACTTGCATAATAAAATATTCAGAATATCACCTGGCCCCTGGGTAATACTCTGTAAATTCTGGAAATTATTAAGAGATAACATCTTATGCTGATGACTGCAAAATTGTATCTCGTGGCTCCTTCCCTGAAGACTGTCTATGCAACATCTCCATGTGGGTGTCTAATCAGCACTTCAAACTTAGCCTGTCCAAAACCAACTTAAGATAATTCCCCAGCCTGAGCAACATAGTGAGACCTCTTCTCTACAAAAAAAATAAAAAATTAGCCGGGTGTGGTGGTGCATGCCCATTGTCCCAGCTACTTGGGAGGCTGAGGTGGGAGGATCTCTTGAGCCTGGGAGTTGGAGGCTACAGTGAGCCATGATGACACCATGCACTCCAGCCTGGGTGACAGAGTGAGACCCTGTCTCAAAAAAAAAAAGGCCACGCCTGCTGGCTCACACCTGTAATCCCAGCACTTTGGGAGGCCGAGGTGGGTGGATCGCCTGAGGTCAAAATTTTAAGAGCAGCGTGTTCAACATGGTGAAACCCCATCTCTACTAAACATACAAAAAATTACCTGGGCATGGTGATGGGTGCCTGTAATCACAGCTACTCGGGAGGCTGAGGCAGGAGAATTACTTGAACCCAGGAGGTGGAGGTTGCAGTGAGATCATGCCACTGCACTCCAGCCTGGGCAACAAGAGCGAAACTTCATCTAAAAAAAAAAAAAGACTAATTCCACCATTTATGCTCCATCTCTATCCCCATCTTAGCAAATAACACCACATTTTCCCAGCCAAGTCTAAAGCTTTAGAATCATATTTCACTCCTCTCTTCTCTGTCACCCCACAACCAATCCATCAGCAAATTCCCTTCAAAATACAACCAAGCCAGTTCTCCCTACTCTTCCCTCACTACTACAAGCCATGCATCAACACCCCCCACCCCACCCCGGGCACCACTGGCCCCTTCTGCATGCCTTCTCTGCTTCCGTTCTCACCCCCTCCAGTCTTTCTCTCCGTGCATGCATGCTATTCTTTATTTTATTTATTTTTATTTTATTTTATTTTTTGAGATGGGATTTCACTGTTGTTGTCTAGGCTGGAGTGCAGTGGCAAGGTCTCGGCTCACTGCAACCTCCACCTCCTGGTTCAAGCGATTCATCTGCCTCAGCCTCCTGAGTAGCTGGGATTACAGGCATCCACCACCATGCCCCCCTAATTTTTGTATTTTTAGTAGAGACGGGGTTTCACCATGTTGATCAGGCTGGTCTCAAACTCCTGACCTCAGGTGATCCACCCGCCTCAGCCTCCCAAAGTGCTGGGATTACAGGTGTGAACCACCGTACCCGGCTATCAATTATTTTTTTGAAACAGATTTTGTCTCTGTTGTCCGGGCTGGAGTGCAGTGGCGCAGTCTCAGCGCACTACAACCTCCACCTCTCAGGTTCAAGTGATTTTCCTGCCTCAGCCTCCTGAGTAGCTGGGACCACAGGCATGTGTCACCACGCCCGGCTAATTTTTGTATTTGTGGTAGAGACAGGGTTTCGCTATGTTGGCCAGGCCGGTCTTGAAATTCCCTGGATGACCTATTAAACAGTCATCCCACCCTCCCTTTCGCTGCCTTCTAAAGGTGCTCAAATTTCTTGATGGCATTTGTCACTTACCAGTC
The DNA here is from genome assembly GCF_000001405.40 of Homo sapiens. Classification (NCBI taxonomy): domain Eukaryota; kingdom Metazoa; phylum Chordata; class Mammalia; order Primates; family Hominidae; genus Homo; species Homo sapiens. The sequence goes on along the minus strand of NC_000019.10, from coordinate 51,411,543 downwards.
ATTGTACTTTTGCTAATTATTGTCTGTTCCTCCTTCCAAGATGGAATGCAAGCTCAGCAAGGCAAGGGCAGGGACTTAGTTTCACTCTGTGCTGTAAATCAGTGCCCGACGCGTGGTAAGTGCTCAAATATTTGCTGAATGAATGAATGAAGGATGGTGGTTCTTCCCTCAGGCTCAGAAGCGGAATCAGAAAGCCACACCAAACAGTCCTCGGACCCCTCTTCCACCAGGTGCTCCCTCCCCAGAATCAAAGAAGAACCAGAAAAAGCAGTATCAGTTGCCCAGTTTCCCAGAACCCAAATCATCCACTCAAGCCCCAGAATCCCAGGAGAGCCAAGAGGAGCTCCATTATGCCACGCTCAACTTCCCAGGCGTCAGACCCAGGCCTGAGGCCCGGATGCCCAAGGGCACCCAGGCGGATTATGCAGAAGTCAAGTTCCAATGAGGGTCTCTTAGGCTTTAGGACTGGGACTTCGGCTAGGGAGGAAGGTAGAGTAAGAGGTTGAAGATAACAGAGTGCAAAGTTTCCTTCTCTCCCTCTCTCTCTCTCTTTCTCTCTCTCTCTCTCTTTCTCTCTCTTTTAAAAAAACATCTGGCCAGGGCACAGTGGCTCACGCCTGTAATCCCAGCACTTTGGGAGGTTGAGGTGGGCAGATCGCCTGAGGTCGGGAGTTCGAGACCAGCCTGGCCAACTTGGTGAAACCCCGTCTCTACTAAAAATACAAAAATTAGCTGGGCATGGTGGCAGGCGCCTGTAATCCTACCTACTTGGGAAGCTGAGGCAGGAGAATCACTTGAACCTGGGAGACGGAGGTTGCAGTGAGCCAAGATCACACCATTGCACGCCAGCCTGGGCAACAAAGCGAGACTCCATCTCAAAAAAAAAATCCTCCAAATGGGTTGGGTGTCTGTAATCCCAGCACTTTGGGAGGCTAAGGTGGGTGGATTGCTTGAGCCCAGGAGTTCGAGACCAGCCTGGGCAACATGGTGAAACCCCATCTCTACAAAAAATACAAAACATAGCTGGGCTTGGTGGTGTGTGCCTGTAGTCCCAGCTGTCAGACATTTAAACCAGAGCAACTCCATCTGGAATAGGAGCTGAATAAAATGAGGCTGAGACCTACTGGGCTGCATTCTCAGACAGTGGAGGCATTCTAAGTCACAGGATGAGACAGGAGGTCCGTACAAGATACAGGTCATAAAGACTTTGCTGATAAAACAGATTGCAGTAAAGAAGCCAACCAAATCCCACCAAAACCAAGTTGGCCACGAGAGTGACCTCTGGTCGTCCTCACTGCTACACTCCTGACAGCACCATGACAGTTTACAAATGCCATGGCAACATCAGGAAGTTACCCGATATGTCCCAAAAGGGGGAGGAATGAATAATCCACCCCTTGTTTAGCAAATAAGCAAGAAATAACCATAAAAGTGGGCAACCAGCAGCTCTAGGCGCTGCTCTTGTCTATGGAGTAGCCATTCTTTTGTTCCTTTACTTTCTTAATAAACTTGCTTTCACCTTACCGCCTCGTCTTGAATTATTTCTTGTGTGAGATCCAAGAACCCTCTCTTGGGGGGTCTAGATCAGGACCCCTTTCTTGTAACACAGCTACTTGGGAGGCAGACGCAGGAGGATCACTTGAACCCAGGAAGCAGAGGCTGTGGTGAGCCAAGATCACACCACTGCACTCCAGCCTGAGCAACAGAGTGAGACCCTGTCTCGAAAAAATAAAAATCCTCCATGGATAGGCCATCTCATCCCAGACCTGGGCATTCGGAACAGCCTGACAAATCTGTCCTGAATGGCCTTCTCTGAATATGGTGTTCTGAGAAGGCAGGCAAAGATTTGCCTTTGACACACCCCAGCTCCAGTCCAGAGGACTGCGCAGTTTCATGGGTTCTCAGAGATGGGAGGGTCTTTAAAGATGACTAGATACAGCCAGGCGCAGTGGCTCACGCCTGTAATCCCAGCACTTTGGGAGGCTGAGGCTGATGGATCGCTTGAGGCCAGGAGTTTGAGACCAGCCTGGCCAACATGGTAAAACCCCGTCTCTACTAAAAATACAAAAATTAGCTGGGCGTGGTGGTGCGCAACTGTAGTCCCAGCTACTCGGGAGGCTGAGGCAGATTTGCTTGAACCCAGGAGGCCGAGGTTGCAGTGAGCTGAGATGGCGCCACTGCACTCCAGCCTGTGCAACAGAGCGAGACTCTGTTTAAAAAAAAAAAAAAGACTAGATAGGCTCCTCAGTCACCTCCAGCCTGCTGCCTATTTTCATACCACCTGCAAGCTAGAAATGTTTTTACATTTAAATGCTTGGGGAAAAAGTCCGAAGAAGAAGACTCTTCTGGGGCCCCTGGGAAGGAGATGAAATTCAAATTTCAGTGTGGTGCCCAACCATGCTCATTCCTTTACACATTGCAGTTATTTTCATGCAGAGTTGAGTCACTAGCCTGCAAAGCCTAAAATATTTACCATCTGATCCTTTACAGAAGTTGGCTAGATCTTAATCTACATAAACTCATTTGTTTTCACAGAAGAGGAAGCGAGCGCAGAGGTCCATAAAGAGTTCAAGAGTAGCCGTGGGAAAAATGACTAGGTCTGTGACTACAGGAAGGTTTTCAGGGTGAGGATTGGAAGGGCAGGAGACTGCATGTGGATGGGGTGCTAATGCGCTCTCAGACCCACAAATCTAAAGAAGTGCAAACGCATGCGGGGATGGAGGTTGGAATGCTTTGGAAATGGAACAATGACAAACTTACAACATGCTAAGAATCACACAGTGGCTCACGCCTGTAATCCCAACACTTTGGGAGGCTGAGGTGGGCGGATCACCTGATGTCAGGAGTTCAAGACCAGCCTGGCCAACATGGTGAAACCCCGTCTCACCTAAAAAAATACAAAAATTAGCCAGGTGTGGTGGCGGGCACCTGTAATCCCAGCTCCTCGGGAGGCTGAGGCAGGAGAATTGCTTGAACCTGGGAGATGGAGGTTGCAGAAGCCGAGATCATGCCACTGCATTCCAGCCTGGGCAATAGAGTGGGACTCCGTCTCAAAAGAAAAGAAATAGAGCAAAGGAGAGCACTTTGCTGGCCATCTCCTCTGCTGACCTCTGCTCCTCCATAGCCACCCAAGGGGCCTTTCTTCGGTAGTTATTGCATCGTTGGTGACATGGCAAGGTGGCCCTCTCTGGTGTGTTTTGTTTCCTGGCTGTGCTAAACACTCCAGATACTGAAAAATAAAAAATTAAAAACTGAGCTGGACACGGTGGCTCACGCCTGTAATCCAGCACTTTGTGAGGCCGAGGCAGGCGGATCACTTGAGCTCAGGAGTTCGAGACCAGTCTGAGCAACAGAGCGAGAGCCTGTCTCTACTAAAAATACAAAAATTAGCCAGGTGTGGTGGCAGGTGCCTGTATTCCTCAGCTATTCAGGATCCTGAGGCATGAGAATCGCTTGAACCTGGGAGGCAGAGGCTGCAGTGAGCTGAGATCGCGTCACTGCACTCTAGCCTGGGTGACACAGCGAGACTATGTCTCAAAAACAAAGAAAAAACCTGAATTAGCTGCAAGGACCAAAGTTGGCCACCAGACGTCGGTATACCCAGGATGATAGGACTATAGACTCATGGTGTGGAATGGGATCACCCAATGCAGCCACCTCATTTTACAGAAGGACTTCAGAGAGGGACAAGGTCTTGCATGTCACACAGCTGAACTCCAGAGCTGGGATTCAAACTCAGGCCCAGGATGGGTGAGCACTGCTGGTTACACAGTCTCCTTTAAGCTTAGAGTGGGAAGGATGCTGCAAGGGCTTGAGAAAAAGGGAACTCCCTACAAGCTGCACAAAGACTGAGACTCTGCTTCCTTCCTTCTACCACCAAATTCTGCCATGAGAGCAACCCTTGAAGATCTGTTTGACCTGGGAAATTACAAGATTGCATTGCTAAGGCACCAGGTTTGACTAGGTGTCAGTAACTTTGAAATGTGTGTGTTAAGGTCCTGACTTCTGCAATAGTGACTTGGGACTTGGAGGGAGGGCATTGTTATCCAGTACTCTTGGGGAAAGGCAATGTTGTGCAAATGAAAACAAACAAACAAACAAACAAAAACACCAGGCTTGGAGTCAGAAAACCCAAGGGGAACTTTCCGTATTGCCAAATATTCTTTTTCTTTTTTTTTTTTTTTTTTTGAGACAGTCTCGCTGTCGCCCAGGCTGGAGTGCAGTGGTGCAATCTTGGCTCACTGCAAGCTCCGCCTCCCGGGTTCATGCCATTCTCCTGCCTCAGCCTCCCGAGTAGCTGGGATTACAGGTGCCTGCCACCGCGCCCAGCTAATTTTTTGTATTTTTAGTAGAGACGGGGTCTCACTGTGTTAGCCAGGATGGTCTTGATCTCCTGACCTTGTTATCCGCCCGCCTCGGCCTCCCAAAGTGCTGGGATTACAGGCATGAGCCACTGCGCCTGGCCCCCAAATATTCTTTTTAACCAGTCAACTGGGACATTAACTGCAGGAAGTATGAATATAAAATAGTTATATGTTTTCTGATCACTGAGTCAATCATGTTTTTTTGTTTGTTTGCTTGTTTGGTTTTCGTTTTTGAGACAAGAGTCTTGTTCTGCTGCCCAGGCTGGAGTGCAATGGTGCGATCTTGGCTCCCTGCAAACTCTGCCTCCCGGGTTCAAGCGATTCTTATGCCTCAGCCTTCCGAGTAGCTGGGACTACACGTGTGCGCGCCACCACACCCAGCTAATTTTTGTATTTTTACTACTAGAGATGGGGTTTCGCTATGTTCACCAGGCTGGTCTCCAACTCCTGACCCCAACTGCTTTGCTTGCCTCAGTCTCCCAAAGTGCTGGGATAACAGATGTGAGTCACCGTGCCCAGCCTCCTCTGTTTCTTGATATGAGAGTTGTGTCCCCTGCTTCTCCCATACCTTCTCCAATTCCACCATTGGCAGACACCATGCAGCCTCTTACCGCTTTCTTGGGTGACATATCACCTAGATTGCAGAAGCCCAGCTACCCTCCTTCGTGTCCATCCACCCCCTGCTATAGACAAAATGTATGTGTCCTTCCAAAGTCTAGGTTGAATTCCTAACCCCCAATGTAATGATATTTGAAGTCAAGACCTTTGGAAGGTGATTAGGTCATGAGGGTGGTGCCCTCATAAATGGGATTAGTGCCCTTAATAAGAGACCCCAGAGAGCTGTCCCTCCTACCAAGTGAGGACACAACCAGAAGGCACCATCTGTAAGCCTGGAAGTGAGTCCACATCAGACACTGAATCTGCTGACATCTTGATCTTGGACTTCCCAGCCTCTAAAACTATAAGAAATAAATTTTCATTGTTTACAACCCATCCAGCCTATGGTATTGTTGTTATAGTAGCCAGAAAGGACTCAGAAACCCACACATCCTAACCATGCTGGACTGTGGAGTGCAGGCTACACTGCCCCAAGCTCCTCGTTGCCCCCAGCTTTTCCTCTCTAATGCTCCTCTCCCCTGCGCAGGGAGATGCAGGGCACAGCAAGAAGTTGGCTGCCCACACAGACACCCAATGGGGAGATAGTGTGTTGATTCCTCCCATTCTATCAGGAAACCCTAGTCTTTCCTAAACATTTTCTTGGAGCACCCCCTCCTATCCAGAGCCCTGGTACACGTGAAGAGTTCAGGAAAGAGAGGATGATGAAGCATCTCACCAAAGACTTCTCACCTGTCCAACAGCCAGCTGGCAGCTTTGTTTTTTTGGGAAGCTAGGCAGAGAGAAGCTTTCTGACCCCATTATTGGCTGCCCTCTTTAAACCATTTAAGAGGCAACAGAAAAAGTCCTATTCGGGGCGGGGCACAGTGGCTCACGGCTGTAATCCCAAGACTTTGGGAGGCCAAGGCGGGTGGATCGCTTGAGGTCAGGAGTTCGAGACCAGCCTGGCTAACATGGCAAAACCCTGTCTCTACTAAAAATACAAAAATTAGCCAGATGTTGTGGCGGGTGCCTATAATCCCAGCTACTTGGGAGGCTGAGGCAGGAGAATCACTTGAACCTAGGAGGTGGGTGTTGCAGTGAGCCAAGATTGCACCACTGCACTCCAGCCTGGGCAACAGAGTGAGACTGCATCTCAAAAAAAAAAAAAAAAAAAAAAAAAAAGAAAAAGAAAAAGAAGAAAGAAAGAAAGAGAAAAAGAAAGAAAATGTCCTATTCCTGGAAACCATCATTCTGAGCAAACTGTCGCAAGGACAGAAAACCAAACACCACATGTTCTCACTCATAGGTGGGAATTGAACAATGAGAACACTTGGACACAGGGCGGGGAACATCACACACCGGGGCCTGTGGTGGGGTTGGGGGATGGGGGAGGGATAGCATTAGGAGAAATACCTAACGTAAATGATGAGTTAATGGATGCAGCAAACCAACATGGCACATGTATACATATGTAACAAACCTGCACGTTGTGCACATGTACCCTAGAACTTAAAGTATAATAATAATAAAAAAAGAAAATGTCCTATTCGACATTTGCTAATGAGGAGGACTTAGGTATCATTTATACAGAAAATGTCATCTTTATTAAATAAGTCATACCCCCACCCTCAAGTTTTTGCAGCAAAATGGCTCTGCAAAGAGTTTCTGCCATGGATTGAAAGTTTGTGTCCCTCCAAAATTCATGTTGAAACTTAATCCCCAATGCAATAATATGAAGAGACAGGGCCTTTAGGAGGTAATTATGTCATGAGGGATCCTCTTTCATGAATGGGATTTAGACTATAAAAGAGGCTTCACGCAGTGTTGGCCCCTTTTTGCCCTTCCACCTTCCATAAGAGAGGCACATCTTGGAAGCAGAGATCAGGCCCTCACCAGATACTGAACCTGCTGGTGCCTTGATCTTGGACTTCGCAGCCTCCAGAGCCATGAGAAGTACTTTTTTATTATTTAAATATTACCCAGTTTGTGGTATTCTGCTATAGCCACACAAATGAACTAAGACAGCCTGTGATATGAAGATGGCACCAATCCTGCCCCACGCTCATGAGAGCTCTTCAAGAAAGCACTGGCAATGCTCACGATGGATTTTGAAACAGGCAGAGATGAACTCTCCCAAGTGGTAATTCCCACACCTACATCAACAGCCTCCAGCTCCAGAGAGCACCACGTTTATTTCTTCTTGACTTTTTTTTTTTTTTTTTTGAGATGGAATCTCCCTCTGTTTCCCAGGCTGGAGTGCACTGGCACGATCTCAGCTCACTGCAACCTCCGCCTCCCAGGTTCAAGAGATTCTCCTGCCTCAGCCTCCTGGGTAGCTGGGATTACAGGCATGCACCACCACCCCTGACTAATTTTTGTATTTTTTCTTAGTAGAGACAGGGTTTCACCATGTTGGCCAGCATGGTCTCGAACTCCTGACCTCGTGATCCATCCACCTCAGCCTCCCAAAGTGCTGGGACTACAGGCATGAGCCACCATGCCCGACCTTAAATTTTTTTGGTAGATATGGGGTCTTGCTTTGTTGCCGATGCTGATCTCAAATTCCTGGCCTCAAGCAGGCCTCCTGCCTCAGCTATCCAGGCGACTAGGATGACAGGCGTGAGCCACCACACCCAGCCTGCATCTATTGTTTCCCAGACATCTGTATGTGGACACCCTGCAAGTACCTCATGTCCAAAACACATGCATTATCCTCTCATGCTCTCCTAAATGCTCCCAGCCTGAAAGCCCTTCTTCCCTTCATATCCTTGATCTTAGCTTACCATGCCACCATTGCCCAAACTCAAAATCTTAGGAACAACTCTGACTTATCCCTCACTCCACGTATCGGCAACTCCCGGTCATTCTCCCTCCTAAATATCAGGTGGTGCTGCCTCCCCCACCCTCCCAGCTGCCACTGATCCTGATGTTCCATCACTTGGACTGTGTATACATACGTATGTTAAAAGAATAGATGCCCGTTTTCTGCCTCATGGGAGCTGGGAGCCCGACGTTTCCAGGAGCACCGCGTGGAGTTAGTGTCGGCCGCTTTTGGCATGGCAGCTTTTTCTGGCCTGGCTGAGATCTCACTGCTTAACCCGCAGGAAGATGTCCAGTTTCAAAAGGAGGTGGCGCAGGTTTGCAAGCACATAACCCAGCAAAAAAAACAAGAACAACCCTACTTAACGAAACCCAGATCTTTTCATATTTCTCCCAGTTTGGCACTGTGACACAGTTCAGACTGTCCAGAAGTAAAATGACTGGAAATGGCAAAGGCTATGCATTTGTGGAGTTTGAGTCTGAGGATGTTGCCAAGATAGTTGCTGAAACAATGAACAACTACCTGTTTGGTGAAAGACTCTTGGAGTGTCATTTTATGCCACCTGGAAAAGTACATAAAGAACTCTTTAAACACTGGAATATTCCATTTAAGCAGCCATCAAATCCATCAGCGAAATGGTATAATCAGAATCGGACACTAACACAAAAGCTACAGATGAGGAGTGATTTAAAAAGAAATAAAGATTACTCAGGAAGAAATTAGCTGGCTGGGCACGGTGGCTCACGCCCGTAATCCCAGCACTTTGGGAGGCCAAGGTGGGTGGATCACCTGAGGTCAGGTATTGGGGAAAAGCTGAGTGTTGGGAAAAAAGCTGAGGCAGGGCTTGCATGTCTGACATAATGTAAAAGAGTCTTGGAACATGTCTGGGGTCCAGGGTCTAAAACCTCTCATGGCCTTTGGAACACCAAGCTCTGTGCTAAAGGGTGGAAGGCTGCCCTGTGGCACCATAATCTAAGCCCAGGGCATAAAACCCCTCGTGGCTTGGATGGAATCCAGGGCTCAGAGCATGGAACCCCTCATGGCCTCTGGAATGTGTCTAGACTTGCCGGCTCCTTGTTTCTAGCATTCCCAGGCTCATAGATCAATTGTATCTTAAACTAGAAGAACATGTTTCCCATTATCTCAAGTAGCAGAAAATGTTCCATATGCTTCAAAGAAAATGCTAAACTGTCACAGCTGTAAATCATGCACTTGATGCAGTGCTTTCTTTCAACCCCCACATCCTCACCACCTGCCTCTTTGTTTGATCACCAATAAACAGTACGGGCTTCCAGAGCTCGGGGCCTTCGCAGCCTCCATACTAGTGTTGGACCCCTGGACCCACCTTATGCACTTTTAACTTGTCTTTTCTCATTCCTTTGACTCTGCCAGACTTTGTAGCCCCCATGGCCTGGTGCTGGGTCTGATCACCCCAGCATTCCTGGCGCCCAACATGGGACAATGAAGATCCCGGTGAAGGAACGCTAGAGGACATGAAAGTGGAGGAAGTATCATCAGAGGACACCCGAGGATGACTGAAAGAAGCTCGGTGGGAAAGCTGAGTGCTCAGAAGAACCAGGGTAACAATCAGACAAAGTGAAAGCGAACATTCTGCTTATCTGAATTTCTTAAGGCATTTATTACAAAAAGGGGCAGTGAAAGTTAGTACTCAAAATTTGTTATCACTCTTTAGTACAGTAAAGCAGTTTTGCCCATGGTTTCCAGAACAAGGGACTATGGAGTTGGATGAATGGGAGAGAACTGGCAGAGATTTTAAAAAGGCGTATAAAGAGGGAGCAAAAATTCCAGTTTCCGTTTGGTCAATGTGGGCACTAATAAAGGCAGCCCTTGAGCCCTTTCAAACAGATGATGAGGGAGATTCAGATGAGGAAGAGGAGGACGAGTGTAAAAAACTAACTTCAGATTCTGAATGCAAGGAGCAAAAAAGAGAAGAGGTTAAAAAAGGGGAAACCGAAAAAAGTATATTTTACTAGCCCATCGGCTCTACCTGCTGAATTAAGTGAATGGCCACCTCCTCCCTTTCCCCTTAATGGGCGAGAAAGTGAATTAGCTATAAAATTTTCTGCTCCTGTAGTTGCAACATTAAAACCTGGAGCAATTGGTGGTGCTATGCAAAATTCTATTCAAAAAGCTAGAGCAAGCCGGGCGCAGTGGCTCACGCCTGTAATCCCAGCACTTTGGGAGGCCGAGGTGGGCGGATCACGAGGTCAGGAGATCAAGACCATCCTGGCTAACACGGTGAAACCCCATCTCTACTAAAGACACACAAAAATTAGCCGGGCGTGGTGGTGTGCGCCTGTAGTCCCAGCTATTCGGGAGGCTGAGGCAGGAGAATCGCTTGAACCCGGGAGGCAGAGGTTGCAATGAGCCGAGATCGCACCACTGGACTGTAGCCTGAGCAACAGAGCGAGACTCTGTTAAAAAAAAAAAAAAAAAAAGCTAGAACTGAGGAAGACCTTGAAGCATGGCAATTTCCAGTTACTATAATCCAGCAAGGAGGACAGAATATAACTAATTGGGCCACTTTTCCTTTTAAGTTATTAAAGGAATTTAAGTAAGCCATTACTCAATATGGACCGAACTTTCCTTTTGTGCAAACTTTGTTAAAAAATGTGGCTCTTGATACTAGGTTAATACCGTATAATTGGGATACTTTACCAAAATCTGTTCTCACTCCGTCTCAGTATTTACAGTTTAAAACTTGGTGGGCTGATGAAGCTCAAACTCAGGCAAGGGAAAACACACAAGCGCAGCCACCTGTGCCTGTTTCCTTTGAACAGTTCATGGGAGTTGGCCCCAACTGGGGTAGATTAGAAAATCAAGCAGTAATGGAGGATGTTGCCATTGTTCAGCTGTGCCCTGCATGCTTACGGGCATGGGAAAGGATAAATGTTACAGCGGAAAAATATCCTTCTTTCAGCTCGTCCGACAGGGACCTAAAGAACCATATATTGATTTTATTGCTTGGCTCCAAGAGGCTGTGTATAAAGCCATAACTGATAAAACAGCTCAGGATGTTGTAATACAGCTTCCTGCATATGAAAATGCTGATGCAGAGTGTCAAACTGCCATCAGACCTATGAGAGGGAAGGCTCATTTGGCTGAATATACTGGGGCTTGCGATGGCATTGGAGATACCTTGCATAGGGCTCCTCTTTTAGCTCAGGCTATGGCTGGATTGAAAGTAGGAAGGAATGTGCCCCGTTTCTCAGGCTCTTGCTTTAATTGTGGGCAATTTGGACACACAAAAAAGGAATGTAGAAAAGGAAAATAAAAAGTCTGGACAAGATATATGGTGGAGGGAAGCACATACAAAGAGCTGAGAAAAAGGAAAGATAATTATATGGGGAAGAGGATTTGCTTGTGTCTCTCCAGGTGACAGTCAGGTGCCTGTGTGGTGCCCACCAAACATCCGAAGATGTATCATCAGTTACAGCATCTAGTGGACCCACCTGTACAGTGCAAATTGAAGGCTTAAGGATTGCTTTTCTGCTATACTGTTGCACAAGAAGGATAAGCCTCGATTTGCTTTTTCTGTGCCTTCTGTTAGAAGGGGCCTGTTTCTCATTATCAGTGGAAAGTTTTACCCCATGGTAATTAACCACAGAGGCAGAAGCTGAGTTACAGCTTGTAGAACAAATGCTTCAGCAATGGCATGCCTCCCGGCTACAGCCACAAAAGTTTTTGCTTCTGTTTCGCTAGATTTACTAACATGGCTTTGAGGGTATGCTTGTGTTTTTGCAGGAGATGAACAAACCGTGCGGATGCCCTCAAGATGTGTACGACCATGGAATGGGAGACTGGAGAGATCCATGGATCCCAACCGTGGACCTGGTTCCCCCAGTACAAGCCATGAGCCAGTTGAGTCTGAATGCGAAGACGGAACGAGGACCGACCGGAGTCATGCTGACATCCACCCCCATAACATGGGGACAGATCAAGAAAAACCACACAGGAAGCTGAAAAACTGCTGGAACACCAAGGTTGTACCTTTTGCTGGGATTCAGAGGTACAATAGATGCTTAACGGACCAATGCTTTCTGACTGAGCTCCTCTCTACCTGAATACAAGAGACCCTAATAGTTAGGCAGGAATATCATCACCCCTATTCAGCATGAAGAAGTTGCAGAAGACGGACCTTCATCCTTCTGCAAGCCTTAGGATTAAGGATCCTCTTGTAAAAGGGAAAGTGGAAATATGTAAGAAGCATTCAAACCAGAACGACTCCATTCTGAATAAGGGCCAATGCATCCTAATGAGGAAGGGATGATAAAATGAATATATCTATAGGATATAAATATCCCCCATATGCCTGGGACCTGTTGTTGGATGCTTACAGATTGACACACAAGCTTGGTTGGCAGTAGTCCCCGGAAAAAATAAATCACAGGCTGCTTTGCATATGATTTGGGGGAGTAGTTTAAAATATAATTATTCCAATCCTAAAACCCTGAAGTTCCATCCTAATAAGCGTGAATGTGAGCGAAGCAAAGTTTGGTTTGAAGGTGTGGATGCTTGAACTTGGGAAGATTGTATAGCAAGTAAGGCTGAGGTGCTACAAAATAATTCCTATGGAATCACCATTGATTAGTCCCCTAAGGGGATCTTTAAGGAAAATTGCACCGGAAGGCCTTCTTGTAGAACAAATGTAGTAAACCAGAGGAATCGCTGGCAAAGGAATCATACACAGTATGTTCGGACGGAAGCTAATGCCCCTATCATATAGAGTCCTGCTGGCATTGTTGCCCCTAGTCCAAAAATGATATCTCCTGCCATAAGACAGGAACATTCTGAATTATGGAAATTAGCTATGGCTGAAAGTTCAATCAAAAGTTGGGAGGGTACATATAAAAGGTATAGAGGGGAGGGAGGTAAAAATAAATATGCTCTCTCTTTTCTTTCCAACAGGACCTTTTGGATTCAAAGCTGTGTTCGGCCATCTTTTATGCTAGCAACAGGAAATGTTACCAACTTTTAATAAAAATCAGACTATCCTGATAATTAAAGCCAGAGAAGGAGTTTGGATCCCTATGTGTCTCTAAATAGACCATGGGAGGCATCATCATCCATTCGTATTGTAACTAAATCCTTAAAAAACTCTTATCCCAAAGATTTATAGTTGCTCTTTTCTTTGCTATAATTGGCCTCATTGCTGTTACTACTACCGCTGCAATAGCCGGTGTGGCTGTACATTCATCTGTGAAAACTGCTGAATTTGTCAATAAGTGGCAAAAGAATTCCACAAAATTATGGAACTCCCAAGCTCAAATAGATAAAAAAAAAATAGTTAACCAAATTAATGATCTCCGTCAGACAGAGATTTGGATGGGAGATCGTATTATGAATTTAGAAAGTAGAATTCAAATGCAATGTGACTGGAATACATCTGACTTTTGTGTTACTCCTCAGTTACAATGAGACAGAACACTGATGGAAGAAGGTTAAACGCCATCTAGAGGGTAGAGAGGAAAATCTCACCCTCTAAATTGTAAAACTAAAAGAGCAGGATTTTGAAGCCTCTCAGACTCACTTAGCCCTGCTCCCTGGAACTGATAATTTGAACAAGACAGCCAATGGGTTGTCTGCAATCAATCCTCTTAAACGGATTAAGGCCATTGAAAACTCTACACTTGGAAATCCTGTTCTAATAATTATGTGCTTGTGCTGTCTCCTTTTAGTCTGCAGATGCGGAAGCCACCTCTGGAGAGAAAGCCACCATCGAGAACAAGCAATGATAGCTGTGGTGGTTTTACAAAAAAGAAAAGGGGGTCATGTTGGAGAAAAGCTAAGTAGTGAGAAAAAAGCTGAGGCAGGGCTTGCTAGTCTGACATAATATAAAGAGTCTTGGAACATGCCGGGGTCCAGGGTCTAAAAGCCCTTGTGGTCTTTGGAACACCAAGCTCTGTGCTAAAGGGTGGAAGGCTGCCCTGCGGCACCGTAATCTAAGCCCAGGGCATAAAACCCCTCATGGCTTGGATGGAATCCAGGGCTCAGAGCATGAAACCCCTCGTGGCCTCTGGAATGTGTCTAGACTTGCCGGCTCCTTGCTTCTAGCATTCCCAGGCTCATAGATCAAGTGTATCTTAAACTAGAAGAACATGTTTCCCATTATCTCAAGTAGCAGAACATGTTCCATATGCGTCAAAGAAAATGCTAAACTGTCACAGCTGTAAATCATGCGCTTGATGCACCACTTTCTTTCAACCCCCACATCCTCACTACCTGCTTCTTTGTTTGATCACCAATAAACAGTGCGGGCTTCCAGAGCTTGCGGCCTTCGCAGCCTCCATACTAGCATTGGTCCCCTGGACCCATCTTATGCACTCTTGTCTTTTCTCATTCCTTTGACTCCGCCGGACTTCATAGCCCCCACAGTCTAGTGTTGGGTCTGATCACCCCAACAGTCAGGAGTTCGAGACCAGCCTGGCCAACATGGTGAAACCCCATCTCTACTAAAAATACATAAATTAGCCAGCCATGGTGGCAGGCACCTGTAATCCCAGCTACTTGGAAGACTGAGGCAGGATAACTGTTTGAACCTGGGAGGTAGAGGTTGCAGTAAGCCGAGATTGGGCCACTGCACTCCAGCCTAGGCGATAGATCAAGACTCAATCTCAAAAAAAAAAAAAAAAAAAAAGGAATTGATTATGATTTTCCTTCTTCCTTCTTTGATTTTCCAGAAAACAGAAAGTATTTCAAAAACTAATTGTCAGACGTCTACAAAAGGCCATCTTTTACATAAGAAGAAGAAAAAGGTTTTAGGCACTCTTGACACTCCTGAGAAGACTGTGGATATCCAGGGCCTCACACCAGTTTGTACACCAACATTTTTGGAGAGACGAAAATCTGAAATGGCTGAAATGAATGACGATGATGAAGCTAATGAAATAGTTTTCAAACAGCCCATATCCTATGTAAAATAAGAAACACAAGAGACTCAAACACCTACACATTCACGGAAAAAAAGAAGCAAAAGCAATCAGTGATTTTCAGTGTATTACATATAATATTTCTTCTGGAAAATATAATATTTTTATGAGAGTGGACTTTGTGTTTTACTAGGTACAATGAAATGCAACCCTTGACAAGACTTTCAGAGGTAAAATGCACTGTTTGGTCAAGTTAAGGAAAGCAATCTGTAATTTTGGATTGCCTGCCTTTGGCTGAAATACAAGGGTGCATACCAGCTTGCAGTGGCTTGACTGACATTGCCTCTTTGTCCTGGCCTCTAGTTTTCTTTTGATATTTCACAGCTCTCCTTAGTTACTCTACCTAGATGGAAAGTTGACCACTAACTGCAGGTTTAAGTACTAAACTGCAGCCTTTTTCTATCACCAGCAGTTAAAGACCACCAATCTGGTTTGTCCATCTACATGGTTTGTCAGGGACATTTAACTCATGAGAGTGCTTTAGATTTCAACATCAGATGGTTGAAGCTGGAAGGCAAATTATATGTAGTGTGAGAAGGCAGTTCCAGTTTTTTGTTTTGTTTTGTTTTGAGATGGAGTCTTGCTCTGTCCCCCTGGCTGGAGTGCAATGGCGCGATCTCAGCTCACTGCAACCTCCGCCTCTTGGGTTCAAGTGATTATCCTGCCTCAGCCTCCCCAGTAGCTGATTTTTAGTAGAGACGGGGTTTCACCATGTTGGTGAGGCTGGTCTCGAACTCCTGACCTCGTGATCCACCCACCTTGGCCTTCCAAAGTGCTGGGATTACAGGCGTGAGCCACCGCGCCTGGCCCAGCAGTTCCAGTTTTAGCACAGATTTGCTTATGTATTAGTTCAAATCTTAATAGAGATTCAAAAACGACTTCTTTTTTTTTTTTTACCAATTTGTTAAATTAGTTTTCGTTGGGCTAGCATGGATTCATAACCACCATTTTATACTAGTATCACCAGTGAGGAATTGTATTTCAAGGATCAAACAATAACCAGCAAATAAACTTTTTTCTACAAAAAAAAAAAAAAAAAAAGCATAGATGCCCACGTGCCATGGGGCTTAATGAGAACAAGCTCCATGCCGAGCCCTTTACGTACACTGCCATGTTCGAATGTCATAGCAACTCTGAGACAAGTGTTCTTGGCCAGCTCCCGAGTGAAACTGAAGCTCAGAGAGGCTAAGCAAATTACCCAAGGTGACTCAGCTTTTCAGGGGCAGAGCAGTATGTGACATCAGTCAAGCATGTCAGTTGGACTCCACGCCCATGATCTCAACACCTTCCTGTACTTCCTCTCATTGTGGCAATGAACAGCTAGGGCTTAGGCCGGGCGCTGTGGTTCACGCCTGTAATCCCAGCAATTTGGGAGGCCAAGGCGGGTGGATCACTTGAGGTCAGGAGTTTGAGACCAGCCTGGCCAACGTGGTGAAACCCCGTCTCTACTGAAAATACAATAATTAGCCAGTCCTGGTGGCAGGCACCTGTAATCCCAGCTACTCGGGAGGCTGAGGCAGGAGGCTCGCTTGAACTCGGGAGGCGGAGGTTGCAGTGAGCCGAGATCGCATCACTGCACTCCAGCCTGGGCGACAGAGCGAGACTCAGTTTCAAAAAAAAAAAAACACACAACAACAAAGGTGACACCCGAACCTTGACGCCTCGACAATAACAACAACAAAGGTGATCCCCGAACCTTGACACCTCGACAGGGCTGAGAGGGGAGAAGCTGGGTGAGGGCCTCTAAATCTGGGGAGATTTCAAGGAAGGGAGGCAAAGATGACCTCCTGGACCTAAAAGAGGAGAAAGGACATGAGGGTAGGAGAGGCACTGAGAGGCCCCCCTTGCCCTTGGAAGGGTCCCAAGTAGATGGGGTGGAATGAATGGGAAAGAGCAGGGACCCCAGAATCTCCAGGGACGGAAGGGGGTTCGGGGAGGAGGGGGATTTTAGGAAATCTGTAAGCCCCTACGAAATGGGGAGACCCCGAAGGTCGAATCTTGGAACTTTGAAGGTCTAAAGCCGGTAGGGATAGGGAGTGGAGAGTGAAAGGAAGGGTCTGGTTCTAAGCGGTGGATGGGGCAATGGGGCTCCCCAGTGGGCCAAGGAGATGCCGAGAGGGATTCTCCCCTCAACAACCCAGTCCCCTCTCTCCCTCCAAGCTCCGCTCAGCATCTCCAGGCCTGGGCCGGGTCTCCCGGATGCTACCGGAACCTACCCGCACATGCGCAGACAAAAGCCTCAGCAAAAATGCCTGAAGGCGCAGAAAGGCGCTCGCCAACCAGAGGGAGAAGGCGAGGCGCGCGGGGTCCGCAGGGTGGGGATTCAAAAGCGGCGCGAGTTCTCTGGCCAATCAGAGCCGAGAATAGTGGCTCGCGACGCTTAACAAGTGGGCGGGACTCTAACCAATCGCCGCTGCGTTCCCCTACAAATCGGAAGTCTCGCTTCCCCTTAAGCAGAAGTTGGTTGGCCAGTTTTCAGAACTAGCCTGTCAATTTTGGAAGCTGAGTAAAGGGCATTTCCTTAGCGACACAAGGTCCCGCCTCCAGTCTCCTAGCGCCGCAGGGGCACGGGGGACGGGACAGAAAAAGCCTTAAAGGGCGAGGTACGTGGTAAGCGGTCAGACCCTGGTTTCCAAATGGCGTCAGATCCTGATCTTAGTAATAGGAGAAGCAATAAAAGAACAAGCTAGAACAATCCCATGACGCTAGACTTGAGCAGTGAGCGCCATCTGCCTCTGGGATTTAAAGTAACCGAATGGATAGACCCAGACTTGAAATCTGAAGATCTGGGTTCTCATCAGTCTCCAGGAAAGAAAAGCAAGCCAGATCTCTTGGCAAAAATCTTATTCCGGCCACTCAGTGCCACTAACATCGTCCAGCATAGGGCGATCCTGTTGCCTGGGACTTCTCCTCCTTAAAATGCAATGTTGTGGGCCAGGCACGGGGGCCTATCCCAGTAATCCCAGCACTCAAGGTAGGAGGATTACGTGGGGCCAGGAGTTCGAGACCAGCCTGGCCAACATGGGGAAACCCCATCTCTACTAAAAATACAAAAATTAGCTGGACATGGACATGGTGGCACATGCCTGTAATCCCAGCTACTTGGGAGGCTGAGCCAGGAGAATCGCTCGAACCCAGGAGGCGGAGGTTGCAGTGGGCGGAGATCGTGCCATTGCACTCCAGCCTGGGCGACAGAACAAGACTGTCTTAAATAAATAAATAAATAAATAAATAAATAAATAAATAAATAAAAATTTTAAAATACCCTGTAATCCTAGCACTTTGGAAGGCCGAGGTGGGAAGATTGCTTGAGGCCAGGAGTTTAACACCAACTGGCCAACATAGAGAGACCTCTTCTCTATTAAAATAAATACATAATTTTTTAAAATGTGGATTAAATTAGTTCATATTATTCATTAAAATAGATCTCCAGTCTTGCCAACATAGTAAAGCCCCATCTTTACTAAAAATACAAAAATTAGCGGGGCGTGGTGGCAGGCGCCTGTAATCCCAGCTACTCAGGGGGCTGAGGCAGGAGAATCGCTTGAACCCGGGAGGTGGAGGTTGCAGTGCACTGAGATAGCACCACTGCACTCCAGCCTAGGTGACAGAGGGAGACCCTGTCTCAAAAAAAAAAAAAAGACCTTCATTTTACAAAATAATTTAGAACTCCCCCAACTCTCAAGGTTGTGAAAAACAAGGAAAGACTTAGAGAGTGCTGCAGATTAGAGAAGACTAACGAGAGAGGATGACTAAATCCAATGTGGTAGTCCAGATTGGATCCAGGACCAGAAACAAAGGACATTAGTGTAAAAACTGGTAAAATCCAAATAAAGCCTGCAGTTTACCTAATAGTCCTGTCAGTTTCTTAGTTGTGACTAATGTACCATGTACATTACATGACAATGTAAGATGGCAACATTAGGGGAACTCCTGTCTGGAGTAAATGAGAACTCTCTGTATTATCTTTGTAACTTTTCTCTAAGTATAAAAGTATTCCAGGCCAAGCATGGTGGCTCATGACTGTAATCTCTTGGTACTTTGGGAGGCCAAAACAGGAGGATCTCTTGAACCCAGGAGTTTGAGACCAGCCTGGACAACATTCTGAGACCCTGTCTCTACAAAATAAGGCACCCCGTGTGGTAGTGTGTGCCTGTGGTCCCAGCTACTTGGGAGGCTGAGGTAGGAGGATGGTTTGGGCCCAGGAGGTTGAGGCTGCAGTGAGCCATGATCACACCACTGCACTCCAGCCTGGGTGACAGAGGGGGACCCTGTCTCAAAAAAAACACACGCAAAAAGTATTGCAACATAAAGCATTTATTTAAAAATATAAATACCTATGCCACTCCTCTTAGCTGATTATTTTCCAGTCCCTGAATCACTACATTTGTTTTACTTTCAGAAGCTGTTCCCTCCCCAGGAATATTCAACTTCCAGTCTTCCAGTACCTTCCCATAACAGCCTTTTCTAACCATCTTATCTACTTAATTTTTTATTCTTTTTTTTTTTTTTTTTTTTTGAGATGAAGTTTCACTCTGTAGCCCAGACTAGAGTGCAATGGTGCCATCTCAGCTCACTGCAGCCTCCGCCTCCTGGGCTCAAGTGATTCTCCTGCCTCAGCCTCCCAAGTAGCTGGGACTACAGGCATGCCCCACCATGCCTGGCTAATTTTTGTATTTTTATTTATTTATTTATTTATTTTATTTATTTTTGAGACAGGGTCTCACTCTGTTGCCCAGGCTGGAGTGCAGCGGCACGATCTCAGCTCACTGCAACCTCTGCCTCCCAGGTTCAAGCGATTCTCCTGCCTCAGCCTCTCGAATAGCTGGGATTACAGGTGCCTGCCACCACGCCCAGCTAATTTTTGTATTTTTAGTACAGATGGGGTTTCACCATCTTGGCCAGGCTGGTCTCAAACTCTTGACCTCAAGTGATCCGTCCACCTCGGCCTCCCAAAATGCTGGGATTACAGGCGTGAGCCACCGGGCCAGGCCCCTAACCACGTTATCTGCTCTATCTCCCTACCTCGGTGACTCTATATCCTCTTGCCCTGATTTGACATCTTCAGGTACATATTCTTACAGAATATATGCTATGTATGTCTCGTCTGTCTCCCTTACAAGCATGCAAGTTTCCTGAGAGTAGGGGCCATGTCTATTCTGTCCCGTGTGCAGCCTGGAGCCCAAATCATAGCAGGCATTGAATATTTCTTAAATGAATGCATGTAATAATGACGATTGCTTCTCAGCAAAACACTGTCACAACCACCAGCAATAACAATAAGTAAATCTCATGTGTTCAGCCTAATTGTGGTCCAGATTCTGTGTCTACTAATACACAAGTAATATCACAAGAACCTGGACAGTAATATTAGCCCCATTTCTCAGATGGAGAAACTAGGGCATAGAGAGTAGAAGCACCTAAAGTAACAAAGCAAGTTAGAGACACGGCACCTAGTAGAACCCAGCGCCTAGAATGGCTAAGACCTCCAGACCATCTACCACGCCCTCTGCCCTAGGGAGTGTCCACATTTCCCTACCTAAAACGTCCCTTGAGTCCTAAAGAATCTGTCTTGAGGATATGGCAGGAATAAAGAGAGAGAAAGACAGAGAGAGAGAGAGAAGGGGGCAGGGGTCCCGGGACTACTGAATCTGAGAGAGGAAGGGGGCTGGGGAACCAGAGTACGGGGTCTGAAGAAGGAGGGGCTGGAGCCTGGACTCCCGGGTCTGAAGGAGGAGTGGCTAGGACCCTAGACTTCCGGGTCTGAGGGAGGAGGGGGCTGGGGATCTGGACTCCTAGGTCTTAGGGAGGAGGAACTGGGGATCTGAACTCCCGGGTCTGAGGGAGGAAGAGCTGGGGATCTGGACTCCCGGGTCTGAGGGAGGAGGGGCTGGGGCCCTAGACTTCCGGGTCTGAGGGAGGAGGGGGCTGGGGATCTAGACTCTTGGGTCTTAGGGAGGAGCTGGGGATCTGGACTCCTGGGTCTGAGGGAGGAAGAGCTGGGGATCTGGACTCCTGGGTCTGAGCGAGGAGGAGCTGGGGATCTGGACTCCTGGGTCTGAGGGAGGAGGGGCTACAGGGTGCTGGAGGCCTTAAGTAAGTGATCTTGGGGAACTAGATCCAGGTCCCCGCCTGAGCTCTTTCTTTTGGGATCCCGGATAACTCCGCGAGCCACGCCCCATTTCTGACCCGGCCAAGCCCCGCCTCTCTCGGCCTCGGCCCCTCCCCAACCTTCCCGGGCCCCCGAAGGATCTCGGAGGCGAAGTTGCTAGAAGATACGTAAGAGGGCCCCAGTGGAGATGGAACAACCAAAGGACGGGGCTGGGCCTGAAGGGTGAGACAAACAAAGACCTCCTGAGAGGGGGACAGAGACCCAGAGAGAGGAGGGGACAGAGAAAACGAGAGAGAAAGGGCGCGCTGAACAGACCTGCATAGAGAATCAGGAAAAACAAAAAAGGCTCAGGTATCATCACATAGGTACAGAATCTTAGAAGATCTTGGTGAGAGTTGAGCGAGATACTTAGAAACAGGCGGAGGCCGGGTGCAGTGGCTTATGCCTGTAATCCCAGCACTTTGGGAGGCCGAGGCGGGTGGATCACATGAGGTCGGGAGTTCGAGACCAGCCTGACCAACATGGAGAAATCTGTCTCTCCTAAAAATACAAAATTAGACGGGCGTGGTGGTGCGTGCCTGTAATCCCAGGTACTCGACAGGCTGAGGCAGGAGAATCGCTTGAACCCGAGAGGCAGAGGTTGCGTTGAGCCAAGTTAGCGCCATTGCACTCCAGTCTGGGCAACAAGAGTGAAACCCCATCTCAAAAAAAAAAAAGAGCTAGAAACAGATACTCATCGAACAGAAATTTCCAAGAATAAACCAAGAAATGTGAAGACTCCAGGGATCCCCAGAAGGCTGGAGAAATCGTAGCTGTCCACTGTTTTAGCACTTACCAGACCCAGCGCTGTCATACGCACCTTTGATACCATCCAAAGCCATCTGTGACTATAAACAAATTAAGGTTCGGAATAGGAAAATGATTTGTCCAAAGATACACCACCAAAAGCGAGGCCACCAGGAATTGGAACTGAGTTCTGTCTGGTGCCGAAGTTCATGGCAGAGCTGTCTGTTTCTTTAGAGAGACCCGGGTTAGAAACAAAAAGAGAGAAGCGGGGGAGGAAGTCACAGGTGGGCACTGAGGATGGAGAGATGGCTGCCTTCTGCAGAGGTGCAGAGACAGCCTGGCAGCGAGAAACAAGAAAGTACGGAGACGCTGAGCCCCACTGACCTGTCTTTTTGTTGTTCTAGGAACAACCTGTCCCTGCCGTCATCTGGGACCGAGCCATGGCCCCCTGCGCCTCTCCCAGCCCCTCCACCCTTGCTCCTGAACTCCACAGACCCCACCCACCTGGGGCTCCCGGAGAGCGTGGCCTCTGTCACCGTGCCCATACGCCTGGACACCCTCTCCTGCCTCCTGCACAGCGCCCTGCTGGGGGCCTACACCTTCCAACAGGCCTTGCCCTCTTGCCCCTGCTGCTCCCAGGCAGGCCACTCCCAGCCGGGGGCAGTTAGGAGGCCTCCCAGGGGACGCGGAGGCTGGGAAGTCAGGCACAGGCCAGGCTGGGGCCGAGGCCTGCATCGACGGGGCCTTGGGAGAGCTGAGCAGCCAGAGAGGGGCCGGGCGGGGGGCCCTGGGGCTGGCCCCAGGACCCCACCAATGACACTGCCATCACCACCAACACTGCCTGCCCAGGATGGGAAGAAAGAAGCTCGAGGTCCAGAGCCACCCCTGGAAACACCACTGGCTGCTGAGGACTGGGAGACAGAGTACTAGGACCTTGGAGGGTCAGGCACCTGAGATTGCAGTCACCCAGGAGGGTTTTCCTGGGGCCCAGAGTGATCTCAGCCCTGTCAGAAGAACCCCAAGAAACATCTTCCATCCTCCCCTCTCCCCAAAACCACAATCCCAGGAGTAGCTCCTGTGAGGCACTTGGTGAACCTGACCTAAGTCACCTGAATCCCAAGTGAGAAGAAAATCCTAAACCTCGTACCCAAACCTGTCTCCTTGATGGCCTCAACCCCATTCCCAATGCCATCCCCAACCACAACCACAATCCTTACCTCATTCTCAACCCCCAGGGCTCCTCCAACCCCATTCCCTATCCTCTCCCTAATCCCAAAGCCACTCCTACCTGCCTCTCTCTTCCCCACTCTCAATACCCTGTTCCCAAACCCATTCATTCCCATCCCTGTCACCAGTCCCAGCTCCACTTCTGCGCCTCAACCCTAACCCACCCTCTTTACCAACCCCTTTCTCCTCATTGCCTGTGTACCTCAGCCCATCTTTAATGTCCTCTGAATCTACAGCCCCAAAGAGCTCCATCCTCAACCTCAGCCACAGCCCTGTGTCCATCCCCACAAAGAACCGCATTGGCCCCACATACCCAGACACCTGTGACTCCCCACCCCACTGCCTGCTCTTCAGGTAGAAAGCCCTGGTTGAACAATAAACGCATGACTCTCCCTGAATCTTGCGTGTGTGCGCGCGCCCGTGTGTGTGTGTGTGTGTGCGTGTGTGCGTGCTTACACAGCTCGGACAAAGCCAGGGTTGCTTTGAGCAAGGCTGGCGACAAGGTATTGGGTTCCGGGGAGGGTCACAGAGGTCAGTGAGTGGGTGGGGGGAGCCCCCTGGATGCCTGCTTCAGCGAATTCCATTTGAGGCCTCTGCCACCGCTGCATTTCTGCCTGCTGGAAGCTGCTGGGTAGTGGGACCATTGTGTAGGGAGGCTTAAGGGATTTGGGGAACCTAAGGGGGCAAAGAGGCCAGTGACCAGGCTCAGCTCAGTCTGCACAGAGGGGCCGTGGCAGAAGGAGGGCTCGGGCAGGCTCTGCCACTCAGGTAGGCACCAGGCGTGAGACCTGTAGCCCCCTCTTCCCCAAGTCCCAGGAGTCTAGGGTCCCAGCTCCTTCTTCTCCCAGGACCTGGTGTCCTACCCCCTAGCCCCTAGCCCCTTCCTTACCCACCACCCAGGAATCCAGGCTCCTGGGCCCCTTCTCACCTAGGACTCAGGAAGCTAGGCCTCCAGCCTATTCCTTGCTCAGAACCTGGAAGTCCAGGCCCCCGGCCTTTTCTTCCCAGAACCCAGCCCCGCTCTCCCTGTTGTCTTTCCAGGATCCCTACCATCCTCCTCCCTCAGACCCAGGAGTCCGGGCTCCAGTCCCCTCCTCGCCCAGGACCCAGGCGTCTAGGTCTCCATCTCCTTCTCCCAAGCACTTGGCATCCCACTCCTGAGCCCTCTCTCCCCCCAGTTCCTCCCTTCAAGTCCCGGGAATTCAGCTCCCAATCCCATCTCTCCCCTTCCCCACAGATCACCATGTACAGCTTCATGGGTGGTGGCCTGTTCTGTGCCTGGGTGGGGACCATCCTCCTGGTGGTGGCCATGGCAACAGACCACTGGATGCAGTACCGGCTGTCAGGGTCCTTCGCCCACCAGGGCCTGTGGCGGTACTGCCTGGGCAACAAGTGCTACCTGCAGACAGACAGCATCGGTGAGCCCCCCGGCCAGGGTCCAGGCCGCGCCTGGGGAAAGAGCAGGGCGGACCTCGGGGCCCAAGGACACCTGTATTCCAGATGGAGAACTCTGCGGCTCAAAGAGGGAAAGGGAGCAACCCAAGGTCACTCAGCATGGAGGGGGCAGAACTGGGACTACAGGGTTGTTTTCTAGCTGCAGTTTCACGGGGTGCTGGTTTGAAGGTTAAGTTGGGAGAGGTGGCATTTCCTGACGCTTCAGAGGTGTCATGCACAGCAATTGGGGCTAGTGTCACGAAACAGCATTTTCTAAATATGTACTATGGACCAAGAACTATGTTAGGTACTGGTGGATACTGAATTTGCTAAATACTGCATAAAGTAGCATAAAGTATTTTTGCCTACTTATAATGTGCCAGGCCATAGATAGAGAGATACATAGAGATATATAGTATATTGCTTGCTGCATAGCATCTATAATATATTAAGTTAATGTATACTATATTATGTGTAATATATGCAATTTATATTATTACATATAATTTATGATGTATTATATATAACTACATATAGACAATAATATACAGTATAGTGTATTATACATGCACCTCTATTATATAATAAATTACTAATACATAATATATTGTATATAATATGCTACATATTATATAAGTAATGCACATGTAATATATTATATATGATGTAGAATCCATTATATTACACATTCATTATCTAATAAATAGTATATGTCATGACATTATATAATAAATTAATAATGTATATATTATACAATATATTATATAATAAATTAATAATGTAGAGTATATTATATTGCACACTTATTATATAACATATTAATAAATTTGGCCAGGCGTGGTGGCTCACGTCTGTAATCCCAGCACTTCGGGAGGCTGAGGTGGGCGGATCACCTGAGGTCAGGAGTTCAAGATTAGCCTGGCAAAAAAGGTGAAACCCGGTCTCTACTAAAAATACAAAAATTAGCCAGGCATGGTGGTGAGCACCTGTAATCCCAGCTACTCAGGAGGCTGAGGCAGGAAAATCGCTTGAACCTGGGAGGCGGAGACTGCAGTGGGCCCAGATGGCACCACTGCACTCCAGCCTGGACAACAGACGAAGACTCTGTCTAAAAAATAAATAAAAATTAATTAATAATATATAATATATTGTGTATTACTACTAGTAACAGTAATAATAATAACTGGCATTGATTGAGTGCTTACTATGCCCTATGTGCTATTCTAAGCACTTTACATGGATAAACTCACTTCCATCCCCAACAACACTACGGGCAGTTCAATTGTATGTAAGAGTGAGACATGAGATTTGATCTCAAAATTCAAACATCCTCTTGAGTAGCTGAGAAGAAGAGCTAAGCGTCACTGAGTGCCGGACGTGACAGGCATGGGAGACTTCGCCCACTCATCTCTCCCGGAGCCAGCCCTGAGAGAGAGGCAGGACGATGCCTGTTTGCTGGAGAGGTAGACTGAGGCAGGGAGAAGTGAAAAGACTTGCCTTGGGCCATCAGCTTCAGAGTCCGCTCTGCCTGACTCCACACATCCTTCTCCTTTCTGGCTGTCTCATTTGTGACACTTCTACATTTCTCCTGCTTCGGGCTGGGAATTCCCCGAGGGACAGCCCTGAGCCACCTCTCTGTCTTATCTCTGCCAGGGATGCAGGAGACAGGGAGCCTTGGTGAAGGTCTTTCGTTTTTTCGTTTGTTTGTTTTTGTTTTGTTTTGTTTTGTTTCAGACAGAGTCTCGCTCTGTCACCCCTGCCAGAGTGCAATGGCACTATCTCGGCTCACTGTAACCTCTGCCTCCTGGGTTCAAGCAATTCTCCTTGCCTCAGCCTCCCGAGTAGCTGGGATTACAGGCGCCCAAAACCATGCCTGGCTAATTTTTGTATTTTAGTAGAGACAGGATTTGACCATGTTGGCCAGGCTGGTCTCGAACTCCTGACCTCAGGTGATCCACCCGCCTCGGCCTCCCAAAGTGCTGGGATTATAGGCATGAGCCACCGAACTTGGCCTCATTATTTCATTTGATTTGATTTTTGTAGAGACAGCATCTCACTGTATTGCCCAGGCTTGTTTCAAACTCCCGGCTTCAGATGGACGTGGTGGCTCAGCCTGGAATCCCAGCACTTCGGGAGGCTGAGGTAGGAGGATCACTTGAGCCTAGGTGTTTGAGACCAGCCTGTGCAACGTAAGGAGACCCCATCTCAACAAAAAATAAAAAATTAGCTGGGCGTGGTGGTGTGCTCCCGTGGCCCCAGCTGCTCAGAAGGCTGAAGTGGGAGGATCACTTGAGCCCAGAAGTTTAAGGCTGCAGTGAGCTAAGATAGAGCCACTGCACTCCAGCCTGGGTGACAGAGCAAGACCCTGTCTCAAAAAATAATAATAAGATAAAATAAATAATCAAAAAGAAACCCTCCTGGCCTCAAGCAATCCTCCTGCCTCGGCCTCCCAAAGTGCTGGGATTCCAGGCCTGAGCCGCTGTGACCAGCCTGAATTAGTGTGCTAGGGATGCCATAAAAAAGCCCCACAGACTGGGTGGCTTGAACAACAGAAACGTGTTGTCTCACAGTTCTGGAGGCCGAGATGAAGATGTGGGCAAAATCAGTTCCTTCTGAGGGCTGTGAGGGAGAATCTGTTCCATGTCCCTCCCTCCCTGGCTTCTGGTGATTTTCTGGGAATCTTTGGTGTTTCTTGGTTTGGAGATGCATCACCCCAATTTCTACCTTCCTCACACATGGCATTTTTCCTAAAAGCATGTCTGTGTCCAGATTCCTCTTTTTATAAGGACGGCAGTCTTTGTTTTATGTTTTGTTTTGTTTTTGAGTTGGAGTCTCGCTCTGCCACCCAGGCTGGAGGGCAGTGGAATGATCTTGGCTCACTGCAACCTCCACCTCCCGGGTTCAAGTGATTCTCCTGCCTCAGCCTCCTGAGTAGCTGGGATTACAGGTGCCCACCACCAAGCCTGGCTAATTTTTGTATTTTTAGTAGAGACAGGGTTTCTCCATTTTGGCTAGGCTGGTCTCAAACTCCTGACCTCAGGTGATCCACCTGCCTTGGCTTCCCAAAGTGCTGGGATTACACTGGGCAGGAGCCACCACACCCAGCCCAGTCTTTGGATTAGAGCCCCACCCTACTCTAGCATGATCTCGTCTTAACTAATTATATTTGCAAAGACTCTATTGCCAAATAAGTTACCATTCTAAGGCACTAGTTACAATTTCAACATAAACATTTGAGGCGGGGGACAGAAAGGCATAACCCATAAAATCCATGGAGAAACAGCCAGGAATTTCTCTCACCGAGGCTTCTACAAGGCAGAAGACTGGGTTTTACAAAGATCCTAGACTTTTTACTTTTCAATGGCAAGATGCAAGGTTTGAGGTGCACCATTTCCCAGGTGCTCCAGCAGACAGAATAGCCAAGCAGTTAGGAGCGTGGGCCTTGGAGCTTGGATTCTGACTCCAGCCCTGTTTCTAATTATGAGACTTCGGGCAAGTCACTTTACCTCTCTGGGCCTCCATTTCTTCACTTGAAAAAGAAGCATAAAAATGGTACTTATAGAGTAGGGCTCTGGAGGAATAAACAACATCACACCTGGGTAGCGAGCCTGGCATATAGTTAGCCGTTGCTAAAGGATGAAGAGATTATTATTATCTTTCCTGAGGGGCCATCCCTGGGCAAAGCACAAGAGAAGAATGGCCCCGGTGCTCAACATTAATTCATTTCACGCATTTATTGGGCACCTATTATGCACCAGGTGTAGGTGCTGGGGACACAGTGGTGAATGAGAAAGCAAGGTGCTTGTCCTTGAGAGCTAAGGATTTACTGAGGAGAGACAGACATTATAAATAAGTTAAAAACAAGTAAATAGGACATTTTCAGATATAAGCAAGTAGTATAAAATAAATGAAAGAGTAGGCTGGGCGCAGTGGCTCACACCTGTAATCTCAGCACTTTGGGAGGCCAAGGCAGGTGGATCACTTGGGGCCAGGAGTTTGAGACCAGCCTGGCCAACATGGCAAAATGCCGTCTCTACTAAAAATACAAAAATTATCCGGGCATGGTGGTGCGCACCTGTAGTCCCAGCTACTCGGGACCCTGAGGAAGGAGAATCGTTTGAACCTCAGAGGTGGAGGCTGCAGTGAGCTGAGATTGTGCCACAGCACTTCAGCCTGGGTGGCAGAGGAAGACTCGGTCTCAAAAAAAAAAAAAAAAAAAAAAAAAGAAAAGAAAAAAAAAGAAATGTGAGAGAGAATAGTAATTAGTAGGAAAATATAAGGAATCAGCATTCATTCATTCATTCATTCAACAAACATTTCCCAAGGCCAGAATGCAAACCAAATGTGTGGTGGGGGTGTTTATGACACAGAACCAACCCACCGCCTGTCTTCAAGGAGCAATCAGGCTGGAGGGGGAGACAGACAAAGAGAGTCACAACCCTTAGCCGTGGGTGAAGATGATGACTGAGGGGTGGGGAGATGCTTCCTAGAGGATGGGTCACGGGAGCTGTGCTTTGGAGGATGAGTAGGAGTTTGCCAGGTGAAGAAGAGGGCATTTGCAAAGAAGGGAAGGATGAGCTGGGTTAGGGATATGGAAAGGGGCAAGGCATTTTCATCTCAGAGGTAGCAGCATCTCTCACTTAGAGCAGGGGAGGTGTGGGAATGACCATGGGGTGCTCCCACAGCATACTGGAATGCCACCCGGGCCTTCATGATCCTGTCTGCCCTATGCGCCATCTCCGGCATCATCATGGGCATCATGGCCTTCGCTCATCAGCCTACCTTCTCCCGCATCTCCCGGCCCTTCTCTGCTGGCATCATGTTTTTTTCCTCAAGTGAGTAAGCCCACCCTCTCCCTACCCCTCTCCTCGCTCTCATCTCAAACCCCAATCTGTCCCCACCCCTCAACACCATTCTCACCCCTTACTCCTCCTCACACTCAACCCCACCCCACCCTAATCCCATCCCCACACTCAAAACCAACCTCATGACTATTTCTAGTTCCAGTCTATTCTGACACTAGCTGGTGTACTACAGTTCAGTTCTGGCATGAATCACCTAAAATTTGTGTTTGACTCCACAGGTTAAGACCACAGTCCCTAGCAAGACTGCTTCCACCTCAGCTACAAGCTGCAAGCAGGGTGCCTGGGCCACCCATGCTTTTGATCCACTGGCTACAAACTAGGAGGTTCCCAAGACCCACTCAGATTCAAAAATTTGCTGGAGGCCGGGTGCGATGGCTCACGCCCGTAATTCCAGCACTTTGGGAGGCCGAGGCAGGTGGATCACTAGGTCAGGAGTTTGAGACTAGCCTGGCCAACATGGCGAAACCCCATCTCTACTAAAAATACAAAACAAAATTAGCCAGGCGTGGTGTCGGGCGCCTGTGGTCCCAGCTACTTGGGAGGCTGAGGCAGGAGAATGGCATGAACTCAGGAGGCGGAGCTTGCAGTGAGCTGGGATTGTGCCACTGCACTCCAGCCTGGGCGACAGAGCGAGACTCTGTCTCAACAAAAACAACAACAACAATAACAACAACAAAAATTGCTGGAATAACTCATAGAATGCAGGAAAGTGCTATACTTACAGTTATAGTTTCCTTATAGAGGACACAACTCAGGTCCAAGCAAATGAAGAGACACAGAGGGCAGAGTCTAGGAGAGCCCAAAATGCAGAGCTTCCAAGCCTTCTTCCTGTGGAGCCAGGGATCACCCTCCCAGCACACAGATGTTTTCACCAATAGGGAGCGCCACTGAGCTTCAGTGTCCAGAGGTTTTATTGGAGTCTTGTAAAATAGGCATGACTGATTGAATCGTTGGTCATTGATGGAATGCAGTTTCCAACTTCCTTTCTTCCCTGATATCAAGTGGTTCAGAGCCTCAACATATCATGGTCGGTCTTTCTTTCTTTCTTTTTTGTTCTCCTTTTTTGAGATGGAGTCTCACTCTGTCACCCAGGCTGGAGTGTAGTGGCTCGATCTCAGCTCACTGCAACCTCCACCTCCCCTCCCGGGTTCAAGTGATTCTCCTGCCTCAGCCTCCTGAGTAGCTGGGATTACAGGCACCCACCACCACACCCAGCTAATTTTTTTTTATTGTATTTTTAGTAGAGACGGGGTTTCACCATGTTGACCAGGCTGATCTTGATCTCCTGACCTCAAGTGATCCACCCTACTCAGCCTCCCAAAGTGTTGGGATGACACGCATGAGTCACTGTGCCTGACCTGGTTGGTTTTTCTGACAACCACACCCAACCCTGAGTCATCTCATCTCATTACCATAAACTCAGGTTGGGCCCAAGAGGCTCAAGAATAACAAAGACCCTCCTATTACTCAGGAAGTTCCAAATATTGTTTCTCCCTCCCAGGAACCAGAGACAATGGCCAATTACATTATAAAACACAAGCGTGTCCAACCCCATCCCAAACCTATCCCCCAATCATCTTTACCCCTAATTTCAACTCAACCCCTATCCTCACTCCTATCCCCACCCCCAACCCATTTCCACCCCTTTCCCCAATCTTAGTTCCCACCCCCATCATCAGCTCTCTGCCCACCTCCAAAATCACACCCAGCCTTAGTCCCACCTGCATCCTCCCGCCCTCTCTCCCCAGCCCTTTTCGTCGTGTTGGCCTTGGCCATCTACACTGGAGTCACCGTCAGCTTCCTGGGCCGCCGCTTTGGGGACTGGCGCTTTTCCTGGTCCTACATCCTGGGCTGGGTGGCAGTGCTCATGACGTTCTTCGCAGGTACTGGGGGCAAGGGGTGGGAAGGTCAGTGCCTGGGGCAGAGTGGGCAGCAGATAGAGTGGAAGATGACAGGGTGTCCCACATGAGTCCCACAGCACTGGGTCAGGAGGAAGACTCCAGGCCTATGGAGTCTGGGGTCGGGGATACCCAGGGAGAAAGAGAGTAGGGTGTTGGGCTCTCTTGGGGTGGAAATGGAGCTGGGGGAGGTTTGAGGGGGTGAATTTGAACTTCTTCTCATGCAGGGATTTTCTACATGTGCGCCTACCGGGTGCATGAATGCCGGCGCCTGTCTACACCCCGCTGAGCCCAAATGTGTCCCCCAACTTCATCTGGAAGTTAAAGTGAGGCCACTGAAGAGGAGGAGGAGGGTCTAGAGGCCTGAAATCCTGGTTCCTAGGGGAATGAGGGGGCTCAGTTCTGGACTGTGGGTTTGTGGGGGGAGGCTGACTCCTGGTCCTAGGCTGGAAGGAGGAAGAATAGGGCCCATGGGAGGGAGCTGAGAAGACTCAAGTCCCCGTCTGCCTGGCAGGTTGTTAGAAAAATGGACTATCCATTAGAGCAACTTTCTGGGGCCTAATAAAACTGATGTGAAACTACTAAAGTGTTAATACTTGAGGGACTAGGATGGGGAGAAACAGCTGTAAGGGTGGTGGGTGTGGGCAGGGGTGCTTTTTTGTGTGTTTTTCTTGTGGTTGTTGTCTTCATTGTTTTGAGACGGAGTTTCGCCTTTGTTGCCCAGGCTGGGGTGCAATGGTGCGATCTCAGCTCACCGCAACCTCTGCCTCCTGGGTTCAAGTGATTTTCCTGCCTCAGCTTCCCAAGTAGCTGGGATTACAGGGGCCCACTACCACTCCTGGTTACTTTTTGTATTTTTAGTAGAGATGGGGTTTCACCATGTTGGCCAGGCTGGTCTCGAATTCCTGACTTCAGATGATCCACCCACCTCTGCCTCCCAAAGTGCTGGGATTACAGGCGTGAGCCACTGCACCCGGCCCAGGGGTGCTGTATTATGGAGGCCTGACCTTCTCAGTTTCTGCACGGAGGGGAACAGAGATGAATCAACAGTCCGTGTCCAGGAGCTCACCACAGTTCAACTTCCAGGATATGGATGTGTAGGATAATCGGACAAATGAAAAGATCTCTGAAAAAACTCCCTGCCCACCCCGCCTCCAGTTGGCTCTCCCCAGCCTCCTCTCTCCTCCCCTGATGCGTCCCTTCAAAGGAAACACCAGAACCCTGAGCCTTACCTCCGGCACCTGCTCTTCACACACCATTCATGACCGTGATCTTCTCTTCATTCACTCATTAGTAATTCATTCTATTAATTGATGCTGGCTGGGTGTGGTGTCTCACACCGGTAATCCCAGCACTTTGGAAAACCAAGGCAGGTGGATTGCTCAAGCCCAGGAGTCCCCCAGGCAACATGAGAAAACCCCATCTCTACAAAAAAAAAAAAAAAAAAAAAAATTAGCTGGGCATGTTGGTGTGTGCCTGTCCCAGCTACTCAGGAGGCTGAGGTGGGAGGGTCGCTGGAGTCCGAGGAGACGGAGGTTGCAGTGAGCTGTGATAGCACCACTGCACTCCAGCCTGAGCGAGAGTAAGACTATGTCTCAAAATAAAAAAGAAAAAGAAAAAGAAAATAAATGGTTGCTAACTGCCATGAGATTTACTGATGTCTATCATAAGACTATTTCATAAGGCTGATTCTAATCAGACTATTTACTACAGCTATGCTAATAAATGTTATGTTTATAGAGGCTTATTCCCTAAAATAATATTTACTGGGGCCTCCTCAAATAAAAATACTGTATTTATAGAGGTTTTCTCTAATAATAATGACAATTGAAGATTTCTCTAATAATTTATTGAGGCCTATTTAAATAGAAATATTTGCCGAGACTTATTCTAGTAATCATATTTATAGGGGCTTACTCTAGCAATAATAATGATATAATTATGACTCCAGACTCAGGACTCCAACTTACCTGCTCAACTTACTTACTCAACATTCCCACTTGAAAAGAAGAGGCATCTCCAATCTCACATATCCAAAAATAAGTTCCTGATCTCACACACAGCCTATGTGTTCCTCCCATGGTCTTCCCCATCTTAGGAAATGGCAACCCCATTTTTTATTTTACTTATTTGTTTTTTTGAGATGGAGTCTCGCCCTGTTGCCCAGGCTGGAGTGCAGTGGTGCAATCTCGGCTCACTGCAACCTCCGCCTCCCCTCCTGGGTTCAAGTGATTCTCCTGCCTCAGCCTCCCAAGTAGCTGGGATTACAGGCGTCTGCCACCACGCCCAGCTAATTTTTGTATTTTTAGTGGAGACGGGGTTTCACCATGTTGGCCAGGCTAGTCTCAAACTCCTGACCTCGTGATCCGCCCGCCTCGGCCTCCCAAAGTGCTGGGATTACAGGTGTGAGCCACCACGCCCGGCCAAACAACCCCATTTTTATCCAGCTACTCAAGCCAACAACTTTGGGATTCAATGTTGGCTTTTTTTTTTTTTTTTTTTTTTTGAGACAGGGTCTCACTCTTGCCCAGGCTACAATGCAGTGGCGTGATCACAGCTCACTGCAGCCTCCACCTCCCAGGCTCAACTGAGCCTCCCACCTCAGCCTCCTGAGCAGCTAAGACTACAGGCATGCACCACCCACTATGCCTGGGTAATTTTTTAATTTTTTGTAGAGATGGGGTCTCCTTATGTTGCCTAGACTGGTCTCTGTCTACTGGTCTCAAGTGATCCTCCCACCTTGGCCTCCCGAAGTGCTGGGATCACATGCGTGAGCCACCCCAGCTGGCCTGTGTCTGCTTTTGGTTTCCTGTAAATCCTCAAAGACAGCACCTGGCACATGGTAATCACTCAAAAGAACATTTGTTGAACAATAAATCTTTATTCAGGCCAACTGACTTACATAAAGTAAGTGCTGTTTATTGACTTACATAAAGTATTATTTATTGAAATGTACTCTAATGATACTGAGATTTAATATCTTTTTATCATTATAATAGCCATTAAATATTATGACTAGAGTGCACCTCAATAGAAATGATGATGCCTTCCATAATAACTGTTTACCATTAGCATTCATTTCTTTAATAGAACGTAGGTTAATTGAGGATTAGTCTTTTTAAATTTTATTTTATTTTATTTTTTTTGAGATGGAGTCTCACTCTGTCACCCAGGCTGGAGTACGGTGGTGCGATCTTGGCTCACTGCAACTTCTGACTCCCGGGTTCAAGCGATTCTCCTGCCTCAGCCTCCCGAGTAGCTGGAATTACAGGTGCACGCCACCACTCCCAGCTAATTTTTTGGGGTCTTCCGTGGCAGATGGGGGCTACTGAGGAGCTTTCAAGCCCGGGAGAGGTTGGAAGGGGCTGGAGAAAGTTGGAAGAGACCTGGGTGATTCAAAAAAACTGACAGTGCTTAGACAAGACTGACAGAGACCTAAGAGAACCAAGTGGCCAAGCAGGCGACGTGAGCTGTGAACCCCGAAAATCTGAGACAGGTCTCAGTTAATTTAGAAAGTTTATTTTGCCATGTAGTCACAGCTACTCAGGAGGCTGAGGCAGGAGAATGGCGTGAACCCGGGAGGCGGAGCTTGCAGTGAGCCGAGATCGTGCCACTGCACTCCAGCCTGGGCAACAGAGCGAGATTCCATCTCAAAAAAAAGAACAATAGAAAGTTTATTTTGCCAAAGTTGAGGACATGCGCCCGTGACACAGCCTCAGGATGTCCTGACGACATGTGCCCAAGGTGGTCGGGGCACAGCTTGGTTCTATACATTTTAGGGAGACATGACATATCAATCAATAGATGTAAGAAGTACATTGGTGCATCCAGGAAGGTGGGGACAACTCAAAGCAGGGAGGGGGATTCCACGTTACAGGTAGGTGAGAGACAAATTGTTGCATTCTTTGAGTTTCTTTTTTCCTAGATGGAGTCTAACTCTGTTGCCCAGGCTAGAGTGCAGTGGCACAATCTCGGCTTACTGCAACCTCCACCTCCTGGGTTCAAGTGATTCTCCTACCTCAGTCTCCTGAGTCTGAGACTACAGGCGTGCACCACCATGCCCGGCTAATTTTTGTATTTTTAGTAGAGATGGGGTTTCACCATGTTGGCCAGGCTGGTTTTGAACTCATAACCTCAGGTGATCCACCTGCTTAGGCCTCCTAAAGTGCTGGGATTACAGGCATGGCCTCTTTTGAGTTTCTGATAAGCCTTTCCAAAGGAGGCAATCAGATATGCATCGATCTCAGTGAGCAGAGGGATGACTTTGAATAGAATGAGAGGCAGGTTTGCCCTGAGCTGTTCCCAGCCTGACTTTCCCCTTTAGCTCAGTAATTTTGGGGCCCCAAGATTTTCCTTTCACAGAGCTCTCAGGAAAAGCTTCAGAAGGAGGCCTGGGGTTTTCCTCTGGCAACCACAGACCACATCTGGTTGAGAAAGCTGCTGGAGATCCTGCGAGCAATTCTGTCTTCAAGGCCCCAGCTGCCTTGCCTTTGTGCTCTTAAGAGATGGTCTTGGCTGGCTGGGTGCGGTCACTCACGCCTGTAATTCCAGCACTTTGGGAGGCTGAAGCAGGTGGATCACCTGAGGTCAGGAGTTCGAGACCAGCCTGACCAACGTGGAGAAACCCCGTCTCTACTAAAAATAGAAAGTCAGCCGGGCATGGTGGCGCATGCCTGTAATCCTAGTTACTTAGGAGGCTGAGGCAGGAGGATCTCTTGAACCTGGGAGGCAGAGGTTGCTGTGAGCCCCGATCATGCCATTGCACTCCAGCCTGAGCAACAAAAGTGAAACTGCGTCTCAAAAAAAAAAAAAAAAAAAAAAAAAAAAGATGACCTTCACTCACCCGCTCTTACTGGCTTGTGGTGTCTGTCAGAGGGCCTGGGCCTGTGATCAGCCTGTGATACCTACATGTGCAGAGACTCACTGGAGCCAGGTACAGGTCACCTCTGTGTATGCATGCATGCATGGGTGTGATGGTGGTGGTAGTGGGACCCACTTGGGGAGATGAGAAATGAGGTTACAGGCTTGGACCTGGAGGTGAAAGGAGAATGAAAATGGTCGGAGTTAGGTATGAATTATAGAGGTTGCAGAGAAGAATGAAAAGACAGTGGCTGGGCGCAGTGGCTCACTCCTGTAATCTCAGCACTGTGGGAGGCTGAGGCAGGTGGATCACCTGAGGTCAGGAGTTCAAGACCAGCCTGGCCAACATGGCAAAACCCCATTTCTACTAAAAATACAAAAAAAAAAAAAAAATTAGCCTGGTGTGGTGGCGTACAACCATAACCCCAGCTACTCAGGAGGCTGAGGCACAGGAATCACTTAAACCCAGGAGGCGGAGGTTGCAGTGAGCCAAGATCATGCCACTGTACTCCAGCCTGGGTGACAGAGTGAGACTCCATCTCAAAAAAAAAAAAAGGGTTGGGATGGGAATGAGAATAGGGTCAAGTTTCAGGAAGAGGATGGGGTTGGGTTTGGAGTAGGGGCTGGGGTTAATAATGGAGAGGGGTTTGGTTTGGAGATAGGGTGGGGTTTCAGAATGAGAATGGAGTTAGATTTGAGGGTGGGAAGGGTATAAGGGTTGGAACTGGGAATAAGGATGATGTTGAGTTTGGGAATTAGAATGACGTTAGGTTTGGGGATGGGGGCGAATCGGGGGATGGGGTTGAGTGTGTAGTTGGGACTGAGAATGGAGTTCTATTTGAGGATGGGGGTTGGAGCTAGGGTGGAGATTACGAATAGGGATGGGATTGGGTATGGAGTTGTGTTCAGGAATGGGAATAGGGTTAACTTTGGGGATAGGGATGGGTTGAATTTGTGGTTGGAACTGGGCTTGATACTGAGTTTGGGGATGGAGTTGGGTTTGGGGTTAAGGATGGCTTTGGGTTTGGGAGGGGGTCAGGGTCACAGATAGATAGGCTGTGTGCTCTGACCTGCTACTCACTGCACACCATGGCAGGTTTTCCGGAGACCTGGCCTGCTCATGGCCTCTGCCACCTCTGGGAGCCTGTGCTCATAAATGTGTTCTCAGAGTGGTGCAGATCTGAGTGAAGGATGGGGGCTGCCGATCTGAGTCTCTCCAATAAAGGAGAGGAACCAGTCTTCCAGGTCATTTCCCATTCTCCACATTTGCCAGCTGTCCTGGGACTGCTGGACCAGTTCATCTCCAAGACAGAGGTCCTCTTCCAGACTACTCCCTATGTATTAGTCTATTCTCACACTGCTATAAATAACTGCCTGGCCGGGCGTGGTGGCTCACACCTGTAATCCCAACACTTTGGGAGGCCAAGGTGGGCAGATCACCTGAGGTCAGGAGTTAAAGACCAGCCTGTCCAACATGGTGAAAACCCGAAAATCTACTAAACCTGAAATCTACTAAAAATACAAAAATTAGCTGGGTGTGGTGGCGGGCACCTGTAATCCCAGCTACTTGGGAGGCTGAAGCAGGAGAACTGCTTGAACCTGGGAGGTGGAGATTGCAGTGAGCCGAGATTTTGCCACTGCCCTCCAGCCTGAGTGACAAGAGTGAGACTCTGTCTCAAACAACAACAACAACAACAACAAATGCCTGAGACTGGGTAATTTATAAAGGAAAGAGGTTTATTTGATTCACAGTTCAGCATGGCTGGGGAGGCCTCAGGAAACTTACAATCATGGTGGAAGGTGAAGGGGAAGCAAGCCACTGTCTTCACAGAGTGGCAGGAAGAAGGCCAAGCGAAGGCAGGAAGAGCCCCTTAAAAAAACACCATATCTTGTGAAAACTCACTCACTATCACAAGAACAGCATGGGGGAAGCCGGCCCCATGATTCAATTACCTCCACCTGGTCTCTACCTAGACACGTGAGGATTATGGGGACACAATTCAAGGTGCGATTTGGGTAGGGACACAAACCCTAACCATATCACCGTTTCACAGAGGTCAAGTTTTCCTGGGCCTTCTACCTGGGCTGTGGTACCGTCACCTTATACCTGCTCGTAGATGAGGTGTTGCCAGGACCTGATGGTGTGGATGGAAGAGGCTAGCGTTTGGGGGGCTGGAGAACCCTAAACCAAAATCCTTATGTCCCCCAACACCCCCTAGGCCCCCCGATCCTGGTGATAAAGGCCACCAGGCTGGAGCCCCCACCCAAGCAGGGATGCCACTGAACTCATTAATCAGATGAGGATGTGGGTATGTCTGACTCTCTGCAAACCTTTCAGAATTGTGATTCTCTGCTGTTTGCCTGCCCTTGGCATATGCTCCAAACTGGGGCCCAGGATTCTGAGCTCCTGCCCGCCTCTTCCTCCCTCAGGACCTGGAGTTCAGGCCCCCAGCTCCTTCCTCCTTAAGCCCCAGGAGTTCTAACTCCCAAGTCCCCTCCTTCAGTAGAGACCCTAGACTTGGGGACTTCCTCTCCCAGAATGGAAGACTGCATAACCCACAGGAAAGCATGACACATCCCCAGCTGTCCCCTCCAGCCACATCTGCCCTCCCCCTTAATGTACACCCTAGCCTGATTGGCTTCCTCCCACCTCAGGGCCCCCAAGCCTCTCTCTCTCACCTCTTCCAGGAAGCCCCGACTTGGTGTTGAAGGTTCCATGGGTGGGAGTTGTAGAATCTGTGACAGAGGCAAGTACTAAACCACCGCCCAAACCACTGATGATCTGACACCCTCAGTGCCCTCCCCCATCACACACTAAGCGGGGAACTGGACCCCAGGGAGGGGAGGGAGGACGTTGCCTGTGCAATCCAGGAAGGGAGGGTATGTGAAAAGCTACCGGGAACTGTGTGAAACCAAACCAGCCTCATGTGACAAAGCGCAGGACCCCTCACTGCCCCAACTGCTTGCTGTTCTCTCTTTCTTGGGCTCTAAGGACCCAGGAGTCTGGGTGCACAGCCTCCTTCTCTCTGAGATTCAAGAGTCTGATCAGCAGCCTCTTCCTCCTCCAGGACCCAGAAGCCCTGAGCTTATCCCCATGGAGCTCTGCCGGTCCCTGGCCCTGCTGGGGGGCTCCCTGGGCCTGATGTTCTGCCTGATTGCTTTGAGCACCGATTTCTGGTTTGAGGCTGTGGGTCCCACCCACTCAGCTCACTCGGGCCTCTGGCCAACAGGGCATGGGGACATCATATCAGGTAAGGGGAATGGGTGTCCTACAGAGGGGTTGCCAGCGGGGATGGGTGCTCAGTGGTCTTCTCCCGATCAGGCTACATCCACGTGACGCAGACCTTCAGCATTATGGCTGTTCTGTGGGCCCTGGTGTCCGTGAGCTTCCTGGTCCTGTCCTGCTTCCCCTCACTGTTCCCCCCAGGCCACGGCCCGCTTGTCTCAACCACCGCAGCCTTTGCTGCAGGTAAGGACTCTGGACTGGACTGGGGCATCGCGAGCCAGCGAATTCCTGCCGAGGAGCTGAGCCATCTCTCTTGTCCTTGTCCCCAGCCATCTCCATGGTGGTGGCCATGGCGGTGTACACCAGCGAGCGGTGGGACCAGCCTCCACACCCCCAGATCCAGACCTTCTTCTCCTGGTCCTTCTACCTGGGCTGGGTCTCAGCTATCCTCTTGCTCTGTACAGGTGACTATCCTGCCCACTGCCCTGGGGAGCTTTGGGAGGGTCCAGTTGGGGTCCCTGAGGACAGAGGGCAGGGGCAAGTGCTTAAACTCTTTCTGGCTCCCCAGGTGCCCTGAGCCTGGGTGCTCACTGTGGCGGTCCCCGTCCTGGCTATGAAACCTTGTGAGCAGAAGGCAAGAGCGGCAAGATGAGTTTTGAGCGTTGTATTCCAAAGGCCTCATCTGGAGCCTCGGGAAAGTCTGGTCCCACATCTGCCCGCCCTTCCAGCCCTTCCCCAGCCCCTCCTCTTGTTTCTTCATTCATTCAACAAAATTTGGCTGGAATCTGGTTATTTTGAGATTAATTCTGCCAAGACATAAGCCAACTGTCTGCCAGCTCCATGGTAGGAG
Organism: Homo sapiens; assembly: GCF_000001405.40. Lineage (NCBI taxonomy): Eukaryota > Metazoa > Chordata > Mammalia > Primates > Hominidae > Homo > Homo sapiens. The sequence continues at coordinate 51,371,553 of NC_000019.10, read as the reverse complement.
CTGGGCACCAAGGGAAGGTGAGGGCCCACCAGGCCGACCAGCCTGCAGGGCGCTCCTGCCCAGTACGAGTGCCCGGCCCGTGTGGACACAGGCTCCAACCCGTGTCTATGTCTCCCCTTCTCCAGCACTTTTCTTCCTCCCTGTGTCTTTCTCCCTTTAGCTGGCTCTCTTTCCTTCTCTCTCCCTCTCTGATTTTGTCCCCCTTGCCAGAACTCAGCCCTTCCTTGCACTCAGTCAGTTCTCTTTGCACATTTCCCCATGCTGGGGACACTGGCACGGGTCAGACCCAGGCCCTGCCCAGCAGGGGCTCAGTCTGTGGGGTGGTGGGGAGGAGGCACTTACAGACCAGAAGCAGTTAATACAGGCCAGACAGCAGTCCCAGTGCAGGGAGAATGCCGGAAAAAGACTGACCATATTGTGGAGGGATGGAGACGACTTTTCTGGAGAGAGAACATTTAGGAGCTTCTTAAGGGCCAGGGAAAGGTAATATCCAGGCAGAGGGGCCCAAAGATGAACGTGCAGAAAAGTCAGGAGTCTTGTGGGGATGAAGATCGGTAATTTAGGGTCAGGATATAGAATGTGGGGGGCGGGGGATGGAAAATGAAGAGGGAGAGGCAGGTGGGGGCTGTGGCCTCTAATGTCATGCTGGACTTTCTCTTGAACATGATGGGGAGTTGGGAGAAAAATTGTGGGCAGGGGAGGGACAGTGTCAGCTCTGGGTGCCAGAAAGACCCCCCTGTAGACATGGAGGGGAGGCCAGAAGGTGAGGGAGGAACTTGGCAATGCAATAGGTGGGACATGATGAGGCCTGACCTGGGACCAGGAAAGGAGGGAATGAGCCAGACAGATTCAGGGGCAGGAGGAGCAGGACTTAGGGACCCAAGGCTTTTCAGGGTGAAGGGCAAGAAGAAGGTGAGGACAGTGCCCAAGGGTCTGGCTCGATGAACTGGATGGGATGGCAGGGCCATCCCTAATATGGTGGAAGACACTAAGCTCAGTTGGAATATGGTTGACTATTAAGGCCCTGAGGGGCAGCCAGGAGCAGGTGAGAACTTGAGTCAGGCTCAGGGGAGAGACCTTGGGTTGGAGATGGAGTTTTGGATGGAGCATTAAGGAGCACTGAAACTTTGGCCGTGAGGAGGCTTGCCTGGCAAGAGAGTGCAGGGTGGAGCTTCAAGGGATACCCAGATTTACAAGTGAAGGGGAGAAGGCAGAGGAGCAGAAGTCTGCAGTCAGACAGCTGGGGACCTGGAGAGCTTCTGCGGTGCCTAGAATGTCAAGGGAAGAGAAGGTTGTTTTTTTTTTTTGAGACGGAGTCTTGTTCTATCACCCAGGCTGGAGTGCAGTGGTGTGATCTTGGCTCACTGCAACCTCTGCCTCCCGGGTTCAAGCAATTCTCCTCCCTCAGCCTCTTGAGTAGCTGGGATTACAGGCGTGCGCCACCATACCTGGCTAATTTTGTCTTTTTTTTTTTTTTTTTGAGATGGAGTCTTGCTCTGTCGCCCAGGCTAGAATGCAATGGCGCGATCTCAGCTAACTGCAACCTCCACCTCCCGGGTTCAAGTGATTCTCCTGCCTCGCATCCCCAGTAGCTGGGATTATAGGCACCTGCCATCACCCCCGGCTAGCCTGGCTAATTTTTGTATTTTTAGTAGAGACGGGGTTTTGCCATGTTGGTCAGGCTTGTCTCAAACCCCTGACTTCAGGTGATCTGCCCGCCTCGGCCTCCTAAAGTGCTGGGATTACAGGCGTGAGCCACTGCGCACCCGGCCAAGGGAAAGAGAAGTTTCTAAGAAAGGGCTGGGAGTGGTGGCTCACATCCATAATGTCAGCATTTTGGGAGGCCAAGGTAGGAGGATCGCTTGAGCCCAAGAGTTTGAGATCAGATTGGGCAACATAGCAAGACCCCATCTCTACAAAAAATCTTAAGAAAATTAGCCAGGTGTGGTGGCACATGCCTGTAGTCCCAGCTACTCAGGAGGCCGAGGCAGGAGGTTTCCTTGAGCCCAGGAGTTCAAGGCTGCAGTGAGCTGTGATGGTGCCACTGCACTCCAGCCTGGGAGAGAGAGATGGCTCACGCCTGTAATCCCAGCACTTTGGGAGGCTGAGGCAGGCAGATCACAAGGTCAGGAGTCCAAGACCAGCCTGGCCAATATGGTGAAACCCCGTCTCTACTAAAAATACAAAAATTAGCCAGATGTGGTGGTGTGCGCCTGCAGTCCCAGCTACTTGTGAGGCTGAGGCAGAAGAATTGCTTGAACCCAGGAGGTGGAGGTTGCAGTGAGCCGAGATCGTGCCACTGCGCTCCAGCCTGGGTGACAGAGCAAGACTCCATCTCAAAAAATAATAATGATAATAATGATAAAAGAAGGACTCGGCCTATCATGTAACGGCCCCCAAAGCTGAGATCTGAATCTAAGCAGTCACTCAGTTGAGAGCTGCGGGGGTGTATGCGATGGTGGTGGGGGGAGTGATTATCCCTTTAAACAGCCACTGGGGGAGGGGGTTCTGGAACCCCTGGCCTCACAGAGACCCAGCCTCCCTCCCCCCGTCTCTCTGGGCTCTGTGTCTAAGGAGCCCTAGGGCACTGGGTGTGAGTCACTTAGGTGGGCCTGTGTGGAGGGGTGTCTGGGGAGGACATTGAACAGGCTGGGCTGAAAGGGCGTTCGGCTGTCGGGGGAGGTCTCTGGGAAGACAGGTTCCTCACAGCAAAGCCTGTGGTGAAGGTCTCAGAGGCCTCTCAGGGGAAGTCTCAAGGTCTCCAGTAAGGGGAACGAGGTCTGGAGGGAGGAGGTTGTGGATCCTCAGGCAGGGTTGTTGAGGGAGGGGGGTCTCCAGGTCCCCAGAAGCAGGGACCTCAGGCAGGAGTACCAGGGGAGGAGTGTGGAGGAAGCGGGCTCCTCAGCTGGGGGCCTCGGGGTAGGAAAGGCCTGGGCCCATCCTGCCCTTGTGGCCCCCGGCTGCAGCCTCAGTGGCATGGGGGTGAAGCGGAGCCTCCAGAGTGGGGGCATTCTGCTCAGCCTCGTGGCCAACGTCCTCATGGTGCTCTCCACGGCCACCAACTACTGGACCCGCCAACAAGAGGGCCACAGTGGCCTGTGGCAGGAATGCAACCACGGCATCTGCTCCAGCATCCCCTGCCAGAGTGAGGCTCCGCCCGCCCAGATGTCAGAGGGCATTTCAGACCCCCAGGGCTCGGGACACACAGCTGGGCCCATGGCGAGACGCCCACCCCTTCCACCCCGGGCTCAGTTGCAGCTGTCCCTTGTCGGCCGAGGCCGCCACGAACCCCGCCCCTCGACTTGTGGGCTTGTCCCCGACCCCCTCCCCGTCCTGGTAGCGGCAGTAACCGCAGGTCCTGATGTGACCTCCAAGTCTCAATCCAAACGCCTGACTCCCGGTCGGTGGAGCTCGGCTCCTGGCCACACACCGGGTTGGGGGCAGGAGACGGGAGAGCTTCCGGTTGCGGCCGAACCCGTAGTGACTGGGGCGGCGCCCGCGGGGGCTGATGCGCCCGCTCTCCCCAGCCACGCTGGCGGTGACTGTGGCGTGCATGGTGCTGGCGGTGGGTGTCGGCGTGGTGGGCATGGTGATGGGACTGCGGATTCGGTGCGACGAGGGCGAGTCGCTGCGGGGCCAGACCACGAGCGCCTTCCTCTTCCTCGGCGGTGAGACTGCAGACCGCCCCAGGCGGGCAGGCAGGGGCGGGCCCTGGGTGATGGAGGGGCCTGGTCGCCAGGGGAGGGGCTTGAGGTACTCGGCCAGGATCCGAGGGGCAGGGCTGGAAGAAGCCGAGAGAGGTGGGCGGGGCTCGAGACAGAGTTCAGAGCGGGAGGAGCAGGAAGGGGCCTGGGCCAGGGGCGGGCTGAGAGGCGATAGGCGTGGTCTGATAGAAGGGGGCGGGTCTGAAGGGGCGTGGCCTGGGTGCAGCCCCCACCAGGCCCAGCTAGCTCATCTTGCGGCTGGGCGGGGCCCAGGACTGCTGCTGCTGACCGCCTTGATAGGCTACACCGTGAAGAATGCGTGGAAGAACAACGTCTTCTTCTCTTGGTCCTATTTTTCTGGGTGGCTGGCCTTACCCTTCTCAATTCTCGCGGGTAAACTGGACAGCGGGAAGAGGGTGGAGGAGACTGCCCAGAAGACCCTCACCCCAGAGGCTCCCCAGCTGCCCTCCCAGGAAACCCCGGGGACCTCTCGGGGACTCCCCAACACACTAACGACTCCCGCAGACCCGGCAGAGACCCCCTTGGAGCCCCAAACCCCAGTCCCCGGGGCCCTCCCGGCCATCCGCCCCAGGGCCCACCTTCCTCTCCCTGCTCCGCACCCCCGTCCCCCCAGGCTTCTGCTTTCTGCTGGCAGACATGATCATGCAGAGCACCGACGCCATCAGTGGATTCCCCGTGTGTCTGTGACTGCAGCCTGCCTGGGGCAGAATAAAGGAACGGCTTTTTTTAGCGCTGCGGCTCCGCGTGCTTTTCTGCGGGTCGTGGGGACGCAGGCACGGGGTTGCATAGAGGCTCAGGGAAGACATAAGGACATGAACTCATAGGGAACGTGGAGACAGGGAGACACAGACATGGAGACACAAGTCTCCATGGATTGGGATGGGAACAGGGACATGTGGGAGGGGCGGGGCCAGGAGGGGACGTGGGCCTTTGGAGAGGGTGTGGAGAGGCTGTGGGGACGACATGGAGGTGAAGTAGAGACACGGACAGGGGAGGATACGGATATGGAAGGGACAGGGAACACGGGGATGGAGAGAGTGGAGAGACCGACGCGCGAGGATTCAGAGGCGTGGGAATACGAGTACCGCGACTTGGAGAGGCCGGGAAGAAGTGGGGGATCTGGAGAGGGAGAGCAGATCCGGGGATACCGGGAAGTGTTTATAGGACCGGGAGGATCTATAAACTCCGGGCGCGCTTCCCTCCAGTGCACGACCTTTCCCCTAGTTCTCTGCCCTGCCCTCTCCGCCAGGCCTTTCCTTCTCTCTCCAGGTCCCGCTCGCTCCCCGAGATCCGCTTCCCATTGGTTTGCATTGCTTGCCACACCTCCCTTCCTTCCGGCCTCTCGATTGGTCCTCTGTCGGGGAGGCGGGCTCTGCAGCGGTTGACTGGCTGACCGTGCTGCGCGCAGGCGCAGAGAGGGGCGCGGGGGGCGGGGGTGGTGGGGCTTCTGGACTGAGCCGCTGAGGGTGCGGGCTGACCCTGTAAGTGGCTGCGGCGGGAAGATGGCGGAGCTGCGCGTGCTCGTAGCTGTCAAGAGGGTCATCGACTACGCCGTGAAGGTGATCGGGCCCCCCTCTCCCACATCCCTGAGTCCCGCAGCCGTGTGCTTCCGGGGCCACGAGCGCACACTGGGTGGGGGTCTTCTCGTAACCCCCGACCTCTGCCGCTTTAACCCCCAAACGTCAAAGTCACCTGAGGGCAAAAATCCAAGAGTGAAGTTCTAACATCCGATCCCTCCGGGGTCACGGCCATGTTCTCTTTTCCCTCGTTCTGGATTCACTCTCTTGATAACTGTTCAGAGTGAGTTGCTTTCTCTATTTCTTACCCACTGGAAGAAGTCACGGTCCCTGTTTAATGCACGGAGAAACTGAGGCACAGAGAGGTCACCCAGCTAGAGAAGGGCAGAGCCGAGAGTTCTATCCAGGTTCCTCTGACTGCTTTCACCCACTAGGCTGCATTACTTACCATTGTACTCTTATATTACCCGAAATGTGCTATAGAGGGAGTCAGACAGGGTCCTGTGGGGCCCCAGAAGCTGCTTTCCACCCTCCATAGCCACAGGGTGAGCCAGGAGGCTCTAGCTAGGGAGAGAGAAGTGTGTTTGCTAGAGATGAAAGTTCAAGGAGCCAACCTGACTGAGCTGGGGGTAGCTCACATTCTCCATGAAAGAGGTGGGGGAGGGTGCTCTCAGCGCCTGGCTTGTTGTCCCCAGAGGGAAGCTGGTGTGGACAGAGGTGAATCAGACACGGTCTCTCAGGCCCGTTTCTCTCAATGCTTGGCCTGAACTGGACTGAAGATGGTGACTGTCTGTCCATGTCTGTCCTTCCCATCAGCCTGGGGACTTACCTCCGTGTCCCCAGCATTACCTAGCGCAGGGCCTGGCACCCTGGAGGCCTCAGGGTGGGCAAAACCAGGGTCACAAAGTTGACACTGATACTGCCCCTGCCTGCTTAGGGAGTGGGCTGGGGAAGAGGGTACAGGAGCCAGACTTGAGCATGAAAGTGTCAGTGATGATAGCAGCCAGCATTTAGCGGGTACTTACGTGGCAGGCATCGTTCCAAGTCCTTTGCAGAGATTAACCCATTCAGTCCTTTCAGTACCCTTTGTATTATTTATTATTTATTTTTATTTTTTGAGACGGAGTTTTGCTCTTTTTGCCCAGGCTGGAGTGCAATGGCGCAGTCTTGGCTCACTGCAACCTCAGCCTCCCGAGTTCAAGCAATTCTCCTACCTCAGCCTCCCAGGTAGCTGGGATTACAGGCATGTGCCACCACACCTGGCTAATTTTTTGTATTTTTAGTAGAGATGGGGTTTCACCATGTTGGTCAGGCTGGTCTCAAACTCCAGACCTCAGGTGATCCACCCGCCTGCCTCGGCCCCCCAAAGTGCTGGGATTACAGGTGTGAGCCACCGTGCCTGGCCGACCCTTTGTATTATTAATTCCATTGGATAGATGAGGAAACTGAGGCCTGTCAGATCTCCCAGCCAGTAAGTGGCAGAGTTACGATCGAAACCCCGGGCAAGTCTGGCTCTAGACTCTGCTCTCCCATCTCCCTCAATGCCCCCTGTCCTAATGATGCCTCTGGCAGCACATGACAGGGATGTCACCTGTAGCCCTTTTGAGACACATTCCTCTTGGGGTCCTGGGACCCAACACTTGGTTTCCTCCCTGCTCTGACTGTTCGTTACTGTCACATCTTTGGAGTCCTACAGCTCCCTGGGCCTCTTCTCTCCATCCCAGCCCTGGCCTTCCACGCCTGGCATGTCTGGGATTGGATCCGTCTCCCCCATGGTGCAGGCCCACGTTTGACTCAGCTCTGGTCCCAGCATCACTCAGCACAGAGCCTGGCACATGGATGTCTCTGGTGTGCTCAGGGAGAGAACAGAGGGGAAGCGTGAAGGCCGCGTTGAATCAGCTACTGTCCTTTCCAGAGGGTGCTGCCTTCCCCTCCCGCAGTGCCCCAGGGCTCCCTGCATTACATCCTGTCTCACTGGATGTGTCTGTTGATGTCCTTTTCAGAACAAATAAATGATTCAGACCCTGCCAGCTTCCTAAACACCAGATTAGACCTGGGTACTGTCCCACCCTCTTTCCCTTCTCCCAAAGCTGTCAGTTCTCCACCCCCCACCCTTCTTGCCCTATTGTCTCTTGGTGTCATTGTCTCACCTGGACCCTCACCCGGGTCCTCCCTCACTCCCAGTCTCTCCCTCTCAGCCCACCTCTACCCAGCCTTAGGGGCCTTTCTGCACCCAGAGCTCACCCTGCTCTCCCCTGCTCCCAGCCTGCCTGTGGCTCCCCAGCACCCTCAGGACAGAGTCGCAGCCCCTCTGCCTGGCATTTGGGATGCTTTGTGGTCCAGCCTCCTCTTCATGGTCTGCTTCAGCCGTCCACTTCCCTCCTTGGACCCTCCCTTACCCTTTGTGCTTCTGCCACTGTGACCTGCTCCTCCTGTCCTGACAGACCAGGCCGCGGCTTGCCCGTTCCATGCCTTCTTCCAGCACCACCCTCCTACCTCTGCTTTCTGTCCTTTGTCCTGCCCAACTCCAACTCATGGATTATATCAAAATCTAGTGATTCTCGGCCAGGCGCGGTGGCTCACACCTCTAATCCCTGCACTTTGTGAGGCTGAGGCGAGTGGATCAGTTGAGGTCAGGAGTTTGAGACCAGCCAGGCCAACATGGTGAAACCCCATCTCTCCTAAAAATAAAAAAATTAGCCAGGCATGGTGGCACGTATCTGTAGTCCCAGCTACTCGGGAGGCTGAGGCAGGAGAATCGCTTGAACCTGGGAGGCAGAGGTTGCAGTGAGCCAGGATTGTGTCCCTGTACTCCAGCCTGGGTGACAGAGCTAGACTCAGTCTCAAAATAATAATAATAATAATTTAGTGATTCTCCCTGGCATCGCCTCCTCCAGGAAGCCCCTGACCCTACACCCTCAGGTTGCCTTGGTATATCCCTGGGGGCTTCTGCAGTCCCTAGATTTGCTTCCATCAGCCCTCGCCAGACTGGATTGGGATCCTCTGTTTACCCCATGTTCCCCACTGCCCTACTCCATCATCCCCAGGCTGGTAGCTCCCTGCAGAGAGGGGCCATGTCTGATCCACCTCTGTTCCCAGAATCACGTGCTCACTCCCTGACCTCTTTCACCTCCTTTTCAAACATCACCTTCTCTGGGAGGACTTCCCTGCTTGCCTCCTTAAAATCACAGGCCCCAGGTCCCTGTGTTTTGCTGTGTTTTCCCCTATACTTAGCAACTAGAAAGGGAGAGGAAAGTATGTTTGCTAGAGATGAAAGTTCAAGGAGCCAACCTAACTGAGTGGAGGGAGTGACTCACATTCTCCATGAAGGAGGTGGGAGCAGGGGCACCCTCTGAGAGCCCAGCTTGTCCCCAGAGGGAAGCTGGTGTGGACACTTTGTAATCCACAGTGTTGTTTACTTATTGATTGCTCTGGTGTCTGTCGCCCCTTCTGGAATTTGAGCTCCAGGTGTGGGGGAGACAGTTTGATGTGGTCACTGCTTCCTGAGACAGTGGGTTCACTACTAGAATAGTGCAGACCTCAGACTCCAAGCCCAGCGCCTGCGTCCACTTCCTGCTGTGTGACCTTGAGGAAATTGCTTCACCACTCTAAGCCTCATTTTTCTACTCTGTACAATGGGGATGATGGTACTATCTACTTTATTGAGTTGTAATGAAAATTAAATAAGCCCTTGGAACAGTGCCTGGCACACAGTGGTTTGTTTTGTTTTATTTTTTGAGACGGAGTCTATCTCTGTTGCCCAGGCTGGAGTGCAGTGGCATGATCTCAGCTCACTGGAACCTCCACTTCCCAGGTTCAAGCAACTCTGCCTCAGCCTCCTGAGTAGCTGGGATTACACGTGTGAGCCACCACGCCTGGCTAATTTTTGTATTTTTAGTAGAAACGAGGTTTTGCTATGTTAGCCAGGCTGGTCTAGACCTCCTGACCTCAGGTAATCCACCCGCCTCAGCCTCCCAACGTGCTGGGATTACAGGTGTGAGCCACTGTGACCAGCTGCAATAAGTGTTTTTATTGGGAGTAGTAGTAATGGATGTTTAGTTAGTCATTTATTCAAAACATAACAAATGCTGTGCTCAGAGTGTATTCGTGTGTGTGTGTGTGTGTGTGTGTGTGTGTGTGTGTGTGTGTATGTGTGTCCGGCTGTGTGTATGTTTCTGGGTATGTGCGTGTATCTAACATTTTAATAGGTATTTGGCAACTCAGTAACACCCTGTCCTGTTCAGGGGCACATTTTACAGGAAGCTGATGAAGCTTAACCTTCAGGGCCTCTTTCAAGACCCCAGGAGAAAGGCTGGGCCTGGTGGCTCACGCCTGTAAACACACACTTTGGGAGGCTGAGGTGGGTGGATCACGAGGTCAGGAGTTCAAGACCATCCTAGCCAACAGAGTGAAACTCTGTCTCTACTAAAAATACAAAAATTAGCTGGGCATGGCGGCGCGTGCCCGTAGTCCCAGCTACTCGGGGGGCTGAGGCAGAAGAATCGCTTGAACCAGGGAGGCGGAGGTTGCAGTGAACCGAGATCGTGCCACTGCACTCCAGCCTGGGTGACAGAGGGAGACTCCGTCTCACAAAAAAAAAAAAAAAAAAAAAAACCCAGGAGAGGCTGGGCAATTTTGTATTCATTATCTGGGATTCATTTTCTTAGAGATGACCCCACAGGATAGAAACTCCAGGCCCAGAAAACGTGTTTCCATCTCGGGGCCCAACCCCGACCAGCCACACCCTCTCGTCTGGGAGCGCCTGGTGTTTCTTCAGGTTTTCCTCTTTGGGCTCCACGCACTTGCCCCTCCTGCTCTCAGCAAGGCCACCTTGTCTGACAGGGCACACGTGGGGCTCACATGTCACCTCAGGGACGAGTTCTCTGTCTGCCCCCCGCCGAGTTAGTGATCTGTCACTGGGGTGGCTCCCTGGCCTTGGCTGTCCTGCTTGCTGAGTGCCCTAGCACGTGCCCAGGGACTCGCTTGACAGAAAAGCCTAGAGGACAGAACCACACAAGTCCTTGAGCTGTGTCAGGGGTTCAGGAAGAGCTGTCGAAAATCACTTTATAAAATCCCTCTTGGGCCGGGCGTGGTGGCTCACACCTGTAATTCCAGCATTTTGGGAGGCCGAGGTGGGCGGATCACCTGAGGTCAGGAGTTCGAGACCAGCCTGGCCAACATGACGAAACCCCATCTCTACTAAAAATAAAAAAATTAGCCAGGCGTGGGCCGGGCGCGGTGGCCCACACGTGTAATCTCAGCACTTTGGGAGGCTGAGGCGGGTGGATCACAAGGTTAGGAGATTGAGACCATCCTGGCTAACACGGTGAGACCTTGTCTCTACTAAAAATACAAAAAATTAGCCAGGCGTGGTGGCAGGCGCCTGTAGTCCCAGCTACTGGGGAGGCTGAGGCAGGAGAATCGCTTGAACCCAGAAGGTGGAGTTTGCAGTGAGCCAAGATCATACTACTGCACCCCAGCCTGGGCAACAGAACAAGACTCTGTATCAAAAAGAAAGAGAAAGAGAGAGAGAGAGAGAGAGAGAAAGAGAGAAAGAAAAGAGAAGAGAAGAAAATCCCTCTTGCCTGCAGTGGACAACAAATAGGAAGACTGGCTCTCCTAACACCGTGGGCACACGTAGCCTCTTTCAGAGTCTCACAGTTCCCAAGACAGATTTGGGGTTAGACCCGTGGTCCTGCCACTTCCATGCTCAGTGGCCCTGGCCAAGGTACTTGGCCTCTCTGTGCCTCAGTTGCCTCATCTGTAAAATGAGAGGTAATGGCAGTAACCAACCTCACAGGCTACTAGGATGGTCAAACGAGTTAATGCATATAAAACCCTTGACTCGTTGTCTGCATGGGTCAGTGCTGCTTTTAAAAAAATTTTTTTTTTCTTTTCTTTTTTTTTTTTTGAGATAGAATCTGGTCTGTCACCCAGGCTGGAGTGCATTGATGTGATCCCTGCTCACTGCAACCTCCACCTCCCGGGTTCAAGTGATTCTCCTCCCTCAGCCTCCCAACTAGCTGGAATTACAGGCATGTGCTAAAACGCTCGACTAATTTTTGTATTTTTAGTAGAGATGGGGTTTTACCATGTTGGCCAGGCTGGTCTCGAACTCCTGACCACAAGTGATCCACCCACCTCAGCCCCACAAAGTGCTGGGATTACAGGTGTGAGCCGCCACGCCCAGCTTTGAGGCTGTTTTTGATATTGGTGGATATGTCGTCTCTTTAAGAGAAAGCCAGCACTTAATGCTGAATGATTTACCTCAATTATAAAACTTTTTTTTTTTCTTTTTGAGACAAGGTCTAGCTCTGTCACCCAGGCTAGAGTGGTACAGTCACAGCTCGCTGCAGCCTCGACCCTCCTGGGTTCAAGCCGTCCTCCCACCTCAGCCTCCTCAGTAGCTGGGACTACAGGTGCACGCCACCATGACCTGCTAATTTTGTTTTTTGGTAGAGATGAAGTCTCTCTATGTTGCCCAGGCTGGTCTTGAAATCCTGGGCTCCAGTGATCCTCCTTCCTCAGTCTCCTAAGGTGCTGGGATTACAGGCATGAGCCATCATTATTTAAAAAACAAACAAGCTATCATTTTTCAGCCCTACCATTGTTTCCTGACTTATGTAATATAACTAAACTGTTTTTGAAGCTTAAAATCAACTCAAGCTTAATTGAGAAGATGAGCTAGTTTGTTTCCTCAGGTGTGTGTGCGTGCGTGTGTGTGTGTGTGTCTGGAAAGTTCTTACCCTTTCTCCTCAGGAGTCAGGAGCCTGGGAATCAGGAGCTTAGGGCTGGGAGTTCTGCCAGAGCAAGAGCAAGATGTGGCTTGAGGCCCTTCAGAAGCCTCCCTGACTCACAGCAAGAAGCTTGGGGCCTCTTACTGATGGGTGGATGAGGTTCTTTTCTGTCTTAAAGGGGCAACTCCTATGTTGTGTTTTTTTTTTTAAGAAAAAAGGCCAGGCACTGCGACTCACACCTGTAATCCCATCACTTTGGTAGGCTGAAGCAGGCGGATCACTTTAGGCCAGGAGTTCCAGACCAGCCTGGGAAACACGGGGAAATCCTTTCTCTACAAAAAGTAAAAAAAAAAAAATTAGCCCGGCATGATGGTGCCCGCCTGTGGTCCCAGCTACTGGGGAGGCTGAAGTGGGAGGATCACCTGAGCCCGGGAGGTGGAGGTTGCAGTAAGGCAAGGTGGCACCTCTGCACTCCAGCCTGGGCAACGAGAGAGATGAAAATAACAGTTCTTTCTCTTTCCTCTCCTCTTCCAGCTCCTTCTCCTCTTTCTCCTTTTTCTTTTTCTTTTTCTTTTTTGAGATGAGGTCTTGCTCTGTCACCCAGGTTACATGTAGTGGCATGATCACGGCTCACTGCACCCTTGACCTCCTGGGCTCAGGTGATCCTCCCGCCTCAGCCTCCTGAGTAGCTGGGACTACAGGTGTGTGCCACCATACCTGGCTGTTTTTTTTTTTTTTTTTTTGTTGTTGTTTGTTTGTTTGTTTTGAGGCGGAGTCTTGCTCTGTCGCCCAGGCTGGAGTGCCGTGGCGCAATCTTGGCTCATTACAACCTCCACCTCCTGGGTTCAAGCAATTCTCCCTGCCCCAGCCTCTGAGTAGCTGCAATTACAGGCGTGCACTACCATGCCCGGCTAATTTTTTATTTTATTTTTATTTTTAGTAGAGATGGGGTTTTGCCATGTTGGCCAGGCTGGTCTTGAACTCTTGACCTCAGGTGATCCGCCCACCTTGGCCTCCCAAAGTGCTGGGATTACAGGCATGAGCCACCACGCCCAGCTGTTTTTGTTTTTGTTGTTGTTGTTTGTAGAACCTGTTGCCCAGGCTAGTATCCAACTCCTGGGCACAAGTGATCCTCCCACCTTGGCCTCCCAAATTTCTGGGATTACAGACAGGAGCCACTGCGCCCGGTCTCAGTCCTCCATCTTTTAATGTTACCCTCTCCATGAGGCACAGCCAGAGTGGGAAGCCCCTTATGGGTCCCACCTTCTCATCTCGGATTCTGTCCTGCCTGTGGGAGGAACAGTTACACCCACAGCCCCAGAGAAAAAGGGGCAGGGAAATAGCAAGAGCATCCCAGTGTCCTCACCAGGCTCAGCTGCCACCCGAGATCTGCTCTGGCCAAGCCCTGGGTGGCGGCCACATGGGAGAAGAGGAAGAGGGCAGGCTCCAGGCCAAATGGGGCAGCTCCCTAGCAAGGCTTCTGTGGATGTCCCTGGAGGCTTTTTAAAAATTTGTGCCCCAAACCAAACTCGCCGTCTTCCCGGCTCTGGCTGATGTACTGACTGGAAGCCCCTTTTTGGTGTCATCTTCCCATCACGAACCATGGCCTGTCAGTTGCACCTCCAGAAACCTCTTGCATCTGTCTCTGCTGTCACAGCTGTCTGAGCCACTGTCACCTCTCACTTTGGTGACAAACAGCCACCCAGCTCTCTCCCCACTTCCTCTCATCCTTTTCCAATTTTCTCCACCAAGAATCCAGAATGACCTTATAAAAACTCAGGTTGGGCCAGGAGCGGTGGCTCACGCCTGTAATCCCCTGCCTTTGAGAGGCCGAGGTGGGTGGATCACCAGAGATCGGGAGTTCGAGACCAGCCTGGCCAACATAGTGAAACCCTGTCTCTATTAAAAATACAAAAAATTAGCTGGGCGTGGTGGTGGGCACCTGTAATCACAGCTACTCAGGAGGCTGAGGCAGGAGAATCGCTTGAACTGGGGAGGCAGAGGTTGCAATGAGCTGAGATCATGCCACTGCTCTCCATCCTGGACAACAGAGCAAGACTCCATCTCAAAAAAAAAAAAAAAAAGAAAGAAAGAAAAAAAGGATTGTGGTGGGCCAAGAAATAAAATAGCCCTCCAAAACAGCCAGGTTTCAATCCCTGGCACCTGAGAAGGGGAAATCACTTAGAAACAGGGTCTTTGCAGGCTGGCCATGTTGGCTTATGCCTGTAATCCCAGCACTTTGGGAGGCCGAGGAGAGCAGATCACCTGAGGTCAGGAGTTCAAGACCAGCCTGGCCAACATGGTGAAACCCTGTCTCTACTAAAAATACAAAAATTAGCCAGGCGTGGTGATGCATGCCTGTAATCCCAGCTACTTGGGAGGCTGAGGCAGGCAAATTGCTTGAACCCGGGAGGCAGAGGTTGCAGTGAGCCGAGATTTCACCACTGTACTCCAGCCTGGGCGACAGAGCGAGAGCCCATCTAAAAAAAAAAAAAAAAGAAATTAGAAACAGGGTCTTTGCAGATGTGATTAAATTAAGCATCTTGAGATGGGGGCATTATCCTGGATTATTTAGGTGGGCCCTGAATGCCATCTCAAGAGTCCTTATAAGAGAGAGACAGAGGGAGACTAGACACGCAGAGAGAGGAGAAGGCCACGTGAAGACAGAGCTGAGGATGCTGGCATTGAAGATAAAGCGATGCAGCCACAAGCCAGGGAGTGTCAGCAGAAGCTGGAGGAGGCAAGAAACGTGTTCCTCCCGGGGCCTGCAGACCCCTTGGTCTCACCCTGGTGACACTGACTTTGGACTTCTGGCCTCCAGAGCTGTAAGATTCTAAGCCACCAAATATATGGTGATTTGTTACGGCAGCCGAGAGAAACTAATAGGAGAGTGGTTAGTGGTTCACGCTACACCCTGGTCTACACCGGAAGCCTCTCTCCCTGGCACATGATGGTGTCCCCAGGATCCAGCTCAGAGCCAGGCACACAGTGGGGCCCAGGAGAGACAAAAATGATGTGCAGAAGCAAATGGGTGGGGTTTGCCACCCACCTCCCTTACCTCCCTTGTCTGTTTAGCAAAGAGGTCTTTCATGCTGGTGTTTTCCAAATTAGGTTGTGACCATGTGTGATCATGACATCCAGGCAGAGGGCTGGCATTTTTCCGAAAAAGGGTAGAAAATGTCAGAGTATGGTGTGTGTGTAGGCAGGGTCAGTATTGGTCACTGACCCTTACACTGCAGTGGCATTTGTGAAATAGGTCAGGGTCACTGGTCACGTTGTCTAAGGTGTTATCCGAGCTCGTTTCACAACCAAGAGAATTAAAGAGCATAGACCACCCAAAAGGTGAGGTTGGAGCGAAAGTTTAATAAGCAAAAGAAGAAAGCTCTCCACAGAGGAGAGGGAAGCCCAAGCGGGTTGCCATTTTTACAGTTGATTCCAAAAGCTTTTTTTTTAAAAAATTATTTATTTATTTATTTTTTATTATTATACTTTAAGTTTTAGGATACATGTGCACAACGTACAGGTTTGTTACATGTGTTTATATGTGCCATGTTGGTGTGCTGCACCCAGTAACTCGTCCTTTAGCATTAGGTATATCTCCTAATGCTATCCCTCCCCCCTCCCCCCACCCCACGACAGTCCCCGGTGTGTGATGTTCCCCTTCCTGTGTCCATGTGTTCTCATTGTTCAATTCCCACCTATGAGTGAGAACATGCGTTGTTTGGTTTTCTGTCCTTGCGATAGTTTGCTGAGAATGATGGTTTCCAGCTTCATCCATGTCCCTACAAAGGACATGAACTCATCATTGTTTATGGCTGCATAGTATTCCATGGTGTATATGTGCCACATTTTCTTAATCCAGTCTATCATTGTTGGACATTTGGGTTGGTTCCAAGTCTTTACTATTGTGAATAGTGCCGCAATAAACATATGTGTGCATGTGTCTTTATAGCAGCATGATTTATAATCCTTTGGGTATATACCCAGTAATAGGATGGCTGGGTCAAATGGTATTTCTAGTTCTAGATCCCTGAGGAATCACCACACCGACTTCCACAATGGTTGAACTAGTTTACAGTCCCACCAACAGTGTAAAAGTGTTCCTTTTTCTCCACATCCTCTCCAGCACCTGTTCTTTCCTGACTTTTTAATGATCGCCGTTCTAACTGGTGTGAGACGGTATCTCATTGTGATTTTGATTTGCATTTCTCTGATGGCCAGTGATGATGAGCATTTTTCATGTGTTTTTTGGCTGCATAAATGTCTTCTTTTGAGAAGTGTCTATTCATATCCTTCGCCCACTTTTTGATGGGGTTGTTTGTTTTTTTCTTGTACATTTGTTTGAGTTCATTGTAGATTCTGGATATTAGCCATTTGTCAGATGAGTAGGCTGCAAAAATTTTCTCCCATTCTGTAGGTTGCCTGTTCACTCTGATGGTTAAACTAAAGAGCTTCTGCACAGCAAAAGACACCAAAAGCTTTTATAAGAAACTCCTTTCATCTCTGTAGCTGTTTGAGTATCTTATCTGTAAAGCTATCTGCATAACTCTCCGTTATCTATGTAGTTGTGGGTACGTCTTTAGGCAAGCACAAAGCTCCGCTTCTCTTGTTTCTGTAACCGTGGGTTTGTTTTAGGTAAGCTCCGCCCCTCCCCGTGCAAGTTCCCACAGAGACCACCATGTACGTGCCTGAAAAGGGGAGGGAACTTTTCCTGGGAGCCTGTCAGTCACGCAAAGAACAAAAGGCTTCTGTGCTGGGCAGCTTGAGTTTTCCCCAGGCTGCTCTATTGTTGCCTGTAGCTGTGATTTTTCAGGCAGGCTGCTCCTCTGAGGACCACCCTTAACTGTCTACCTAACTGGTTTTTCCTTTTCTTCTCCTCATTTGTATTTATGTATCAGTGTATTATGTATTTATATACACTTGGAGATACAGTAAAATGTACCTCTCACTGTGGGTTACCATAAATACTGTAAATTTGAGAAACACTCTTTCAGGCCTGAGAGGAGCAGTGACAACAGTAGGGATGATCAAGTCAGATGTCCCTGGTACCCAGGAATGGCTGGATGAGAGAAGGAGACAGGGTGACCTGCCCCTGCCTACAAACTCTAACCCAGTTCTGTCCCTGGAGCTGTGTGACCCCGGACAAGGCCCTGCCCCTTTCCAGGCTGTCGTTGTCCTCATCCAGCCTGGGAGAGGGTTGGCGCTGAGGCCCCCACCTTCTTGCCTGTTTCCTCCTGACCCCACCCCTTCCCCTCCTGCTGGGCAGATCCGAGTGAAGCCTGACAGGACCGGTGTGGTCACGGATGGTGTGAAGCACTCCATGAACCCCTTCTGTGAGATCGCGGTGGAGGAGGCTGTGCGGCTCAAGGAGAAGAAGCTGGTGAAGGAGGTCATCGCCGTCAGCTGTGGGCCTGCACAGTGCCAGGTGATGAAGGTCTTGGGGAGGGGGCTGGACTCCTGGGTCTGACGGAGGAGGGGCTGGGACCTGGACTCCTGGGTCTGAGGGAGGAGGAGGCTGGAAGTCTGGACCCCTGGGTCTGAGGGAGGATGGGCTGATAGCCTGGATTCCTGGGTCTGAGGAAGAAGGGGATGGGGGCCTGGACTCCTGGGTCTGAGGAAGGAGGGGCTGGGGGCCTGGACTCTTGGGTCTGAGGAAGGAGGGGATGGGGCCCTGGACTCCTGGGTCTGAGGAAGAAGGGGATGGGGGCCTGGATTCCTGGGTCTGAGGAAGGAGGGGATGGGGCCCTGGACTCCTGGGTCTGAGGAAGGAGGGGCTGGGACCTGGACTCCTGGGTCTGAGGGAGGAGGAGGCTGGAAGTCTGGACCCCTGGGTCTGAGGGAGGATGGGCTGATAGCCTGGATTCCTGGGTCTGAGGAAGGAGGGGATGGGGGCCTGGACTCCTGGGTCTGAAGAAGGAGGGGATGGGGGCCCGGACTCCTGGGTCTGAGGAAGGAGGGGATGGGGGCCCGGACTCCTGGGTCTGAGGAAGGAGGGGATGGGGGCCCGGACTCCTGGGTCTGAGGAAGGAGGGGATGGGGGCCCGGACTCCTGGGTCTGAGGAAGGAGGGGATGGGGGCCCGGACTCCTGGGTCTGAGGAAGGAGGGGATGGGGGCCCGGACTCCTGGGTCTGAGGAAGGAGGGGATGGGGGCCTGGACTCCTGGGTCTGAGGAAGGAGGGGATGGGGCCCTGGACTCCTGGGTCTGAGGAAGGAGGGGCTGCGAGCCAGACTCCTAGGTCCCCCTGAGGATAGCAGCCAAGTCAAGCCCCTCTGTCCTTGGCAGGAGACGATTCGTACCGCCCTGGCCATGGGTGCAGACCGAGGTATCCACGTGGAGGTGCCCCCAGCAGAAGCAGAACGCTTGGGTCCCCTGCAGGTGGCTCGGGTCCTGGCCAAGCTGGCAGAGAAGGAGAAGGTGGACCTGGTGCTGCTGGGCAAACAGGTAGCTGTGGTCAGCCCTCCCTGTGCCCCCTTGCTCATCCCTGCTCGGGAGGAGGGTGGTGGAGATACGGGGTGAGACAGCAGCTGGCCAGGCCCAGGGCATTCACCACTCCAGGCTGAGCAGCTTGGGACTTTGCTGACCCTTCTGACAGAGAGTTTGAGCAGGGAGGACAGAGTCCCTCTGGGTGTTAGAAAGATCCTCTTGGGCCAGGCACGGTGGTTTACGCCTGTAATCTCAGCACTTTGGGAGGCCGAGGCCAGTGGATCACTTGAGGTCGAGAGTTTGAGATTAGCGTGGCCAACATGGTGAAACCCCATCTCTTCTAAAAATATAAAAATTAGCCGGGTGTGGTATCACCTGCCTGTAATCCCAGCTACTTGGGAGGCTGAGGCATGAGAATCACTGGAACCTGGGAGGCGGAGGTTGCAGTGATACAAGATCGCACCACTGCACTCCAGGCACCACTGCACTCCTGCCTGGGAGCAGAGCGAGACTCTGTCTCAAAAAGAAAAAAAGAAGAAAGATCCTTTTGGGTGAGTTTAGAGGCTGGGAGGCCGAGGTGATGGTCACATGGGGGAGAATGAGGCCTCAGCCAAAGGTGACAGGACAGAGCAGAGACATGATGTGGCAGGAGAGACTGGGCTTAGCATGGGGAGGGAGGGCAGGGAGGAGGCAAGGACAGTGCCTGGGTCTGCCTTGGTAACACAGGTAGGAAACCCAGGAAGAACAGGAGGTTAGAGGAGGATCCTACAAGGGGAGTGTGAAGAGCCCAGGAGACATCGATGCAGGTTCAGGAGACAGGCCTGGGCTTGAAACAAAGACTTGAGAATTTTGGAGGGCACTGGGGAGCTATGGGAGTTCTATGAGCAGAAGAGGGGTGGGATCAGCACTAGGTGCAGAAAGAGCCCCCCTGGGCTTTGAGAATGGACTGGAATGGGAAATTGGAGGCCAGGAGTTAGGGAAGGAGGTTAGGGCTGGGTGAGGACCCGACCAGAACCTTCCCTGCCACACTGGTGCTCCCCACTGAGATAGGGGTACATGGAGCTCATCTGTTCCCCCAGGAGACCCTCGGGCACCACCTCTGCTCAGGGGTAGCTCATCTCATTTGAGGGCAAACCTCATGGCCTCAACCAGGGAAGGGGCAGAAGAGGGACGTCAGAAGAGCCACAGGCAGATGGGAGTGAGAAGAGGCAGGGAATTAGGGATGAGGCTGAGAAGGAAGGCCAAAGACTGCAAGGTATGTCAAGCAGAGCACGGAGACAGCAGAGCACAGCAGGCTCAGGTAGAGCTGGGGCCCCCGGAGAGAGATGGGGATCCCAGGGCCAGGTCAGTTCTGGGACAAAGAGGAGGCTGATGGGTCCAGGTAGGTCACTGGGTGTCCTGCCCAGCCCTGAGAAAGTCAGAAGAAAACAGAGAGAGATTATCAACAGCAGGGGCATCAGAGTACAGATCAGTCAACTGTGGCCGAAGGGCCTACCCGGAGAACAGGCCAAAAAGGCAGGGCCTGGGTGGGGCTGCAGAGGCCGAGGTGCTGGAAGCATGGCCTTTGCAGCCCCCTGCATTTGCTGGTCGTTCTCAGACTCCGATGTCCTACCTGTCCTGGGCCAGGGACAGTTCCTGGGGCCAGGGCCTCCAGCTGGGGAAATGCCGGATGAACTGGTCAGGATGCTGTTTGTTCTAGGAAGCAGATTCACAACTCAAACTGGCTTAAGCCAGAAAGCGAATTTATTATCTCACGTAAATCAGGGGCTTCAGGCACAGCTTGATCCAGGGTCACATATGAGCTGTAGGCTCCCCTCTACCTTGTCTTCACTGTCTGCATCTCCAGGCTCAGATCCCACCAGCC
Source organism: Homo sapiens (assembly GCF_000001405.40). Lineage (NCBI taxonomy): Eukaryota > Metazoa > Chordata > Mammalia > Primates > Hominidae > Homo > Homo sapiens. The sequence continues at coordinate 51,351,285 of NC_000019.10, read as the reverse complement.
CAGTGACCCCAGCAGAAAGAAAGGAGCATCTTTCCCAAGGGCCCCAGCAAACTCCCAGGGCTGACTCTTCTTTGGTGCAGCTTGAGTCATGTGCCCCTCCCTGAACCAATCACTGGGCTGGGGCTAGAATGTCCTTGCTGGCCCAGACCCTGTTCATGCAGCTGCCCAGGGGCCACATAGGGTGGGACTCCTGAGAGGCTTTATACAGAGGGCAGAGACTTGACGACAGGGATGCCAGGTGGCCCCACATGTCCCTGGACAAGTGGCTGCTTATCTCTGGGCCCAAGTGAGGGGATCGTTCTAGACCAAAAGTCAGTGAACTATGGCCCAGAGCGACCTCTGATTTGTAAATAAAGCTTTATTGGAACATCACCACATACATTCATTTACATATTATTTATGGCTGCCTGTGTGCTACAACAGCAGCGCTGAGTCACCGTGACAGAGACCGTATGACCTGCAGAGCCTGAGATATTTACTACATCTGTTCCACCATAGAAAAGGTTTGCCAACCCGACTGGCTGCGGTGACTCATGCCTGTAATCCCAGAGCTTTGGGGGATCATCTGAGGTCAGCAGTTCAAGACCAGCCTGGCCAACATGTTGAAACCCTGTCTCTACTGAAAATACAAAAATTAGCTGGGCGTGGTGTTGGGTGCCTGTAATCCCAGCTACTCAGGAGGCTGAGGCAGGAGAATTGCTTGAACCCAAGAGGCGGAGGTTGCAGTGAGCCAAGATTGTACCATTGCACTCCAGCCTGGGTGACAGAGCAAGACTCCGTCTCAAAAAGAAAAAAAAGAAAGAAAAAGTTTGCCAACCCCTGTTCTAGACAGAGGCCTGAATGGTCCATGAGCTCCACTGATTGTCATACAGTCTTCTGTCTCTCCCCATTCAGGCCATCGATGATGACTGTAACCAGACAGGGCAGATGACAGCTGGATTTCTTGACTGGCCACAGGTGAGACTGGAGTGGGGAGCACCTGCTGAGGGCCAGGCCCTCATCCCTCAAACTTCATTTCTGCCTCAAGGCCTTTGCATTTGCTGTTCTCTCCTCCTGGAACACTGTTCCCTCGGATTGCCTCATGGCTTTCTTGTTCCCCTCCTTGAGGTCTCTGCTGAGGTATCACCTCTTCAAAGGGGCCTTCCTTGCCATCCTACGTGAAATACTCATGCCCACCCGCTCAACTCTAGGTTCCCCAGTCCCCATCTCTGCCAGTCCAATAGAAATGCAGGCTGGGGCCAGGCATGGTGAGTCATGCCTGTAATCCCAGCACTTTGGGAGGCCGAGGCAGGTGGATTACTTGAGGTCAGGAGGAGTTTGAGACCAGCCTGGTCAACATGTTGAAACCTCGTCTCCACTAAAAATTTAAAAATTAGCTGGGTGTGGTGGCGTGCGCCTGTAGTCTCAGCTACTCAGGGGGCTGAGGGAGAATTGCTTGAACTTGGGAGGCGGAGGTTACAGTGAGGCAAGATCGCACGCCACTGCACTCCAGCCTGGCAACAGAGGGAGGCTCCGTCTCAAAAAAAGAAAAAAGAAATGCAGGCTTGGCACAGTGGCTCACACCTGTAGTCCTAGCACTTTGGGAGGCCACGGTGGGAGGATTACTTGAGCCCAGGAGTTCGAGACCAGCCTTGGCAACATAGTTAGACCCCATCTCTACCAAAAAAGAAAAGTTAGCTGGGTGTGATGGCACATGCCTGTAGTACCAGCCTCAGGAGGCTGAGGTGGGAGGATCCCTTGAGTTCAGGAGGTCAAGACTGCAGTGAGCTGTGATCATACCACTGTACTCCAGCCTAGGTGAAAGAGGGAAACCCTGTCTCAAAAGAAAAAAAAAAAAAGAAGCAAGGCACATAGACAAATTTAAAATTTTTCACAGCTACATAAAAAAGTAAAAAGAAACAGACAAAATTATATTTTATTTCACCCCATTATATCTAAAATATTATTTTAACATGTAATCAACATAAAAATATTAAGATACATATGCTCTACAAGCAATGGGGTTACGTCCTGATAAATCCATCATAAATTGAAAATATTATAACTGAGAGAATGCATTTAATATTCTTAATCTACCAAATATCATAGCTGAGCCCAGCCTACCTTAAACATGTCACAACACTTAACGTTAGCCTACAGTGGGGTAAAATAATCTAACATAAAGCACATTTTATAATAAAGTGCTAAATATCCCATGTAATTTATCAAATACTGTACTGGAACTAAAAAAACGGAATGGTTGTACGGACACTGGCAGTATGGTTTCTACTGAATGTTTATCACTGTCACATCATCGGAAAACTGAAAAATCTTAATTCAAACCATCATAAGTCAGGGACCATCTGTATTTTACGTTTTTTGGATTTTCTTTGTACTAAATCTTCAAAATTCAGCATGTATTTTATATTTACAGCACATCTCAATTCAGGTGCTAAATTTCTATGAGAAACACATTCCTAAAGATGACAGTTGAAATAGATTTACACACCCAAGTTGTTCAAAACAAACTTAAAAGTTTTCTAGTAACTGCATTTCCAGTAACTGCATTGGGTATCTGTGTTTTTTTGTTTGTTTGTTTGTTTGTTTTTGTTTTTTTTTTAAACAGCTTCGTTGAGTTATTTACCTACAATAAACCGCACATATCTAAGTTGCACAATTTGTTAAGTTTGCTTTTCTTAAACTCTTTTATTTAGATAGAGATGGGGGTCTCACTATGTTGCCCAAGCTGGTCTTTAACTCCTGGGCTCAAGCAAGCTGCTCACCTCAGCCCTCCAAAATTTAAGTTTTGATATGTGTTACATCCATGAAATCATCACCACAATCATGATAATGTGTCTTGAATTCTCAGTATTTATTTATTTTTATTTTTTTGAGGTGGAGTCTTGTTCTGTCCCCAGACTGGAGTGCAGTGGCGCGATCTTGGCTCACTGCAGCCTCCGCCTCCCGAATTTAAGCGATTCTCCTGCCTCAGCCTCCCGAGTAGATCGGATTACAAGCGTGCATCACCATACCTGGATAATTTTTGTATTTTTAGTAGAGACAGGGTTTCGCCATGTTGGCCAGGCTGGTCTTGAACTCCTGACCTCAAGTGATCCACCCGCCTTGGCCCCTCAAAGTGCTGGGATTACAGGCATGAACCACTGCGCCTGGCCAAATTATCAGTATTTAAATTTAAATAAAATGTAAAAATTCATTCCTCAGCTGCACTGGCTGGACAGCCACACGCAGCCAGTGGCTACTGGATGGGACAACACATTCAAAACCATTATCCTGTTTTATCTTCAAAGCATTTACCACTGTCTGACTAGCTTCTCCAACGTGCGCCCTTCTTGCTCTCATATCATGTGTCTTATTTTCTTCTTATTCCTTCTGATTGGAAATGATCTCATTTGTGTGTGTGTGTTTTTCCCTGGTGACTGGTTGTCTTCCCTGGCAGAATATGAGCCCACCCAAGCTGGTGCTTCACTGGTCGTGTTCACAGTGTGTCTCCAGGGGCAGGTTCATAAGGGCACTAGGAGGAGGTTGTGAATGAAGGGAGGTGATGTTCACACTAAGACCTGAAAAATGTGTCCAGTTAATAAGTGGACAGGGACAAAGGTCGTTAGACAAAGAGGAGTGTAGGTGGCATCAGTTACCAGGGGAGGAAATGTTGATTCAGGACTGAGAGGCAAAGGGACCTGGCTAGAGGACGGGGTCCCAGAAGGTGGTTTAAGGACTGGTGTGGACACACACAGTTCTGTTGTCTGCCCAGCGGAGGGGCCTCACGGGGGGCCGTTGGGAGCCAGATTGTCAGCTTTTGGATTTACCAGCTGTGGGTGGCAGTGGGCGTGTAACTCAGCATCTTGCTGCCTCAGTTTCTCTCATCTGTAAAGTGGGGATAATAACATTTACCTCATAAAGTTCCTGCGAGGATTCGATGACTTGATACATCAGTTGCTTAGCACAGGGCTCAGCACTCAGTACATGTTCCCTGTCAGGAAGGCAGGGAGGCCTCACTGGCAGCATCAGGACATGGGACATCAGGACATACACCGTGGCTCTCAGGGAAAGGAAAAAGACCCTCTCCCAGGTGTACAAGCTCGATTCTAAACCTCATGGGACCCTGCATTGTTCGCTCCCTCATTCATTCACTAGTCCATGCGTGTACTCAGTAGTGGCATAAGCAGACTGCTCGGGTCGGACCTGAATTAGCCTCACCCACTCTCCTCCTACACTGTCCCTCCCCAGGGCACATTCGCCTCCCAGGTGACGCTGGAGGGGGACAAGTTGAAAGTGGAGCGGGAGATCGATGGGGGCCTGGAGACCCTGCGCCTGAAGCTGCCAGCTGTGGTGACAGCTGACCTGAGGCTCAACGAGCCCCGCTACGCCACGCTGCCCAACATCATGGTGAGCCCCTGGCCAGCGGGCACTGAGGGCCTGGGGGTGGCAAGCACATTGCCAGCCCAGTGCCCCCCGGTGGTCGCACGTGGGGAGGGAAGGATCCAAAGGAGGTCTCGTGCACAGGAAGCCGTCACCTGGAGTTTGGCTGATAGAGAGAGTTTGCTGGGTCATCTCTGCCAATACTGAGAGTTCATGGGGGCTGCTTTGGCTAGCAGGGAGGGCTTGCTGGTATCTAGGCCAGTAGAAAGCCTTCGCTGGGCAGCAGAAGGTGTTCCCTTTGTCATTCCAGCCAGTGGAACAAGTTCACTGGGTCATCTAGGTTCATTAGGGAGGGTCCCCTTGGTAATTTTTGCCAATGTGAAGTTACCATGTAGATCATCTTAGTTAACTAGGAAGGGTGCATGGGGTCTCTTGGCTAACAGGTAGAGTTCACTAATCATCATGGCCAGTAGATGGGTTCGCTGGGTCATCTTGGCCAATATTAACAGTTTAGTGGGTCATCTCCGCCAATAGAGAATATTCATCTCAGCCAACAGGGAGGGTTCACTGGATCATCTCAACTAATGGGGAGGGTTCAATGAGTCATTTCAGCCATTACAGAGTGTTCACTACATCATCTCAGCCTATAGGGAGGGTTCAGCGCATCATCTCAGCCTATAGGGAGGGTTCAGCGCATCATCTCAACCTATAGGGAGGGTTCTGCGCATCATCTCAGTCTATAGGGAGGGTTCAGCACATCATCTCAGTCTATAGGGAGGGTTCAGCGCATCATCTCAACCTATAGGGAGGGTTCTGCGCATCATCTCAGCCTATAGGGAGGGTTCAGCGCATCATCTCAGTCTATAGGCAGGGTTCAGCGCATCATCTCAGCCTATAGGGAGGGTTCAGCGCATCATCTCAGCCTATAGGGAGGGTTCAGCGCATCATCTCAGCCTATAGGGAGGGTTCTGCGCATCATCTCAGTCTATAGGGAGGGTTCAGCGCATCATCTCAGCCTATAGGGAGGGTTCAGCGCATCATCTCAGCCTATAGGGAGGGTTCAGCGCATCATCTCAGCCTATAGGGAGGGTTCAGCGCATCATCTCAGCCTATAGGGAGGGTTCAGCGCATCATCTCAGCCTATAGGGAGGGTTCAGCGCATCATCTCAGTCTATAGGGAGGGTTCAGTGCATCATCTCAGCCTATTGGGAGCCTTCAGCATGCCATCTCAACCAAAAGTCCACTGAGTCATTACTACCAAAAGGATGGGTTTGCCACTCTGTTGCAGCCAGTGAAGGGCTTCCTGATTTGGTTACCTAAAGGAGGACTGCTGCAGTAGTTGGGCCTCCCAGGGCCTCCTAGCCAGCAGGAGTTGTCCACACCAGGTGTGGCCCTGTGAGAAGTTTCGCGTGTCCTGGCCAGTGGGTGGGTCCAGAGGGTTCAGCCCATGGGACTGGTCTGCAGGCCTGGCACCCATGGGAAGGAGGTGGCAGGAAGGGTGGCAGGAGTTCCACAGCCCTGTGAACAATGGCTTCCCATGTGCAGAAAGCCAAGAAGAAGAAGATCGAGGTGATCAAGCCTGGGGACCTGGGTGTGGACCTGACCTCCAAGCTCTCTGTGATCAGTGTGGAGGACCCGCCCCAGCGCACGGCCGGCGTCAAGGTGGAGACCACTGAGGACCTGGTGGCCAAGCTGAAGGAGATTGGGCGGATTTGAGCCCCTCCCAGAGATGGCAATAAAACTGACTCTCAACATCTATCTCTGTTAACTTATTTCCTAGAGACCCATTATTTGGTTCATTCAACATTTACTTGAGTCTTTTGTGTGCCAGGCCCTGTGGATCCAGTCCCTGCCCATGAGGAGCCTCTGTATTGATGCGGGGGACAATGAGGACAAAGGCAGCTGTAATTCGGGGTGAAGTATGCTAGACGTGGAGGCACACTGGGCCCTTGGGAACCCAACTGGGGGACCTGGCCTGGCCCAGCCGGTGGGGTCAGAGATTTCCCAGGGAGATGACTTCCAAGTTGAGTGTTGGAACACAAATATCAGTGAGGTGGGTGAGAAGAAGGGCTTTTATCCACGATGTTTGCAGGACACTCATTCTCTCTTGTGTCCCCAGTCTCAGCAGGGACACAGGAGAGAATGAGGCCAGAAGCTGTGGTTCTGGTGTGAGACAGACAAGCCACAGAGAATCAAAACTTAGCGTTGCAATGAACAGCCTGGGTCTACAGTCAGGTTAATTTTTTTTTAATTATGTTTTTTGAGACAGAGTCTCGCTCTGTTGCCCAGGCTTGCACCACCACACCCGGCTAATTTTTGTACTTTTAGTAGAGACGGGGTTTCACCATGTTGCCCAGGCTGTCTTGAACTCCTGACCTCAAGTGATCCGCCCGCCTCAGCCTCTCAAAGTGCTGGGATTACAAGCGTGAGCCACAGCGCCTGGACTAATTTTTTATTTAAAAAATTGTGTTCCATTCCTCTGGCCTTCTGATAGAGTCAGATATATTGATTTCATATGCTCACTCTTACCTTTGCCAGCTAGATCTTGGGTGAGTTCCTTCCTATTTTGAGTTTCAGTTGCCTCATCTGCAGATGAAAATAGTAACAGCATCATGTAGAGGTTAAGGGTATGGGTTCTGGGTCCCAGGGCCCTGGGTCAAATCCCACTGGATCCATTCCTGGATCCAGTTCAGGATCAGTTCATGTGCCTCAAATGGGGCCAGGGGATTGACTTCCAAGAGGGCTCACCCACATAGCCAGCAAGCTGGCTGGGGCTGCTGACCAGGGGCCATGATTCCCCTCCATGGGGCTGCTGATCCTCGCAGTGTGGCGGCTGGATTCCATGAGGGAGTGTCCTATGATACAGAAAGTGGCATATGCCGGCCTAGATGCAGATCCTGGCACAGGGCCACTTCCACGTCTTGGTCCAGCAGTCACACAGCTACTCAGATCCAAGCAGAGGGGACATAGACCCCGCATCTTAACAGGAGGACGCTCAAATTTGCAGCCCTCTTTAAGCTACATCATCTACTCCATGGAGTTTTGAAAGGTTAATTTATGTAGCACCCCCATAACCACACCTGCTATGCAAAAAATGCTAAATATATATTATTACCAATATTAGTCCGGGCACGGTGGCTCACGCCTGTAATCCCAACACTGGGAGGCTGAGGCGGGCAGATCACTTGAGGTCAGGAGTTCATGATAAGCCTGGCCAACATGGCAAAACCCCATCTCTCCTAAAAATAACAAAAATTAGCCTGGTGTGGTGATGCACACCTATACTCCCAGCTGCTGCAGAGGCTGAGACGGGAGAATCACTTGAACCCGGGAGATGGAGCCTGCAGTGAGCTGAGGCACTCACTGGGTGACAGAACGAGACTCCATCTCAAAATATATATATATTACCAGTATTATTACTGGTGAGAACTGGGCCAGGGTAAGCTTAGAGGACTGGGAGCTGAGCAGAGGCCCTAAGCTCCACATGGGATGGTGGGAAAAGCTATCAGAAGGAGTCAATGGTCTGACCATCCTGGTCCCAAGTCCAGCTTCTCCCTCTGGCTGTGCAACCTCCTGCAGGTCCCTTGACCTCTCTGAGCCTAAGTCCCCTGGCCTGCAAAGTGAGTATAATGACACTCAGCTTATAGGGTGTTTAGAAGTGTTCAGCCTGATAGTGCATAGGAAACATTTAGCGTAGTTCCTGGCTCAAATTAAGTGGTAATTATGGTTCTTAATAAGGTGAGACCTGAAGGACAAGTTGTGGTTTAGCCAGGTTGGAGGGAGGTGGAGAGTGGGAGAGAGCATTCCAGGTAGAGGACTGGGAGGTGAGATGGGCGGGCAGGATAAGAATGGCAGGATGTTCAAGTGCTTGAGTGGGGGCTGTGCATGAGTTTGCTTTGAACCTTGGATGTCTCCAGAGGGCACTGGGGAGCCAGGGGAGGGCTGTGAGCAGGGGGAGGCAGGTTCAGCTCTGGGTATAGAAGGACCCTGGCAGGGAATGGAGGAGACTGGGCAGAGGAGGGAGACGGGGCAGGAAGAGAAGACAGAGCCTGGCCAGTGAGAACTAGGGGGAGGAGGGTTGGACTCAGATCGACAGTGGTGACAGGGAGGGAGGAGGTGGGAATGTTCTCCAGCATTTGCGAAGACAGTGAAGCCATCCTGGAGGTGTGAGGAAGTTTGGGTTAGAGGAAAGAGTCTGAGTTTAGCGGGACACAGGCCATGTGAGGGCCTCGGGGATGCGGAAATGCAGCTCTGGTCTCAGGATAGAGGCCCTGGCAGGAGATAGCACCTGGAGACTTGGTTCTGAGGGCAACAGAGAGCCGTGGGAGGGTTTGGAGCAGAGGAGGAGCAGGGTCAGATGTATCTGAGGCTGCAGGCAAGACAGAGTGGAAGGAGCCAGGAGGCTGGGGAGGAGGAAGCCTGCTCTGAAGCTGTGGCCATCAGAGGTGGGGCTCTCGGAAAGGTCACCTCACCCTCCTCCAGGAAGTCTTCCTGGCTTTGTCTCACAAATTTGCTCCCACATTTTTAGCTGGGAATGTTTTCTCCAGCTTCCCCCTGGGGGTGGGGAGGGCAGGGATCAGGCTGGGCCTCTCTGCAGATGGGACCAGCTAATGAAGAGAGTGGGATGAGGTGGGCAGCTCAGCCACCACACTGGGGTTGAGGATCTTGGCACCTCCCTCTGGGTCTGGCTCCCTTCCCCTCCCAGGAAGCTAAGCTACCAGTCCTGTTGGACTCGTCTGACCCGGGAGGGATGGGTGCAGTCCTGGGTCTCTCTCCAGTGTCCTTTCAGTGAGGCCAGCACCATGGACAACCCACAGGCTCTGCCACTCTTCCTACTCCTGGGTAAGTTCCCTGCTCAGTCCCTTCCCTGTCAGTCTCCCTCAGCAGCCTCCCCCAATGCCTTCCTCTCTTCTCTGCAGCCTCCTTGGTAGGGATCCTCACCCTCAGAGCCTCTTCTGGACTTCAGCAAACCAACTTCTCCTCTGCCTTCTCTTCAGACTCAAAGAGCTCTTCCCAGGGGCTGGGTGTGGAAGTTCCCTCCATCAAACCTCCCAGCTGGAAAGTTCCAGATCAGTTCCTGGATTCAAAAGCCTCTGCTGGAATCTCTGATTCCAGCTGGTTTCCTGAGGCCCTGAGTTCCAACATGTCTGGGTCCTTCTGGTCAAATGTTTCTGCTGAGGGCCAAGATTTGAGCCCGGTTTCCCCCTTCTCTGAAACCCCTGGTTCTGAAGTATTTCCTGATATTTCGGATCCTCAAGTTCCTGCCAAAGACCCCAAGCCTTCCTTCACTGTTAAGACCCCAGCTTCAAACATTTCTACTCAAGTCTCCCATACCAAACTGTCTGTTGAGGCCCCAGATTCAAAATTCTCCCCGGATGATATGGATCTTAAACTCTCTGCCCAGAGCCCTGAATCCAAATTTTCTGCAGAGACCCACTCAGCTGCAAGCTTTCCCCAGCAGGTGGGGGGCCCACTCGCTGTGCTGGTGGGGACCACCATCCGGCTCCCCCTAGTCCCAATCCCCAACCCTGGGCCCCCCACCTCTCTGGTGGTCTGGCGCCGGGGCTCAAAGGTGCTGGCAGCTGGGGGCCTGGGGCCAGGGGCACCTCTGATCAGCCTGGACCCTGCTCACCGAGACCACCTGCGATTTGACCAGGCCCGGGGGGTTCTGGAGCTCGCCTCTGCCCAGCTGGACGATGCAGGGGTCTACACGGCTGAGGTCATCCGGGCAGGGGTCTCCCAGCAGACTCACGAGTTCACGGTGGGTGTGTATGGTAAGTGGGCCCTGGCGTCCGGCGTGCAGGCGGCAGGGGCTGCTCTGCTCTGCCAGGCTTTGGGCAAGTCACGGTGCTGTGGGGTCCCTGGATAGGAGAAGAGGACTTCTGGGTTGAGGAAGGGAGAAAAAGAGCTAGAGGTCAAGGCAGGGGTGTCTGAGCAAAGGTGGACCTGGGATGGAGACTCCTGGGAGCCTGAACTCCCAGGTCTGAGGGAGGAGGAGGAGGCTAGGAGCCTCTTCTGGCGAACTCCTGGGTCCCGGAGAGGAGGTGTCTGGGGGCTCAAACTCATAGGTTTATGAGAGGAGAGGGATGGGGGCTGAGACTCCAGGGGCTTAGAGGGAGCAGCGGCTGGGGTTCCCTCTAAGGGGACCAAAGATGGGCTCCAGGACTGGGTGGGTCCTGAGCCCATTCTCCCTCTCCCAGAGCCCCTACCCCAGCTGTCGGTTCAGCCCAAGGCTCCAGAGACAGAGGAGGGGGCGGCCGAGCTCCGGCTGCGCTGCCTGGGGTGGGGGCCAGGTCGCGGGGAGCTGAGCTGGAGCCGGGACGGACGCGCCCTGGAGGCGGCGGAATCGGAGGGAGCCGAGACGCCCCGGATGCGCTCAGAGGGCGACCAGCTGCTCATCGTGCGCCCTGTGCGCAGCGACCACGCCCGGTACACTTGCCGCGTCCGCAGCCCCTTCGGCCACAGGGAGGCTGCCGCCGACGTCAGCGTCTTCTGTGAGTGGGGGATGCCTCGGGTCGGGGACAGGGGGTCCTTGGGGAGAAGCGGGCTGGGGACCCAGTCTCCGGGAGTCCTAGCGGCGTCCCAGGTGACCCTGACACTCGCGGTCCCGACCCCTCCTCCCTCCAGACGGCCCGGACCCGCCGACCATCACGGTCTCCTCGGACCGCGACGCCGCGCCTGCCCGCTTTGTCACCGCGGGCAGTAACGTGACCTTGCGCTGCGCCGCCGCCTCGCGGCCGCCCGCCGACATCACGTGGAGCCTGGCGGACCCGGCCGAGGCCGCGGTGCCCGCGGGGTCGCGCCTCCTGCTGCCCGCGGTCGGACCGGGCCACGCAGGCACCTACGCCTGCCTGGCGGCGAACCCGCGTACCGGCCGCCGCCGCCGCTCGCTGCTCAACCTTACAGTGGCGGGTGAGAGGCTGGAGCGGGAGTAGGGGAATGCCTGGGAGAGGGGCGGGGCCAGAACGAGGGCGGGGCTAGAGGAAAGGGGCGGGGCCAGCAAGGAGGAGCAGCATACCGGTGGGTGGGGCAGGGCCAGCGGGAGGGCGGGTCACCAAGAAGGAGCTGGGATACCCGTGGTGGGGCGGGCCAGCGCGGAGGGGCGGAGACACCTAGGATAAGAGGCGGGGCCAGAAAGAGGATAAGGGAAGGAGCCAAATAGAGTGGCAGGGATGACCAGGACTGACGGGCCGGCCCAGCACTGAGAGGGCGGACATTCCTGGGCATGGAACACTCGACAAAGTCGACAAGCGGAGTTAAATGGCAAAGAGTGGGAGTTAGAAAAGGAAAGAACTAATTTGCTTAAGTGGGATCAGCAAAGGGAGAAGTTACCTGGCAAGGGGGGCGGAGTCACCAGGGAAAGGGGCGAGGTCATTTAGAAAGCGGGCAGAATTGTCTTAGAAAGGGGAAGGGGTCCACAAGGAAGGGCGGAGATATCTGGGAAAAGGGGAGGCTTCTCGGAGTGCAATCCAGGAGGGGGCGAAGTAACCTGGCAGAAGTGGGTGGAGCTGGAAAGGAAGGGGCTGAGTTACGTTTGGGAAGAGAAATATCATTGTGTGAAGATGCAGTTTTCTTAAGAAAGTTGGGCAGTCAGCAGGGCTGCGGGCTACCCACTTAGCGAGGAAGTTAATGGGAAAAGGGAACGGGATCGCAGGAAAAGTGGGGAGTGTGAGCGCCTATGGGGTGGGGCTAGTGAAGAAGGGTGGAGTCACCGCGCGGGGAGGCGGGGCTGGAGAAGAAATGAGAAAGGGACTCCATCTTCATTCTCTCCCTTCTCTCCGCAGACCTGCCCCCCGGGGCCCCACAGTGCTCAGTTGAAGGGGGTCCCGGGGACCGCAGCCTCCGCTTCCGCTGCTCGTGGCCCGGCGGGGCCCCTGCTGCCTCCCTGCAGTTCCAGGGTCTCCCCGAAGGCATCCGCGCCGGGCCAGTGTCCTCTGTGCTGCTGGCGGCCGTCCCCGCCCACCCCCGGCTCAGCGGCGTCCCCATCACCTGCCTTGCTCGCCACCTGGTGGCCACGCGTACCTGCACAGTCACGCCGGGTGAGAGGGCGCGGGGCTTTTTTGCTGTTTCTCGAGGAGGAGGGAGACTTTTTCTTTGGTCCTTCGAAAATTCTGAAGGGGTATGGGGTACGTCCTTAGTCCAAGAAAGAGGCAGGACTTCACTGTCTTCAAACTAGAAAAGGGACAAAGATTTTCCTATACCTCATGGTGGCGGGGTGCAGGGATGGGGGTATTTTTCTGGACACAGGAAGAAGGCCATCACTTTCACACGTGTTCAGAGAGATAAAGCAGTGATATTTTAAAAAGTAACAAGGCCGGGCGCAATAATCGCAGCACTTTGGTAGCTGGGGGCGGGAGGATTGCTTGAGTCTAGGAGTTCAAGACCAGCCTGGGCAGTGTGGCAAGACCCAGTCTTGTAATTATTATTGCTACAAAATAATAATAATAATAAAGAAGAAAGAATAGCTGAAAATAATATGAGTTTCCCAGTACAGGGCCTGCGCCTATGGTATGTGTTCAATAAGTGTTTGATGAGGAAATCAGATAATAAATGAATGAATGAATGAATGAGCTAATGAGTGAGTAAATTGGCAGTTCTTTCTCAGGTGGCCAAAGCGTGGGGGCTTACCACCATCTGATTTAAAGTAGGGCATAGGATCTGTTCTTTGAATCCAAGGTAAGGTCTTGACTTTCTTAACTGGACTTCTCCCACCGGCAGAGGCCCCCCGAGAGGTGCTGCTGCATCCGCTGGTGGCAGAGACACGGTTGGGGGAGGCAGAGGTGGCACTGGAGGCCTCTGGTTGTCCCCCACCCTCACGGGCATCCTGGGCCCGGGAAGGGAGGCCCCTGGCTCCAGGAGGCGGGAGTCGCCTGCGGCTCAGTCAAGATGGGCGGAAACTCCACATCGGCAACTTCAGCCTGGATTGGGACCTGGGAAATTACTCCGTGCTGTGCAGTGGGGCGCTGGGTGCTGGCGGTGACCAGATCACCCTCATTGGTGAGCCACGTTATTTCAAAAAACCCTGAAGTCCACGTCCCCAGCCGCTCCAGCCCTCAGACCCAGAAGTTCAGGCCCCAGACCTCTCCTCCCTCAGACCTCGGATCCAGGCCCCCAGCCTCTCCTCCCTCAGACCCTGGAGTCCAGGCCTCAGCCCCTCCTCCCTCAGACCCAAGGGTCTAGCCCCAGCCCCTCTTCCCTCAGACCCAGGAGTCCAGGTCACCAGCCCCTTCCACCCTCAGATCCAGGAGTCCAGGCCCCCACCCCCTCCTCCCTCAGACCCAAGAGTCCAGGCCCCCAGCCCCCTCCCCCTCAGACCCAGGAGCCCAGCCCCCCAGCCCCCTTCCCTCTCCCCTCTGGCACCCAAGAATCCAGCCACCCCCACATCCCTCTAGGACCCTCCATATCCTCGTGGAGGCTTCAGAGAGCCAGAGATGCAGCCGTGCTGACTTGGGATGTGGAGCGCGGGGCCCTGATCAGCAGTTTTGAGATCCAGGCATGGCCAGATGGGCCTGCTCTGGGCAGGACTTCCACCTACAGGGACTGGGTCTCCCTGCTCATCCTGGGGCCTCAGGAGCGGTCAGCCGTGGTGCCCCTTCCACCTCGGAACCCAGGGACCTGGACCTTTCGGATCCTGCCCATCCTGGGGGGCCAGCCAGGGACTCCATCACAAAGCCGGGTCTACCGGGCCGGTGAGTTGGGGCTGTCAGAGTAGACCTTCTCTGTTGTGCCAGATCCTCCGTGTCTCCCTGTTTTAGTGTCCTGGGGCCTGCCCTAACAAAGTACCATGAACTGCATGGCTTGAGACTACAGGAATTTCTTCTCTCACAGGTCTGGAGGTCAGAAGTCTAAAATCAAGGTGTCGGCTGGGCGCGGTGGCTCACGCCTGTAATCCCAGCACTTTGGGAGGCCAAGGCGGGTGGATCACGAGGTCAGGAGATCGAGACCATCCTGGCTCACACGGTGAAACCCCGTCTCTACTAAAAATACAAAAAATTAGCCTGGCGCGGTGGCGGGCGCCTGTAGTCCCAGCTACTGGGGAGGCTGAGGCAGGAGAATGGCGCGAACCCGGGAGGCGGAGCTTGCAGTGAGCCGAGATCAGCCACTGCACTGCAGCCTGGGTGAAAGAGCCAGACTCCGTCTCAAAAAAAAAAAAAAAAAAAAAATCAAGGTGTCGACAGGGTCCTACTCCCTCTGAGACCCTGTGTAGAATCCTCCTTTGTGTCTTCCTAGCTCCTGGTGGCGGCTGTTTCATCCTTGGCGTTCCTGGACTTGCAGCTGCATCACTCCAACCTCTGCCTCCAGCTTCCCACAGGCTTCTTCCCTGTGTGTGTGTCTCTTCTTCTTCTTCTTCTCCTTCTCCTTCTTCTTTTTTGAGAAGGAGTTTTGCTCTTGTCGCCCAGGCTGGAGTGCAATGGCATGATCTCGGCTCACCGCAACTTCTACCTCCCAGATTCAAGTGATTCTCCTGCCTCAGCCTCCCGAGTAGCTAGGATTACAGTCATGCGCCACCACACCCAGCTAATTTTTGTATTAGTAGAGATGGGATTTCACCATGTTGGCCAGGCTGGTCTTGAACTCCTGACCTCAGGTGACCCACACACCTTGGCCTCCCAAAGTGCTGGGATTACAGGTGTGAGCCACCGCACCTGGCTTCTGTCCTCTTCTTTTAAGGACACCAGTTATATTGGATTAGGGTCCACCCTAATACCTCAAATTGACTTGGTTACATCTTCAAAGACCTTATTCCAAAATAAAGTCACATTCACAGGAACAGGGGTTAGGACTTCAACATATGTTTTTCTTTTGGGGTAGGCACAATTCAGTTGATAACATGCCTCCATTGGAGCATCTCAGGATTTAGTCCTCACTCCCCAAAGTGATCATGTTCATGCTCATGGCCTTCAATAACATTAATAATCAGATGACTCCCAAATGTCTTATCCTGGGCCCTGACTTCTCTCTTGAAAAGGATGCGCCCAACTTAAGATCTTCACTTTTTGGGGAGGTGGGGGGTGTGGACAGAGTGTTGCTCTGTCACCCAGGCTGGAGTGCAGTGGCATGATCTCAGCTAACTGGAACCTCCACCTCCTGGGTTCAAGTGATTCTCCTGCCTCAGCCTCCAGAGTAGCTGGGATTACAGGTGTGAGCCACCACGCCCAGCTAATTTTTTTTGAATTTTTAGCAGAGACAGGATTTTGCCATGTTGGCCAGGCTGGTCTTGAGCTCCTGACCTCAAGTGATCTGCCTGCCTCGGCCTCCCAAAGTGCTGGGATTACAGGCGTGAGTCAAGATCTTCACTTTGGATGTCCAATTAGCATCCCAAATGTCATATGCCCAAAACAGATCTTTCGATGTTTTCCCTCAAAACTGCATCCTCCAACCCTGCAGTCTTCCCCATCCTCATAAATGTCACCACTTACAGGCCACATCACCCCTGACATCCTAATTGCCAGCAAGTTCGGTCCATTTTCCTTCTAAAATATTTTCCATCTTCACCCCAAGGCTCTGGTCAAACACAGCATCCTCTCTTGCCTGGACTGCAACAGCAGTTTATTTGGTCTCTTTATACTCCCTCTTGCTGTCAGATAATGCATTCTCCACACAGAAGCCAAAGTTATGCAAATCAGATCATGAGGCTGCTCTACATAAAAGCCGTCCATTAATTTCTGCAGGACCCCTTTAGGATCTGGTTCCTGGAAACCTTTTCTACTTCACTCTCCACCTCCAGCCCGCTCCTTCCTTATCCTCCACCCACGCTGGCCTTCGTTGAACAGAGAAAGCTTTTCTAGTTCTGGGCCTTTGCATTTACTGTTCCCTCCTCTTGGAACGCCCTTTCCCCGGGTTTAGTATGACTGTCTCTGGTCTTTATTCTTCAAGTCTCTGTTCAAACGTTACTTCCTCAGGGACCTGAGCTCACCACTGTTTCTAAATGTCACATCCCTTCCCATTGTTCCTTTTTTGTTTTTTGTTTGTTTGTTTTCTTTTTTTGAGAGAAGGTCTCACTTTGATGCCCAGGCTGGAGTGCAGTGGCACGATCTGGGCTCACTGCAGCCTCAACGTCCCCAGACTCAGGTGATCTTGCCTCAGTCTCCTGAGTAGCTGGGGCTACAGGCGCAGCCACCGCACCTGGCTAGTTTTTCTATTTTTTGTAGAGACAGGATCTCGCTATGTTGCCCAGGCTGGTCTCCAACTCCTGGGCTCAAGTGGTTGCCCACCTTGACCTCCCAAAGTGTTGGGAATCACAGGTGTGAGCCACCACACCTGTCCCCCATTATCTCTATCACATCACTTTTTCTTTCTCGGGACAATCTGTGATTATCTTATGTATTGCTCATTTATTTATGTCTTCTCTCCTAGAATTAAGCCCCATAAGGGTAGATATCTTTCCTGTTTGGCCCACGAATGAATCCTCACTACCTGTCTGAGAGCCAGGCACACCACGGTCACTCAGTAACTGTTAAATGAGTTGAGAGTGCTGGGGTCCCACATTCCTGGGTTCTGGGAGGGGAGGGACAGTGGGGGCCGGACTCCTGGGTCCCAGCACAAAGTTAGGGGGCTTAGGAAACTTGGGTCCAACCTTGGTTCCTGTTCCCCTTCTCTTTCTTCTCTTTGTCTCTTCCAGGCCCCACGTTGAGCCATGGGGCCATCGCTGGCATCGTCCTGGGCTCCCTGCTGGGCCTGGCGCTGCTAGCCGTACTTCTCCTCCTTTGCATCTGCTGCCTGTGCCGCTTTCGTGGTGAGCAAGGGGACTGGGGAAGGGGCAACCATGACCAACGGGGAGGGACCCTAGAAAGAGGCCTATGGAAGACCTGGCTGAGGCAATCAGTGCCGTCATAGGTCATCCATCCTGCCCTCCTACCTCCAAATCAGCCAATCAGCATAAGGCTCCGCCTCTCCAACCAGCTTCCCTTGCTATTGGCTGGGTTGGCATGTTGGGGCAGCCAATCACGTGTTCCTGCTTCTCTTCTGCCTCTCAATCAGGAAAGACTCCTGAGAAAAAGAAGCATCCTTCTACCTTGGTCCCCGTGGTCACCCCCTCAGAAAAGAAGATGCATAGTGTGACCCCAGTGGAGATTTCATGGCCTCTGGACCTCAAAGTCCCTCTGGAGGACCACAGCTCAACTAGGGCCTACCAAGTGAGTGTGGGTGCCCTCATTTCCTCCTGGAATCGGGGCGGAACTTCTTGTATTACAGTCAGGGAGATGAGAGGGTCTCAATTATCTAACTCCAGTTTTACTTGTTAGTTTACAGTCTGTATAACTTTATCCTTTTTAAAAATGCATCAAAGTTGGACAGAGCTTCCCGCCCAACTTTGATGTATATTAAAATAAGAGTGAATTCCAGTTTCTTCTCCAAAGGAGGGAAATAGGATCTCTCTCTCTCTTTTTTTTTTTTTTGGAGACAGAGTCTCACTTTGTTGCCCAGGTTGGACTGCAGTGGTGCAATCTCGACTCACTGCAGCCTCCGCCTCCTGGGTTCAAGCGATTTTCCTGCCTCAGCCACTTGAGTAGCTGGGATTACAGGCAAGCACCACAACGCCTGACTGATTTTTGTATTTTTAGTACAGACGGGATTTCACCATGTTAGGCAGGCTGGTCCCGAACTCCTAACCTCAAGTGATCCGCCCACCTTGGCCTCCCAAAGTGCTGGGATTACAGGCATGAGCCACTACGCCCAGCCCCTCCATTTTTCTTTCCCATAAAAATTGGGCAAGGCCCATTTTTCTCTATGAAGTGGGGTACAGTTACCTCATTCCCCATAAAAGAAGGATTGTTGTGACTGGGTGTGATAGTTCATGCCTGTAATCCCAGCACTTCGGGTGGTTGAGGAGAGAGAATCACTTGAGCTCAGGAGTTCGATACCAGCTTGGGCAACATAGGGATACCCCATCTCTACAAAAAATTTTAAAATTAGTCGGGCATGGTGGCACGTACCTGTAGTCCCAGCTACTAGGGAGGCTGAGGTGGGAGGATTGCTTGGGCCTGGGAGGTCAAGGCTGCAGTGAGCTCTAACGGTGCCACTGTACTCTAGCCTGGATGACAGAGTGAGACCCTGTCTCAAAATAAATAAATAAATAAATAAATAAAAAATAACAACTGGGTTGGGTTGTTGGCTGGCTTCGCTCCACCAAGGATAGCCAGGCATTTTTTTTCCCCTCTCCAAATGGAGGGTTCCCAGATAATCTCTAAAAAGTTCAAGCAAGAGCTAGAAAAAGTTAGGCGGGTGAGTTATGTCACATCCAGAGTACCTACTGAGTTCTCCCCTCACCCCACCTCTCTCTTCCAGGCACAGACCCCAGTTCAGTTGTCTCTGTAGGCGGAGGCTCAAAGACTGTTCGCGCAGCCACACAGGTGTGATCAGAGCCAGTGGTCTGCCCTGCACAGGGCGTTTTGGGCCAGAACTTCCTATTTCACTCCAGCAGCAGCCAGGGCCTGCTATGACTGAGGGTTGGACCCTGAAAGTGGGACTTTCTGTCTCCCTCTCTTGCTGCAGAAGAAGAGTCTTCCTGTATTTGTGCAAGTAAGGAGATGTGACTTCTTGGCTGGGAAACTCTTGCTGATCTAACTGTGTGGTTTGCACAACCTCCAAGCCTCTGCAGCAGACAGGCAGGGCTTGCTGTGTTGCTCTGAGCTAGAGAGGGAGCTTGGCCATGTTCTCTGAAAAGGTCCCCTTACATTCACTTTGCCACCTGTAGGCCACACCCCATCCAGCTCCCAGCATCTTCATCTTAAAACAGATCAGATCATGTCACTCTTCTCTTTAAACGCTTCTACGGCCTGTGCATTTCCCTTCAGATATTATCCAAACTCATCGTCGTGACCTTCAAAACCTTGTGGTCTGGCCTCTGTTGGCCTCCCTGACCTCCCCTCCCAATTCTTTCTCTGCCCCCGGACTCCAGTATCACAGTCTGTCTCTCAGCCACAATTTATTTTGCCCCTAGAGTTTGCTGTGCTTATAACACTTCTTTTTCCCATATGTCATTCATTTCTCAAGTCTAAGAGTAGCAGTTACCATCTTAGACGACCGTTCCCTTACCCCTCCCTTAGTCTTGGGTTAAGTCCCAGAATCCTTGAATTTGCCGTTCCTGATACATAAA
This sequence comes from Homo sapiens, assembly GCF_000001405.40. Taxonomy (NCBI): domain Eukaryota; kingdom Metazoa; phylum Chordata; class Mammalia; order Primates; family Hominidae; genus Homo; species Homo sapiens. The sequence continues at coordinate 51,331,829 of NC_000019.10, read as the reverse complement.
TATGTAATTTCTTGTGTGGCCTGAGACTCTCTCTCTAAACTAAGGGCTTTACAAAAGCAGAGACCACATCATTAACTCAGCACTTAACCCAGAGCCTCACACACAGCAGGCAATCAATAAATATTTGTTGACTGATCAAATGTTTTGGTGCCAGTGAAGAGTTGGGCTTGCTGCTGCTGTCTTCAGCGTAAGTCTTGCTTTTTCAGCTGGGTTTCTAATTGAGAATTTAGAGAGTGCATTGGTGAGGATTCTTTTGACTGCAAGTAACAAAATAAAATGGTGGCAAGAACTATGGAGGCGGCTGGTTTCAGGCTGGCTCAGCAGCTCAGTAACGCCATTAAAGACATGGGCCCTTTGCATCCATCTGCTCTGCCACCCTCAGTGGGTTGGCACATTGACTCTAAGCATGTTGCTTCACGTAGCAAGATGGTTGCTGCAGCTCCAGTCATCACATCTTCACACAACTGTATCCAAAGATAAAAGGAAGGGGGCAGAACTTCCTCCCTATACATCTTCCCCACCCTCTACCTCCCTCTATCACTGCCTTCTTCCCTCTCATGGGGTGGGAGGGAAGCTTTCCTGGAAACCTACAAGCAAATTTCCATTTATGTCTCTTTGGCCCAAACTGGCCACATAGCTGCAAAGGAGGCTAGGAAACCAGATATCTAGCCTGTATCATAACACGTGGATCTGCCAGCGAAGAAGAAAGGGGAACCAAACAACTCAAATGTGGGCAACCAGCATCTGTCTCAGGGAAGGAAAGCATGTGAGAGAATTTCTGGTTAATGATTGGGGGTAGAAAAGGCCATTGGAAAATAGAACCCCTGGATCCTTTTGGAAAGGTGAGGGTTGGGGTTCTGGGCCTTCTATGTCTCTTCTGTATCTATTATGGTTTTCATTCTCTTTTTTATTACTAGAGATAGAAAATCCAATGCAAATTGGTTTAAATATACAGGGGACTTTATTGCTTATATAAGTGAAAATGGGCATCAGTTAAGTTTTGATCCAGCTGCTCAAATGATATATAATCATGGACTCAGTTTCTCTAAGGTTTCCACTCTGCCCTTCACAGTGTTCCTATCCTTCTCAGGCTCCATATGCTGTCCTCCCCACCATTGCTATCCCCACAGAGCCAAGATCTCTCCATGTGATGGAGAAAAGCAACCCTACAGATGTTGACTTCACATCACGGAGCCACAATATCCAGCAGAAAAGCATCTCTTCTTGGGAATCCATTCACTTTCTCATTAGCCTTACTGGGTCATGTGCCCATCTCTGAGCCAATCACGGTGGGAAATGGGCTATGCTGGGTGTCTTCGGCCAATCACAGGGCATCTCTGTAATGAGTCCATTCCAAGTCTACCAGTGAGAAAGTAGGCGGTAGGAATGATGCTGGAGAGGCACCACCAATTGACTGCTACCCTTTGCCCTTCATTAACTCTAATCCTTAATGACATTGACACCTGCAGGCAGACTTTGGAAAAAGGCGTTTATTGGTGTGGTGGTCTCAACACTCCCCATGAATTGGAACACATGGCCCCCAGGGCCCCCCACCCCCTCCCTAGCATCCCTCCCCTGTCCCACCCCATCCCCTGGACCCTGGGAATGGAAGACAATGTGGGATGGGGCCCATGCCCCCGTCTGAGGTACAGTCACTGCGCCTTGCCCTCTCCTTTTCTCCACCAGACTCTGGGTGGTGTGGTTTGGGGTGGGTGTTTATATAGAGGGTCTCCTGGGAGTCGGAGTTGGTGACATGGCATCTTTGTCTGGGCTCAGGATGTCTGTGTGATGCCTCTCTGTCCCCCACTTTGTGTGGTGTGGTGTACCAGGGTGGAGTGTTCCTACAGTCAGAGCTGAGGCTGCGGCCTCTCAGCGTCCCTTCCTGACACCAGATGCCTACCCAGGGGGAAATACAGCTAGTCACCAGCTACCGGACAGCTGGAGCCAGGGGGCTATTGCTGGTCACAGTCGCTGGTGTGTGTGTGTGTGTGTGTGTGTGTGTCTGTGTGTGTGTATGTGTGTGTGGTGCGTCTGAGTGTCTGTGAGGGCGGTCAGGTAGCCTTTGGGAGGTACAGTTGGTGGAGAGGCCAGGAAGTGATAGACCAGCAAGCTCACACCTGTGGGCCAGCTGCAAAGGCCCCAAGGGCAGCTGGCTGGTGCCGCAGGTGGGGAAATCAAGGCCAAGGGGAGTGGTGGCAAGGGTAGGGCAAAGCACTGAAACAGACAGGTGACTCCTGCCACCAGTCTGACAGTTGGATGGAAGCACCGATTGGCCCAGGAGGGGGCCAGAAAATCCAGGGTGTGGAGGGACAGGAAAAGTGGGAAGGTCTCAGGCCACTGAGCCAGCGATGGGGCCTCTGGCTACAGGAAGCTGGTGGTTGACAGCAGGGAAGCCCAGAGCCTAGATGGAGGTCCCCCACTTACTCACAAAGGCTGAATGACAGCTTGACAGGTGAGTGCGATGCCCCTCCCCACTCCCAACCTGCCAGGAGTTGCCCTTTCGACAGGGGGAGGGGTAGTGTGCGTGCATATATTGGGGAAGCAGGGAGCCTGGTAAGCCTCTCTTCACAGCTTCCACTGCAGAGCCTCATACCTACCTCCAGCCAGAGGTGAGAGGCAATAGGGTTGGGGACAGTGGACATGGGGGTTTTGGGGGCGGGAGGACGGCTGAGTCCCTTCCCCCAGCCCACCCCCCCACACACACACAAACAGAGACACAGACACCTACACATGCATGCAGGCTCACACTCACACACCCACACCCACACAAGCCAGTTGACAGCCTGAGCTAAGAGAGAGGGGTATGGGGTGGCGGGAGTGGGTCACAATCGGAAACGTGAACGGGTGGCGAGAATGGCTGTAGAAAGATGCATAATTTTGCGTTATCCCTCACAGTGATGGGTTCTCTGAAGATCTTTCTTCCTCTGCCTCCTCCTCTTCTCCTCTCTCTTCTTCCTTGGTGGCCGAGAGCTCTTCTGCCCCCACGAGACCCACGGCTCTTGCTCCCCCGTTTCTCTCACTCTTGGCCTGAGGCCCCCTGCAGGGGGAGGTGAGCTCCACTGGGTTGCGCCTACATTCTCCACCACAGCCAGCCCAGGGCGGAGAGGAGGGCCAGGAGCCCTGGGGGCCTCGGGGCTGAGTTCTCCAGGGATCCTGGGCCTGGGGGAAGAGAAGGGGTCATGGAGGGAGGCCTGAGAGTGGGGAACCCCATGTGTGTCTCTCCAGGGGCCCCATCTCTTCTGAGCCCACTCTTTAGCGTCCTTTCTGGATCTCTCATTGGGTGTGCCTGCTTTTCTGACTCTGTTTCTTTTTTTTTTTTTTTTTCTTTTTTTGAGACGGAGTCTCGCTCTGTCACCCAGGCGCAATCTCGGCTCACTGTAACCTCTGCCTCCCAGGTTCAAGCAATCCTCTTGCCTCAGCATCCTGAATAGCTAGGACCACAGGTGCCCATCACTACGCCTGGCTAATTTTTGTATTTTTTTTTTTTTTTGGTAGAGACATAGTTTCACCATGTTGGACAGGCTGGTGTCAAATTCCTGACTTCAGGTGATCAGCCCGCCTCGGCCTCCCAAAGTGCTGGGATTTACAGGCGTGAGCCACCACGCCCGGCCTCCAAAATTATTTTTTGTTTATGTATGTGTTTGCTTATTTACCTACATGACCACTTGTTTATTGCTTTTCTACTCCTACTAGACTATAAGCTCTGCGAATCCCCAAACCTTGTTTCTTTTGTGCACAGCTGCGTCCCCCACGACAAACCCTTAGCTGGCACTCAATGAATATTGATTGCGTGGATCGGTTTCTTACTCGCATTGCTTTTCAGTCTCAGCGTCCATCTCCTAAGTTCAGGGCCAGCCTGAAGGGCGGTCCCGGCGTCTCCACTTCCCTAGCCCCGCCCCCGGCCCCGCCCACCTTCCCGGCCCCGCCCCGCCCGAAGACGCACGCAGGAGCCGCATGGAGGCGCTGGACGCTCCCAGTCGGTTGGCGGCGCGACACGTATAGTTGCCGTAATGCCGGGCGCTCACGTTGGCAAAGAGAAGCATCGAGCGGGTGCGCTCCGTCTGCACCTTCAGGCCTTCGGCCGTGCCGCTGCTCAGCCTGCCAGGGATCCGGGTCAGGGGCCGGGCCGCAGCGCCCAGCCAGGCCAGCCCCCCGACTCTCAGGCTCCTCCGTTCCCCGGTGACCCAGCATTCTGCCCCCTACCCCAGTGACCCATCGCCTCGGGTTCTAGCACCTCATGTACCTCGGGTCACTCCCACCGCCGCCCCCCTCCAGGCACCCTGGCCTCTCAGGACTCTGGACTCTCCCGTAGTGCACCCCTAGTCGTTAGGGACTCCTGAACTCTGCTGGTCCCCTAAATCTTGCCCGACAGATCCTCAGCATTGACCCCCGACCCCTGGCCAGCTCCCTGAAAAGTCCGGGGAGACGGGGTTCCAGCATTCATCAAGCGGGGACCCAAGCTTGTCTCCGGGGCTGGACAGATCCCATCACCTAGAAGCTGGACGCCCCAGGTTCGGGACCCAGAGCTCTGCTGCCTTCCCCCGCCCCGCTCCGTCCCCCTGCCTCACAATCGAAGGGACTAAAGACCTCCCCTTCCCGCTCCCACGGCCCCCTCAGTGCTGTCCTCACAGTCTGTCATCCTTGTACCACTGGAAATCCGCGGGGGGAACCGCCATGGCTTCGCAGCGCAGGAGGGCGGCCCGGCCCAGCGCGGTGCGGGCGCTGGTCACGTCCGTGATGGTCGGAGGATCTGGCGAGGGGCAAGGGTCAGCGAATTCTCCTAGCCGCGTGGGGACGAAGGGGTCCCGCCCCCAGCCCCCGCCTCCCTCAGGCCCGTAAGTCTCGCCCCCGCTTCCTCTTCCCCCAGATCCCTCCTCCCCAGGGACTCGGGGGTCCGCCACCCTTTCGTGCCCAGTGCCAGGGGGGCTCACAGTTGACTGTGACCAGCACGCGGCGGCTGTCGGGCGCCGAGTTAACCCCGTTGTGAGTCACGCACTCATACTCCCCGGCCTGGCCCCGCTGGATGTCAGAGATCTCCAGGATCTCTCCCTCCGAGGTGAAGCCGTCTGTGGGGGGAAGGAGGAGGAGGGGGCGGGGCCGGACACAAACACTTAACACGGGACAACACGGGCACAACACGGACACACATCAGCGGGGCGGGCACGGCAAGGCCTGGAGTGCCCGGGTCAATGGGGGTGGGGTGGGGGAGGGGCTGCAGGGCCGGGGGCCTGGGATCTCTCCAGCTGGGGGTGGGGGAAGGAGTGAGGTCTGGGACTCAGTTCCTGGAACCCAGTGGGGTGGGTTAGAGAATCTAAGGGTTCAGGAGATCCCTCCAGGAATCTGACTCAGATCATGGAGCTCCGTGGGGAGGACCCCAATGGGGAGGGGGATCCCAGGATGTTAGGTCTCAGAAGGATCTAGCAAATACAGAACCAGTGGGGCAGGGTCCCTCGTTCTGGGATCTGATTCATGGGGTCTAGGGAATCAGGATCTGGTGATTGGGATCAGCAATCCAAGTATATGGGGGTCTCATAACACAGCAGCAGTCTCAGAAGACCCTCTGGGACTTAGGGCATCCAGAGATTCCCAGATGTCAAGACCAGGCTCATGGGGCTCAGATGACCCAGTGGGGTAAGATCCAGGGATTCAGGGAATGGGATCTAGTGACTGGCACCATGGGTCTTCAAAGACCCTGAGAATGAGGATCCAGGGATCTGGGATCTGGTGGTGGAGATCCACATAAAAGGGCTGGTGGGTGATGTCTAGGACCTGGACTGTCATATATGGGCACTCTGGCGCCGTTTGTGGGTAACCTTGAGCACTGGTTCTTGGGGCTTGTGGAGCGAGAGGGAGCTTTGGATTTAGCAGGTCTTGGTTGGAGCCTGGGAAAGTGCATTCCTGGCAAGTTCCCAAGGTATGCTGATGCTTCGGGTCTGGGGCCCACACCATGAGGCCCGCTGGGCTAGAGCGTCCAGCAGAAGAGAGAGGCAGAGATGTACGCAGGACCGCTGGTGCAGCCTGGCTTAGGGCACCTAGTGGCAGGGGATCTCAGCCCAGGAGAATGCTGTGAGCGCGTGGGGAGACATCGGGGACACTGGGGTTGGGGAAGTGACGCAGGCTGGGGTTTGGCAAGTGACGCAGAAGCAGTGGCCCAGGCCTAGGACGGCAGGTGGAAAGCCAGTGGTGACGCCTCTTAGGTCTGGGGTTTGTGGTCTGTGGATGAAATAACTGGAAGCAGAGTGGGAGGGGAAGCCAAGGGGCCAGGGAGAAGGGGGCTGGGGAAACTAGCTAGGGATATGGGGAATGGAGGGGCCCAGACTGCGCAGTGGGGGACGGGGCTTTTGACCTGGGATGGGGTCCTCACCTCGGAGCTGTCTCCAGGTGACCGTGGGCTCTGGCCGCCCCACGGCCAGGCAAAGCAGGTTCACATTGCCCCCCTCATTCACCGTCACAGGCGACGAGATGTTCACAATGCGGGCAGGGACTGCGGGCAGCGGCAGAGGCTGAATATGGATGCCCAGGAATCCAGGCCCCCAGCCCTTCCTCCTTCAGACCCAGGAGTCCAGACCCCCAGCCCCTCCTCCTCCCTCAGACCCAGGAGTTCAGACCCCCAGCCCCTCCTCCCTCAGACCCGGGAGTTCAGACCCGCAGTTCCTCTTCCCTCAGACCCAAGAGTCCAGTACCCCAGCCCCTTCTCCCTCAGACCCAGGAGTCTCTGCCTTTTTCTCTGAAACCTCTGTCTGGGCCTGGCATCTTCTTGTCTAATTGCTGGTCTTGTCTCTATTCTCTCTCCACCTTCATCCTAACTTGGTTTCTCCATCTTGGGGTCTGAATTCCTCTCCCCGTCTCTATTTGTATTTATTATTATTTTAAATAAATTTATTTAACAAATACCCACATGGGACTTTCTGTGTAACAGATGCTATTCTAAGTGCTTTACCCAAATCCACTGATTAGATGCTCACTACCAGCCTCTGGGGTGGATGTTACTGTATTTCATCAATTCTAAGTCATCTGTGCTTTCCACTCCCCTCTCCCATTTGAACATTTCTCCAAGCAGGATGGCCCTCGAGATAGGATGCCAGGGTATCGCTGGCAGTGTTTTTGTTTTTTCTTTTCTAGTAGGGCATAAAATAAAAGTAGCTCTTCTAATTGACGACGTCTGGGATTTGACATATGACAGCACCATCCCCATTTTGCAAAGGAGTCCCGGGCCTCTTCCCTGCTCAAGGTCCCTGGGCTGGTGGACGGTGGCACTGAGGTTGGAACCCAGGCAGTCTGGCTCCAGAGTTGGAGCTTGCCAGGATCCCCCTGGATTCTCTCTGTCTCCAGGTCCTGTCTCTCCAGGTGCTCCCTACCCTCCACCATTTCAGATGCCCTCTGCCTCTCGCCTCACTGTGGAGCTCTCCAGCCCCATCTCTCCTGCTCTGGATCTGGCGCTTCCAGCCTCATGAGACTTCCCTTTGCACACTTGGCTCATCTTCTTGCCTGGCCCTGCACACACTGTTTCTTTTCCGGTCTTAGCCCTGTGCCCAGCCAAAGGCGTCAGCTCAGACGTCACGTCTGGGAAGTCCTCTCTGAGCCTGTCCTCAGAAAATCAGCTCCCAAGGTGTGGGGACAGCCTGCCTTGTTCTGTAGATCAATGCTTACACAGAGTAGGCCCTCCAGGAATGGGGCTGAACAAATGAACGTGGTCTTCCCCCAAGCACCCCCTCATCCCTGTAGCTCTCCTGCCCTAGAAGCAATCATGTTGATGCGTCACTGTCTGTGTAACTGGCCCCCTTCTGCTGGGCTGAAATCCCCAAGGGCAAGGCTGTGTCTGTCTTTCTCGCTATGTATCCCTGGGGTTGGGGAACACGTGGTATCTGTCATCATGCCTAGTCTCCCCCACGCTCTCAACCCCTCCACCCAGCCAGGCCCCGGCCAAGGGCTCACCGTGGACAATGAGGTAGACCTGAGTGGTGTACGGCTGGTGGCGGGTCTGGAAGGAGCAGGTGTAGAGGCCCTCGTCGCCGAGCCCCACCTCGGTGATGAGGATGGAGAACTCCTCGGGGGTGTTGATGAGCAGCCGCACCCGCGGGTCGCTGGTCCAGCGGTCATTGCCGGCATACAGGATGTTGGAGCGGTTCAGCCAGGCCACGCGGGTCACGTGCTCGTCGATGAAGCAGCTGCAGGGAGAATGAGTGGGAAGGTTTTTCTCCACCCACCCAGCCTGAGGCTTCCCCCACCGAGGGGGTGGGTGGGAGAAGGAGGCCACCGCATCTCCAGGTCCCACCACAGCCCTGTGAGGCGGATGCTGCTGTGCCCACCATACAGCTGGGGGTAAGTTGAGCCTCAGGGAGGGAAAGCTGTGAGCCCAACTGCAGAACGGAACAATAGCTCGTGGTTATTGAGTGATCGTGTGTGTCAGAGACACAAAAAGGGGAGAACAGAGAATCTGGGAGAGAGGAATAGAGATGCAGAAGGAAGGAGAAAGAGACCTAGAGAGAGGGACAGAGACCCAGAGAGAGGGACAGAGACCCAGAGAGAGAAGGACAGAGACACACACACACACAGAGGGACAGAGACCCAGAGAGAGAGAGAGACACAGAGACCCAGAGACAGAGGGGGACAGAGACCCGGAGAGAGAAAGAGAGAGAGAGAGAGACCCAGAGAGAGAGCTACAGAGACCTAGGGAGAGGGGGATAGAGACCCAGAAAGAGAGGGGGGCAGAGACCCAGAGAGAGGGGACAGAGACTCACACACACACAGATACAGACACCCAGAGAGAAAGAGACAAAGACCCAGAGAGAGGGGGACAGAGACCCAGAGACAGAGGGGAACAGAGGCCCAGAGAGAGAGAGACAGAGACCCAGAGAGAGGGGGACAGAGACCCAGAGACAGAGGGAGACAGAGACCCAGAGGCAGAGGGGGCAGAGACCCAGAGACAGAGTGGGACAGATACCCAGAGAAAGAGAGAGGAGAACAGAGACCCAGAGAGAGAGGGACAGAGACACACAGAGAGAGGGGTACAGAGACCCAGAGAGAGAGGGGGGCAGAGACCCAGAGAGAGAGAGGGAAAGAGACCCAGAGGGAGACTCAGAGAGAAGGGGACAGAGATCCAGCAGAGAGGGACAGAGACACACACACAGAGAAGGACAGAGACCCAGAGACAGATCCAGAGAGAGGGGGACAGAGACCCAGAGAAAGAGGGGGGACAGAGACCCAGAAACAGAGAGAGAGAGAGAGAGCAAGCGAGAGAGAGAGAGAGAGAGAGGCGTGGAGAGAGGGGGGAACAGAGACCAGGGTGAGGAGAGGTGGAGACCTGGGGAAACAGCAACCCTGTCCCTCTCTGCTGGATCTCTGTCCCCTTCTCTCTGGATCTCTGTCCCCTTCTCTCTGGATCTCTGTCCCCTTCTCTCTGGATCTCTGTCCCCTTCTCTCTGGGTCTCTGTCCCTCTCTCTCTCTGGGTCTCTGTCCCTCTCTCTGTGTGTGTCTCTGCCCCCTCTCTCCACCCCTTTGACAGATGGGGACACTGAAGCCGAGGGGGAGCCAGCTCATAGCTGTGTCGCTACTGAGGGGGAATGTGGAGCCCAAGTCTTCCCATCCCAGGCTGTTCCTGTAACCAGGATCCCCACCCAGGAAGGTGAAGGGGCAGGACCGCATGGCTCCATGAGATCTGAGTCCCCACCCACCGAGGGAGGTACCTGAGGGTGGCGTTGTCACCTTCACACACTGTGTAGTTGTCGGCAGGAGAGTTGAACTCCAGGCTCTGGGAGAGCAGCCCTGTGGAAGGTGGGGGTGGCTCAGCCTTGGCAGCTCAGGCAAGGCCCGGGCATGGTAGCACCTGCACACATGTGCACACGCACGTCCTTGTGGACACAGACGTCTCCTGCACCCGCTGCCACACACATGCACCACACGTGCACACACACGTCCTTGCGGACACAGACGTCTCCTGCACCCGCTGCCACACACATGCACTGATGTTTTCAGAGATACACACACAGCAGACACAATCACAGCAGACACATGCAACATGTATCTTCCCATGAGCCCACACAGACTCACAGACTCAGATGGGTAGGTGTCCATGGACATACAAACCTACACACCTCCAGAGATGCAGAGACAATCGTAGCACACAAACACACACATACAGATACACACAGATGCATGTGTACACAGACACATATATATACAGAGACATATGTACAAACATATACATGCAGACACATGTACACATAAGACATACACACAGACACATATACACAGACACAGATACCTGTGTACACAGAACACATACATTCACAGATACAGAGTACAGCGACACACATACCAATATGAGCAGATTAACAATTACATAGATACGGCCAGGTGCGGTGGCTCACACCTGTAATCTCAGCATTTTGGGAGGCCGAGGTGGGAGGATTACCTGAGACCAGGAGTTCGAGACCAGCCTGGCCAACATGGTAAAACCCCATCTCTACTAAAAATACAAAATATTAGCCGGGTGTGGTGGAGCACGCCTGTAATCCCAGCTACTCGGGTGGCTGAGGCAGGAGAATCACTTGAACTCGGGAGGCGGAGGTTGCAGTGAGCCAAGATCACGCCATTGCACTCCAGCCTGGGCAACAAGAGCGAAACTTGGTCTCAAAAAGAACCCCAACAATTACCATAGATACATATACATATGCAGAGATATGTACACACATCCACACATGGTCTACACGCACAGACATATACACAGGTACATCAACACACAGATACTTGCATACACAGAACACTTATGCACAGATACATGTATACACACATACACACACACAAATACACATGTACATGGGCACACAAATATTCATAGGTACGGTATACAGACACACATGTACCTATGCAAAGATGAGCGCATAGTATATATGCATACACACAGAAACACACATATATACGTGAATACACACAAATATATACACACAGGCCCACAAGTACACAGATGCACACGTACATTAACTCAGAAATGTACCGAAGGCATACACATAAAACCAGATGCATGTAGATAACACATATATGTAACAGACCTGCAGACACACAGATATGAACACGTGCGCACAGAGATCCACATGTGTACATTCTCAGACACACATCCATCACAGATGCACAAATACACCCTCACACACACACAAACCTTTGCAGACACACACATCTACACAGGCACACTGTGTGCTCAAGTTTGCCAGGGCATGCTTGCAGGTGTGAGCCCATGCCCACTCGCACACTTCAGCACAGCAGGCAGGCTCCGTCACCCCCACGCAGTCATCTCTCTGTAGACCGTGGCCAGCGGGCTGGACCAGGGCCAGGGAGTGGGGGCTGGGCATGCGGAGGCGGTGGAGCTGGCACCAGGCGGAGAGGGAGGAAGGCCGGCTGGATGACCTTGGACTTCTGGAGTGGGAGGGGCCTGCGCGGGGCTGCCCTGCCCCCAGCCCAGACGAAGAGCTAATTAATATAATGAATTAATGGCCCGTGCTGCCCCAATGACTCCCGGGGGCCCTCTCCATCAGCAGCCCCACAGGATGGGGCCAGGACGGAGCCAGGTGCAGTGGGTTGGCAGGCTCTGGGGCTTGGGGCTGGGCCCTGCAGCCCCTCACCCTGGGCCCCCTCATGCCAGAGTCACTGCTGGGATTTAAAGAGAATGGAGAGAGGGGGCTCACCCTCCCCGAGCTAAACACAGTGGACACTGCTACACGCAGCCCTGGGAGCAACAGGAGACAGCTTGGGGATGGATGATGGATGCACGCGTGCACGCGCGTGCACACACACACACATACACACACAGGCTTGGACAAGGCACGGAGACCTCTCCAGGCCTAGAAATAGTCCCCACACTTGCTATGTCCTTACCCAGACAGAGAGGTACAGACACAGTCATACAGACACAAACAGCTCCAGCTACACCCATACACACACACACACAAACACATACAATCACACGCATACAAACACAGGAGACAGTCCCACCCTCTCAGTCACGCGCATGGCTGTGGACCCGCTCAGAGGGACAGGTGTGTATATACAGTGATGCTGACAGACCCAGCTCTGCACAGGCACCCAGCAGCAGGTCAGCTGGAAAGGAGGATCTGTCCCAGGAGCGCTCATATTGTCACATTCAGGCCAAGCAATGCTGCACCCTGAGTCACCCCATCATATACAATAGTTCCCACATGGTTCCATCGACATCAACAGCCCCACACATGGCTGCAAAGTCCACACACAATTACATCCCTTCCCAGGCTGGTGAAGACAGACACACACACACGCTTACTAACCTAACTGGTTACACAGACACCACTGGTGCGAGCACCATGATTCCCAACTTTGCACTTTGGAAGGCCCTGGGTCAGACGCACACAAAGCTACAACCCGTGTAACAAGACAGCAACACTGTCACATCCCCTCAAGCACGAAGGGGCCACGCTGGGCCGAGAATCAGGTCATGTTGTCTCCTGTGATCAGATCACACACGGCTGGACGCACACACACACACACACACACACGCACACACACAGGGAATTGGAAAGTCACCAACAAAAACCTGGACCGAACGACGGGTAGTGCCACATTCAGTGCTGCCAAAGAGTCACATGTACGCACCAAGATCCCTTCCTAGGCTGGTGAAAACAGACAGGCACGTACCCTGCCCTATCCCCCAGACACACAGGATTTGCTATGCTCCTGCTGACACACCTTCTGGGCCAGGGTTCCTAAACCTCAGCACGGCTGACATTTGGGGCCAGACTGTCCTATGCAACATAGGAGGTCGGCAGCGTCTCGCTTCTGATCTGGATCCATTTGATGCCCTTCTCCACCACAAATGCCTCCAGACATTGTCAGATGCCCCGTAAGGGGCAAAATCACACACCCCCTTCCCCGTTGAGAGCCATTGTCCTACAGGAACCAAGAAGTGGGGGGAAGAGGGAGCTGTCCAAGGTGCCTACCCTAAGGTTCAGGGGCTCCAGGGCTCCTGAACTCAGCTGCTGATTGAAGCAGGCACTGCCCCCATGAGTTGAGCCCACACACCACTCCAGGCTTCTTGGGGCTTTATTTTTTATTTCTGTTTTTATTTTGAGACAGAGTCTCGCTCTGTTGCCCAGACTGGAATGCAGTGGCATGATCATGGCTCACTGCAGCCTCAACCTCCCCAGCAAAAGCAATCCTCCCACCTCAGCCTCCCGAGTAGCTGGGACTATTGGCATGCACCACCACACCTGGCTACTTTTTTTTTTTTAAGAGACGAGGTCTTGCCATGTTGCCCAGGCTGGTTTCGAACTCCTGGGCTATCCTCCCACCTCAGCCTCTCAAATGTTGGTATTGCAGGCGTGAGCCAGAGTGCCTGGTCAGGGCTTTATTATCTGGTCACTGGGGTGGGAAGTGGACCCTGCAGGGAAGGCAGGACTCCGGGTGCCTCAGGACTTTGTCCATTGCACTCTGATGACTGTCTGTATCTGGCCTCCCTATCAGACTAGAAGTTTCTTGGGGGTAAATCTTGGTTCTGACTCAAGTCTGTGTCCCCAGCATCTCCCAACACTGGGCCTGGCCCACCAGAGGCCTTGGGAAATATTTGTTGAATGGATGAATATAAATGGATGCCTGCAACACTCTTCAACTCTTGAACTCCTACTCATTCTTCAAGACCCCAATGCAAATGTCCCTTGCCCCAGGAGGACCTTTCTGACTGTTCAAGGCAGAGCTCCCACTCCTTCTTCTGGGCACTGTTTGACTTAGCTGAGACAGTGATGAGGAGCTTTGTGATGGCTTGAATCTTAGCTGTGTCCCCCCAGGGTCGAGCCAATCTCAGAACTGGGAAGTGTTTGTGGAAAGGGCATGGATGGTCCTCAGAGACCAGATAATAAATCCCTGAGGAGCTAGGGTTGGAAGATCAAACGTCTGTCCCACCACTTCCTAGCTGGATGACCCCCACTCCTGGCCAGTGTGAGCTTCAGTTTCTCCAACTGTACAAGGTGAAAAATAGTAGTTCTTCCCTGCAAGGGTTTCTGTGAGGGATTCCGTGAGAATATGCAAGCAGAAGTGTCTAGCTCAGCTGTTGGCATTCGGAAAGAACCCAATAAATGCTAGCGGTTCCTAACAGCACCTTCTTTTTTAGGAACCATCTATTGCTATCCCTGGCTTGGCATAGGTCTCCCTAGATGCTCCACTCAGGGGAGCGGGGAGGGCAGGGCTGTATCTGGGCTGTCAGTTGCTCTGAGTCACTGACTCCTGGGCAGACACCCTGGTAAGCATCTACTGATAAAGCCAACCTTGCATAACCAGGGGGCCCAGGGAATGCAGTGTGGCTGCCAGGCAGCTGGGTTCAAGTCCCAGCTCTGCTGCTGAGCCACACAAGTTACTTCACCTCTCTGGGACTCAGTTTCCCCACCTGAAATGGAAATGATAATCATGCCTTCCTCACTGGGTTGTGGGGAGGATTACAAGAGGTAATCCAAGTAAAGGTTCTAGTACAGTGCCTGCCAGTTAAGTGCTTGCAAACAGCCGTCCGTGAGCTGGCTGTTAGGGTGATTATGTGGCAGGCACCGGCCTGTGGCAAGGGAGGTGTCTGGCGGTGATCAGAGGGCTCACTTGTTCCCTGCCCTCGTAGGATTTACAGTCCAGACGCACAGGCCTCATACCTGTTTGATAAACCTGGGAATGAAGGTGGTAGGCAGGTGACTTTTCTTAAGACAGAAAGAGATCCCTAACAAGCTGAGTGACCTTGGGCTGGGGGTGAGAATCTTCTGCCGCCCTGCCAAGGAGCTTAGGCAAAGCTGGAACCCTGAAATGGTTGGCAGGGGTCGGGAGGGTGATACTCTGATTCCACAGTCTCAGAAGACGCAGGTGGGAAACCTGGGAGGTAGGGGGTGGAGGGGCGGGGCATGAGACTGGGGCAGGGAGGAGGGGGTGCGGCTCTGGCTGGGAAAGGCTGTGAGAAGGGGCTGGGCCTGTTATGTCTGGCACCCAGGAGTCCCCAGGAGGGTCCTCCTCCCTTTGCTGACCTCAGAGTTCTGAGGGTTGGCTGGGCATGGTGGTTCACGCCTATAATGCCAGCACTTTGGGAGGCCAAGGCGGATGGATTGCCTGAGGTCAGGAGTTCGAGACTAGCCTGACCAATATGGTGAAACCCCGTCTCTACTAAAAACACAAAAATTAGCCGGGCATGGTGGCATGTGCTTGTAGTCCCAGCTACTTGGGAGGCTGAGGCAGGAGAATTGCTTGAACCCAGGATGCGGAGGTTGCAGTGAGCCGAGATTGTGCCACTGCACTCCAGCCTGGGTGACACAGCGAGACTCCGTCTTAAAAAAAAAAAAAGAAAAGAAAAGAAAAGAAAAACAAAGAAAAAAAAAGAAAAAATCTGAGGGCATTAGCGTCACCGACACCAGGGGAGTCCAGACACTGTGCCAAGAATCCTGAAACTAGACACACCTTTTCTTTCCCTTTGTTTCTTTTCTTTTTTTTTTTTTTTGAGACAGGGTACCACTGTGTCACCCAGGCTGGAATGCAGTGGCACCATCTTGGCTCACTGCAACCTCCACCTCCCAGGCTCAAGCGATTCTCCTGCCTCAGCCTCCTGAGTAGCTGGGACTACTGGTGCGTGCCACCATGCCTGGCTTTTTTTTTTTTTTTTGTAGATATGGGGTTTCCCCATGTTGCCCAGGCTAGTCTTCAACTCCTGAGCTCAGGTGATTCACCTGCCTTGGCTTCCTGAAGTGCTGGGATTACAGGTGTGAGCCACTGCGCCCAGCTTTACCCTCCTTTCTGTTGGTCCCACCTCAAGGTCTTTACCTCTGCTGTCAACTTTGAAAGGTTGACTTCCGGCGGGGCGTGGTGGCTCACGCCTGTAATCCCAGCACTTTGGGAGGCCAAGACGGGCGGATCATGAGGTCAGGAGATCGAGACCATCCTGGCTAACACAGTGAAACCCATCTCTACTAAAAATACAAAAAATTAGCCAGGCGTGGTGGTGGGCGCCTGTAGTCCCAGCTACTTGGGAGGCTGAGGCAGGAGAATGGTGTGAACCCAGGAGGCGGAGCTTGCAGTGAGCTGAGATAGTGCCACTGCACTCCAGCCTGGGCGACAGAGCAAGACTCTGTCTCAAAAAAAAAAAAAAAAAAAAAAAAAGGTTGACTTCCCTCTTCCTTCAGGTCTTAACTCCACTCTCCCCTGCTCAGAGATGGTTTCCTCAACCACTTGAGCTTCAAAGGCCAAGTCACTTTTATCTTCTTTACATTACTCATCACTCTCTGAAATTATCTTTTATTTGTTTGTCTTTAGGTTTTGGTTTTGGTCTTTGATCTCTCTCCATCCCACTATGATCTAAGCTCCGTGAGGACAGTGACTGCCTGGTTCACTCACTGCCATATGTATATATCCAGTGTCTAGAATAGCGGCCCTGGTCCCCAAGAACATTTGCTATATGAACCAACAACCAAGCACAGCCCACAAGCCAGATGAACCTGGAGCTCAGAGGTCCTGGGGAGAGCTAGCTTGTCAGGGGCAGTGCTGGGACTCAAATCTGGGGCTCCTGCCCCCTCCTGACCATCATCACTCTGCTAGCTGCCCCAGAAGCAAAGGAACCACCCACCTCATTTGCTGCTGCAGAAGCGGCCATTTGATTTTGTTGAATTGTTTTAAAATACCACAATGTAGCTGCTTTGTAAATAAATATGTATATGTGAGGGGGTGCGTGTGTGTTGGCATAAAAGATTTAGAAAAGAATTGAAGATAGATGAATATTTATGGATGTAAGGGAGGTATGGTTAAGTGGGAAAAGGCCGATTGCAGAGAAATGGGCTTATTTTGTTTCTATTTTGGGGGAAAAAAATCAACAAACCAACCAATCCATCACTTATGTTGTCCTCTGTGTGTCGTGTCTAAGTCTGCAGAAGTGAGAGAAAGCTATGGAAGGATGCACTCCAGCCACAGACCGGTTCTCTCAAGACAGTGGTTGTGAGAGTGGTGGCAGGGCAGGAGCACAATGGGGTTTGCCCTTATCAGAGGCGGACTGTTTGCAGTGTATTCCTCTTGTAACTTGGACAAGATCATGAATAAAAGAAGAGAGAAGATGCTAGTTTGCATATCTTGCCATAAGCTTTTTTTCCCAGACAGCTCAAACTATCCATGGGTGGGTGGGGGTGTCTTTCTGGCATCTCGTTCTGTCTCAACCCCACCCCATCCCCTCTCGTCCCCAGTTCTCAAAAGGGGAACCTAAGACCAGAGATGGGAAAAGACTTGAGCAGGGTCACAAGCCACCTCCTGGCTCTGCCACAGCTTCCTGCCCCAGTCTAGCCCCGTAATGATTTATAGGGACTTTAAGAATGAATGTGGGGGCCAGACAGTGGCTCATGCCTGTAATCCCAGCACTTTGGGAGGCTGAGGTGGGCAGATCACCTGAGGTCAGGAGTTCGAAACCAGCCTGGCCAACATGGTGAAACCCTGTATCTACTAAAAGTACAAAAATTAGCCCAGCGTGGTGGCACACACCTGTAGTCCCAGCTACTTGCGAGGCTGAGGCAGGAGAATCACTTGAACCCGGGAGGCAGAGGTTGCAGTGAGCTGAGATTATGCCACTACACTCCAGCCTGGCAGCAAGAGTAAAACTCTGCCTCAAAAAAAAAAAAAATAGTGAATGTGAAAAATGGGAAGTTGCAGTGAGAGAGAGAAGGGGAGGGAGAGAAGAAACAGGAAAGTGGGGGAAAGGTCACAAAGGGTACAGGATCAGGGAAAGAAGAGGAGGAAGAAGAAGACAAGAGATAAGGACAAGGAGAGAAAGAAAGAAGAGGTGGCTGGTGCAGTGGCTCACACCTGTAATCTCAGCACTTTGAGAGGCCCAGGTGGGAGGATCACTTGAGGCCAGGAATTTGAGACTAGTCTGGGCAATATAGTGAGACCCCCATCTCTACAAAGAAAAAAAATTAAAAATTAGCCAGGTGTGGTGGCGTGCATCTGTGGTCCCAGCTACTCCAGAGGCTGAGGTGGCAGGATCGCTTGAGGCAGGGAAATTGAGGCTGCAGTGAGCTGTGTATGCTTGCACCACTCCACTCCAGCCTAGGTGAGAAAGTCAGACCCTGTCTCAAAAAAACAAGAAAAAGAAAGAAAAAAAGAGAAGAAAGAAGAAAGAAAGAAAGAAAGAAAGAAAGAAAGAAAGAAAGAAAGAAAGAAAAAGAGAGAGAGAGAGAAAAAGAGAAAGAAGGAAAGAAAGAAAGAAGGAAAGAGAAAGAAGGAAAGAGAAAGAAAAAAGAGAAAGGTAGGTCAGAACAAGAAGGAAATGAATGAGAGAAGGAAATGAGAGAAGTTAATGAAGATTAAGGCATAAGTGAGGAAGCAAGCAAGTATCAAGAGACTGAGTCATGCAATGGGCAACAGTCTGAAAAGCAGAGACAGACAGATGTGGAACTGTGCTGTCAGCAGCAGGGATGGAGAGACAATGACCCAGAGACAGAGGCAGGTGGAAAGTCAGCAGTGGATAACAGAGATGGGAAGGGATGGGAACCTCCAGAAATGGCAGGGACACAAAGACCTAAAGAGATGCATGACAGAGACAGAGACAGGTGGTCAGAAAGTCAGAGGGCGATTCAGACTGGTCAGGTGGGAGACGGGGGAGGACTAGCAAGGGACTGAGGCTGTGGCCCACCAGGTCCCTGCGTCCTGCGTGGATGGGGCTGTGTTTGTGTGACTGGTGTCTGCAGGTGCTGCTTCGGGTGGGACGCTGTGACGGGGTTTCTGTGCCAGACTTGGTCTATGCGGGCGGCCTCTCTGAGACTCTTGGGGACTCTGTCGGGGTTCTTGGTTGTCCCTGGAACTCTTTGTTCAGGGGAGGGCCTGGGGGAATCCTCCAGAAAGTCTGAATTAACCCAGCTCCCTGCCCTCCTGAGCGCCCACCCTCCAGCCTCCTGCCTCCTTGCACTCTCCTCCCTTTTCTTAGGGGGAAATCTAGGAATCTCCTTGACCACCCCCTGCCTGCCAGGCCCTACTGGGGAGACTCAAGGTCCAGCTATCTAACCTCAGTGCAGAAACCTGCCCCTGGCCCTCTCCCCAACTGGGAGGGCCGGGCCGGGCCGGGGTTAACCCTTCAACCTGCTTTAACCCTTCCCTTCCGTCTTTCCTTCATCCTCCCATGCCCATCGCTCTTCCACTGTCCAGCCCCACGAACCTAGACATTCAATCAGAGCTTGGGAATCCAAGACCCCAGCCCAGCACCCCAACTTCCTGTATCTCCAGCTCCCTTCTCCCCCACATAACTGCAACCTCCCCAAGTACCAACACTTTCTCTCAACCTAGATGACCCTGCTGGGGGATTTCAGACCCTTCCCCTCTTTTCCTGACCCTGGGACTAGGTCTGTGGACACCCTTGTCCCCTCCTCTTACTGACCCTGGGAAGGCATCCATCCCCTGACCTCTGTCCCGAGATGACTACCCCAGCCCCCGGCAAGGACCTCTTCAGGGACCCTCTCCACGTACAGATGAAGACCCCTAACAGGGCATTATCCCCTGCCCCCCACCCCAACTCAGTTCGGAGATCCGACCCGGGGACCCCGAGTCCAGTGTCTGCCCCCTCCTCAACAGGAGCCGCAGACTCCTGCCCCCAGGCAGGGCTAGGTGTCTGCGACCCTCTTGCCTGCTCGGGGAAGCAGACCTCCGCCCCTAGACCCGGCTCCGGCCCGAGGACGCCGACCCCTGCCCCGGGGCGCGGACCCCCACGTCCGAGGTCCCCCTGCCCAGCCAGGGAATGCAGACCCCACCCCCGGGCCCAGACCCCGGCGTCCCGGGGCCTCCCCGCGCCGGCCCAGGGATGCAGCCCTCGACCCCCACCCCTGATCCCCCGATTACCCACCCAAGACCCTGGCGTCCCGGCCGAGCCCCCCGCCCCCGGCGCTGCGGTACCTCGGCTGATGACGGCCAAGCCGGCCAGGGCGGCGGCGGCGAGAAGCCGGAGCCGGGCCCCGGGCGCAGGGGGGGGCATCGCGGCAGAGGCGGCGCGGAGGGGGAGGGGAAAGGGGGGGCCGGTCCGGGGCGCGCGAGGCCTGGGGGGAGAGGGGGGAGGGGGAGGGGGACCCCGCCTGCGCTGCACCGGCCCGGGGGGCGGCGGGGGCGGGGGGAGGGGGCTGGGGGGGCGCGACGAGGCGGCTGGAGCTGCTGCAGACCCGGGGAGGGGGGCGGCGCTGACGGGCAGGGAGACCGGCCAATCAGGAGAGGTGGGGGGCCGGGGAGGCGGGGTCAAGGGGGGGTTGCTTGTTGGAGGGAGAGGCCTTTGTTACTGCGGCCCGGCCCCTACCCCTCCCGCCCCAGGCGTCCCCACGTCTTTCCACCACATCCGCAGAACACGGAGTCTGGGATACTTCCTAAAACCCAGCTCCCTCCTCCTTCAAGTCCCAATCTCATCCTCCCATGGACCTAGGAGACTAGCCCCAGTCCCTCCTCTCTCAGACCCAGGAGCCCAGGTCCCCAGCCCCTCCTCCCTCAGACCCTGGAGTCCAGGCCCCCAGCCCCTCCTCCCTCAGACCCAGGAGTCCAGGCCCCCAGCCCCTCCTCCCTCAGACCCAGGAGTCCAGGCCCCCAGCCCCTCCTCCCTCAGCCCAGGAGTCCAGGCCCCCAGCCCCTCCTCCCTCAGACCCAGGAGTCCAGGCCCAGCCCCTCCTCTCTCAGACCCTGGAGCCCAGGCCCCCAGCCCCTCCTCCCTCAGACCCAGGAGTCCAGGCCCCCAGCCCCTCCTCCCTCAGACCCTGGAGCCCAGGCCCCCAGCCCCTCCTCCCTCAGACCCAGGAGTCCAGGCCCCCAGCCCCTCCTCCCTCAGACCCAGGAGTCCAGGCCCCCAGCCCCTCCTCCCTCAGACCCTGGAGCCCAGGCCCCCAGCCCCTCCTCCCTCAGACCCAGGAGTCCAGGCCCCCAGCCCCTCCTCCCTCAGACCCAGGAGTCCAGGCCCCCAGCCCCTCCTCCCTCAGACCCTGGAGCCCAGGCCCCCAGCCCCTCGTCCCTCAGACCCAGGAGTCCAGGCCCCCAGCCCCTCCTCCCTCAGACCCAGGAGTCCAGGCCCCCAGCTCCTCCTCCCTCAGACCCTGGAGTCCAGGCCCCCAGCCCCTCCTCCCTCAGAGCCAGGAGTCCAGGTCCCCAGCCCCTCCTCCCTCAGGCCCAGGAGTCCAGGTCCCCAGTTCCTCCTCCCTCAGACCTAGGAGTCCAGGCCCCCAGCCCCTCCTCCCTCAGACCCAGGAGTCCAGGTCCCCAGTCCCTCCTCCCTCAGACCCTGGAGTCCAGGCCCCCAGCCCCTCCTCCCTCAGACCCTGGAGTCCAGGCCCCCAGCCCCTCCTCCCTCAGACCCAGGAGTCCAGGCCCCCAGCCCCTCCTCCCTCAGACCCAGGAGTCCAGGCCCCCAGCCCCCTCCTCCCTCAGACCCAGGAGGCCAGGCCCCCAGGCCCCTCTTCCTGTGGGCCACAGTTCAGCTTTTCCATCTATTTTCATGGATAACGAAAACACTGACTTTTGGAGTGAAATTTGCTTTTTTCCTCCACCCCAACCCTCATCCCCAGTATAATAAGGCAATGGGAAGGGATTGGGGGACTTATCTTGGGGGAGCAGGTGGGGAGGAAACCATAATCCAGGGTTTAGGTGCAAAACATCCTGGCTCCCTGTTCTTTCACTGACTTGGCTGTGTGACCTTGGACAAGCCATTTCTCTTCCCAGAACCTCAGCGTCTTCCCCTGCAAGGTGGAAAATTCCCTATTGCCCAAGGTTATTGAGAAGAATGAGAGATCTTGGAGCAGCTCCTGGCTCCAGCCAGCACCTCAAAAACCTGTAGTGAGTTTCTCCCTCCCCTTTCCACTTTGCATCTGTTTACTAGGTGTATTCCACCCTCCTGTTCCCGTCCCCTTGGCATACGCAGGAGCAAAATAATCTCTGAGTCTACGTTATTTCTGTAGCAGTTCAAGGCAGGAGCTTTTGAAGTTACCCAGTAGGGGCTGTTCTGCCTCAGAAACATATCCATCCTCAATTCCTTCCCCCTCCACTCACATCCAATTTGTCTGCAAGAACCGCTGGCTCTGTCTCCAAAACAAATCTCTGCTTTGTCCTTTTCTTACTCTCCCATCCTGGTCTGAGCTTTCACCACCTCTCCCTGTAGGACTCTGGCTGTAGCAGCCTATGCTCTACTCTCTTGGCCTCTACCTTTGCCTCCACCTTCAGAACAACCACCACTAAACACCTGGACCAGCTAGGGCCACTCCCTGCCTCAATCACTCAGCTCGCTGTGACCTTCTTTCCATTCCTTAAACAAACCGAACAATTCCAGCCCCAGGGTCTTTGTACTTGCCGTTCTTTCGCTGGAATGCTCTTCCTACCACACTGGCAGATGACTCTTTCTTATTTAAGGCTCATCTTCTCCCCTTTAAGAAGCCTTCATTGATCATAGTTTCCAAAGTAGCTGCTACTCCCAGCACAATAACTCTACGTCATACCTCTTCATAGCACTAACAATGTTCTTTTGCCTTTTCCTTTTCTTTTCTTTCTTTCTTTCTTTCTTTCTTTTTTTTTTGACAGAGTTTTGCTCTTCTTGCCCAGGCTAGAGTGCAATGGTATGATCTTGGCTCACCACAACCTCTAACTCCTGGGTTCAAGTGATTCTCCTGCCTCAGCCTCCTGAGCAGCTGGGATCACAGGCATGCACCATCACAGTCGGCTCGTTTTGTATTTTTAATAGAGATGGGGTTTCTCCATGCTAGTCAGGCTGGTCTTCAACTCCTGATCTCAGGCGATCTGCCCGCCTCGGCCTCTTAAAGTGCTGGGATTACAGGTGTGAGCCACTGCGCCCGGCCGATTTCCTTCTTTCACTGTTATTTTTAGTTGCTCTCCCCCTACTCCCACTTCCAGAATGTAAGCTTCACGGAGTTTTTTGTTTTTGTTTTGGTCTGCTTTTGTTCAAGGCTGGATTTCCAGAGCCCAACCTAGTGACTGACATGTAGTACGTACTCAAATAAATACGTACTGCATGAGTGAGTCGGATGGCTTAGCTCCGTTTGGAGAGATGGAGGGAAGTAAGATACAGAGGGAGGAAGAGACCTGCCTGCGTTCACAAAACTGGGTGATGCAAAAGTTAATGGTGTTCTGCAGGTGGCTTGCACTGGCTCAAAAGAGCTGATTATTAAATTTTCAGAAATTGTGCAAGCCAGGTGTTAAACCATTATTAGCTTGAAACTGGCCATGTTGGGAGGATTTACACCACAGCAATGGTGAACACTGAATCAGCTTGCCAGCCCACCACTCTACAAAATCCATTGTGATCCTGGTGAAAGGCCATTTATTGATCCTCTTTGAATTCCGGACCGTTCAGACTTAGGATGAGAACAGGAGCTCCCTCTTCCTGAAATGGCCCATCCCATGCCTGATAAAATATGAGTGCTTACTCGGTGTAGGGATCTTTCTAAGCACTTTGTACATATTATCTCCTTGAAGCATCATGACACCCTTCTGAGGCAGCACTTATCTTTATCCCTATTTCACAGGTGAGGACAAAGAGACATGGAGAATTTTTTACATCCCAAGAGCTATAAATGTGTGATACTGTGAAATATATATTTGGTCTTCATAACACCCCCGCTACGTCCACTGGCAAGCCCCAGGTAGCTTCAGTATGGGGGTTGGTCACAGGAAAGAACAAGGCATGATTAAAAGGTTGGGACTTTCAGCTCATCTCCCAGCCTCTGTGGAAGGGAGAGGGAGTGAAAGTTAAGTGGAGCACCAATGGGCAATGATTTAATCAATCATGCGTATGTAATGAATGTTCCATTAAAAAACCGCAAAAGACTGGGTTTAGGGGGCTTCCGGACAGTTGAACACACGGAGGTTCCTGGAAGGTGGCATGCCTGGAGAGGGCATGGCAACTCCATTCTCCTTCCCCTGCACCTCACCCTGTGCGTCTCTTCACCTGTATCCTTTGTAATATCCTTTATAATAAACTGGTAAGCATAAGTGTTTTTCTAAGTTCTTTGAGCTGCTCTAAAAAATTAATTGAAGAGAAAGGTGTTATGGAACCCCAATTTATAGCTGGTCAGTCAGAAGCACAGGTAAAGAACCTGGAGCCTACAATTGGCATTGGAAGTGGGGGACAGTCTTGTGGGACCAAGCCCTCAACTTGTGGGATCTGCTGTGAAGTCCAGGTAGATGTATGAGGATTGAATTGGAGTACACCCAATTCGTGTCCACTGCAGAACTGATTAATTGGTTGCTGGTGGGGAGAAATCCCTACACAATTCTTGGTGACACCAATCAAAAGAGAAGTGTTGATTGTTAAGTGAGAGAATAGAAAAAGCACTTTGGTTGTCTTCCCTATAGCCTCAGATTTGGTGTCAGAAGTGGGATGAGTAAAACAGAAATTGATGGAGTTAGAACAAAAGTCTTAATATAATACTATTTAAGGTTGGGTGGGCCAAAGGGAGTACTTGTTGGTTCCCTAACATTAAAGGGTTCCAAAAAAGTTTGCTGTATTTACCTTAGTTTGGAGAAATTTTAAAAGTCAGAAAGCAAAGATTAAAATAAGACATCTGATCTGAAATTTTCTGGGGCAATAGTCTGGCAGTTTAATCAAGATAAAGATTAACCAACAAGCAAGAGTTCTTTTGCTCAACGCCCTGATGGGGACCTAAAGCCTTATGTACACAAGTGGACAAAATGATCAGGGATGCAGAAGAGAAATTCATGGGACTCCTTGATATGGGAGGTCCACTGACTATGGTACCAACATCCATTGGTGAAGTCCTGACTTGGGATTAGATTGAGAGAATGTAAAAATTTAAGGGTTGTAGTATTGTGAAACCAAAAACCATTGATAAAGTTCTAATAGAGGCTACAGTTAGGAAAGTGAGGGTTGGTGGAATTAAGATAAACCTTTATAGGAGAGTTGGTATATTTGAACACATTTTCTCTGAAGTGATTTTACCTGATTATATTATGGGGATGGATGTTGTATCAGACTGGGAAATGTTTCCCATACCTAGCATTATGAAACAAAAGCCATGTAAATCTGCCTTTAATCAATATTAATTGGACATGCTAAATAGGAACCAGTCAGATCTCTGGAGCCCACAAAATGTAGAATAGAAGACAGAGTGATGCTATGGACAAATTCTCTGAGACAGAGCCCTGTATGGAACCCAGACTGGGGCCTATGGGAACAGCCTATAAGCACCTTCCAGTGACAACTACTGAGACTCTGGACTACAGAATTTCAATTTGAAGAGCATAATACTACTTTCTATGGGATATTAATTCAAGCTACCCCTATGACTGAGGACATAAAATGATCTTGAAGCCTGAAATACCAATAATCTCTTGGATTATGTTTAAAAACACTCTAATGGAGATTAAAATGCCCAGAAGAGTCCCCTAATAAATTAGAAATGATTTATACAGGATCATGCTACCTAGGGAATGCAAGGAGGAGATACTAATAAAAAAGGAGCCTCTTTCTCCCTCGGACTGACTCTGGAAGCGTATGGGGAGCAGCTGGATCCTACTGCCACTTGGACAGTGCCCTATAAACAGCTCTCAACTAGCCAACAAAGAGCTGCTTGGTGTGCAGATGACAGTGCCAAGATGAAAAGACCACGTTCTATTTAGAAGGATGCCATTCTGATCAAAGAAGATAAAAACAAATCCGTCCAGTGAGCTGAATTGCATGCTGAAGAATTGAACAGTGGTAAAAGCCCTTCCGTGTGGGTTTTTACTGACTCACAGGCAGTGGCCAATGGCTTGGCCATATAGTCAAGCAGGTGGATAATGGAAACCTAGCCTATTAAAGGGATGTCCATATGGGACACACACAGCCCTTTGGAAATTTGAGGGGTCCTTAAGGTAGGACATGTCAATGCCCACCAGAAGAGCTCTCTTCCAGGTCTGGAAGGTGATTGAAATCGACAAGCAGATATCCCTGTGTGCTCACTGGGTGGCCACCTGGGTGCATGAAATGAGAGGACATGAGGGCACTGCAGCAGTGCAGAGATGGGCTGAATCTAAATATGTTTCTATTGCACCCTCTCAGGCACATAATGCCAATAAGAACTGTTCTGTTTGCCAGCAGGAGAGACAGAAGCTGCAGATGGCTATGGGCCAGATTCCCTGGTGGGAAGGTCCCAAGCACAGCTGGCAAGTGAGGCTGATGCTGGTAGCCCTGGGGGGCTACAAATGGGTCTTGACAGGAATAGACGCTGACTCTGGGCTGGCCTTTGCTTACCCAGTGGAAGATGCAAATGCTCAGAGTGCTGTAAAAGAATCAGAACAGAATATATTACACACATTTGCACAGGCTGCCGTCATTTCTTCCGACCAAGGAACACACTGTCTAGCCCATAATGTCCAGCAATGGGCAGAGAGCTGTCCTTTGGGTAATAATTTGATCAAGAAGTGGAATGAGCAATTAAAACTTTGGTTGTCAAAAACAGGGGAGATAAAAGCATGAAGGATGTAGCCATAATTTTTTTTAATGTACCCATAAAAATAAAAATTTAAAAAAAAACAGGAAGATTTGGCTTACATGCCCTCCTGTGTGCTCACACTCAACCTGATGGGACTAGAGGAGCGTCACCACTAGACTTTCCTGTTTTCTGGTTGACCTGGGAAAGTGGGGGTAGGGAGAATGCTGGTGTGGCTATGCAATTCTTACCAAGTTGCTATAATGACTATATATTTTTTTCTTTCTTCCAGATATAACCTCATTTTTTTCTCCTACCTGATGCAGTGGTCCTAGTAAAACCAACCCAATTGTCCCATAGAAGTGGCATTTACTATTTTGTTTTTTTTGAGGCAGGGTCTGGCTCTGTCATCCAAGCTGGAGTGCAGTGGTGCAAACCTGGCTCATTTCAACCTCCATCTCCTGGGCTCAAGTGATCCTCCTACTTTAGCTTCCTGCATATCCTACAGATGCATGCCAGCATGCCTGACAAGTTTTAAACTTTTTTGTAGAGACAGGGTCACGCCATGTTGGCCAGGCTGATCTCAAACTCCTGGCCTCAAGCAATCCTCCTGCCTCAGCCTCCAGAAGTGCTGGGACTACAGGTGTGAGTGAGCCATCTCACCTGCTGAGTTTTTGAATAAACCTAGAAAGTGACCCTTTTAGTGTTAAAATTTGAAATTTACATTTGTCTCACTTGAGTTCTTTCCTTTGGAACTGACCTTCAGGCAAAGGACTGAAACTCACCAGATTATACCACACAGACAACGAGAGACTAAATCCCTCATTTCTCAATTGCTTCCTTACTCCTCCCTAATTCCTGTTTTACATTCCTTCACCACTATATAAACCCCCCAGTTTTAGTCCGTCAGAAGTGAATTTGAGACTGATTTCCCATTCTCCTTGGCTTCAGCACCCAGTTAAAATCTTCTTCCCTGGCAACCCTTATTGTCTCAGGGGTTGGCTTTCTGTGCATCTAGCAATGGGAACTAGACTAAACCCCTGGCATGTTAGTAACACTAGGACGAGAACCAGGTCTTGAAACTACAAGTGCTGGAAGCAGGGATGATTCCTAAGCAAAAAAATGTAGCTATGTTATTTTGTTTGTTGGTTATTTTTTTTTGTACTTGACATATAATAATCGTATATATTTACAGGGTACATAGTGATATTTCGATACACACAGTGTATAGTGATTGAATCAGGGTAATTCACATATCCATCATTGCAAAAATGTTTCATTTCTTTGTGTTGGGAACATTCACTATCCCCCTTCCAGCTATTTGAAGCTATATATTATTGTTAACTGGAGTCATCCTACAGTGCTATAGAACACTAGAACTCATTCCTCCTATCTAGCTATAATTTTGCATCCTTTAACAAATCTCTTCATATCCCTTTTTTGTCAGAATTCCCTAAAGGCCTGATAGAGGCAGATTGTACCTCCACCCTATCTGGCAAAACTGGGGCTAATAGTGGATGCAGCTATATTGTCTGGTAGTGAAACCAGCCCACTGGTTCTGCACCTGTGTAACCTTACCCAGTCTGAATGGGAGTGGATTGTGGGGCAGGTACTTGCTAGACTAGTATTGCTGCCTGCAGTCCAGACAAGCACAGTGTTCCTTGCAAAGATGGAAAAGTTTGTATATAAATGAAGAGAAGGAAGAATGGTAGCTGAAGGTAAAGGAATGAATAAATGGGTTATGTAATGAAGGAAATCTAATATTACGTTAACACCTTGAAAGATGCTCAGAACATGGGATGACATTGTCTCTTAGCTCAATTATACCAGATGCCTGAGAGGGTGAAACTATATGTGTGCAGAGACCACTCCTGCTTTTAGAACCTGACAAGATAGAATGGAAGGCTGCAAACTTGAGTGGTCTTACTCTGGGAGACATTCATACAATATGATGGACTGAACCAATTAGTCATGATTGAATGGGATTCTAGTAACGTGGCAGTATCTTTTGAGTTGTATATTCTTTTGGTATAAGGGAACCATGTCCAAAGACCAGGGGTGAATGGTGTGATAGTGTGAAATACATATTTGGTCTTCATTCCTCCTGCCCCTTTCCTGACATACAACTCCTAAATGCTTGGAACCTCCAAAGCGATGTCTTCTGTATGCTAATTAATTGACTAATGGCTGGTAGCTTCAGGATAGGGTCTGGTCACAAGAAAGGTCAAGGCAGGATTATAGGGTTGGGACTTTCAGCCCACCTCCCAATTTCTCGGAAGGAGGGAGGGGCTGAAGGTTGAGTTCATCACCAGAGGCCAATGCTTTAATTAGCCATGCCTCTGTAATGAAGCCTCCTTAAAAACCCAAAGGGACTGGGTTCAGAGAGCTTCTGGATAGCTGAACACATGGAGGTTCCTGGAGGGTGGTGCACCTGCTGAGGGCCTGGCAGCTCTACCCAGCACTTTGGGAGCCCAAGGTGGGCGGATCACTTGAAGCCAGGAGTTCAAGACCAGCCTGGCCAACATGGCGAAATTCCATCTCTACTAAAGATACAAAAATTAGCCAGGTGTGGTGGCGCACACCTGTAATCCCAGGCACTAGGGAGGCTGAAGGGGGAGAATCGTTTGAACCCAGGAGGCAGAGGTTGCAGTGAGCCGAAAACTTTAGTTTTCTTCCTATATCCTCAGAATATGACAGAAGATATCTGCCATATGTGCACTTGATAACAAACTTATATCCAGAATATATAAAGAACTCTCACAAATCAACAAAAAGGAGACATCTTGATTTTTAAAATGGGCAAAAGACATGAACAAGCACTTTACAAAAAAAAAAAGGATATTCAGGCCAGGTGCAGTGGCTCACACCTGTCATTCCAGCATTTTGGAAGGCCAAGGGGGTGGATCACCTGAGGTCAGGAGTTTGAGACCAGCTGGGCCAACATGGTGAAACTCTGTCTCTACTAAAAATACAAAAATTAGCCAGGTGTAGTGGCACGTGCCTGTAGTCCCAGCAACTCAGGAAGCTGAGGCAGGAGAATCGCTTGAACCTGGGAGGCAGAGGCTGCAGTGAGCCAAGATTGTGCCACTGCACTCCAGCCTGGGTGAAAGAGCAAGACTCCAGACCAAAAAATAATAGTAATAATAATCACATGAAAAAGAATTCAGCATAAGTTATCAGGGAGATCAAATCAAAACTATGAGGAGATACTCTTACTCTGCTGCCAGAATGACTAAAATGAAAAGGACTGACAATAACAAGTGCTGGAACTCTCTTGTATCATTGGTGGGAGTGTAAATGGGCACGATTGCTTTGGGGAATGTTTTGTCAGTGTCTACTAAAGCTGAGCACTCCTATGATCCAGCAATTTCACCCCAGTTATTTATCCATGAGAAATAAAAACAATATGTCCACAAAGACTGGCAAATGAATGTTTACTGCAGCTTCATTTATGCAAGTCTCAAACTGAAGATAGCTAAATATCCAGCAACAGGTGAATGTGTAAATGAATTAATATAGACTCATACCATGGAATACGATTCATTAATAAAATGGAATGAGCTATTGATACGTGCTAAAACATGGTGGAAACTCACAGGCATAATGTGGAGTGAAAAGTGCCAGATACAAGAGATTACTACCGTATGATTCCATTTATATGAAGTCTCATACCTGGCAAAAATGATCCATGGCAACAGATGTGAGAATTGTAATTACTCTGGTTGGGGAGAGTCCGGGAGGAGACATGTCATGGAGATCCAGCAGGAGGTACGTGGAAGGGAGCCTTCTGCAGTAGGCACGTCCTACTTCTTGGTCTGGATGGTAGTTGAATGGACAGAGATATAGCTATGCATGATCATAGCTCACTGCAGCCCCGACCTCCCAGGCTCAAGCAATCCTCCTGCCTCTGCCACCCAAAGTGTTGAGATTACAGGCATGAGCCACTGTGCCTGGCCTGACTCCCTCTTATAAGGATACCTGTGAGCCGGGCAATGTGTCTCACACCTGTAATCCCAGCACTTTGGGAGGCCTAAGTGGGAGGAGAGCTGGAGCCCAGGAGTTCGAGACCAGCTTGGCCAACATGGTGAAACCCTGTCTCTACAAAAAAGACAAATTGCGTGGCTTGTGCCTGTAGTTCCAGCTACACGGGAGGCTGAAGCTGGAGAATCGTTTGAACCCAGGCAGAGGTTGCAGTGCAGTGAGCTGAGATCCTGCCATTGCACTCCAGTCTGGGTGACAGAGTGAGACCCTGTTTCAAAAAATAAAAAATAAAAAATAAAAAAAATAAAGAAAGAAAAGGACACCTGTGATTGCATTTAGGGACCAGCTGGATAAACCCGGGTAATCTCATCTCAAGAGCCTCAACTTCATCACATCTGCAATGACCCTTTCTCCTTATCAGGTAGCATGCACAGGCATTAGGTCCAGGCGTTAGGACTGATGTCTCTGAGGGCCATCATTCAGTCCACCACACCATCCCTCCTCCATCCCCTCTGCCTATGAGGCTGACCTCTACTGACCCCATCAGCAAGCTCCCTTGCCCTTCAACTTCGAGGTGGGTTTGGTCAAAGGGAGGCACAGGCAGAATACTGGAAGGGGCTGGAGGATCCCCTCCTCCCTGCCTGCTGCTCCCAAGGTGGGAGCCTCAGTGCCATCAGCAGCCCCTCTTCCATGATCCCAGTTCTCACTAAGGCCTCGGTCATACCATTCCTCCCTTTGTTCCTCCAGGACTCAGCAGAATCTGGCAGGAAACTTCTCCTCCCATTGCTGGCACCTGAGATCCTTACCATCCCTACATCCCTAACACTGCTCGCACCTCTGCAAATCGTACCTTTATTAGACAGTCTGTTTAAGAAATCCCACTGGAGGGGACTGTCTTTTTCAGGCCAGGACCTCGCTGACCTAGCACCATCTTTGGCTTTTATCTTTATTCATGGAGAGCGTTCCATTCTGCTAGGGGGCTTTGCAGGGCATGAGTCAAGGCCTGAAGCCCACTGAACACAATGCTTAGAAATCTCAGGGGTGTTCAAAGATTCATGCCTTATTCATGCAAAGGCTTTCCAAAATAATTAATTCTTTTTTAAAATTTTAATTTTTTTTTTTTTGAGATGATGGAGTTTCACTCTCGTCACCCAGGTTGGAGTGCAGTGGCACAATCTCGGCTCACTGCAACCTCTGCCTCCCAGGTTCAAGCGATCCTCCTGCCTCAGCTTCCTGAGTAGCTGGGATTACAGGTGCCCGCTGCCACGCCGGGCTGATTTTTATATTTTTAGTAGAGACGGGGTTTCGCCATGTTGGCCAGGCTGGTCTCGAACTCCTGACTTCAGGTGATCTGCCCACCTCGGACTCCCAAAGTGCTGCTGGGATTACAGGCATGAGCCACTGCGCCTGGCTGCATGCTAATTTTAAAAACTTTTTATAGAGGTGGGGTGTCACTGTATTCCCCAGGCTGGTTTCAAACTCCTGGGCTCAAGTGATCCTCCTGCCTCAGCTTCCCAAAGTGCTGGGATTACAGGTGTGAGCCACTGTGCTTGGCCTCAAGCTATCCTCTTGTCTCAGCCTCCCAAGTAGCTGGGACTATAGGTGTATGCCACCATGCCCAGCTATTATTTTTATTTTTTGTAGAGATGGCGTCTTGCTGTGTTGTCCAGGTTGGTCTCAAATTCCTGGCCTCAAATAATCCTCCTGCCTTGGCTTCCAGAGTAGCTGGGACTACAGGTGCATACCATCATAGCCAGCCTCAGTATATATTTAAAGGGAGTCTTGCTCTGTCACCCAGGCTTGAGTGTAGTGGCACGATCTTGGCTCACTGCAACCTCCACCTCCCAGGCTCAAGCAATTCTCCTGCCTCAGCCTCCGGAGTGGCTGGGGCTACAGGTGCACTCCACCATACCCAGCTAGCTAACTTTTTGTATTTTTAGTAGAGACAAGGTTTCACCACGTTGACTTCAAGCGATCCGCCTACCCCGGCCTCCCAAAGTGCTGGGATTACAGGCATGAGCCACCGCGCCTGGCCCTTAGTATATTTTTGAGAGAATAAATTAGTTCCTATCCCTTTCATTGACTGAACTCTTCTCATCTTCAAAGACGTCCCTCCCCGACTCTCTGTTTCCTAGGACAAGGTCAGGTATGGTTACCCACTTTGAGATGTACTTTTCTTTTTTGTGCCATGTCCCTGGAGCCGAGCTTGGTGCTAATAATAGCAGCTGAAGCATTCCCTGAGCAAGGTTGGATGGGACGTGGCGCGGGGGGGTGAGGAAGGGGCGTTCCCAGCCCTGGCTCAGGTGTCTCGGCCGTTTGTTCAGTCAGGCGGGCTCCTTATCCTCTCTGAGTCTCCTCATCCTTTTCTACAGGATGGGGATAATCTCAGAACCCACCTCACAGGGCCATGGTGGGGACCAGCAGTGCGATGGTCTGTTTATGTGCCAACCTGGCTGTGTTACAGACCCCAGCTGCTCAACCAAACACTGAGACATGTCGCTGTGGAAGGATTTTGTAGCTGTGACTGACGTCTCTAATCAGTTGACTATGCTGTATACATTTAAGGTATACAACATGATGTTTTGATATATATATATATATACATAATCAGATGATTACTACTGTCAAGCAAATTAACATATCCGTCACGTCTCATAGTTACCTTTTTGTTGTTGTTTTTGCTCTAATCAGTTGACTTTAAGTGAAGGAGATTATCCTCAATAATGTAGGTGGGTCTGATTCAATCAGTTGAAAGGCCTCAAAAGCAGAATGGGGGTTTCCCGGGAAAAGAAAGAATTTCGCTTCAGCTGCTGCTGGAGTTTCCAGACTGCCCCTCCTGCCTGCCTGCCCTACAGACTTCACACCTGCTGTCTTACTCGGTGTGGACTGCTACAACAAAATACCACAGACTGGGTGGCTTATAAACACAAGAAATTCAATTCTCACAGTTCTGGGAGCTGGGAAGTCCAAGATCCAGGCACCAGCATGTTCAGTGTCTGGTGAGGGCCGGCATCCTGGTTCACAGACAGTGCCTTATGCTATGTCTTCACATGGTAGAAGAGGAAACGTCTGGCCTCTTAGGTCTTTTTTTTTTTTTTGGCAGGGTTTGGCTCTGTCACCTAGGTTGGAGTGCAGTGGCACAACCTCCACCTCCCAGGCTCAAGTGATCCTCCTGCCTCATCCTCCGAGTAGCTGGGACCAAACGCATGTGCCACCATGCCTGGCTAATTTTTGTAGTTTTAGTAGAGATGGGGTTTCGCCAGGTTGCCCATACTGGTCTCAAACTCCTGAGCTAAAGTTATCCTCCTGCCTCAGCCTCCCAAAGTGCCGGGATTACAGGCATGAACCACCATGCCCGGCCATCTTAGGGCATGAATCCCATTCATGAAAGTTCCACCTACATAACCTAATCACATCCCAAAAAGGCCTTAAGAGCAGAATGGAGGTTGCCCAGGAGAAGAAATAAGAAGTCTTAGACTTCCCAGCTTCCCGAACTGTGAGAAATGAATTTCTTGTGTTTATAAGCCACTCAGTCTATGGTATTTTGTTGTAGCAGTCCACACCGAGGCCTCCAGACCGCATCATAGTGGGGGTTAAGTTTCAACTTAAAAATGTTGGCGAGACACAGACATCCAGTCCATAGCACCTGCCTAGCCAGCTCTCAGAATCACATAAGCCACTCCCATGCAATAAGCCTTTGTATAAGGATCAGCTACTCGTTCTGTTTCCCTGGTGGAACCCTGATGGATATAAACAAGAGGACCCATGTAATGTGCTTAGAACATGGCCTGGCACAGACACAGTGTGCAACAGACACAGGCTGCCGTCACCGTGCCCTTAACCCCGAGCTGGTTCCTGAATAAACATGAACTCCTCTGTGCCTCACAGTGATCCACGGTATGCTATACCCCCATTTTGCAGGTGAAAGCTGGGGTTAGGGAACATGGGAGTGGCCCACACTCAGGGCCAGAGCTGGGATGTAAACACAGGTGGCTCAGCTCTGTTGTCCAAGTGGCCACTGCAGAAGAAGTTCATGATCCCACGGACCCCCCCACCCTGCAGTGTCCCATGGTTGGGGGAATCCGCATCTGGGAGAGGAAGGGATGGTGGCAGCCCTATCCACAGCCATTCTCCAAATTTAGCAGGGTACAGGGCACACAGAGAGTGCATGGAATTGAGAGAGAGAGAGAAACAGAGACAGAGAGACTAGACTTTGAGGGTCAATGGGAGGGAGAGCCTAGACCTGCTCCTGGAGCCAGCAAAGCCTGAAGTGGCTGCAGGGCCCCAGACAGTTCCCTTCCACAGTCTGCACTCTGGAATGGGGAGAAGTGAGCCTGATGTGATCCTGATGGGCCTTGCTCCTAGGAGCAGGCAGGAGAGGGCAGGGCCATCTCAAATCTGGCTTTGTCCCCAGGCTGTGAGATTCTGGAAGGACCTCCCCTTTGTGAACTTCAACTTCCTTGTGGGTAAGGGCAGGGGGATAGCATCTGTCTCAGAAGGTAGGAACGTAACCTCAGGGAGGCTTCTGAGCCTCTCTGGGCCTCAGTTTCCTCCTCTGTAAAATGGGCATGATAATGGGACCGATTCCACAGGGTCTCTGGCTTAAGTGAATGAAGGCCTGTGAGGGCTTGGGTCACCCTCAGTCCTGGCCAGGACAGTGATCACGGCTGCTTCCGTCATCTCCTGAGGGAACAGAGGTTTGTACAGAGCCACCTGCCATGGCCTCCTCCTTGGATCCTCTCCTTGTAGATGTACAAATGCACACAACTGACCACTGGCCAATTAGCGGTTTGCTCCATGGACTCAGCCCCCTCTGGTCCCTACAGGGAATCTTGAGGAGCCGGCAGTGACCTCAGCCTAGACGGGGAAACACAGCCTGGTATTAGACCCCATCTGTCTGTCTGACCTGGAGTGCCCTCTTGTGTCTTTCCCTTGACTCTGGGGAAAGAGTTCAGCCCAATATCCACTTCTTGGGAGATGATTCCACTTTCCAATCTCACCTGTATCTGTGGAGCTGCTGGGCCCCTGCTGCGCTCATCCCTCAGCCCACCCATATGGATGCCACATTTTTCCTGAAGTCACCCTCCTAGTCCCCACGACCTTTCAATTGGTGGGGGATCAGGACTGAAGTCAAACTCAGGGACATTGTCACCACTGTGCATGTCCTTCAGAGAGAGGGGGAAGCTGATCCCCCAGGTATCAGCTCCTCCCTTGTTTCTCCTGAGGGTGAGCGGGGCGACAGTTGAGGCCTGTTTGCAGGGAGCTTTACCCAGGCGCAGCCTGTGGCCCCTTGCCTGGCTCAGTTCTCACCATTGTCTGCCTCCTGCCCTAGAAATGCTGCTTGCTCTGCCCTTGCTGGAGTGCTCTGACCCCCCAGCACCATGCCTCCTGCCTTCAATCTTGCAGCTTTCTGTGCCTGGCGGTGCTGTCACCTCTCCCTGCATGCCTGCTGGGCTCAGGTAGCAACACTCAGCTCCCCGAGCCGGGTCAAGCCCTCCCTCCCTCAATGCCAGCTCCTCCTCCCCTCCCCTCTCCCCATGCTTCTTGGGACACAGCCCTGGCCCTGCTCGAAGGGTGTAACAACCTGGAGGTCTTATGGGCAGGACCTGGGTCTGACTTCTCTTTGTCCCCAGCCCGCGGCCTGGCACACAGGAGGCCTCCGGGGATTTGTGGCCACATGAGTGACATGAGTGAACACCTGGAATGTTTTTCTCTACCTAGAAATCCCTCCTTACTCTTCCACACACAAGCTTCCTCCCAGAACCTGGGGATTCTTGTTGCCCTTGGCAAAGCGTCTGCGTTCTGAATAACCCCGCCTGCTGTGGGCAGGAAGGGTGTTCAGGGAGCAGGAGTCCCCTCCACATCTATGCCTCTGATCTGAGTTTGCAAATGAGAAGGCTCATCAGGGTTTTTCTTTGACCCACGCGGCGCTGCCTTTTAAAAACATGTTCTCAATTGCTAATGTGCCGGAATCAAGATATTTCACACTGAAATCGAGATCTCTGGATTCTCCTCAAAAGACAAACAAAAAAAAATATGAAGAGCTAGCTGTAGTCTCCCCGTGTTCCTGACCTGTGGGGAGGGGGTGGGGAGGAGTCGGAGGGAGTTCCGCCACTGTGAGCCGCCGCCTTCAGGAGGGGCAGCTGCTTTCAAGACAGACACGGCCCCCATTAGGCCAACTGTGCCCCTCTTGTTCCCTGCCTGGTGGCTGTGAGCATCTGAGTTTGCAACCTCTGCACTAGAGTCTCATAAAGTCAGGAGAAAATGTCCAGGACAGGGTCAGCTGCTGCAGCGGGGGACAAGGGTCCCGGGTTCCGGAGTCCTGAGCAGTGCACAGCCTTGCAGTGTGGCCCGAGGCACGGTGAGCCTCAGTTTCCCTGTTTGCAATGCAGATGTGCAGAGGCTGGGGCCTCATGGTTCCCAGTGTCTCCGTGGATGTGCTCTTGGGGGTTCTTCAGGGTTTCAGCCACTTCCCATCGTGCTGAGCATGCTTCAGTTTCTCTCTCTGAAGAAGGCTGAGGCTGGGTTGGATCCATTCTGGGCTCACAGCGGCCCCTGTGGCGGCAGCAGCCTGTTTCCTGGTGCTGCCCGCCTGGCGTATCCCTGTGTGTTTTGTTTCTGCTCCTGTCAGCCTGGCTGCTGGGGTGGCGTGTCCCTTGGGCAGGTGTCAGGTGTTAGGCGTGTCCCCTACATTGGCTAACATGAGGGCTGGCGCTGGGGAGGCCCCGGGGCATGTTTCCCCAGGAAATGGGTGAGAGCCGGGCGACGGCCTCTGGGTCTGGAGTCTGGGATGGAGTCGCACCTCTGCCTGGGCCAGGTTTCCACGTCCTGGGCCGCATGCCGTGATCCATCTCGGAGTCTACACTCTTCTTTCTCTCCAGAGCCCTAGACTTTGGGAGAACCACAGTCGGTTGCTCCGCTGCCTTAGACAAGCCCAATCCCCTCTCTAAGTACCCAACACGGGGGAATCCAAGCAGCCTCCTTAAGCCTCTGTTATGAGCGGAAGTGTGGATCCACCCCACCCCCCATCATTCATATGTTGACATCCTAACCCCCAGTGACTCAGAATGTGACTGTATTGGAGACAAGGTCTTAACATCGGTGATTAAGGTTAAGTGATGTCACATGATGGGCCTGAATTCAATGACTGGTGTCCTTACAAGGGAAGGAAATTAGGACCCAGGCACACGCAGAGGGATGACCCTGTGAGGACACAGGGAGAAGACAGCATCTACCGGCCAAGGTGAGAGGCCTCAGAAGGAAGCTCTGCTGCTGGCACCTTGACCTGGGATTTCCAGCCTCCAGAGGGGGAGAAAATCAGTATCTGCCGTTCAAGCCGCCCAGTCTGTGGGGCTTTGTTTTGGCAAATGTAGCATCTGCTGTGTGGGGCGAGGGGGCCTGGGTCTCTCCGTCCTGAACAAGTGCCTCCCCGGGGTTCTGCCAGGTGATGGGGTGGGGGCCCTGGCCTGCGGCCCTGTTGCTTGACAGTCTGCCTGTGACTGTCCCAGGGACTTACCTCCAGCCCGGTCTGGTGGGGTGTCAGCTTCAGGCATTTTGGGTACTTCTGTTTCCTCCAGCAGCTCTGGTTTCTTAAGGGGCAAGCCTTCTTTGGCCTTGGGACTCTGATGCTCCTCCCACCAGGTAAGCATCTTCATTCTAAGGCAGGAAGCCCCGTGGTGAATGCTGTGCTCAGTCCCTGCCCCGTCCAGTTCCCAGAAGGAGCCCTGGGCTGGGCCCAGAACACCAGCTTCCTCCGCTTCCTGGTTCTGAGACCAGCACAGCCCCACCCCACGCCGTCAAATGGGGATAAGAACCTCTATTGTCTTGGCGTGGACCCTCTCCCAAGCTTCTTTCTGGGCCTCCTGGAATTCACTCTGTCCCCCAGAGCTGCCCGGCTCCTCTCCTGCTCACAGCCCTCCCATGGCTTCCCAGTCCCCCCAGGACACAGCCCAGCCCTTCAGCCTGGTGGCCCTTCGTGTCTGGTCCATTCCTGCTTCTCTTGCTGCTCTGCGATGTCTCCATATATACTTTTCAGTTTTGGACAGGTCTTTTTTTTTGCACCTTTCTTCCTCCTTCGAATATTGCTGGCTCATGTCTGCATGTCCATGCCCGGCACATCGCCTTGCTCTTTCTGACAGCTGTGTTGTTCTGTTGTATGGCTGTCCCATGGATTATATAACTGTTCCCTTTCCTTTCTTGCTCTGGCAGCTGCAGGGGCCACCTGCTGGTCCCTGGCTGGCGGCTGTGTCCTTCTGTCCCGTGTCCCCTGCAGAGCAGCCTGAGCAAGCTTTAAAGACCCGACCTGTTCCTCCCCAAATGGAGATCCTTCCATTGTTTCTTTCTGCGTTCAGACAATAAGATTCAAACGTCCATTTCCTGTCTGAAAACACTTGCTCTACAAAAACATCCGAAAATACTGATGGGGCTGAGGTCGTAAGGACGTTGGGGACTGAAGATCAGAGGCCACGCATCAACTGAGGGTTGGCTGCACACTGCTGGGTTGTGGGGAAGCGGGGGCTTGCTGTTATGATTACCAAGGGACTTGCTTTAAATGGTCCAGTGACAGCAGACAACAAGGCCTTGGGTCCATACTAGGTAGCAACCTGGATATGACACCCCCACATCAAGGGGGGCGCCAGAAAAAAAATCTAGTCATTGATCAAGGGAATGACAAGGAAGCATGTCTATTTTGGCCTGGGCTTTCGGTGGCAAAAAAAAACCTTTTTGTATTTATCTTAGAAGCTGAGGCCTCCATTTATAGAGATTTGCATCAGAGAGCGACAAAGTGAGCAATGAACACAAATAGCCCCCGGTGTGTTTCGCTGTTGGGCAACTCACACAAAACTCATTTCAGGGGGACTTGCCCACCACATTGTCCGCATATGCTTCTTGCAGGTAAAGTCCCCACTGAGAGCAGCTCACCTTCCAGGATGACCAAGCATGAGAGGCAATAGCCCTCCACGAGGGAAGATGAAACCCAAACTTCTCACCAGAGCCCTTGAGGCTCTGCCAGCAGGTTAGCCTCTCCCAAGCTCTCCTTAAGCTCTGAGCTCATCTGGCCCTGCTGGGCTCTTGAACTCGATAAACCTTTGCAATCTCAGAGCCTAGAACTGCGGCTCCCTCAGTCTGGGCAGCTCCCCACACTCCTTTAGGCCTCAGAGCAAGTACCTGAAGGCTGCTCCCCGCCCCGTCCCCTTGCCACACTCTCTCCCAGCTCCCCGTTTTCCTCCAGGCACTTCCCAACATTTGTCCCTACACATCTGCATATGTCCTCGTTCAGTGTCCACCTCCCTGAGGCCTGGTTTGCTCTACGATATTGTCAGAGGTATTTGAACCAGAGTAACTCCATCTTGAACAGGGGCTGGGTAAAATAAGGCTGAGACCTACTGGGCTGCATTCCTGGACAGTGAAGGCATTCTAAGTCACAGGATGAGATAGGAGGTCGGCACAAAATACAGGTCATAAAGACCTTGCTGATAAAACAGCTTGCAGTAAAGAAGCTGGCCAAAACCCACCAAAACCAAGATGGCGACAAGAGTGACCTCTGGTCGTCCTCACTGCTACACCCCCACCAGCACCATGACAGGTTACAGATGCCATGGCAACGTCAGGAAGTTACCCTTCTGTTTTAGAACCCTCATCCTCTGAAGAAAGAGTCTCCTTCTGCTACTTTGAGCCTCTGGCTATTGGGCCAGAACATCCCCTTCCTCTCATTTCTGTCACTGGCAACCCCCTAGGCCAGGCCTCTGTATTCCCAGAGGATTTTTATGCTTGACTCTCAGTCTTTCTGTCCCCAGATTTCTGTCATCATTTTGGGCGCCTTTGACATTCCCATGGACAGACCCAATTGTCACCCCGACATGTCAGCTCCCAGAGCTTCTGAGGCCAGTTCCTTTTTGTTGGTGGTGGCTGGAATCCCTTCCTGGGGGAGCCAGCTGGGATGGGCTGTTAGAGGTGGCATCGACCCTTGACTCAGGTAGAGCCAATCAGTCTTCCCTGGGATTGCTAAATCACCACGAGAAGACAAGTTCTCTGTCAGCTGGAGTTAGCTAAGAGAGGAGGACGTGAATCTGGGGCTGGCCATCTTGCCTGTAAGGTGAAGAGAGCCTCCAGAGCTCACGTTAACCAGAAGGAAACAGAGCCATAGGGTGGGGACAGACAGACTCTTGGTGAAGCCATCTGCATGCCTGGATTCAGACATGCCTGAAGTGTAGATCCGCCTGTCACGGGTGGAATTGTGTCCCCACAAATATATATGTTGAAGTCTCAACCCCCAGTAGCTCAGAATGTAACCATGTTTGGAGATAGGGCCTTTTAAGGGGTTATTAAGGTTAAATGAGATCATTATGGGTGGGCCATAGTCTATGCGACTGTTTTTGGAAATAGCGCCTCAAGTTAAATGAAGGCTGTTCAGGTGGGGCCTTAATCCTATATGACTGGTGTCCTTATTTCTTAGTCTGTCCATGCTGCTATCACAAGGTGCCATAGACTGGGTGGCTTATAAGCAACAGAAATTTATTTCTTATACTTCTAGAGGCTGTAAAGCCCAAGATCACAGCACTGGTATATTTGACGTCTGGGCAAGGCTTGCTTCCTGGTTCATGGATAGCAAATTCTAGCTGGGTCCTCATGTGGTGAAAGGGAGGAGATGGCTCTCTGGGGGCTCTTCTATTAGGGCGCTAATCCTATTCATGAGGACTCCACCTTTATGACCTAATCACCTCCCAAGGCCCCACCTCCAAACACCATCATCTTGGGGGTTAGGATTCCAACAAATGAATTAGCAGGGGTAGGGGCATACAGACATTCAGACCATAGCACCTTACATGAAGAGGGAGAGACCGAGGGGTGTGTGCACAGAGGTATGACCATGAGAAGAGGCAGTAAGAGAGTGAGGAGAGAGGCCTCAGGAGAAACCAACACTGCTGACACCTTGATCATGGACTCCCAGCCTCCAGAATGCTGGGAGGACAAACTTCCGTTTTTGTTTGTTTGTTTGTTTTTTGAGACGGAGTTTTGCCCTTGTTGCCCAGGCTGGAGTGCAATG
Source organism: Homo sapiens (assembly GCF_000001405.40). Taxonomy (NCBI): domain Eukaryota; kingdom Metazoa; phylum Chordata; class Mammalia; order Primates; family Hominidae; genus Homo; species Homo sapiens. Next base: position 51,290,386 of record NC_000019.10, on the reverse strand, counting down.
GCATGATCTCAGCTCACTGCAACCTCCGCCTCCCAGGTTCAAGTGATTCTCCTGCTTCAGCCTCCCGAGTAGCTGGGACTACAGGCATGCGCCACCACACCCAGCTAATTTTGTATTTTTAGTAGAGATGGGGTTTCTCCATGTTGGTCAGGCTGGTCTCAAACTCCTGACCTCAGATGATCAGCCTGCCTCGGCCTCCCAAAGTGCTGGGATTACAGGCGTGAGCCACCGTGCCCAGCCTCAAATTTCTGTTGTTTAAGCCACTTAGTCTGTGGTATTTTGTTATGGCAGCGCCTGCAAACTAATACGTGCCTTTAGACTTAACAGTCAATCTGTTCCTACAGCAGATTAAAAATGGTGGCAAATCCTTGGATAGTTTTCCTAAGGACAGGTGGAATCTATTTCTTCTTCCTTTGAATCTTGGCCAGCCTGTGACTTGCTCTAAGAGAATGCTGTGGAAGTGATGTGCTATTGATTCTGGGCCTGTCCTTTAAGAGGACTGGCAGCTTCTGCTTTGGAAGAGAGCACATGGAGAGACTCGGAGCCCACATGGAAAGAAAGAGGGGCCCAGCTGAGCCTCACCTTCTGGCCATCCACACCAAAATGCCTGGTTTGTGAATGAAAGCATTTTGGATTCTCCATGCTAGCCCAACTCAAGTGACCTCCAGTGACACCACAGGGAGCAAAAGAATCACCCAGCTGGGCCCTGCCCAAATTCCTAATCTAGGAAATCATGAAAAATACTAAAATGATTATTGTTTGAAGCCACTGTATTTTGGGGGATTGCTATGATCTGAATGTTTACACCCCCCGCTCAAATTCACATGTTGAAATCCTAACCCTCAAGTGATCGTATTTGGAGGTGGGGCCTTTGGGAGGTGATTAGTTCATGAGGATGGAACCCTCCTGAATGAGACAAAAGCCTTTATAAAAGAGACCTCAGCGAGACCCCAGTCCCTTCCACCAAGTGGGGACACAGTGAGAAGATGTCATCTATAAGGAAAAGAGCCCTCACCAGACACTGAACCTGCTGGCACCCTGACCTTGGACTTCCTAGCTTCCAGAACTGAGAGAAATAAATCTCTGTTACGCACAAAACACCCAATCTATGGCATTGTGTTGTAGTAGCCCAGATGGACTAAGACAGGGGTAGAGACATAGCAACAGATGACCAGAACTGTTCCCTTTCTCTTTGAGCTTGTTGAATTCAGCCCTTATAACTCACAACTGGAAGAGACCTGATGAATGCAACTGTTTCCTTTAACTACCAAGGGTTCATTATCTCCCAAAACTTTTCCACTTATGAAAATGTAAATTCCAATACCTCATGATCTGCCTAGTTCTTCTATCCATCCAGTTTTTTGGTGCTCCCCTTCCAACTGTTCCCATTATATGATATCACAGGTGGAAGCTTCAATTCCAAGACACTATATTTTCTAGAGTCTATGAAGACTCTCTGTTTCTCTTCCTTTCCTCCCTCCCCACCCCACTAGGTACAACGGCTCCCCAGTTAAAGCGCTCTCTTTCTCCTTCCAGCCTCCTTGCTTGCCCGTCTCCAACCTCCCCACTCCATCACCCTTCCTGGCATCTTGTCCATGAATACTCAAACCTAGACCAATGCCATCATCTACTCCTTTTTTTCTGCTATAGTCTGAATATTTGTGTTCCTCCAAAATTCTTCTGCTGAAACATAATCTCCAGTGTTTTAGTATTTGGAGCTGGGGCCTTTGGGGAGTGATTAGGTCGGGAGTGTGTAGCCCTCATGAATGGGATTGTAGTGCCTTTATAAAGGGAGCCCAGATAACTCCCTTTCCCTGTACACCATGTGAGGACACAACCAGAAGGTGCCATCTGTGAACCAAGAAGCAGGCCCTCACCAGACACCAAATCTTCTGGTGACTTGATCCTGAACTTCCCAGCCTTCAGAACTGGGAGAAGTAAATTTCTTTTGTTTATAAGCCACCCAGTCTATGTATTCTGTTATAGCAGGCTGAATGGACTAAGACGTCTTCCAATGACTGCTGCTGGGAGGAGATGTCACATAGCAATGATGCTTGCCACCATTAACGATTACTAATCTCCAGTAACCAATGGGCCTTGGCTACTGCTCAGTGGTTGCTCTCCTTGTCCTTATACAGATCCTGCTCATTCTCCCCAGTGGCTATTCCAACCACCCTAACACATCACACTTCTTCTCAATTCCCCATGGATTCCCCATGCTCCCACCCATGTCATTTTCAGCAGACAGCCTTGCCATGCTTTCCTTGCTATGAAAATAAGCCACTGGGTGGGAGATCCTCACCCCACCAACCCCAATCCTAAATGCTGCCTAAAGGTGAACAAGAGAAAGAACACCTGCCACTGGATTTTGAGAATAACATTGAGAATAAGGATAACTGGTTGCTTTAGACAATGTCATGTCAGTGGCCTGGTGCTGGGGAGCAAGTGGAAGAGTGATGAGAATCAGGAAGTGGTGTAAGATACTTTCTCGAAAGAATATTGGATAGTACATAGAGGAAGCCTGTGGGGCTGAGGCGGGAGAGATTTGTGCCAGCAAAGAAAGAATGATTGAAAATTTAGGAGCCAGAAGGGATGATTGATGGAGTACAGCTCCTAAGGCAGTGGAGGAGAAGGATTCCCAAGCAGAGAAGGTGGAGCTTACCTTGGACAGGAGGAAGAAAGCCTCTTTCCCTAAAAAAGGCAGGGAGTACATCACTCAATGTCAATGGTAATAACGTTGTATGTGTTGGGGAGCTGATTTTTTCCTTGGAAGTAGGTAAACCTTATTGCTGAACATGACGGGATGAGATAAGAGACTGGGGGAAAGAGGGAAACACCTGGCATACTGACAGAGTGTGAAGTTGGAGGGAGTTGATTAGAGGCAAGCTAAAGGATTTTCTGGGCAATACTGATCCCCTACCTCTGCCCCAAGGATGGAGAGACAGTGAAAGAGTAGGGTTCTCTTAGCAACTCCCTCATACAGACCTCTAACCTAGTACTTGTTTACTTGACTCCCTCTCTCTGGAAAATACAGGACACAGGGTAAGAAGGGAAACAGATAAAAAAGTTTGACAAACATTAGATGAGAGCCCTATGATGAAAACAAAGAGCAGAGGCAATATAAACAGTGGTTAAGAATCTTTCCAGAACTGATGAAAGACACCAAAGCATAGATTGAAGAGGCCAAATAAATATAAATAAAGACAAATCTAAAAAAATGATATCCACACTCAGTCACATCAAAGTAAAAGTGTTAGTGCTAATACCCAAAAGTCCAGGAGACCTACAGGAGTCCTGAAAAGACACCTGGCCCCGGAGAGAGGCCCGGGGAAGTTTTCCAGAGCATGTGATGGAGGGGCTGTAGGTTGAGTCCTAAATGATGAGTAAATGTCAGCCAGGTGTGAGAGGGGAGCAGGGGTAGAAAATGAAATGCAGAGGAGGGGGAGTATTGGGCAGAAGCCACATATCAGCAAAGCTGCAGGACAAGAAACGCATGTGTCACAGACAAATAGGCAAGTTGGTGTTATGAAAGTGTAAAGTGTGAGGCCAAACCGGAAATGTCAGAGACAAAGAGGTCTTAAAGGCAGAGACAGATAAGGAGAGATCATTTTCAAAGGAGCAGCAGATGAGAGTCATGGCTGACTTTTCTCCTGTGATAATAGAAGCAAGATATAATGGAACATGGAATAGTTCAAGATACTGAAAGAAAATGCCTGCCGATGCAGCATTCCAAACTTGGCAAATATACCTTTTTTTTTTTTTGAGACAGAGTCTCACTCTGTGGTCCAGACTGGAGTGCAGTGGCACAATCTCAGCTCACTGCAGCCTCTGCCTCCAGGGTTCAGGCGATTCTCCTGCCTCAGCCTCTCGAGTAGCTGGGATTACAGGTGGACACTACCAAATCTGGCTATTTTTGTTTTTTGTATTTTCAGTAGAGACAGGGTTTCACCATGTTGGCCTGGCTGGTCTAAAACTTCTGGCCTCAAGTGATCCACCCACCTTGGCCTCCCAAAGTGCTGGGATTACAGACATGAGCCACCACATCTGGCCAAAATATCTTTCAACTATGAAGGGAGAGGGAGAGAGAGTCGGGGGGCGGGTAGAGAGAGAGAGAGAGAGAGAGAGAGAAAGTGAGAGAAAAAACCAAGAATGTTTGCTACCAGAAAACCAATTCTAAACAGCTTTCTAGAATATATTTCAGGAAAAAAGATTCTGGATGGAAGATCTGAGAATACTAACAGAATGTAAGGAATAAAGAATAGAGACTATGGTAAATATATATGTAAATCAAAATGAGCAGTGAATGTACGAAATAAAACCAAAGATGATGATGACGTCTTTGGGGGCTCAAAAATATAGAATTGGTATTTCATTAATAATAAAATGCCATTAATAGTAAGATGCATAATTTATATATCACTAAGGGAAAAAAATGTTGCCAGTTAAACTATTAAGAACTAACATAGTCCTGAACAGCACATGAATCATCCAATGTCATGTTAATTTAAATTTTAAAAATGTCTTCCGAAGGATTAAGCAATTCCTTCTGGTTTCATTTGCATTGACAGTTTATGAGATAAATTACCCTTTTGCTTTTTATCTTACAAGAAAAAGTAACATGGCTTCATCCACATGTGGGTATCTCTCTTTCCTAGGTTCTATAAAGCACCAGATTGTTGCTTTACAAAAAATATGGAATTCTGGTCATTTCTCAAACAAATGTTACAGGTGTCACAGAATGGAAGGTATGCTTACTCTTTTACTTCTGTGCCCTTCTGTATACACCATAACTTTGTTTCAGTGGCAGCTAATAATGTAATACTTTTGCAAATGTTTGAAAAGGCAATAAATTAAACATGTATCAATGAACAAATAATTCAATTACAGTGATAATATGAACAGCAATGACAAGAGTTCAGGCACCTGCAGGCAATGACAACTTTATCAGGACTGCCACCTGAGACCAACAGCAACTGTAAATCACCATCGGTTGAAGACATATCTCTATTTCAGAGATGTTCGAATGTGAAATAACATGTATATTGGAATTGATAAAATGCCACAAAGCATGTTATAAAAATAGCATGTAAGTTGTGAGGAGGAAAACTAGAGTTCAACTGTTCTAAGGTCTTTATGTTATCTGGAGGAGGGTAAAGGTTTTATACTTTGAAATTATCAAATATATACTTTGATAACTGAAGTATAGATGTGGTGATTTCTGGGTAACCAGTAAAAGAATATTTAAAAAACATATAATTGCATAATTTTCAACTAGTAGAAAGAAAAGAATGGATTGATAAAAATACCCAGCCAATCCAAATGAAGACAAGTAAAGGGAAAAAAAGAAACATATGGGACAAACTAGGATGGTATATTGAAATACCATCAGTATTTAAATGCACCAGTAATTACATCAAGCAAATTAATTTAAATCCAATTTAAAAATTACAAGACTAAAAAAAGTCAAAATCATATGCTGATTATGAAACACATAACTAAACCTTCAGATCACAGATTGAGAGTAGATGTAAAAGAAGGAGCTGGTGGAGCTATACTAATATCTGACAGAATAGGCTTTAATACAAAGGTGAAGAAGAAAAATGGTATCTGATATAAGGAAGATACTTGTATGCACTTTTTTTTTTTGGGGGACAGAGTCTCTCACTCTCTTGCCCAGGCTGGAGTGCAGCAGCATGATCTCGGCTCACTGCAGCCTCCGCTTCCTGGGTTCAAGCCATTCTCCTGCCTCAATCTCCCAAGTAGCTGGGATTACAGGCACAAGCCACCATGCCCGGCTAATTTTTTATTTTTAGTATAGACGAGGTTTCACCATGTTGGCCAGGCTGGTCTCAAACTCCTGACCTCAAGTGATCCACCTGCCTTGGCCTCCCAAAGTGCTGGGATTACAGGTGTGAGCCACCATGCTCGGCCTTGTATGCACATTTTAAAATAGACTTGAAGCTAATGACATGGCCTCAAGATTTAGAAAGCAAAAACTGACAGAATTTCAAGAAGAAACAAACAAATCCACAATCATTGTGGGAGATTAGAAACACATATCTCTTATCATTAGAGCAGGCAGGCAATTAAGTCAGTCCAAGTAGAGAAGATTTAAACAACATGAATAATGAATTTGATTTAAAGGGTATATATGTATATGTATGTGATTGTGTACACACACACAGACACACACACAGAGAGATATATATACTGCATTTGACAGGCATAAAATATACATTCTTTTCAAGTTCACATGGAATATTTATAAAAACGAGACAAAAAATGTGTTACAAAGAAAATAAGGAATTGAAATCATGCATAGTATATTTTCTGACCTTATTCGGTTTAAGCTAAAAATTTAAAAAGAGAGTAATGTGCCTAAGAAACTCATGGGTCAGGCCAGGGGCGGTGGCTCACGCCTGTAATCCCAGCACTTTGGGAGGCTGAGGCAGGCGATCACCTGAGGTTGGGAGGTCAAGACCAGCCTGACCAACATGGAGAAACCCCGCCGCTACTAAAAATACAAAAAATTTAGCTGGGTGCGCTGGCGCAAGCCTGTAATCCCAGCTACTTAGTTGGCTGAGGCAGGAGAATCACTTGAACCTGGGAGGCAGAGGTTGTGGTGAGCTGAGATCGCACCATTGTACTCCAGCCTGGGCAACAAGAACAAAACTCTGTCTCAAAACCAAACCAAACCAAACCAAACCAAACCAAACCAAACCAAACCAAACCAAAAAACAAACAAACAAAAAATACTCATGAGTCAAAAAATCATAATGGAAATTAGAAATATGTTAACCAAATGATAATGAAATATTTATATTAAAATTTGTGAGATGCAGCTAAAGTCATGCTTAGAGGGAAACTTATAGCCCTAAATACAAATACTGAAAAAGAAGAGTAGCTGAAAGTTAACGATATAAGAATCCATTTTTAAAAGGTAGACAAGGCCAGGGGCAGTGGGCCACACCTAGTAATCCCAACAGCACTTTGGGAGGCTGAGGTGGGTCAATCACTTGAGCCCAGGAGTTGGAAACTTGCCTGGGCAGCATGGTGAAATCCTATTTCTACAAAAAATACAAAAATTAGCCAGGCGTGGTGGCACACACCTGTAGTCCCAGCTACTGAGGAGGCTGAGGTGGGAGGATCATATGAGCCCAGGGAGGTGGAGGCTACAGTGAGCTGTGATTGACCCACTGTACTCCAGCCTGGGTGAGAGAGGGAGACCCTGTCTCAAAAAAAAAAAAAAAAAATAGACAAAGCAAAATAAATTGGAAGAAAGTATGAGGAAGGAAAAGGAGAACATAAATAAAGGTAGTAGGCTTTGGGAAAGGCTGCTGATGAATTTGAACTTTGATACTCACGACAAGAGGATGAGGCAGAAGAAGAGCAATGAGAATGCAATGGCTCCATATACAATGCCCTGGATTAATCCTTTCACGAACACACTGGAAACTGATTTCTTATCTGGAATTGGAGGGAAGTGAGATTCACCTTTCTCCAAAGGCTTTAAAGTCTGAGCTAAAACTCTCTACCCTTTCCTCCGGCCCTGTGCCCATCTGCATCTGGTCTTTAGGTGTTCTTTCCAGCTCAGTCACTAGGTCCCTGGATACTCAGTTGGTATCAGGAAGATGCTGGAAGTGTGAATTCCATATTGGTTCTTCCCCTCACAGTGAAGTCTCATGACTCTTTCTGGCTCCCCAATGAGGCTGATGGTGCTGTTGGCCCAGGGGGCACATGTGGAAGAAGTCACCCGGAGGATGTTATCCATGCTGTTCACAGCCACAGGGACACCTCCCATCCACCACTGCACGGAGGGCGTGGGGATCCCGTGGAAGGAACAGCTGCACAGAACTGTCTTCTCCAAGGAACAAGAGGAATTGAACAACCTGGCAGGTGCTGTGCAGAGGAAGAATCAGGGATCATCAAGATGTCCTGACTTTGCTTCTCTACTTCCCCTAAGACCCAGCCTTCTCTTTACTTGCTATTCACAGGGAGCTTCAGAAAGACTTTCTGGCAACCCAGAGTGGGGCTGGGACTCAAAACAGTCCCCTTTCATCCTCTCTCCACATCTGCCTCAGACTTGGGCTCAGCTCCTACCTCTGGCCTTTCAGCCCCAAAGGTCTTCCCAAAGGGGGAAGATGTGACAGCTCCTAAGACTTCTCTCCCTCTGGGGCTCAGGTCTTTTCTTGAGCCCACTATTTCTCAGGATCCTGCCTGTGCCCACCAGCACTCACAGACCACTTGGAGCTTGACCAAGCTACTTCTGGTCACGTTGGCTAGGGATAAGTTCAAGTGACATCCAAGGGTGTTGCCATGGTCCTCAGGCCTCAGGGTGAAGTGCAGCACCGAGGAGGAGCTGCTGGAGATGGCTGGGTTCTTCCGGGAGTGGAAGAGGGCTTTGGTTTCTTTGCAGGTGCCTTTGAGGGTACAGTTCAAGGTCACAGTCTTCTCAGCCAAAAGAATCTCTGGCATGTGGAGCTCTGGCTTTTGGGTTAGCTCTGGAGAAGAGAGAAGTAGACCCAAACCTTGGGGGAAAAGGGACCCTCATGGACACTTCACTGATGCACAACGTTTCCAGGTTACAAAGTGCTCCCCACCCATTAGCTCATTTGCAACCCCCTCACCTCCCCAACCGCCTTGTGAAACCTGGGATTGTTGTGGTTTAATGGTTTTTCACAAATAGATTTCCTTTCTCTGTGTGGAAGGGGAACAGCCCAGCGTCCAGGTGATAAAACTGAAGAGAACTACTCAAGGTTGTAGAGCTTGAACCTGAACTCTGGTCTTCAAAGACTGAGGGTGAGTAGTTTTCTGAGGCTCTACATTGTAGAATGAGGATTCTACATTCTGACCCCTTACCTGAGTCCTAGACTACATGTGCTAGTGGTAGCTCCTACTCTGTCTCCCTTTTCCAGCCCAGTTCTCCCTTAGACTCTGCCCCTTCCCAGCCCAATCTGTGATCATTTCCTCTCTATTTTGTACTGGTTGGATGATATAGGGTGAATCGCTTCTCTCTTTGCCATTTCTATTTGGAAAAGTAAAGTTACCTATTATACTGATCTCATTGCATCATTATAAAACTCAAATACCTAAGGTTTTGTAAAGCCCAGTGCCCATCAGGTAAAAACCACATAATCACCAGAACCACTTTTGGATTTCCTTCTTTCCAAACCACTTATCGGATGATATTGAACATCACCTGACACAAAAAGTTTGATATTCTCCCCCAGGAAAGCACTTTTTTGTTCTCCTAGATCTGCGTAGAATAAATATATTATGCTGTTCCCTTTGAGTATATCGTGGATGAGTAGGGTACAGTCTTCTTCATCAAGATTCCCAGTCATGTAAAATTTGTCCTTGGTGTTATCACCAATGGTAGCATTGGGTTTATTTGTAGCTACCAGGGAGCTGATGTTTTTGTTGAGCCAGTAGTGCATGATCATGGAATTGCTTGGGGGTTCTTTGGGAAATTCAAATGCACAAGGGATTGTAGTGCACAGCCCCTCTTCCACTGGTATCTTCTTGACTTCCATCAAAACATGAGAAAGTAGCCCTGTAAGGAGAGATCCAAGTTGAAAAACAGACCCACCTAGCATACTCCTGTATTATATCTGTGCATTAAAAGAGTCACCTTACCTAAGAAAGGCTTGACACTTGTCCAACTCCTATGAGGTGATCTCTAAACCCTTGGGATATCCTGCCTGATAAGAGTGTCTTTGTTTACCTGGGACCTTGGACTTCATCAGTTGATGCTAACACTATGATTTATGGTGGGAGCCCTGGATCCTGGGGCATCAGCTTGACCTCTGGAGGGGCTGAAGACTAAGCTAAGTCAGTGACCAGACCCACAATAAAAACCCTGGACACCAAGGCTTGGGTGCACTTCTCTACTTGGCATGTCTGTGCATGTCACCACACATTGTTGCAGAAAGAAGTAAGCTCTATTGGTGCAACACCACTGGGAGAGGTCAGCTGAAAGCTCATGCCTGCTCTCTCCTGGACCCTGCCCTATGCACCTCTTCCCTGTACTGATTTTCATCTGTACTCTTTTGCTATAATCAACTGCAATCATGAGTAAAACAGTTCTGCTGAGTTTTGAGTCCTTCTTGTGGATCACTGAATCAGAGGCATCTTGGGGGGACTCCTAAACTGCACCACCCCAATCTAGTCTGCTGGATTTTTTATTGCTCTTCTTGTTGGTATTAACCGTATCTTGTGATCTGGGTCATGTTGTATCATTTCTGAATCTCAGTTTCTCAATCAGAGAAGTGGGTACGATAATACCAATGCTACAGTATTGTGATAATTAAGGACCATAACTACAGAGGCACATGGCCCTCTGTAATAACTGCAGATTTTGACTTCAGTCACATTACATTACAAGAGACCATGTCATAGTGAACCGTTAGTGAATAATTGTGCTCACCACCCATTAGCTCATTTGGAACTCCCTCCCCTCCCCAACAGCCTTGTGAAAGCTAGGATTGTTGTGGTTGAATGGTTTCCACAAATAAATTTCCTTTTGCTCTGTAGAAGGGGAACACCCCATTGTCTAGGTGAGCAAACTGAAGAGAATTACTCAAGGTGGTAGAGCTTGAACCTGAACTCTGGTCTTCAAAGACTGAGGGTTTTTTGAGGATCTATATTGTAGAATAAAGATTCTACTTTTTTTTTCTTTTTTAGACAGAGTCTTGCTGTCACCCAGGGTGAAGTGCAGTGGCACGATCTTGGCTCACTGCAACACCCACTCCTGGGTTCAAGTGATTCTCCCAACTCAGCCTCCCCAGTAGCTGGGATTACAGGTGCCCACCACCACACCTGGCTAATTTTTCTACTTTTAGTAGAGACAGGGTTTCACCATGTTGGCCAGGCTGGTATCCAACTCCTGACCTCAGGAGATCTGCCCAACTTGGCCTCCCAGCATGCTGGGATTACAGGCATGAGCCACTGTGCTTGGCCAAGTACCTAATTTTTTAGGTACTTCATCTTACCTCAGCCTTCATCTTACCTCAGCCCTGTCTGCCTTCCAACTCCACCCACCCTTACCTCCCCAAGACACCTCCATGCTGCCTCTCCTTCTACTTACCCAACCATAGCAGTGGCAGTGCCATCAGCCCCAGCGAGATCTCAGGGGCAAGAGAGGACCAGGATGTATCCTGCTGCTAACTCTGACCTCAGATTGGTCTGTCCTGGAGGGCAGGATTTGGAATGGATGAGGAGAGGGGCAGCAGTAAGAAGCATGGGGTGAGGCTAGAAAGAAGTCCACTGCTTGCTAGGGGCTCTTGTCTTTTCAATCCACCCCTAAGGTCTGCGAATCTTGTGAATTAGGGGCCTGATGGGACCAGATGCTGGGGAGCTTCAAGAACAGAGTTTGGGCTGGGCGCAGTGGCTCACACCTGTAATCCCAGCATTTTGAGAGGCTGAGCCCAAGAGTTTGAGACCAGCCTGGGCAATGTAGGGAGACCCTCTCCCTACAAAATGTTAAAAAAAATTAGTCGGGTGTAATGGTACATGCCTGTAGTTCCAGCTACTCAGGAAGCTGAGGTGGGAGGATCTCTTGTGCCTGGGAGGTTGAGGCTGTAGTGAGCTGTGGTCACAACACTGTACTCCAGCCTGGGCAACAGAGCGAGACCCTGCCTCAGAAACAAAAGAACAGGGGTTGTCCGCACGCTCTTTGTGAAGCCTCAACACCATGTCTGCTTTCCTGTCTCTAGTCTGCATTCCCACTCCATTACCTCTTCAAAGAGCCTCAAATGCCAAGCTGAGGAGCTCGGACTCCCTCCCACGTCAATGGGGGAAGTCATGGAAATTATGGAATGGTTTTGAACCATGGGAGAACGGGTTTGGGTGTTCGAAAGGTTCCTCTGGGTCTGCAGTGAGGAGGAAGCAACAGTCCAGGAGAAAGAGGATGAAGTCTGAGCTGCAACAATAGCTATGGGGGACAAAGAGAAGGTGATATATTTAAGAGAGATATTTGAGAAATAAACAATATTTCAGCGGCTGATAGGATACATTCCAAACTCCCTTGCCTTTCATTCGAGCTCTCCCTGATTTTGCCCCGCTTTTCCCTTACCTCGATAGCCCCCATGCCTGCACCCTGTCATTCTTTCTTTTTTGAGACAGAGTCTTGCTCTGTCACCCAGGCTGGAGTGCAGTGGCGCGATCTCAGCTCACCGCAACCTCTGCCTCCCGGGTTCAAGCAATTCTCCTGCCTCAGCCTCCTGAGTAGCTGGGGCTAAAGGTGCCTGCCAGCACGCCCAGCTAATTTTTGTATTTTTGGTAGAGACAGGGTTTCGCCATGGTGGCCAGGCTGGTCTCAAACTCCTAACCTTGGGTGATCTGCCCACCTTGGCCTCCCAAAGTGCTGGGATTACAGGCGGGAGCCAATGCACCGGCTGAAATGGGGATCCTTTCTACAGATGCTCCGCACATCCTTCCTCCGCCTGTTTACTCAGGCCACTCCCCGTGTCATGGCGTCCTTCTGCAGCTCTGTCCTTTGCCCACATTCAAACCCTCCTTCTCTCTCCAAGTCCAGGTCAAATGTAACCTCCTCCTGGAAGTTCTCTCCTGGATCTCACAACCAGAAAGAAGCCTCCTCTCTCAGACTGTCTTCAGCAGCCCTAGCTATCCATCTCCTCTAGGGCAATATCTCAGGTAGACCCTGAGAGTTGCCTACCTGATATTCAACCTCTGTTTCCTCCTTGTTATTTCAAATTTGTCCAGGTGATCAAGCCACCAATCTGAAAAATAAAATCTCTATTTTCTTGTTTCATTTTCATCTAGGGTGGCCATATGGCAGAGTTCTGGCCAGTGAGCCAAGGAGAAGAAAAATGTTATCAAATTACTATCAGTGAATAAAAGCCTATTCAGCTTTTCTCCCTTTTTTTTTTGCCATCCCAACTGAGCTCCCAAGGGTTTTTTTTTTTTTTCATGTAATACTAGCTAATAAAATTCCAGGACTTGGTTTTAAAAACATAAATTTTCATAATAAAGTACATGACTCTCAGAAAGAGTTGAAGGACACGTTTCCTGCCCCTGCAGCAATAAATCAAAAGATATTGTTCTGTGTTATAAAATGGTTCAAGGAATTTGATTTGATGTTGTGCAAAACTGAGACTGTTTATAAGAATATCATTTATGTTCTCCTCTGCAATATACAGTTTTGTATGAATATTCATGACGGTTGCTGACTTGTTCTAGTCTTTGGTAATACGAATCTGCTCTTGGAAGAATAATTTAAACCAAATGGTCTTATGAGACTACAAAGATGTTAGAAATTATTCCATGTCTTATGAAAATGATCCCCAAATAAAATGGAATTCTGACGGGTTGTCTTATTTGATGATTTCTTGCTCTGGTAATAATAACATTGTAATTGACATCTCTGTTTTCCTAAATTGTATACCAATCTGTAGGACCGTACTCTTCTTTCTCATGAACAATGCAAAAAAATAAAAATAAAAACCTGGCCAGGCGTGGTGGCTCATGCCCGTAATCCCAGCACTTTGGAAGGCTGAGGCAGGTGGATCACCTGAGGTCAGGAGTTTGAGATCAGCCTGGTGAAACCCCGTCTCTACTAAAAATACAAATATATATATAGAGGGTGTAGTGGCAGGCGCGCCTGTAATCCCAGCTACTGGGGAGGCTGAGGCAGAAGAATCGCTTGAACCCGGGAGGCGGAGGTTGCAGTGAGCTGAGATTGCACCATTGCACTCCAGCCTGGGCAACAAGAGTGAAACTCCATCTCAAAAATAAATAAATAAATAAATAAATAAATAAATAAATAAATAAATAAAAGAAATCTTTAACTCCACTAGATTACTGAGCGCACATTTTGAGAGACTTGTCTACTTAAAAATACCAAACTTAAGAGGCTATCTGCTGGAGAGTTTTGGGAGTTCTGCTTTTCTGACACTAGCACCATCATTTCCTCCTCCTCACCTTCCTCTTCTTACTTCCTGGAAGATGAACGTGATGCTGGAGATGGTGCAGCCACCTGGCGACTATGAGACAACTGTGAGAATGAAAGCTAGAGATCTGGGGATGTCACTGACAACAACATGGGGAGCCTGGTTTTCTGATGACCCTGTGGAGCTATTGTAACAACCCCACACAGCCCACTGCCATATCTCTTCTCCATTTGATTGTCACGCTAGTTGGGAAACTGATAAAATGCCTTACCAGGGAATCTAGCCAAAAGTGAACTCCTAGGCCAGGCGTGGTGGCTCACGCCTGGAATCCCAGCATTTTGGGAGGCCGAGACGGGCAGATTGCTGGAGCCTAGGAGTTTGAGGCCAGCCTGGGCAACATGGAGAAACCCCATCTCTACTAAAAGTACAAAAATTAGCCAGGTGTGATGGCACATGCCTGTAGTCCCAGTTACTCGGGAGGCTGAGGTGGGAGAATTGCTTGAACTGGGGAGGCAGAGGTTGCAGTGAGCCAAGATCGCGCCACTGCGCTCCAGCCTGGGTGACAGAGCAAGACTCCATCCCCACCATAAAAAAAAAGTAAAGCTTCCATGCTTGCAGGTACCAGATGAATGGGGCCTGTTTGTGAAGACATAGGAGACTCCTTGGGGACTCCTAGAAAACTTTTGGAGGAAGATGACAAGGAGACTCTGCAGGGGGCTCTGCAGCTGAGGAAGGACAGTGGAATTTCCATTACTCCATTGTTCCAGTGATATTTCCACCATTGCCCCTTCACATTTCCACATCTGCATGGCATCCTTTTAAATTATAAATCAATCATGTCAGTTCCCTGTTCGTTACCATCTGTTGGCTTCACTTTACTGTCAAAATAAACTCCAAAATTTGACAGATTTTGGCAGACTGCTAGAAATACTACCTAACCCTACTTCCCCTCTGTTTCTCTTTCTCTCCTTGGTCAGCTTCTGCCCCTTCACAGTACGCAGGGAAGTAACTCTGTATCTATTCTGACCAGAATGTGAGTTCCTTGAGAAAATTAGTCATGTCCAAATATCTTTTGTGTGTCATGTTGGAATCACCTTTGTGTACCACTTCTGGGTGGCCTTTGTGTGTCATGCCCAAGGTACCTTTATGTGACATAATGGAGTCCACCTTTCAAAGTCAAGTCTGAGTCACTTTTGTGTCTCTAGTACCCAACACACAATCTGGAACACAGCTGGTGCATAATAAAGCTTTATCAAATGAAAGAAGATTTGGAACCAAGAAATTTGGGGTTTTGGCAAGGCGCGGGGACTCACACCTGTAATCCCAGCACTTTGGGAGGCCAAGGCGGGCAGCTCACTTGAGGCCAGGAGTTCGAGACCAGCCTAGCCAACATGGCAAAATCCCTTCTCTACTTAAAAAGCAAAAATTAGCCAGGCGTGGTGGCATGCGCCTGTAGTCCCAACTGCTCAGGAGGCTGAGTTATGAGAATCACTTGAACCCAGGAGGCAGAGGCTGCAGTGAGCAGAGATTGTGCCACTGCATTCCAGCCTGGGAGACAGACAGAGAGAGAGAGAGAGAAAGGGAGAGAAAGAGAGAGAGATAAATAAATAAATAAATAAATCTGGGTTCTAGCTGTGGCTCTGCAGATACCTTAAAATAAATAAATAAATAATACCGAACAATCATGGTGGCCCATGTGCTGTGCACTGGAGATTCACATACTTTATCATTCTCAATCTCACAACAGCACTGTGATGTAGTTCTCAATGCATCACTTCGCAGATAAGGAAACTGAGGCCCAGAACAGCATAGGAACTAGTCAGGTTCACAGGGCCAAGAAATGGACATCCTGAAGTCATAATGTAGGTCCCTGGACTCCGAACCCAGTGTTCTTTCCGGTATGCCAGGCTGCCTTCAGAACTGCTGTGTCATCACGGTTGAAGCCTCTTCTCCTCTCTGAGTCCCATGCTTCATGTATAAAATATGGGAATAAATCAAACTGTCCTGTCCACCTCACAAGGTTTGAGAAAGACAGTGGGAAAAGCATATAGTTTTGCACCATATGAGTTACAAATGTCTTCCCCCTCGACTTGTGTGGTAGGCAAAATTCTAAAGATGTCTCCCATTCCAAGATTCCTGTGCCCTGGTTATTCAATTAAACATTAATCTACGTGCTTCAGTGAAGGGACTTTGCTGACTGAGTGAAGGGACTTTGCTGATAGAGTGAAGGTGACTAATCTGCTGATCTTAAATTGAGGAGATCATCCTGCACTATCTGAGTGAATGTAATGTAATCACGTGAAACTTGCAAAGCAGAAAAGTCAGAGAGATTCAGGAGAAAGAAAGGGCATACATGAGCCAGAAGTGGAGGTCAGAGAGATGTGAAGCATACGAAGGATTTGACTCACCATTGTTTGCTTTGAAGATGAAGGAACGAACCCACGAGCCCATGAGGGCAGCTCCTAGAAGCTGACAATGACCCCAGCAGACAGCTAGCAAGGGAATGCAGACCTCACTACTACAAAGCATGGAACTGATTCTGAATGTGTTTGGAAATGGGTTCATCCAAAGGGACTCGAGAAAGCAACATAGCCCTGCCAACACTGTGATTCAGGCCTTGTGAAAGCTGGAGCAGAAAACCAGGGGAACCACGCCACACCAGAACTTTTGACCTTCTGTGAGATCATACATGAGTGTTACTTTAAAAGCTGCTAAAATTGGGCTGGGCCCAGTGGCTCATGCCTATAATCCCAGCACTTTGGAAGGCCAAGGCAGGTGGATCACATGAGGCCAGGAGTTCCAGGCCAGCCTGGGCAACATGGCAAAACCCTGTCTCTACTAAAAATATTTTTAGAAAATTATCCAGGTGTGGTGGTACTTGGGAGGCTGAGGAATGAGAATAGCTTGAACCCAGGAGACAGAGGTTGCAGCGAGCCGAGATTGCACCACTGCACTCCAGTCTGGGTGACACAGTGAGACTTGGTCTCAAAACAAACAACAAAAAAGCTGCTAAAGTTGTGGTAATTCTTTTTTTTTTTTTTGAGACGGAGTCTCGCTCTGTCGCCCAGGCTGGAGTGCAGTGGCGGGATCTCGGCTCACTGCAAGCTCCGCCTCCCGGGTTCACGCCATTCTCCTGCCTCAGCCTCCCAAGTAGCTGGGACTACAGGCGCCCGCCACTACGCCCGGCTAATTTTTTGTATTTTTAGTAGAGACGGGGTTTCACCGTTTTTAGCCGGGATGGTCTCGATCTCCTGACCTCGTGATCCGCCCGCCTCGGCCTCCCAAAGTGCTGGGATTACAGGCGTGAGCCACCGCGCCCGGCCAAGTTGTGGTAATTCTTATGAAAGCAACAGGAAACCCATACAACTTGGATGTGAAGCCAGTTCAAAGGAAGGGTTCTAGATTCTTCTGTGAGTGGACGGCCAGCAGTCCAAAGGCTTGGTCTTTGCCTCCCATTTTCTAGGTTTTTCTGGGCCAGGCCCTTCCCTCACTAGGGAACTGCTTCCTCATTTAAGATAGTCTAGAGTTTGCAAATTAGTGGCTTTGTGAGGTAGTTAAAATGCAGGGGGTTTTATTTAGCCTGCATTAAGAAAACTGCATACAGACTTTCTTTCATTAGTTGCAATGTTTAAAAATCAGGATCCTCACATAAAAGTCTGAACTCCCAGCTACTTTTTAATAAATTAGATCTGACAACACATGGCAGATATTAACTTTCCCCTTTAATATTGGACAATTGTTCTCCAGTCCATTGCTGCCCCTGCTCTCCCTGCTGCACTCACCTGGGAGGGGCATATAACACAGTGGTTAAGACCGTGTGCTGAGTCAGCCTGCCTGAGTTTAAGTCTGGCGCCACCATTTGCCAGCTGTGTGACTGTGGGCAAATTACTTCCCCTCTCTGGGTTTCCCGTTTCCTCACTTATAACATGTAGATTTTAACAGGATTCATCTGACAGAATTGTTGGGAGCATTAAATGATTAAATGAATGAATGCATGTAAAACCCTCAGAACAGAGGCCAGCACAAAATAAGTGCTAGGCAACTGTTTATCATTCACATCACCTGCCTGGTTCCCTCAGCATTTAATTTGTGACCGCTCTTGACTCATCTCTTTTCTCAGTGATGTTTTGATTCAAGAACCAGCCCTCTGCTTTTCCATTCTGATCGCTGCCTCTCTTAAAAAAACGACTCCCTCCTTACATCAAGATGCTACTCAGGCTTCCAGATAACAAATCCTATCTCTGCATCATAACCCACTTTTGCTTTTTTTTCACTATCAAAATCCTTCCTCCTCCTCCTTTAATTTACAACCTCGAATCAAAGGTTGGGAAGAGCTCTGGGCTGGTTCCAACTGGGGCTTTGCCAGTAACTCGTTGGATAGCTCTGGGCAAGTTCTGTCCCCTTTCTGCTTCCCCCTCTTTTTCCTCCTCGGTAGAATGGGAGGGTTACTGCAGACTATGTAAGGGTCCTTCAGATTCAAAAACTCTGATCTCTCACATCTGTAATCCCAGCACTTTGGGAGGCTGAGGTGGGAGGATCGCTTGAGCCCAGAAGTTTGAGACCAGCCTGGGCAACACAGCGACACCCTGTCTCTACAAAACAATTTAAAAAATTAGCCCGGCATTGTGGGTGCAGCTACTCTGGAAGCTGAGGTGGGAGGACTGCTTGAGCCTGGGAGGTCGAGGCTGCAGTGAGCTGAGATTGTGCCACTGAACTCCAGCCTGGGTGACAGAGCAAGACACTGTCTCAAATTAAATAGATGAATAAAATAATGAAATAAAAATAAAATTCTGATCTCTTTCCAGTCTCACTTCCTTCTCCAGGCCCTGGTGTGTGCGTGAGTTTTCTTCACAGGTGATCTCTTTTCCCTCCCCCTAAATTATCACTTCTTTTTCCATATTTACCTCCCAGTCTCAGGGTCCAAGGAGCTCCAGCCTGGTCCTTCCTCAGCACTATTTCCTTAAAAACCGAATGTCCTCCTGAATTTTTGCATCAAGCGGGTTTGTTTGACTTCCTATTACTGTTTTCAATGACTCCGGATGCGCCCGATGAACTGACTGACACGTGGAATAACCGTGTACACAAACACGGAGTGCCTCACGGGGAAGTGACTAAGGCAGAGGAAGGCTAACGGATTCGCTGAACTGGGAGTCCCCTGAGGCCTCGCCAACCTCCTTGCACGGGGATACCAATCCCTTGAAGCCCCGCCCCGCAAGCTCGCGCGGGTTTGTCCAGAGCCAATCAGGGCCTGACCCTTCTCGCGGGAGCTGCTGGGATGCGCAGCCGCATAAGAGAGCGCGCGGGTCTCCAGAGCCTGAGCTAGTCAGAAGCAACAGTTGCTACTGCGTCCCCCGGACATTGGGAGAATCGTTTTCCTTGGGCAGCTGGTTCCAGACCCCCACCAGTCCTCTAGACTCCAGGCCAATCAGTTGCTAAGGGACGTTCCTCTCTCAACCTGGTATGTGCGGGAAGTCAAGGCATTAACTAAGGCACAAAATGACTAGTGCTGGACCCCAGGGCTGGTCAGAAGGCACCCTGTGTACTCATTGTTTCCTGTCCTGCACGCGAGGCCCCTATCACCGAGAAAACAAGACACACGATGAAGCCCAGCCTCTCTATTCCCATTCCCAAACCCATCTCTGACCTATCTCCAACCCGATCCCTATCCTCTCTCCTATTCCTTTTCTACATTTTTTTCTCTTCTTTCCCAACACTGGCACTCTCCCTCTCCCCAGCCTTGTCTGCCTCTCCCTCCCAAACAGAGGATGTATCTTTAGTAGAAGCAAACACCAAACCTGTTACATAGAGGCTTCTATCCTCAACTCAAAACCTCTGCTGCCCAGGATTCTCACACAGCTCCACTGGATGTGATTCTCAAACAATCTGCACTTTCCAGAATTACAAAGCATAAGAGGAAATAACCCTCCATAAGTGAGGACAAAACCTAAACTTCCCACTAGAGCCCTGGAAGGCCTGCAAGTTCTGGCCCTTCAGGAGCTCATCCCTCAGTCAATTCCAGTCACAGCGGCCTGCTCTGGGCTCCTGAACTCACCAAACTGTTCTCATGTCAGAGCTTAGGATCTACTGCTCCCTCTGTCTAGCCAGCTCCTAATAATCCTATAGGTCTCAAGGCAAGTGTCACTTTCTCTGAGAGGCCTTCTCTGACTCTGTAATCCAACCTAGCTTCCTTTCCTGTGCTTTCTCATAGTATTCTGTCCTGTTTTCTTTCTAGCACTTATCAACATTTTAAGCTATAAATTCGTCTGCATTTCTTCATCGTCTGTCTATGTAGACCATGACTCCACGGAGGCAGGGTGAGTGTCTTACTTCTTCCCCTCATTATCTGGCACATGGTGGCACATCTGATATTTCTGTGAAATGTGAACTGCCTGTGAGAGGTGCTTATACATGTGGGGGCTAACGTAAACGTCCACCCTGAGTATAAGATGACCATCTAGCTGGTGCTACAGGATCACTGTATTTACCCACAAATATTGCCCCAGGGAAGAGATGACCCTCTTTCCACCTACTGAAAACTACTAGCATCTGGCCAGGCACGGTGGCTCACTCCTGTAATCCCAGTACTTTGGGCGGCCGGGGTAGGTGGATCACCTGAGGTCAGGAGTTTGAGACCAGCCTGGCCAACATGGTGAAACCCTGTCTCTACTAAAACTATAAAAAATTAGCTGGGTGTGATGGTGTGTGCCTGTAATCCCAGCTACTCGGGAGGCTGAGGCAGGAGAATCACTTGAACCCGGGAGGCAGAGGTTGCAGTGAGCCGAGATTGCACCATTGTACTCCAGCTTGGGCAACAAGAGCAAAACTCCATCTCAAAAAAAAAAAAAATCTACTAGCATCTGGCTAGAAAGGAGGTTGTCATCCATTCTGAGAGGAACAATACATAGTTGTGGTTCATTCTAATGCCAGAATCCCTTTCCCATTCCTTGCATGCCTGCCTTTCAATCTGGCCAAGAACTATTGCGATAACCTCCTAACTAGCATCTTTACCTCCAGCCTTACCCATTCTAAATATATCATATGTGGGGTCAGGGTACGGAAATGATTTTTCTGTCTATATCTGGTCACTCTACTTGCTTGCTTCAAACCTTAAAACAGCTTATAATTAATTAAATCATTTGACAAACATTCTTGAGATCTTATTGTATTTTAGGCATCATTCTGGGTGCTGGTGATAAAAGTAGAAAACAAGGCAGACAAAGTCCCTGTTCTCTTGGAACTTACATTCTAAGGGAGTCAGGATAAGGTCCTACAAGATAAAGCTCCAAAGCTCCAATGAATCTTGGCATTCAGGGCCCATCGTCATGTTTTTTCTCACCTGCATCTCTGAACAGTACTTTTCACCCATTCTCCACCCAGATATGGGTCATGTGATGTTCAAAGGATGGGGAATGAAAGATCTTGTCCAAAGATAGACAGCCACCAAGCACTGAAGTTGGGATTCTATCCAGATATGAAGGCTTGAAAGCCTGGCGCTCTTGTAGGTGTATCTCAGGCACTGACACACAGTAGGCGCTCAAAAGTAACTTGCTGATGGACTTGATTCATATTGTCACATGTATTTTTCCTTCTTTTGACACCTTCCCAGGGTGGCACAGATTTCTTCTCATTTAGCCAAACAACAAATTACAAAGTGTGTCTTCAGAGGTTCTAAGACTAGGTCTAAGAGTAACCACCTATTCAATGGAGAATGAGTGTTAAGGGATGTGTAGGAATTGAGAGGGTTTTGTGAGCTGAGGAGAGTCCAGGGGGCTCCAGGTTTATTACAGCCTCCAGGGTTTCTGTGAGCGCTATAAATTTTGCAGATCTTTGTAATTCCAGGGATAATGGCGACTCCAGGTATGAGGCATGTTCCACAGGCTTAGCTGGCTCGTTTATCTTGCTTTTCCTGAAAGCGAGGTGCAAAATAGAACAAAGAAAAAAGAATGTTGGAACAGGTCTAGAGGTGAGGTATCCAAATCTTAAAAAGACACCCCCTTGTGCACAGAATTAAGGCAACATGGAGTGAGCACTGGCTTAGCCCTTCCTCACAACCCCATGGTTAAAGCCTGCAACTCGGTCTTCTCCATCTGGTCCTCTCTGTGCATCTTCAGTACCCATAACACTGACTGTTCCTTAGACTCCTCAGGGAATCTTGCCTGACTTCCTCAGGTAGGTTTGGTCCCTCCCTCTTCTGCACCACCGTAACTCCTGGCTCAGCATCCCCTACTGTGAAGGTGCCTTCTCGACCAGTCTAGTTGCTCTCTGAGGACAAGGCCTAGGTTTGGCCCATTTCTGAGACCCCAGCATTGTCGAGCACAAAGATTAGGAGATATTGCAGGAAATATTGGTGGAATTTAACAGATGGCTTATCTACAAAAGGACACCAACTGTTCATGCAGGGTGTTAGGAGGGCAGCAGGATAATTCTGATTCTGGAGAATCATAAACGGTAAATAACAGTGAGGCATAGCAACCTCGGACACTGTATCTTCCAAGCCCTGCTGAAGATGTGGGGTACAGGGTGAATGAAGGAGTAACCTGGGCTTGGCCTAATCTCTAACCACTTCAGGCTGACTTGGCCTGTGGCATCTACACCAAGCTGACTGCTGCCGGCCATACACTCAGAGGCCAAATCCTTGGTTTCCACTCTGATGCTACAACTGCTATTAGGATTTTCCCCAACTGCCTTTTCAGTGGGGATTCAATGTAATGGTGTGTGCGTGTAAATTGATTTTAATTGTTCTTTAAATTGTTTCTCTTAACTTTCATCCTTCTCCTCTCTGGGCCTTAGCTTCCTATTTATAAAATGACCTGAAAGCACACTCTAGCATTAGGTATCCTGCAAGACTGAGGATGATAACACCTTCAAAACACTGTGTGCTCCTTTCCCTGTGGGTCTTATTATCAGTATTCCGATAGACTAGATTCCAGACACAATAGGTACATACCAATATCCGGCTCTCAGAAAATGTGGCGACTACGGGTTTTCCTGGTTCCTCAGGCTTCAGAGACATCTCAAGTTCTTGGCTTGCTCTGACTTTAGAGCTCTTTTTTGCTCTGATCGCTGCAGCTTTCTTCGCCTGCTTCTTTCTGATATGTTTCACTCTAAGGAAATAAGCCTTGGATTGGTTCTGGCTCTCCATCTCCCTGAATCCCCAAATGGGCTCTATCTTGACCAGAACTTCTGATTTAGAGCCTCAACAACAGTACCAGCTTGCTGTATGACCTAGGGCAAGCCACACATCCTCTCTGGGAATTAGTTTCACACTCTGAATAAGGGGGATACCCTGCTTATTAGGCTGTGGGGCTCAGATGAGGTCAGCTAAGAAAGGGCCTTGCAACTGGCAGAGAGATTGTTACTGGTCTTCAAGTCCTGTTGATTATACTTTGAAAATAGCTCCTCAGTTTGCCCTGACACCTCACTCCTCATCTTTGTCTCCCCATAGCCAGCCATGCCCAAGTCCCACCTCTCTGGCTGCCCCTCATCACTTGCCCCAGGTCAGGCCTTCTATTTCCTGCTTAGTCCCCTGCACCAGCTTCCTGCCTGGCCTCTGACCTTCTGGCTCTCACTCTCTCTAATCTGTGTCCCACCCCAAGCTCAAGCTTTCCTTCACAGCTTAGCACTCTTCCATGGCTCCGAAATGAGGATTCAGTCCAAGCTGTCTGGACAGGCTCCCCTGCCCGTCTCTCTGGCCTGACTTCCTGCAACTCACCCCTTCCCACTCCATGCTTCTAGCTAATACATGCAGCTAAGTTTTAACACCCTGTGAACCAACACCAAGGATGTCTTTCAACCTCATTTTTAGCCATTACCTGGTACTCTCAATGCACCTGACATTATACAAAGACACTGGAAATGCCTCAAACATGCCTCTGGGCGTCTGCATACAAAGGTTAGATATCCCTTATCTGAAATGCCTGGGGCCAGAAGTGTTTCAGATTTCAATTTTTTTTTTTTTTTTTAGATTTTGGAATATTTGTTTATACATAATGACATATCTTGGGGATAGGAGCCAAGTATAAAAACAAAATTCATTTATGTTTCATATATACCTTATACACATGGCCTGAAGGTAATTTTATATAATATTTAAAATTATTTTGTGCATGAAATAAAGTTTGTGTGCATTGAACTATCACATGAGGTCAGGTGTGGAATTTTCTACTTGTGGCATTATGTCGGTGCCTCGAGAACTTTTGGACTTTGGAGCATTTCGGATTTTGGATTTTTGGATTAGATACTCAACCTGTACTATTAATACTTTCCACCAAGCTAACGAGTACTGAACCCTTGCAGGCCCACCACAGACAGCACCCCGGGGACTCGCTGCTGCCTTTTCCAGGGCTGCCAAGTCCCTTCTTGGTCTTCTCCTTTATAAAATGTGTTCAAAGTGTCTGTTTTATGACACAGTTTTACGGTTCTGTATAGTCCTCATGGCCCTGGATTGTGGTGACCATGTTTGGTACATCTTTCCCTCTTTAGACCCTAAGCTCCTTGAGGGGAGGGGTCCTGTCTTTGCTCTCTCTGTGCCAGGGCTGCAGCCAGGGCCTGCCCGGTAGTAGGCTTGCGGGTGAATATTAACCCTAGTACTCACATGAGAGGGAGGAGGCAGAGGAAGAGCAGCGCAATTACAATTCCCGCATAGATAGCACCCTGGATCAGCCCTTTCACGAAGGCCTGGGCAGCCAAAGAACTCTTTCCTGGAAGCAGAGAGCATGTGAGAAGTTTGGCATCGGAGCCAAAACTCTGCTCCATTCTCTAGCCCCAGTGACTGTCCCCATCCCGCTTATTGTCCTCACCCAGTCACCGAGCCCCCTCCACCCTCACTTGACATCAGTAGGATGCTCAAAGCATGGGTTCCGTTTTGGTTCTTCCCCTCACAGAGAAGTCTCATGCCCATTTCTGGCTCTTCAGTTAGGCTGATGGTGCTGTTAGCCCAGGGGCCAAGCATGGTGGAAGTCACTTGGAGGCTGCCATCCATGCCATCCACACCCACGGGGACTCCTCCCATCCACCACTGCACAGAGGGTGTGGGAATCCCATGGAAGGAACAGCTGCACTGCAGTGTCTTCTCCAAGGAGCAAGAGGAGTTGAGCAGCTTAGCAGGTACTGTGGGGAGGAAGGGTCAGGAGTCAGCAAGGCATCCTGGCTTCCCTCTTCCAGTTTCTCCAGCATGCAGCCTTCTCTTTACTTGCTATTCACAAGGAGCTTCAGAAGGACTTTCTGGAAGCCCACAGGATTCAGGCCTCCCAGACCAGTTCCCCTCTATCTTCTGTCCTCATCTGGCCTGAACCTGATCGCTAGACCTTCTTGAGGGGTGGCAAGTAAATTTCCTGAGGCTCTACATTGTCTGTGATCCCTCACCTACCCTGCAAGGCTAGAAGTCCAAGCCAGACCTCCTACTCTGCTTCTCTTCTTCCCACCTGCAATGTTCCTCTTAGGCTCTATGACCAATTCTCCCTCCATCACTTCCTGTCTGGGTGCTGCTGGGCAAGTCACTCCCCTTATCATTGCTGTTTCCTAGCCTGGAAAATCGGGATATTTGCTGAACCTATCTCATATTATCATCGTTATAAGAATGAATGCCCCAAGATTTGCAGTGCACCCAGCTCAGTGCGTAGTGAAGTATTACCCATTCAATAAACAGAACACCTTTCTTAATTTCCTTCTTCCCGGTCTCAAGTGGTCTTTGGTGGAACATTCACTGGAAGCCAAATGTACTATGGCATCTTCTGTGTAAGAATGCTGGAAATTGCCTCGCTCTATTTAGAACAGGTAGGACATGGTGGCCATTTGATGAATATCATGGATTAGGAGGGAACAGTCACATTCATCAAGGTCTCTAATAATGAGGAATCTGTCTTCAGTGTTGACACACACTTTTTCGTTGAAGTTTTTTGAGGTTACTGGAAGAAAGGGGTAATTTTCCCCTAACCAGTAGCTCCTGATCTCGGTCTCTTCACCTGAGTCACTTGCGGGGCGCTGTTGAGGAATCTGCGGGGGACTCTCATGTACGGACCCCTCTATGGCTGTCCTCTGAATTGTCTTTTCCACCTGGCAAAGTGTGCCCACAGAAACACTGAAAAACTTAACTTCAGGGCTTCCAGTAATGTCTGAAACAGCTCCTAGTGCTCTCATGCCTTCATAGCACCTACACTCTCCATCCCTCTCCCTTGCCCAATTTGCTATTTGCTTCAGACACACCAGCCCTGTCAAAATCTGACACACAGAAGCTGTCTAATTCATGTTGATTATTTGGTACTTATGCCCATATGTCCTCTTTCTCCATGCCTCCATAGCCCATCCTCTGCCCTGCCAACACCCAGGCCCTGGAGTCTTGGCTTCCAAACACACCTCCAGTGCTGCTTCTCACCTTACTTACCCAGCTGTAGCAGTGGAAGCATCACTTCCAGCAGCAACAGTTCTCAGGAACAGCAGAAGCTCTTTACTACACTGGCTCTGACATCAGAACCATATGGTTCAGAAGGAGTGAGGTGATGCGTAACTGAAAGAGGATGTGGGGATGGGGAGAGCAGAAGTATCTTTAGCCAAGTCAGGGGCTTCTGTCTCTGGTCATCGTGAAGGCCTGTTCACCTGGAGAAGCAGGAATTATATGGGATGAGAGGCTCATGAGCACGTACGGACAGGGAGGCAACTAAGATTGTCTGTGAAGCCTCAGTGTCATGTCTGCTTTATTCTTTGTTTTATTTTTGTTTTTTGAGATGGAATCTTACTCTGTCGCCCAGGCTGGAGTGCAGTGGCTCGATCTCGGCTCACTGCAATCTCCATCTCCCATGTTCAAGCGACTCTTCTGCCTTAGCCTCCCGAGTAGCTGGAATTACAGGTATTCACCACCATGGCCAAATAATTTTTGTAGTTTTAGTAGAGATGAGGTTTCACCATGTTGGCCAGGCTGGTCTCAAACACCTGACCCGCCTTGGCCTCCCAAACAGCTGAGATTACAGGCATAAGCCACTATGCCCGGTTTGTTTTTGTTTTTGAGACAGGGTCTTTCTCTCTCTCTGTCACCCAGTCTGGATTGCAGTGGTGTGATCACTTAAGATAGCAAAGTGTTGACATTCTCTCAGGAAAAATATGATAATGTTTAGTTTGGTGAGAAGTGTAAAACAACATCTCCCTACCACAGTATAATTGTTTTGCCATAAAATTTGAAATGAATGGTGTAAGTAACATTGTATAGCATGGCACAATGTTCCCTTTTATATCCCATGTAGACATTTATTTAATAAATTTGTTCTCAGTAAATTTCTATTAAAAAAGAGACAGCACGAGACCCTGTCTCAAAAAAATGATCAATTCCAATTCCTACTGGATATCATGACTTAAAAATCCATAGTAATTCCAGCGTGGGCAACATGGTAAAACCCCGTTTCTACAAAAAATACAAAAATTATCTGGGTGTGGTGGTACGCACCTGTAGTCCCAGCTACTTGAAAGGTTAAGGTGGGAGGATCACCTGAGGTAGGGAGGTCAAGGCTGCAGTCAGCCGTGATCACGCCACTGCACTGTAGCTTTGGGCTACAGAGTAAGACTTTATCTCAAAATAAATAAGTAAATAAATAAAATACATACATACATACATAGTAATTCATAGAGTATGGTATTGACACAAGGATAAATAAAAATACCAATGGGACAGGCTATATGGTTAGAAAAATACCTATACATATGTGATCACTTGGTTTAGGATAAATATGGCACTGCATAGAAGTTAAAGGACTCTCTTTTGAATAAATTGTGTCAGAATAACTGGACAGCCATACAGCAAAAGGAAATAAGACCCCTACCTCATGTCATACATAAAAATAACTTCTAGGGACATTGGGAAAGTCCTTAGACTTTTTTTCTAGAACAGTGCTGTGTGAAGAAATATAATGTGACCTATAAATGTGGACTACATGTATAATTTTAAATTTTCTAGCAGCCACATTAAAAAGGAAGAAATGGGTAAAATTAATTTTAATGATGTTTCATTTAACCTAGTGAAAGAAACCTAGGTTATTCACTAGGTTATTCATATTGAACCTAACCCAATATTTCAACATGCAATCAACACAAAATTGTTAAGATTTGGTACATTCTTTATACACTCTTCAAAATCTTGTATATATTTTACACTTACAGCACACTTCAATTCAGACTAGCCATAATATAAGGGCTCAATAGCCATATGTAGTTAGTAGCTACCACATTGGTCAGTGGAATTCTTTAATACAACATAGGAGAGTATCTTGGTAAGTTTTAGGTAAGGAAATATTTCTTTAAAAGGGCCAAAAAGCACTAGCTATGAGGAAATATGGATAAAATGGACTGTATCAGAATTAATTTCTGCATCAAAAGATACCATTAAGGAGGACAAATGCAAGTTGCAGGGCTGGAGAACATACTTGCAACACATACAACGTGCTTGCATCCAGAACATAGCAAGGATAAAGGGGGTAATGAATGGTGTAGTACATGAGTGGAGTGTTTGGGGTGTTGTTAATGTTCTATTTCTTGACCTCAGTGGTGGTTACACTGGTCTGCTCCCTTTGTGATAATTTGAGTTGTATACTTACTATCTGTATTAATACTTCTCTGTATAAAATTGTACTTTGATTTAAAAGCTTGTTTGAAAATAAAGACAGAGAAACAAACAGAAGGGATACAAAAGAGAATAGAACGGTTGGGACAAGTAGAAATCATGTACCTAGATGTTAGATTTAAACTCCAATACATCAGTGATTTAACTAAATATAAATGGCTTAAATTATCCAGTTATGAATCTAAGATCATCATATTGGAAAAAAGAAGCAAAGCCAAACTCCATGCTGTTTACAAAAGACACAACCAAAGCATAAGTGTAAAGGACAGTTAAAAAACCAAATGGGCCGGGAGCGGTGGCTCATGCCTGTAATCCCAGCACTTTGGGAGGCCGAGACGGGCGGATCACGAGGTCAGGAGATCCAGACCATCCTGGCTAACACGGTGAAACCCCGTCTCTACTAAAAATACAAAAAATTAGCTGGGTGTGGTGGCGGGCCCCTGTAATCCCAGCTACTCAGGAGGCCGAGGCAGGAGAATGGCATGAACCTGGGAGGCAGAGCTTGCAGTGAGCCGAGATCATGCCACTGCACTCCAGCCTGGGCGACAGAGCAAGACTCCGTCTCAAAAAAAGAAAAAAAGAAAAAACCAAAGAATGAAAACATACACCAAGCAAATACCAACCAGAAAGCCAGGTAATGTAGACATACCTACATTAACATCCCATAAAGCAGACTTTAAGCAAAAGGCATTACCAAAGATAGAATGGCATATCTCCTAATGATAAGCTGACATTAACAGGAATAAAGTATATATTTAAAATTTGTGTTTGCCTACTAACATAGTCCAAAAATATATAAAGCAAAAAATCTACAAAAATAAAAGGAGAAACAGACATCCACAATAGTAGTGTGACATTTTAATCACTGTTCTCTCAGAAACTGACAGAACAAACAGACTATTGGAATATATAAAGATTTCAACAACTTGATCAGCAAATTTGACCAAAAATATATAGAGAATACTGCAATCAATAACTGCAGAATACAATTTCTTTGTAAGCACACAGAGAACGTTTACAGAAATTGGCCACAGCTGGATCATAAGACAAATCTTAATAAAATTTCCATGAAAATATTTAAAATCTCATTAATAACCAGCAAAATGCCTGTTAAAACCATCAGATACCAGTACATATCCAAGACAATATATCAAGTCTTGGTGAGAATGTGGTACTCAACTTTCACACACTATTGGTGGAAATATAAATCAGGGCAACAAAGTTATTTATCAAAGCAGAAGATACACATACTCTATGACCCTCAATTCCACTCCCAGATGTATACTTTATAGAAATGTTTGTGCATATGTACGCCACAAAGGAATGCAAAAATGTTTACAGTGGTATTATTTAAAAATAGCTAAAAAGGTAAACAATCCAAATGCCAGTAAACAGAGAATTTTAAAAAATGAGATACTACACAGCAACAAAAACCTATGAGCTAATGCTAGATGCAACAACATGGACCATTCTTACAAATAAAATATTGAATGAACAAAGCCAGACACAAATAAGTAATAATGTATGAGCATTTCTTTAAAATTTGAAAAAAACCGGGCAAAATCAAGTGTTTAAGAACGCACACACAAGTAGTAAAAATCCTTTAAAAGTTGCCAAGAAATGTCCAGCATAAAAGGTAGGATATTAATTGCCTTTTTGGGAGGAAGAGGTCTGTTTCTCTGTTTATTTTATCATTTGTAGGGGGTATGAACAGGTCTTTTGAGATACTGGCTATAGTGAATTCCATAAGGCTGTACCCTATATAGGCATCCTTTTAATAGTACAGTTTCCCATTGCCCATCTGCCTGACCATATGGCCAGGCCATTGGCCACTGCCCATGAATTGGTAAAAACCCAAATGTGGAGGCAGTTCAGCCCACTGAAGTGACTTGTTTTTGCCTTCCTCAGTATGAGTGCCAGTCTTCCAAACAGGATGTTATTAATTCACTTTGGAATTGCCATCCATAAATCAAACCGCTCTTAGTTGGTCAATCAAGAGCTATTAATAGACATCATTCAAGTAATAATAGGATCTCGCAGCTCTTCAGTAGGGAAAAAGCCACCTGTTCATAAATATAACGAGGACCTCCTTGCATTTCCCTGGTAGCATGTTCCTGTATAAACAATTTCCATTTTATTACGAGACTCTTTTGGGCATGGCCTTCCTTACTACAGTGTTTTTCCAACATGACAAACACATCATGAGGATTTCAGGTGTCAGGATTATTATATCCTTCAATGATGGGGCAGACTCAAAGCCCAATAGGCAGCTAGTTGTCTCTCCATTGGAAATTTTCTGGCCCCAAATCCCAGCATTCACCACTGGGTGGTGCTCACTGGCCTTAGCTCCAGTCTGCCTAAATAAAGCAAACGTTAAGCTTCTAACATGTTTTGTCCACCAGATATCCTGTACTGTTTCAAATTAACAATTAGTGTGGGCTTGGGCAATCTTATTGGTTCCTATTTAGCATATTCAATCAATATTGGTTGAAGGGAAGATTTACATGCCTTCTGTTTCATAATAGTACGTAGGGGAACTCTTCCATAGTTGGACACAATATCTTTCCTCATAATACATTTAGGTAAATACATTCACATAACATATTTACATAGTCTGTCCAAACATTCCAATTTTCATCCAAAGTTTCGCCTGAATCTCATCCACTTTGTAATCCTATGTCTTCGCAATCTAACCATAGATGCTATTAGAATTTCACCAACCTTTTGGAATGCAGGTATAAGACTCCCACATGAGTCCCAGAAATATCTCTTATCCATCCCCTGACTATTTTACTACTAATATGCATATGACTTTGGGTCTTCAGTTAGGGGTCAGGCCAAGCAACCCAGGCCCTTTTGTCATTTATCTTGATTAGATCACATGTTCGTCCCCTCAGGAGATCTGAGGTCAGATTTCCCATTGTCATGTTTGCCTTCTGGCTTCTAAAATTCCTCCAAACTAGGGTAAATATAGCAGACTTGATGGGGGACCTTCAACACTGGAGGGCAAGTCTAGGTTCTCACTGCTCCACCTAATTTCTAAGAGTGCTCCACTGAGACCTTTGTTTAGACTCCCTCAATGTCCACTTAACTCATCTCATTTCTTAATAACTGTTTATAAAGATTTCCACCCTCTTGGAAATGTTCGTCTTTTCTCACTCTCTGGTGAACCACTCTAATTTTCTTTGCCATCTGTCATTTCAGCCTAACTTTTCCCTTTAGCCACAGCCCTGAGGCTAGCAGCTGTAGCTCAGGCTGGCCAGAGCCCAAGATTGGGCCAGCATCAGGATCCGCCTCAGCCACTTTCATTTTAACGATTACAGATAAAAATAGCCAAGGGACTGCCTATTTAGTTTGTTTCCTTATGCATCCAGTG
Source organism: Homo sapiens (assembly GCF_000001405.40). Classification (NCBI taxonomy): domain Eukaryota; kingdom Metazoa; phylum Chordata; class Mammalia; order Primates; family Hominidae; genus Homo; species Homo sapiens. The sequence continues at coordinate 51,258,495 of NC_000019.10, read as the reverse complement.
GGTCAGCTCCTTGGGGGTTGGATCCATTGTATTGAAAAAGCAATGGTAACTTTTACCTCCTGTAACTGTTTGCAGAACAGCTGCATTTCTATACGCACAGGTGACCGCAGGACAGCCCAGGAATCAAAGGCTTATCATCTTGACTTCACATCCTTCCTCTTTTCAAACCATATGTTTCAGTGAGTCAGGGCTGTTCTAGTGAATCCCATTTCTGATACAACTGAAAAGTTAGGGAATGGTCCACAAGATCCCCTCATTTCTGACACCAACTGAAGATATCAAGGATCCCTGATTACCCTCATTTCTCAAATCATTTGCAAGGTTTTGGAACCCCAAAACTACCCTTAGGTTTGGTAATTCACTAGAAGTACTCACAGAATTCACTGAAAGCTGTTATACTCGTGATTACTGTTTACTACAACTAAAGGATAGAGATTAAAATCAGCCAAGGGAAGACATACAGGGCAGAGGCCAGAAGTTCCCCACACAAAGCTTCTAGTTATCCTCTCCCTGTGGAGTCATGGACAGCATAACTTAGCTTTCCTGGTGATAATGTGTGACAATATGCATAGTACTGTCAACTAAAGAAGCTCACCCAAGCCTTGTGTCCAGTGTTTTTATTGGGCCTCCATCGTGTAACATGGTGACTTCCCTCATGGTGGATCTTAGCATCCAGCTCCTCCTGAAGTTGAGCTGATACCATTTGATCCAAAGCCCCTATTCTAAATCACATTGTTAGACTATCTGGTATTGCTTCCACTCTAAATCACATTGTTAACATTATCTGGTGTGGCCAGCCCTCATCCTAAATCACATTTCTAGAATATTCAGTGTGATGCAAGGTCCCTGGGCAAACAAAGACACCCCTATGAGGTGTGACATTCTAAGAGCTAGGGAGTGTCTTCCAGAAGCCAAGGGCAAAGGCCAGACTTCTCTTCAGGCAAGGTTAAGTTCCTTAGTACACAGAATAAAATGTCAAATTCAGAATAGCAGCGATCTCTATGTTTGAGAGTGGGAGATGTGTTTGGGGAAGGGAGTATACCAGGGGTAGTGTTTTCTTTCTTTTCTTTTCTTTTTTTTTTTTTTGAGACAGTTTCTTGCTCTGTCACCCAGACTGGATGGAGTGCAACGGAGCATTCACAGTTCACTGCAGGCTTGACCTCCCAGGCTCAAGCAATCTTCCCACCTCAGCCTCCCAAGTAGCTGGGACTACAAGCATGTGCCACCATGCCTGACTAATTTTTTAATTTATGTAGAGATGGGATCTTGTTATGTTGCCCAGGCTGGTCTTGAACTCCTAGGCTCAAGCCGTCCTCCCACCTGGGCTTCCTAAAGTGCTAGGATTACAGGTGTGAGCTACCGTGCCCAGCCAGTGTTTTCAATATTAAGCTGGTGGTGGGTATATGCTCATTATACCATATTTATATCTTTCTATATGTCTGAAATATTTCACAATCTTTAAATGAAAACTGGATCATTTGTCATTTATATAAAAGCTTTATATATATAATATGTAAATATGTATCTACATATTCATATATAATACACTCAAAACTATACATACATGAATGAGTAAAACAAAGATCTAGAATGATGTATAATTTGATACCAGTGCTTACCTATGGTTAGAGCAGTGATCAGAGATGAGATTATAGAATTTTCAGTTTTTTAATTCCAGGTTTATTGAGGTATAACTGACAAATAAAAATTGTATATACTTAAGGTGTACGACATGACGTTTTGATGTATGTATGCACTGTGGAATGATTACCACAATCCAGTGAATTAACATAATCAGCACTTCACAGTTACCATTTTTTTGGTGGTGAGAACACTTAATATTTACTGTCACAAAATTTCAAGTATACAGTACAGTGTTATTTACCATAGTCACCATGGTGCACATGAAACCTCCAGAACTTATTCATTCTGCCTAGCTGAAACTTTGTGCCCCTTGATCAATATCTCATTTCCCTTAGCCCTCAGCCCTGGCAACCACCATTCTATACTTTGCTTCCATGCGTTTGACTTTCTTAGATTCTACATATAAGTGAGATCATGCAGTACTTGTCTTTCTGTGTCTGACTTGTTTCACATAGCATAATGTCTTTCAGGTTTATTTACGTTGCTGCAAATGGCAAGATGTCCTTTTTTAAGGCTGAATAACTTCCACTGTGTGTGTATGTGTGTGTGCACAATAAATCCTCACTTAACATCATCATTCAGTTCTTGGAAACTGCTGCTTTAAGTGAAATGATGTAAAATGAAACCAATTTTACCATATATAAGAACATGCAAACTCCACACAGATACTGGTACTGGCTGGGAATTGATTTTTTTCTCTTATGATTAGACAATGTTGAACAAAATGACATTATTTGAATGGGGTGTGTGTGTGTGTGTGCGTGCATGTGTGTATACATATATAATATTTTCTTTACTCATCTATTAATGGACACTTACGTTGATTCCACGTGTGGGCTATGGTGAATAATGCTGCAATGAACACAGGAGTGCAGATATCTCTTCAAGATACTGAGTTCATTTCTGTCAAATACATGCCTAGAAGTGGGATTCCTGAATCATATGGTAGTTCTATTTTTAATTTTTAAAGGATACTCTATACTATTTTCCATAGTGGTTATACCAATTTACATTTCCACCAACAGTGTACAAGGTTTACTTTTCCCCACATCCTCATCAACACTTGCTATCTTTTGCCTTCTTGATATACCCATCTAATAGGTATAAGGTGATATCTGTGGTTTGAATTTGCATTTCTCTGATGATTAGTGATGTCAGGCATTTTTTTTATATACTTGTTGGCCATTTTGGTATGTCTTCTTTTATGAAATGCCTATTCAGGTCCTTGCCCATTTTTTAATTGGGTTATTTGATTTTTTTGCTATTGAGTTGTTTGAGTTCCTTATGTATTTTGGATATTAGCCCCTTATTAGATGGATGCTTTGCAAATATTTTCTCCCATTCTGTAGGTTGTCTCTTCACTCTGTTGATTGTTTCCTTTGCTGTTCAGAAACTACTTTGCTGCAATCTTGCATGTCAATTTTTGCTTTTGTTTCCTGTGTTTTTGCAGAAATATCCAAATAACTATTTCCCAAACCAATAATTTTTATTGTGTATTACATATAAATATACAGAAGTTTTCTCCGATGTTTTCTTTTAGTAGTTTTACAATCTCAGTTCTTATATTTAAGTCTTTTTTTTTTTTTTTCTTGAGACAGGGTCCCCACTCTGTTGCCCAGGCTGGAGTGCAGTGGCATGATCTTGGCTCACTGCAACCTCCATCTCCTGGGTGCAAGCGATTCTTGTGCCTCAGCCTCCTGAGTAGCTGGGATTACAGGCGTGCTCCACCATGCCTGGCTAACTTTTGTATTTTTAGTAGAGACAGGGTTTCACCATGTTGGCCAGACTGGTCTCAAACTCCTGGCATCAAGTGATCCACCCTCCCTGGCCTCCCAAAGTGCTGGGATTACAGGCGTGAGCCACTGCGCCTGGCTATATTTAAGTCTTTAACCCATTTTGAGTTTATTTTTGTATTTGGTATAAACTAAGTGTCCAATTTCCATGTGAGTATCTAGTTTTCCCTAAAATTTTCAGGTTTTTATTTAGCCATGGGTCTACTGGTAGCTAACCTTTTTATAATTAATTTTTTTATTTTTATTGAGCTATAATTCATATACCATAAATTCACCATTTTAAAGTGCACACAATTTAGGAGTTTTAGTATATTCATAAAGATATGCAGACATCACCATTACCTAATTCCAGAGCACTTTCATCACCTCCCTAAAAACACCAATATCTATTAACATTTACTCCCCGTTTCCCCAAACCCCAACTCCACCCCCTAGTTGTAGGCAACCACTAATCTATTTTCCGTAATTATAAATTTGCCTATTCTGGACATTGTATATAAATGAAATGATATAATATGTGGTCTTTTGTGTCTGGCTTCTTTCATTTAGCATGCTTTCAAGGCTAATTCATGTTGTACCAGATATCAGTACTCCTTTCATTGTTATCGTTGAATAATATTCCATTGTATGGATAGACCACATTTTGTTTATCCATTCATCAGTTGATGGCATTTGGGTTGTTTCTACTATTTGGATACTGTGAATCAATCCTTTTTTTTTTTTTTTTAAAGAGATGGAGTCTCACCCTGTCACCCTGGCTGGTGTGCAGTGGTACAATCACAGCTATCTACAGCCTCGAACTCCTGAGCTCAAGTAGTCCTCCCACATCAGTCTCTCGAGTAGCTGGGACTTTAAGGGCACACTACTAGACCCAATTCATTTAAAAAAAATATTTTCTGTAGAGAGAGAGTCGAGTCTTGCTATATTGCCCAGGCTGGTTTTGAACTCCTGGGCTTAAGCAATTCTCCCGCCTCAGCCTCCCAAAGTGCTAGGATTACAGGCATGAGCCACTGTGCCCTGCTGTGAATCAATTGGGAATGACTGAATCATGCCATGACTGTTAACTACTTTTTTGGTTAACATCTAATGAGAAACTATGGTTGCCATTTACAACTCTAGAGACGTAGAAATTTTATCTTTTATCTTAGTCTCAACAACTCTGTGAGGTACATCTCATTATCAACACTTCCAAAAGGAAGGCAGAGATCCACAAAAGTACTATGACTGGCCCCAAGACATGCAGCCGTTACGTTCATAGATTTCAGACTCAACCTTTGACTACAACTGTGGTGTCTTTTTCATGATTCTATTTTGCCTTAAAAACTGCTGTATAAGCATGGTGAAGTTCATTCTCCTCTCCAAATTCACTTCCTCATGAATAAAATATAAGAATAAATCAGCTAGCCCTGATGTGACACACAGTATACTTAGATTTTTCCTGGAAGTGGACCAGAAGTCAGAAGACCTAATCTTTGTCGCTACTTCCTGGGTGATTCTGGGTAAGTCACTTCCCTCACTGTCAGCCTGCTTCAGAGACTAAAAACAATCATAAATGAATTTTGTTTGGCCTACAAATGCTTACTTTTTAAAACTAACTTTTAAAATGGGATAACATTTAATAATCAGAGCACTTCACAAAAAATTCAAACAACCAGCTTCTCTCTCTCTCTTTTTTTTAAATTTTAAATTCAAGTCAAACTGCCTAGATATGAAGGTTAGCTGTTTTATAGTGTGCAAGTAGCTTCACCTCTCTCTAGGCCTACTTGCTCATTTTAAAAACATGGATAATAATAGCACCCATCTTAGAGTTGTTGTTAAGATTAAATGAGTCAGTAGAACAGAACCTCACATTTGGTAAGCAATCAAAAAATGTTAGTTACTATGTATTAGGTTCCCTGCTTAGCTCCTATCAGCATTTAACTTGGAACCACTTTTTTTTTGTTTTTTTTTAACACAGGGTCTGGAGTGCAGTGGCATGAACATGGCTCACTGCAGCCTCGACTTTCCAGGCTCAAGTGATCCTCCCACCTCAGCCTCCAGAGTAGCTGGGACTATAAGCACAAGCCACCAGGTCCAGCTAATGAAAAAATTTTTTTTGTAGAGACAGAGTCTCACTATGTTACCCAGGCTGGTCTCGAACTCCTGGGCTCAAGCAGTCTTCTCACCTCAGCCTCCCAAAGTGCTGGGATTGCAGCCGTGAACCAACACACTCAGCCTGGGACCACTCTTGACCACCCCTAATCCCTTCCCAGAGTTCTGGAACCAGCCCTGTCCTTTCCTATTCCATATTTCGGCATGTTTTAACAGACCTCTCTGAGTGGTCTGTGCTCCCAACCCTTAGCCTCCAGACTGATTGCCCTTTTTCCTTCTCACATAAAAAAGATATCGCCCAAGTTTCCAGGTCGTTAAATGCCTCTCTCATTCACGCCACATATCCACTTTCTTTTTGCATTGTCAATTTTTTTTTCCTTCCCCTTTCTTCTGTTTAAAAGCCCATGTTAGATGGTCGGAATGAGCCTTGTCTAGGTCCTGGGCCAGGATTTGCCAGTAAAGCACTGAATAACTGTGGTCAAGTATTTTCCCTCTTCTTATTTCCTCATGTGTAACATGAGTGGGTTTTACTGCTGGAGATGTAATGATCCATTTAAGTACAAAATTCTGATTTCTTCTTTCTTCTCTCCATCAGTTTTAGAGCATACATGTGATGACTCGTCATGCACCCATTATATTTTCTTTTTCTTTTCTTTTCTTTTTTTTTTTTTGAGACAGAGTCTCGCTGTGTTGCCCAGGCTGGAGTGCAGTGGCACGATCTTGGCTCACTGCAACCTCTGCCTACGGGGTTCAAGTGATTCTCCTGCCTCAGCCTCCCGAGTAGCTGGGACTACAGGCACGGGCCACGATGCCCATCTAATTTTTGTATTTTTGGAAGAGACGGGGTTTCACCATGTTGGCCAGGCTGGTCTTGAACTCCTGACCTCAAGTGATCCCCGGCCTCAGCCTCCCAAAGTGCTGGGATTACAGACGTGAGCCACTGCGCCCAGCCTATTTTCCTTGACCACCATGTCTCTCAATTTTCCTTCACCATCATGTCTCTCAATTTTCCTTCTGTCTCTTGTTCCAAAGGGCTCAGGATATTCTCTGTTCTCAGCACACTTCCATCTGTGTATTTCCTTAGCAGGGTGTGAGTGATGCAAAGGTGTTCGGCTTTCTAAGGGAAGGGCTGACTTACTAATGACTGACCTATTTATGGTGAGGAAAACGATTTTCTAGGGAAAGCCAGGATAACTAACAATGAAACTGATAGACACACATGGGATAACTGTGTGAGTAATGACTGGGTGCCTTGCAGGGGTGTAACTTACCAAGAGACCGACTTAGCGGGAGCCTAACTAACCAATGAACAGGGCAGGTTCTGAAGGGAGTGGATTTTCTCATGAACTGATTTTCAAAGGGACTAACCGTTGACTCATAAGGGCACTGACCTGATTGTGAACCCACGGGCCGCTTGCTTACCTTCTTGGTAGATGGATGTCGCCCCAGCTGCCCTCTGGCTGACCAGGTGACTGACGTGGTGGAGGCTGAGGAACGCTGGCTCCTGGCGAACTCCCTGACTATGCTTAATCTCACCGCCTGACTGTTCAGATTTAGCCTCTGTCTGACCAAAGGGCTCTCAGGGGCCTCACTGGCACGAGAGCCGCCCTGGTGGCCTAACCGACCTGCGGCTGCCCCACGGCCCAAGGATCCGCTGACTGACGCTGACTGGAAGCCCAGTTAGTGCAGTTTCAATGAAGGAACCCAACAACCGCCAACAACTGCCAGGGACCCAACAACCGCCAGAACCCAACAACTGCCAGGGACGCCAACAGGCCAGGCACAGCCTTATGCGACTAGGGATCCTCAGTCGGCTGCACAGAGATAGCGGCGTGAGGGGCGTGATAGCCGCTGCAAGACCTGCTAGCTCGCATCCTTAGGTGAGTGCATCCACCCGCAGCCAATCAGCGGCTGCATGGGCTTACTTTACACAGCCAATCAGAGGCTGCATGTGCTTATTTTACAACCAATGAGAGGCTGCATGGGCTTATGTTGCAGCCAATCAGAGGCTGCATGGGCTTATTTTATAGCCAATCAGAGGCTGCATGAGCTTTTTCTACAGCCAATCAATGAAGCAGAAGCATTGTGCCCACAGGCGTGTGCCCCTGGGAGCTGATGCACGGCTGCCAGAGTCAATCAGGAACTGCAACTGCAACTCCCTCCTCCAACCTTTGTGCCCAATTGGATCTTGAGGGCTTGAGCCAATCCGCAGCTGGGGGCGGTGCCAGGGTAGTTTGTGGGCCAATTTTCTTCCCAGCAAGGCCTTTCCAGCCCGTGCTGATGAAACCACACTCCTCTCCAACCCTGAGGACTCCGTTCCTCTTGTTTAACCCTGTTTATTTTTTCTCACACTTTATCCGTCACGCACTTTCTTACCCATTACACTTTCAAAATGACAGAGGCATTTGAGCCAGAGCAACTCCGTCTTGAATAGGAGCTGGGTAAAATGAGGCTGAGACCTGCTGGGCTGCATTCCCAGAGGGCTAAGGCATTCTAAGTTACAGGATGATATAGGCGGTCAGCACAAGATACAGGTCATAAAGACCTTGCTGATAAAACAGGTTGCAGTAAAGAAACCAGCCAAGGCTGGGCTCGGTGACTCACGCCTGTAATCCCAGCACTTTGGGAGGCTGAGGCGGGCGGATTACCTGAGGTCAGGAGTTTGAGACCAGCCTGCCAACATGGCGAAACCCTGTCTACTAAAAATACAAAAATTAGCTGGGCGTGGTGGCAGGCACCTGTAACCCCAGCTACTTGGGAGGTTGAGGCAGGAGAATCGCTTGAATCCGCGAGGTGGAAGTTGCAGTGAGCCGAGATTGCACCACTGCACTCCAGCCTGGGCAACAGAGTGAGACTCTGACTCAAAAGGAAAAAAAAAAAAAAGAAGCCAGCCAAATCCCACCAAAACCAAGATGACAATGAGAGTGACCTCTGGTAATCCTCACTGCTACACTCCTACCAGCACCATGACGGTTCACAAATGCCATGGCAACGTCAGGAAGTTACACTATATGGTCTAAAAAGGGGAGGCATGAATAATTCACCCTTTCTTTAGCATGTCATCAAGAAATAACCATAAAAATGGGCAACCAGCAGCCCTCGGGGCTGCTCTATGAAGTAATCATTCTTTTATTCTTTTACTTTCTTAATAAACTTGCTTCCACGTTACTCTATGGAATAGCCCTGAATTCTTTCTTGCAAGAGATACAAGAATCCTCTCTTGGGGTCTGGATCAGAACCCCTTTCCTGTAACAAAAACACTTTGTGCTAAATATCATTTGCTAATGGTATTTTTGTTTATGGTTTGACTGTGCCACTAGAATAGAAGCTCACTTTTTGGTTTTGTTTTATGGTACATGGGAGACCTCCACTCCCTATTACAACAGTCTCCACCTCCCTGTTGCAGCAGTTCCCCTTCCACTGCTGCAAAGATTCTTCTCCCTTTATTGGAATAATTGTTTTGGATAAAATCTTGCCTTATTTATGTGCAGATTTTTTTTTTTTAATGTGACAGACTGAAGGATGATGTTCACCCTCCAGGGCCTTACTCCATGGCCCTTACAGCTTGCAGAGCAGGCCCCAGATAGACTTCCCGAGAGGGGACCTGACTTTGTTCCCTTTACCCTAGCTGTAGCAGACTGACTGCTATTACCTAAACATCTGCCAGCCCCTCTTCTACCTCCTTGCTTTGTAATTGATATTATCAGTACCTAAACTGCTTTTCCTCGCTTCTCTGCTTGCTGGCTCTTGCTTTCCCTTCAAGGTGCAGTTAGAAAGGGGCTTCCTCTGAGAAGCCTTTTCTAACTTCTTTCCCATCCCTGAAAGCTCTTGCCCTTGGGTCCCCAGACCCTAGGCCATAATTATCCCCATAATTTATATCCTTTGCCATCTTTATAGGAACCTTATCATACTGTGTTTCAGTAAGTTACCTATTTCTGTCCCTTTCCCAAACATTACCCCATGAACTTGAGCTCTCCCAATTGTCAAAATAACTAACTGGGAAGCCATTAGGCTGAGATGGCTCCAAGGCCTTTGTTTCCAAGTAAGCAAATTCAAACCTAACTCAAAGTGAATGGTCATATCCTAGAAAAATGAAACTTAGGCTTAACCAATCGAAACTGCCTACTAACCTCTAAGTAGAGACTTTACCAATCAGAAACTGCAAGTTGACCTCTAATTACAAACTTTAAGGCTACCGTTCCCCTTTAACCAAATGAAACTATTTTCTTTGTTTTGATTCCAGGAATACCTTATAAAAGTTTTCCTTGTGTGCCCACTAGGTGGTTTGGCACTTCTGGATTCATGAATGTCAGCTCAAATAAATTCTTTAAAATTTTAATGTGTCTAAGTTTATATTTTCATATGAGCCAGGGACTGTATCTTCTTCCTTTTGATGTTCTTGGAGGAGCTGAAGCAGCTAGGTTACTTGGGGTATAAACATGGGGTTCCGCTGGCACATGCCAGGACAATTTAGGACACAGAAACACACGAGGATTTTAGGAGTGGAGGTTTAATGGGTAGAAGAGAAGAGAAAGAGAAACTGCTTCCTCTAAAGAGGAAGGGGTCTTGGAACGGAAAAAAAGACCATCTGGTGGTGAATGCTGCAAATTTTATAGTCCCATTTGAGGAGGTGGTGTCTGATTCACATAAGGCTCATAGATTGGTTTGATCGGGTATAATGTTTAAATAGCACACAAGGAAGGCTGGTAACCCCACCCTAATCTTCTTATGCAAATGGACTTTCCAGTTGATCAGTGCCACCTTGTCTGCTCCTTACAGCACGTGACAGAGAAGGGAAGATGGAGCGGCCATCTTGAAAATGTCCATTCCTTAGTTCCTGCCGTCATTCACTCATGCAAGCTCCCAGGTTGCAGGCTGCTCTTTGTTAGAAACTGATTTGGGGCTGCTTTTCATTAAAAAGAAAAGCCTTACCAAGGACTCCCATGCCCTTGCTCTGGGCCTAAGTAATTCCTTCTTAACTCCTGTATTGGTGTAGCATGTAGTAGGCATGCAGGAAAAGTTTGGAAAACAAAGAAATTAGAACCTCAGGATTTCTCAAGACCGTCTTCATAAATGTGATAACAAAGGAATTCTTAACAGGACCCGTTCAGGATTAAACAAGTTTTACTGGGGGTCTTGAGACCCTTGAGACACTAGGGGCTATCTCTCCCTCCGTCTGCCTCTCAGGGTGTACTTTTGCTTTGCGATAAACTTCTTCAAATGCACTAAATTGTTTTGAAATTGGGCAACGGCCGGACACGGTGGCTCACGCCTGTAATCCCAACACTTTGGGAGGCTGAGGCGGGTGGATCACCTGAGGTCAGGAGTTCGAGACCGCCTGATTAACAAGGTGAAACCCCGTCTCTACTAAAAATACAAAAATTAGCTGGACGTGGTGGCAGGCACCTGTAGTCCCAGCTACTTGGGAGGCTGAGACAGGAGAATTGCTTGAACCCAGGAGGTGGAGGTTGCAGTGAGCCAAGATCACACCAGTGCACTCCAGCCTGAGTGATGGATCCAGACTCTGTCTCAAAAAAAAAAAGAAATTGGGCAACATAGTGGTTTTCGTAGTGAACTTGAAGAACTAGAGAAAGTTCATTTTGTTCAAGTATCTATGTGAATACAGAGGAGGAAGGCTCTAGTTCAGTGTTTCTCAATTTGGTGCTTTTTTGCACCCTGATAGACACCTGACAATATCTGGAGTCCTTTTTTGGTTGTCAAAACTGGACTAGGGGAGCTACTGACATCTTGTGTGTACAACCTAGAGACGCTGCTCAACATCTGACCATGCACCCTTGTTCCTGGACCAAACCAAGGGTCAGGCTGCTTATTCTCTTAGCCCAATGACAAGATGCAGGTGAACTGGGAGAGAAGGGAGTTTATTTCTGTAACTGGGCACAGGGAGAAGATCTGGAAAATATTGCCAGACCAACTCAAAATTACAAAGTTTTCCAGAGCTCATATACCTTCTAAGCTATTTGTCTACATGTAAGAGTGCATTCATCTGGACGTAAGCGATTAACTTCTTCCAATCTGTAACTAAGATGTCAGTCCTGAAGATCTTCCTCTGTAGCCTCAGTAAATTTATTTAAACTAAATGGGTCCAGGTGCTGGGGTGATTACCCTTATCTTGTCTCCTGCTAAATCATGGAGGTTTGGGGAGTTCCTTCAGACCCCCAATAAACTTGTTTGTGGAGGCTTAGAGGAGTTTCTTCAGACCCCCCAATAAAACTTGTTTAATCCTAAACGGGTCCTGTTAAGAATTCCTTCATTATCTTGTTATGCTCAAGGCCCAGAAAAGGCCTGGGCAAAATTCTTGGTGGGCTTTTGTTACATTCCAGCCTTTGTATGAGGGCACTGGCTCTGTCAGCTTTTAATATTTAACTTAACCACTCAATCAGTGCTGAGACAGTTGTTATGGAGGCCTGCCTGTTCAGCGGTTAGGGAGACCTGACCTGCCACACCCTCCCCTAACCACCACCACCAAAGAATTATCCAGCCCCAAATGCCAGAATATGAATATCGTTGAGGTTGTGAGGCAGGATAAGTAAGGTTAGGAGGCCATACTCACTTGTATCCTTGCGCAAAGCCCCATGGATCCCTTTCGAAGCAGATTCTTTGGTTTTCACTCTCGTGAGTCAGCACCTAACTCTTGCAAGATAAACAGTCCTACAGGATACAAGCAGACCACCAGATGGTTGCAAGTTCCTGTTAATGTGGCCTGGGAAAGAGAACAAAAGCCACTTATTCATGGTGTAGTTTCCCCAGTCTCCAGCCAATCAACACCAAAAACCCAAGAAGCTGTGAGCTACAAATTCCTGCCTTGGGGGAGCTGGGAACTTCTCCAGGGCTCTGCGTGTGCAGCTATGTTCAAAGTTTAGCTTATAGTGACCTTTTCCTCATTTGAATAGTAGAAAATACACCCCTAGGTGGAGATTTTATATGCTAATGATACATGCAATGCGTGTTAGAGCACATAGATTCTGAGTGCATGCCTTTCATGCTGGACTCACCAATATTTTATGAATATGTATGTATAGTTCCCATGAAAGGAATTACCTTGAGATGCTAGAGGCTGTCTCTCCCTCCCTCTGCCTCTCAGGGTGTACTTTCGCTTTGTAATAAACTTCTTTGCCTACTCTTACTTTGGACTCGCTCTCAAATTCTTTTGTGCCGCAAAGTCAAGAACCTGAACTGGCCCACCAACAGCAGTTGATAAACTGCTCTAATCCAAGCTGTGGGAAAGTACAGGGGCTGGGAGAGGGGACAGGGTAGGGAATGCAGCTTGTCTGAGGAGGTGATGTTTGAACCAGCTCTCAAAGGATGAGTGTGTGCTGCAAAGAAGGAGGGCAGGGGACAATATTGCAAAGAGACAGAACCACATGAATGAAGCATGGAGAGGCACAGAGGGACATGCAATCTCTAGGATGTGGCTGAGATGTGTGAGGGGTGGTAGCTGAGGGTGAGATTGTAAAAAGTTATTTTTTGTTTTGTTTTGTTTTGTTTTTTGAGAAAGAGTCTTGCTCTGTCGCCCAGGCTGGAGTGCAGTGGTGCGATCTCAGCTCACTGCAACCCCTGCCTCCCGGGTTCAAGTGATTCTCCTGCCTCAGCCCCTCACGTAGCTGGGACTACAGGTGCATGCCACCACGCCTAGCTAATTTTTGTATTTTTAGTAAAGACGGAGTTTCACCATGTTGGCCAGACTGGTCTCAAACTGCTGACCTTATGATCTCCCTGCCTCAGCCTCCCAAAGTGCTGGGATTACAGGCGTGAGCCACCACACCAGGCCTTTTTTTTTTTTTTAGACAAGGTCTCACTTTGTTACCCAGGCTGGAGTGCAGTGGCGTGATCTAGCTCACTATAACCTTGAACGCCTGGCTCAGGGGATCCTCCCACCTCAGCCTCCCAAGTAGCTGGGACTATAAGTGCGTGCCACCACACCTGTCTAATTGTTCTTTGCTTTTGTAGAAACAGGGTCTCTCTATGTTGCTCAGGCTGGTGTTAACTCCTGGCCTCAAGCAATCCTCTTGCCTCAGCCTCCCAAAGTGCTGGGATTACAGGCATGAGCCACTGTTCCTGGCCTGGGAAAAGCTTGAATAACTCTCACTAGAGTCAGAACATCATCTTGAGGCAAAGAGGCAGGCATGGGAGGATATTTAGCAAGAAAGATACAGGGTTAGAGGTGAGTATTAGAAAGCTCCCATTGCTGATGGTTTTGGTGATGGGCTGGTTGGGGTGGGACTGGAGCCCAGAGGCTGGGGAGGAGGCTTTTGCCATGTTCTGGGGAAGAGGAGTCAAGATGGGACCTGGATCTGAGAGTAAGGGGAAGGGGACAGGCCAGGAACTTGGTGACTTACAGGAATGGGTGAAGAGGGAAAGGGAGAAGTGGAACAAAACTCTGGCCATGGAGACTTAAAATAGGCTTTATATGGCCGGGCACTGTGACTCATGCCTGTAGTCCTAGCACTTTGAGAGGCTGAGGTGGGCAGATCACCCGAGGTCAGGAGTTCAAGACCAGCCTGGCCAACATGGTGAAAGCCTGACAGTACTAAAAATACAAAAAATTAGCTGGGTGTGGTGGCAGGCGCCTGTAATCCCAGCTACTTGGGAGGCTGAAGCAGGAGAATTGCTTGAATCCAGGAGGCGGAGGTTGCAGTGAGCTGAGATCGTGCCATTGCATGCCAGCCTGGGCAACAAGAGCGAAACTCCATCTCAAAAAAAAAAAAATAGACTTTATACTTCACTTTTACTATCTTGCACGTCAGTTTTCCCTGTGACCACAGGGTCAGCCATGTAATCAGGGTGCAAGTGAAAAGCCTGGCGCCACAAGGATATAGCTGGAAACCTGCAGGTCATTCAGTGAATCGAATCATTACCTTGAAGAATTTGGCTAGTGGCTGAGTTCACTTTGACCAGCCCCCAAGAGCTGGGGGCTTGGCATGCACCAGCCACTCTGTCAAGCATTGATTCATTGAATCCTCAGGATGAACCAGTGAACTAAGTGGTGCTATTATCCCCATTTAACAGATAAGCAAATGGAAGTAGCAGGAGGTTCAGTGGTGAGGCAGGTGTTCAGATGCTGGAGATCTGACTTGAAAGCTTAAATTATTATTTTTTTTTATTGATGTAAAATCACGTTACATACAATGAACATGTTAAAGTGAACAACTCGGTGGCATTCAGTACATACACAACGTTGTGTAACCACAACCTCTGTTTGGTTCTAAACATTTTCATTGCCCCAAAAGGAAAGCATGTACTCACTAAGCAGTCACTGCCCTCCTCGAAGCCCCTGGCAACCGCCGACCTGCTTTCTGCCTCCAGAAATGTATTTCCTATTCTAGACATTTCATATCAATGGAATCATATGGTACGTGATCTTTAGTGTCTGGCTTCTTTCACTTGGTGTGATGCTTTCGAAGTTCATACACGTTGTAGCATGTATCTGTACTTCGGCCCATCTTTATGTCTGAATGATATGCATTGCAGGAATGTACCAGATTTTGTTTATTCCTTCATTAGTTGATGGACATTTGGGTTGCTTCCAATTTTTGGCTACTGTGAAGGAAGTGAAAATTTTAATTGCTGCCTTCTGCTGCCTTCGTTAAGACAATTTTAACAGATTCTAGATCCTGGGAGTATAGCTGTGGTGGAGAGATGGATGGGAGCCTGTGGGATCCCAGAGGAGGGAGTTCCAGATTCGTCCCAGGGTAGTGCGAAGTTGAAGGATGCTTCATGCTGGAGAAGACCTTGTACTTGGGCCTTGAGGTATTTCATACTGTGGCCAGTGGAGCTCACAGTCCCCAGAGGAGAGGGAGCCAGGAGAAGGGAGGAGGAGGAGGAAGAGGTATAAACTCACCAGATTCAGGAAGTGGTTCAAACAGTGGCCTCTTAGAGGAACAGGCAGAGGAACCTAAATTGGGATCTGAGAGATTAGGGAAGGTAAGGAGGCCTGTTTCACAAGAAACCATGAATGTAGGCCAGAAATTTTGTCTTGGTGGGAGGTTAGAACTCGGCACAGGGGTGTTATGCTCTCCTTGCTCATTGAGATAGACTGAATGCTTATGTCCCCCCATATTCATATGTTGAAGCCTAATCACCAGTGTGATGGTATTTGAAGGTGGGGCCTTTGGTAGGTGATTAGGTCATGAGGGTGAAGCCCCCATGAATGGGATTAGTGCCCTTATAAAAGCGACCTGAGAGAGCTCCCTTCCCTGCCTTTCTACCATGTGAGGACACAGCGAGAAGGCATTGTCTATGAATCAGAAAATGAGCCCTCATCAGACATGGAATCTGCTGGTCCCTTGATCTTGGACTTTCTAGACTCTAGAACTGTGAGAAATAAATTTCTATTGTTTATAAGCCACCCAGTTTATGGTAGTTGGCTATAGTAACCCAAACAAACTAAGACACCCAGGCATTGAGTACCAGGTGCCGTGACTGCAGATGGGAATCCTCACACCTCTGGATGGCAAACCTGGAAGACAACCAGGCTTAAGGAAAGATGAGTCCAGTTTGGGGTGCATTAAAAGCATGGAGCCTGCAGGTCATTCGGGGAGAGATGTGCAGGAGAATATAGGAGATTAGAGCTTAGGAGAGAGGCCTGGGCTGGAAATGTAACTTGTGAGGCCTCATCAGAGTCCAACCTTGTGGTTCCCACCTGGATTGAGTTCAGGTCATTTCAAAGATTTACTGAGTACACTTCATGTGCTGTGTCCAAGGCTGGACTCTAAAAATACAGGGCTGGACATAGTACAGTTCCTGACCTGGGGAAGCTGACAGTTTGGAGATCAGAGCTAAATACTAACAAGGATAATTTATAAAAATATTAATGTAAATTTGATTAAAGAGTAACATGCATGTAGAAAAGGGAACACATCACAAGTGCTTTACCAAAAAAATTTTCACAGAGTGATGACATCTGAGCAATTAGTAGCCAGATCAAAAAAAAAGATCCTGGGCTAGGTGCAGTGGCTCATGCCTATAGTTCCAGCACTCTGGGAGGCTGAGGCAGGAGGATCGCTTGAGCCCAGAAGTTCAAAACCAGCCTGGCCAACATGCGGAGACCATGTCTCTACACCAAACTAAAAAAATTATTTAGGCGTGATGGTGCACGCCTGTAGTCCCAGCTACTCTGGAGGCTGCCGTGGAAAGATGGCTTGAACCAGGGAGGTCAAGGCTGCAGTGAGTCATGATGGCACCACTGCACTCCAGCCTGGGTGACAGAGAGATTCTGTCTCAAAAACAAAACAAAAACAAACAAACAAAATCCCCAAAGAACAGATCCTTACCAGAATCTCCCAGAACTCCCTAATGCCCCCTTCTAGTCGTTACTAACCACCAGCCCCTGACCTCCGCCCCACTAGTCACCAGTATCTGGACTTTGAACACCAAAGATTAGTTATGTGTGTTTCTAAACCTTGTATCAAGTACATCACATAGTATGTACTTTCTGTATCTGGGTTCTTTCACTCAACATTATATTTCTAAGATTCATACATGTTGTATGGAGTCATTATTTGCTTCTTCCATTGCAGAAATAATCCATAATTTATTTATCTGTATTACTGTTGATTGGTATTGGGTAGGTTTTATTTTCAGTCATTACAATTAGTGCTGCTATGAACATTCTTCTGTATATTTGAAGAACATTTGTATGCATTTCTGTTAGGTATGCACCTAGGAGTAGTTTGTAACCAGAGGAAACCTGTGCTGCTCCAGCCCCACCTCTGACAACTGCAGGGCTGTCCCCTCCCTGACACACTCACCCTCCCTCCCCAGGATGGGGCATGTCCCTCAGCCAGCAGCGCCCTCACTGCCCCTGCACCCTGGGCAGTTGCCTCCCATCTATGGGGCAGAGCACCCTGGGGGTCTGGGCTGGGTGAGGTGGACCCTGGAGGGGCACCCGCCACTCCCATGGGCAGGGGAGGCGGAGGCGGGCACAGCCTAGCAGGGTTCGGGCTTGGCCTCCCAAAGTGTTGGAATTGCAGGCGTGAGCCACCGCAACACCAGAATCTTCCATTTGTTTATCTAAAGGGTATTGTGAGCTTATGGCATAATGCTTTCACCCCCTGTAATGGTTTGGGTGCTGCTGATGAATTTGGGGCTGGTTTTCTTAAACTGATTTTTATCATTTTAATTAGGCTTTTTGGGAGGATGATTGTGAGCTTCTTTCTGCCATCTCAATTTAGACATCTACCTTTGAGGTCATTTGGAAGGATAAAAAGATGGTGCCCGATGATGACATGGTGACAGCCCTTCTTGGAAGAGGGATGTGGATTCAAACAGACAGGGAGGAATGCATTAGAATGGGGTCCATAGAGTGTAGGATGTGGCAATGGAAGAGTAGACTGAGCGAGATTCAGAGCAACATAGAATAGAGGTCAGCACACCACAGCCCGTGGGCTGCCTGTTCTGATAAATAGCATTTTGTCGGAACATGGCCATATAATTCATTTTCAGATTGTCTGTGGCTGCTTTGTTGCTACAATGGCGGAATTAAATAGTTGCAATAGAGACCACATTGCTTGCAAAACTGAACATGTTTACTATCTGGCCCTTTGCTAATACTGGTTGACCATCTCTGACTTAGAATGTCACATTGAGAAGCTTCAAATTATTCCTGTGGGTTGGGGATCTAGGGAACTATTTTCACTATGGTCAGCTCTGAGTTTTAGAAAATTCCCCAAATGCTAATATGTGATTTTCCCTGTAGCAGGACATAAAGAAAGCAGAAATCCGAGTAGGGGACAGGTGAGATGAAAAGAGAAGATTCAGGAGTGGAGAGAGATGATGTTGGAGGGTAAGTCAGGGAAGACATATATGGTGGGGTTTTGAGCAGCAAGTGAGATGGACATGTTGCTGATATAGTTCCAGAGATCAAATATCACTAATGACTTCTGTTCAAGGGGGAAGGAACCAGTATGCACCGAACTCTCACTGCACCAGGACTGGTGTTTTCCATGTGTACCTTTATTTAATGCTCACAGCATCCCTATGAGATAGGACTTCTTATACCTACTTCACAGAGAAGAAAATGGAGACATGGAAGGTTAAGGAGCTTGTGTGACATCATACACTTAGCAAATGAAAGAGCACAGATTTGATTCCACGACTCTCTGCTTGCAAAGTCTAAGATGATGTTAATATAGCAGGAAACTCACATAATGTCTATAAACCCATTGCCTGTGGGGTGTTAAATCTCCAAGAATCAGCCTTTGGTCCCCGACCTGTAGAGGATGTGGATCTTCTAGCTGAGCCTGATGCTCTTGTGGGTTCCTCACTGGGTCCTGACCTCTGAGTATTCGGTGGAGGTGTCCTTGGAAGGATTCATCCCATGAAAGTTGAGGGAAGCATAATGCAGCTCCTCATCCATCTCCACAGTAGGGGCGGCACCTGAACAGCTTGAGGTTTCAGTGGGGCCATGTAACTTGGACTTCTTCTGGTGTTTCTTATGGAGAGGAAAGAAGGGGGTTAGAGCAGGGCAGTGAGGAGGGGGACCAGGAGAAGGCAAAGAGGGTCAATGAAGTAAATTTGACTCTGACAGAACATTTATTCACTCTTTCATTCTTTCATCAAATGTTAATTAATTAAGGCTCTACTTATTCATTATCTAACACATGTAGCACGTATTGATTGATTCGCAATTCTCTTGAATACTCACAGAGACTAATGTGGAAAAATTCTGGGCAGCTACACTGACATCATCTTTGGCATCTATTATTTTAATCCATTTTACAGACCAGGAAACTAGGTCTCAGAGAGCTTAGGTAATTTCCAAAGTCACACATCTGTTGACCCTGAACTCGGTCCCAGGTCTCTGGGACCTCCTATGTGCTGGGCACTGGATCCTCAGGAGGGAGCAGAGCAGAGCAGGGGCCCTGTGATTTCCAGTACTGCAGGGGATGAAGACAGAAACAGACTGGTAATTGCAAATTGTGACAGTGTGCAGATGAACAGGAGAGAGTAGAATGATGGAGGTCTAATAAAACCCAGGCTTTTCCTTGTGGAGCTCATGGTGTGGTAGGGGAAGCTATGGGAATGCAGTTAGTTCAAGTGGTGCAAAGCCCTACACAAACAGGGAACATGGTATCATAAGAGACACAGGAGCAGATGCTGGAGAAATGGCAAGTCTACAGGGTACAACCATTTGCTGGTGCAGGCCCATTTCTTGGTTCTAGATTTGGGGCAGTGTTTCTCAAAAGAGTCCTTCAACTCACAGTTTCTGCCTCTTCTCCTCCCATTCTCTCTTGAACTCTCTCTAGTCAAGAGATCTTCCTCCAGCAGAAAAATCAGATCTGCTTTGCTGTCATACCACTTAGCTACATTCAAATAGCCATTTCTCAGATTCCATCTTACCAGACTTACCAGCATTTGAAACAAATGACCAACCTCTCCTCCATGAAGCCCCATCTTCCCTTGGCCACCAACACTACAGCCTGCAATTTCCTGGTCATTGGCTCCTATTCATTCTCAGCTTTCTCACCATTTACACCTCATCTCCCTAACATTAAATGCTGGAGGGTTCCAGGGCTGTGTCTGTGGACCCCTTCTCTTCTTTGTAGATTCATCGATTATTGGATGTTGATAGGGAAGCTCCCAACCTCTGTGTCTCCCACGTGGAGCCCTCTTCTGAGCTCCAGACACTTGCCTGCTACTTGTCATCTCCACATGGATGTCTCAGAGGCACCTCAAACTTACGGTAACCAAAATAATGTTTGATATACACTTGAAAATAGACTTCTCCTTCAAGGATGGCAATTTTAATCATTGGCAATTTGATTTTTTAAGTTTGAATTCTGAGTTAACCACATGAACATCATCATTGGCATCTATAGACATCTATGACATCTATGGGGTCTTCTTGGACATCCATGACATCTATGATATCTGTGGACCCACCTATGACATCTGAGACACTTATCGAGCAGAGCCCGTGAGCTATCTTTGCTCATGCCTTGCATGCACTCCATCACTCCACTTGCAAATACTGTTGACTCCACCTTCAAGATGTATCCGGAACCCAATTTCTCCACATCAGATTCATTATTCTTACTTGGGACTAAGTCTGAGTCAGTCATCTCTTGGCTTGATTATCTGTGTATCTTCTATTCTGGTATCTTCTCTTCTATACTACATACTAGAGTTTCTCACAGAGCAGCCAGAGTGACTCCCACTAAAATGAGTGTCAGTTCATGTCACTCTTCTGCTCTAAACGCATCAATAACTATGATGGACTTAGGATCCTGCAATATTTGCAGCTCCTATGTCTCTTCAACCTCATTTCCTACCTACCATTGTTCAGTCCACACTCCACCCCCAACACGTAACTCTGCCTTATCCACACTGTCCTACTTTGTTTCTCTAAAACATCAGATGTGTTCCGGCCTCAGAGCCATGGTACTTGCTGCTTCCTTGATGATTCTCTACTGCTCATACTGTACTCACTTTCTTTCTGCAGGTGTTTGCCCAAAGGCCATTCTTTGGCCCCCAGGACTGTCCAATCCGTTCTCCCATTTCATTTCCTGCCATAGCACTTATTTCATGCCTATTTCATGTATATTTGCACTGCTTATTTGTTCATTATTTTCATCCCTTTCCCCAATAAATGTTAAGCCCCCGATAGGAGGAATATTTTATATTTGTAAACTGTGTGTTTATAAAAATACAGAATGGCACAAGGACCTAGAGCAATTGGCAAATGGGATTATATAGATATTTCAGAATGAATGGGTGCTGGTTGACCCTGTGTTCAAAAACTTTACTGTGGTGTTCACTTTAGTCAGAGTTAAATAAATTAAAAAAAAAATCAGAGCTTGAAGGATGCACTGGAGTTGGGCAGGTAGCTATTAGGCATATGAGGAGGAGGGGACAGCCCAGCAATGATTCTGAGATGAGAAAGCTTGCCCTGCTTGAGGTGATTGAGTGGCTAATGTTGGGGGAGCATAGCACTGAAGGGGACTCTGGTTTTCCTGCTCCAAATGCCAGACCAAGTTGTTGGAATGCCAATCTTTCAGGAGTGTAGAGAAGCAGTGCATTTCAAACTTGGGAATGATGGGACAATGACCTTTTAGGGAGGTGATGCTAATGTTCTGGAGAGGAGAAATGGGAGGTGAGGCTGCAGCAGAATAAGGAGTAAGAGGGGCTCTCGGCTCAGGAGTGGTTGTGTTAAGCCGTGTTCAGAGGAAGCTCAGACATGCATCGTAGCATACTGGCACAGGAAGAGATGGAGGACTGGGACAGGAGGGGGCCATGTCTCTGGTTGGGTAATGGGGACAAGAGTGCCATCAGCGAGATGGAGAACCCATCAGGAGAAGTATGTTTAGGGGTGTGTCAACCAAGTGTTTCTGATGTTTTGACATCTGGGGCATTACTGACCCTTGAGAGACTGCCTTTCCCAAGGATAGTAGATTTCTAGAGCTAATAAAGGACTTGCATACAAGTGCACCTTTCATGTGCAAACCAGTCAATCTAAAGCCCACACTACCAGCTGGATCCTTTATTGAGCTCTTACACTCCAGACCACAATCCTCCTTAATAAACCCAGGGCCATGTACCAGACAACTAGAGACAACTCCTATACCCCAGAGTCTGCTGAAATTGTTCTAAGTAGCCAATCCTAAACCTGCCTAGCTTGCTTACCCTGTCTTGCCCATTCTTTTCCATGAAAGCCACAGTGAAGGCTCTTGTCCCATTTTCTCCTTGCTCCCTCTGCTTCCTGACTGACCCTGGTGCTTCTCCATATGGCCTTGCATGGTGTGGTGTGCCCTCTCGGGAACGGTGAATAAGAAACTATTTTTTTTTTCTTTTTGGGACAGAGTCTCTCTCTGTCACCCAGGCTGGAGTGCAGTGGTGCTATGTCGGCTCACTACAAGCTCTGCCTCCCGGGTTCATACCATTCTCCTGCCTCAGCCTCCCAAGTAGCTGGGACTACAGGCGCCAGCCACCACATCTGGCTAATTTTTTGTATTTTTAGTAGAGACGGGGTTTCACCATGTTAGCCAGGATAGTCTCAATCTCCTGACCTCGTGATCCGCCCGCCTTGGCCTCCAAAGGTGCTGGGATTGCAGGTGTGAAACACTGTGCCCGGCCAAGAAACTATCTTTTCAATGGCCATCATCTCCTGATCTGTTGGCCTCAACGTACCTGAAAAATATTAAAACCTACACTGTTAAACAGGAGGAAAGACAATAAGCTCAGTTCTGGAAATGCTGAATGGGGCATGACGGTGGGCCACATTGGGAGGAGGTGTCTGCAGGACAGACTGGATGCCAGGATGCCCCATCACTCACCGGGGAGGCTGACCCTGTGGTAGGGTGGGTGTCATTCCTGCCCACTGCTGTCCTGGCTGCTTTCCTCCTGTGGGTCTTCACTCTGATGGGAGACACCAGGGTCTTTGAGCCTGGTTTTCTCAGGCTGTGGGGCCATTGTTATGAGCCTGGAATGAGGGACTTTGGCAGGTAAAGGGTGGGATTAATCCAGGAGCCCTCAAACAAGACTTAGTCACAAGGTCTCCCTCTACCTCCCACTCCTTGGACATCTGAGATCAGGGCCCTGGAATAGACCCACGCCTATCCCAGTGGCCACAGGCTGGATTCTGTACATCATCACACCCCCTGCCCTTTCTCCAGCCCTCACAGCCCCTCCAGGACCCTTCTACACCAGGTCCATCCTCTTCACCTCTGGCCCATGCCTGACCCAGAGAAAATGCTCACATGAAGAAGATGAGGCAGAGACAAAGAGCGAGCAGGGCTGTAACACCAGCTCCTCCAATGGCCCCATGAACCACTCCTGCTCTGGTCTCTTGTTTCCCTGCAGACAAAAAAGATTTGGGGTGAATTCTAATCTAGATAAACAGGTATGTGTATCCTCCTCTCCAGCATGTAGAGAGGGGTGACTTCACCTCCAAAATGGGGTTTAGCTCCTAGATCTTCCCACCCATCATAGACATCAATATTGACCACGACCATGAGATGAAGTACACAGTGCACCTGACACCTCTTGTCCCACCCTCTCTCTCTGGTGCACAAAACATCATCTCTCCTAGGACTCAGGTTCCTCTCCACCCTGGGTCTTTCTGAAATGAACCTCAGACATAGCCCCTGAAGGACTGTGAAGCTCTGAGCCTCTTGGATGAGAGAGAGAGAAAGCACTGGAATGCTGATAGGCCTTGTCTCTTCTTTCTTCCCACTGGCCCCATCACTTAGGGTCAAAGGTGGTCCTTTTGGCCTTAAAAAGGGCCTGGAAGCAGGGTGGGGCAGGGAGGTGGTTCTCAGACCTTCTTAGACCCAGACAGTTCTCCTGGACCTGCCTGGCTGTGCCTTCTAGGTCCCAACACTCAGAGTCAGGGGCGTGTCTCTGAGCATCATTGTTAACAGTTTGATAACCACTACTGAGGGAACTGTTCCTGCTCTCACTGGGCTCACTGTCCACTGAGGTGCCAGATGCCATTATTAATTGGAATAGGGCAGTGGAGAGAGCACTGGTCTTTGGACAGAGGCCAGGGCTAAGGGTTGAGGTATGGACAGTAGAAAAAAATGCCCTAAAGAGATTTTTAGGGAAGTGTGACTATTCTATATGATACTCTCATGGTGGATTCATGTCATTATACATTTTTAAAAAGCCTGTAAAATGTACAACACCAAGAGTGAACTTTAATGTAAACTATGGGCTTCAGGTGACAATGATATGTCAATGTAGTTTTATTGACTGTAACAAATGTACCACTCTGATGGGGGATGCTGATGGCCGGGGAAACTATGTGTAAGGGTAGAGGGCATACGGGAAGTCTTAGTATCTTCTGCTCAATTTCTTCATGAAAAATAAGGTTCATTTATAAATGCTCCCAAGATGATCAGCGACTAGAAGATTCCACTCAATTTTGCTGTGAAACAAAAACTACTCTGAAAAATAAAACCTATTAAAAAAAAATGCCCCCATTGGAGCAAAATGGCTCACCGGAGGTGCCTGGAGCTCATCCTCCCCCGTGTCACCAGACAAGAAAGGACCAAGGCAATGAATAAACCACAGCAAAGATTTGAGTGGAGTGTCGAAGGGAGAGTAGTGTAGTGCAGCAAGGGAGTGGAGAGTTACCTGTGGTAATTGGAAACCCAGGAGGGCAGCATGGAGGCACCCGGGCTTTGCAGCTCCATCTCCCCAGCCCAGATTGGTTTGTCCCAGAGACAGGAAGGATTTCCCCTTGTAGGGAAATGATAAGCAGAGGAATCCAACCAACCTCCAGTGCCACTGCAGATACCTACATTCCTTACTACAGGTTAATCTTACAGTCCTCACAAGCTCTGAGCACAGTTGGAAGAGCTGCCAGGAATTCACACAGCTGCATGGAGCATTTGGTGTGCACTCCCAACTCCCTAACCAGCCCCTGCGGGCAAGCTGCTACAACACAGAACCATCTTGAGACCACAGCCATCTCTGGAGTGCACCCTCCTCTGGGGGCCAGTGGCATGCACCTCTTTATCATTGTGCATCTTCATTCCACTAAACCTGCAGTAGTGGCTGAATACCACAATTAGAGCTGCATGGAGCCTGGGCCCAGGATTGGCTGGGACTCTGGCCCTGAACAGCAGAGAAACCAACCCCTGCTGCCCGTACTTCCAGCTGGAGGAAAGGTCTTATAGTCCCACTCAGGGCGAACACACAATTGAGTTGGCCAAACTACTGTGCATGCTCACCTGAATGGGAGAGACCTCTGAGCCAACAAAGAGTTGATACATCCCCAGGCTGGGGTAGTGGTTATGTGCTCACACACAGGCTCTGAGAAACAGCCTTACGGTGCCCAGACGCCTTCTGTGGACATGACTCTGGCCTGCCCAAAGGCCACTCTCCCACAATTAGGGCCTGAGAAACAGCCTTGTGAGCCAACCCTTTTAGACATGACCCCAGGCAGAATGTGCTTGCATTCCAGGCCTGAGAAACAGCCCCATGGGCTACCACTGGCTGGTACACCCCCTAGGCCAGCTGAGCAGTCTTACACTCACATCCCAAACCCTAGATAAAGCTCTGAGTGCTACTCCTGGCAAAAACACACCTAGGCCAGCCAAGAGTCATTCAGCTTCATCTCAGCCCTGCAAAACAGCCATGTTGGCACCTCCAGCAGATATGCCCCCAGGTCAGCCAAGTAGTTGGGCACCTGTGTCCCATTGTTTTAATTCATGACTTGAAAGAGAAATTTAACAGAGAGATAGATATTATATAAAAGAACAAAGCAGAACTCCTACAGCTGAGAACTCAATAAATGAAATAAAAAACCGCAATCGAGAGCTTCAACAACAGGCTAGGTCAAGAAGAAAAAATAATTTCTGAACTTGAAGACAGATCTTCTGAAATAACACAGGCAGGTAAAAATAAGAGAATAAAATAGAACGAAGGAAACCTACAGGACTCATGGGACACAATCAAGCAAATATTCACATTATGGTATTTCCAGGAGGAGAAGAGAATGGAAAAGGTGTAGAAAACATATTTAATCCAGTAATAGGTGAAAACTTCCCAAGCCTTGGGAACTAGAAGGACATCCAGGTCCAGGAAGCTCAAAGTACTCTCAAAATATTCAACCCAAGCAAGTCCTCTCCAAAGCTCATTATGCCAAATTGTCAAAAGTCAAGTAAAGAATTGTAAAAACAGCAAGGTAAAAGTATCTAGTCACATATAGGATTATCCTTATTAGACTAACAGTGAGTTTCTCAGCAGTAACATTATATAGGCCAGGATAGAATGGGATGACATACTCAAAGTACTGAAAGATAAAAAACTTAACAGTCAAAAATACTATACCCAGAAAAGCTATCTTTCAGAAAAGAAGGAGAAATAAAATATTTCATAGATAAGCAAAAACTAAGGGAATTCTAATCACTCTTAGACTGGCCTTACAAGAAATGCTCAAGGGGCCAGGCACAGTGTGGCTCATGCCTATAATCCCAGCACATTGGGAGGTGAAGGCAGGCAGGTGGACCACTTGAGCTCTTTAATTTGAGACCAGCTTAGGCAAATGGCAACACCCTACCTCTACAAGAAACACAAAAATTAGCTGGGCGTGGTGGCACATGCCTGTAGTCCCAGCTACTTGGGAGGTTAAGGCAGGAAGATTGCTTAAGCCCAGGAGGTCGAGACTATAGTGAGCCGTGATCATGCCACTGCACTCCTGCCTGGGCGACAGAGTGAGACACTTTCTCAAAAAAAAAATAATAAAAATAAATAAGAGAAGAAAAAGAAAAGAAATGCTCAAGGGAGTCTTACATCTGGAAGTGAAAAGGCAAAAACACGTGAACTTAAAACTCACTGACAGCCCATACACAAAGAAGAAAGAGAAAGGAATCAAATCTTATCACTACAAAAAAAAAAAAAACATCAGCCAACCACAAAAAGAAACAATAAGAGGGGAAGTAAGGAACCAGGAATATATAAAACAATCAGAAAACAATCAATGAAATGAAAATAACCTATTAATAATAATGTGTATGTAAATGGATTAAATTGTCCCATTTAAAATATATGGACTGCCTGAATGAATGAAAAGAAAATCTAGACTCAGCTTGTTGGGGTGATCAGATCCAACACTAGGCCGTGGGGGCCACGAAGTCCAGCGGAGTCAAAGGAATGAGACAAGACAAGTTAATAGTACATAAAGTGAGTCCAGGGGGCCGACGCTAGTATGGAGGCTGTGAAGGCCCCGAGCTCTGGGAGCCCACACTATTTATTGGTAATCAAACAAAGAAGCAGGTGGTGAGGACGTGCAGAAGTGGGGATAGACAAGTGAGAACGTGAGGACTTTGGGGTAGAAAGGTAGCGGTGCATCAAGCATAGCTGTGACGGTTTAGCATATGCTCTGCTACTTGAAATAATGGAGAACAAGTTCTTTTCACTCAAGATACAATCAATTTATGATCCTGGGAGAGCAAGGAGCAAGGGGCCAGCAAGTCTGGACACATTCCAGAGGCTATGAGGGGTTTTATGCCCAGAGCCCTGGATTCTTTCCAAGCCACGAGGGGTTTTATGCCCTGGGCTTAGATTGCAGTGTGGCAGGGCAGCCTTCCACCCTTAGGCACAGAGCTTGGTGTTCCATAGGCCACGAGGGGTTTGAGACCCTGGACCCAGGACATGTTCCAAGACTCTTTTACATTATGTCAGACAAGCAAGCCCTGCCTCAGCCCTTCTACCAACACAGCTATATACTGCTTACAAGAAACTTATCTCACCTAGAAGACACACATAGACTGAAAAGGAAGAGATGGAAAAAGATATTCTACCCAAGTGGAAATGAAAGGAAGCAGGAATAGCTATACTTATCTCAGACAAAACGGACTACAAGTCAAAAGCTGTAAAGAGACAAAGAAGGACATTATATTATTATAAAGGGGTCAGTTCAGCACTATAATATAACAACTGTAAATACATATGCACACAACACCAGAGCACCCAGATATGTAAAGCAAATATTATTAGATATAAAGGGAGAGATAGACTCCAATACAATAATAGTTGAGGACTTCAACGCCCCACTCTCAGCATTGAACAAATCATCTAGACAAGATTAACAAATAAACGTTGGATTTAAACTGCACCATATACCAAATGAACCTAAGATATTTACAGAACATTTCAACCGACAGCTGCAGAATACACATGGTTTCATCAGCATGTGCAACATTCCCAAGGATCGACCATATGTTAGAACACAAAACAAGTGCCAAAAATTTTTAAAAACCAAAATGTATCAAGTATCTTATTTGACTACAATTGAATAAAACTAAAAATCAATACCAAGGGAAACATGCAAACTATACAAATACACAGAAATGAAACAAAATGATTCTAAATGACCAATAGTGAAGGAAGAAATTAAGAATGATATTTAAAAATTTCTCAAAATAAATAAAAATAGAAATAAAATATACCAAAACCTATGGGACACAGCAAAAACAGTTTTAAGAGACAACTTGAGAGAAATAAATGCCTACATCAAACAATTAGACAAATTTCAAGTAAACCATTTAACTGTGCATTTCAAGAAACTAGAAAGCAAGAACAAACCAAATCCAAAATCAGCACAATGAAAGAAATCATAAAGATCAGAGCAGAAATAAATGAAATTAAAAAAAAATCAATGAACAAGTTCGCTTTTTGGAAAAATAAATAAAATTGACAATCATTAGCTAAACTAAGAAAGAGACAGAAGACATAAAAATTAATAAAATCATAAATAAAAAAGAAGATGTCACAATGGTTACCACAGAAATACACAGGATCTTAGACACTACTATGAACAATATGCCAACAAATTTGAAAGTCTAGAAGAAATGGATAAGTTCCTGGACACATATAATCTACCGAGATTGAATCAAGAAGGTATAGAAAACTTCAGCAGACAAACAACAAGTAATGAGATTGAATGAATAATAAAAGGCCCCCCAACAAAGAAAATTCCAGGGCTGGATGGCTTCAGTGCTGAACTTTACTGAACCTTTAAAGAAAAAAAAATTATGCCAACTCTTCTCAAACTATTCCAAAAAATTGAAGTGGAGGCAACTCTTCCTAACTCATTCTACAAGGCCAGCATAACCATGACACCAAAATCAGAAAGGAGACAATAAAAAAAGAAAACTAGAGGCCAATATCCCTGATGAACATAGATGCAAAAATATTCAACAAAATAGTAGCAAATCAAATCCAACAATACATCAAAAAGATAACATACCATGATAAAGTGGGATTAATCCCAGAAAGGCAAGAATGATTCAACATATGCAAATCAATAAATGTTATACATATGTCAACAGAATGAAGGACATAAACCGTATGATCACCTAAATAGTTGCAGAATAAAAAGCATGTGTTAAAATTCAATATTGTTTCATGATAGAAACTCTCAATAAATTAGGTATAGAAGGAAAGTACCTCAACACAAAAAAGGCCATATATGACAAACCCATGGCTAACATCATACTGAATGGAGAAAAGCTGAAATCTTTTCCTCTAGGAACTGGATGTCCACTGTTATGACTCTTATTTTACATAGTACTGAAAGTCCTAGCCAGAGCAATTAGGCAAGAGAAAGAAATAAAAACCATCCAAACTGGAAAGGCGGAAGTCAAATTGTCTCTGCAAATAA
Source organism: Homo sapiens (assembly GCF_000001405.40). Classification (NCBI taxonomy): domain Eukaryota; kingdom Metazoa; phylum Chordata; class Mammalia; order Primates; family Hominidae; genus Homo; species Homo sapiens. Next base: position 51,228,840 of record NC_000019.10, on the reverse strand, counting down.
CATACAAAAACCTAAAGACTTGGCCAGGCGTGGTGGCTCATGCCTGTAATTCCAGCACTTTAGGAGGCCAAAGTGGGCAGATTGCTTGAGGCCAGGAGATCAAGACCAGCTTGGCCAACATGGTGAAATTCCATCTCAAAAACAAAACAAAACAAAACAAAACAAAACAAAAACCTAAAGACTCTAACAATAAAACTCTCAGAACTGATAAATGAATTTAGTAAATTTGCAGGATGCAAAATCAATATACAAAAATCAGTAGCATTTCTACACACAATGAATTAGCTGAAAATAAATCAGGAAGGCAATCACATTTACAATAGCTATAAGAGAATGAAGTATACCTAGGAATAAATTTAACCAAGGAGGTGACAAGCCTTAATAAGAAAAACTACAAAACACTGAGGAAATAAACTGAAGAGGATACAAACAAATGGAAAGACATTCCTTACTCATCAGATGAATTAATATTGCTAAAATGATTATACTACCCAAAGAAATCTACAGATTCAAACCTGGCTCTATCAAAATATCAATGTAATTCTTCACAGAATTAGAGGAAACAATCTTAAAATTCATATGGAACTAAAAATAGCCTGAATGGTCAAAGCAATCCCAAGCAAAAAAGAACAAAGCTGGAGGTATCACACTACAAGATTTCAAAATTTCAAAACTAGAAAATTTCAAAATTTCAAAAATTTAAAGATTTCAAAACTACAAAGCTGTAGTAACCAAAACAGCATGATATTGGCATAAAAGCAGATACATACACCAATAATACATAATAGAGAACACCGAAATTAATCCACGATCTACAGCCAACTGAATTTTGACAAATGCATGAAGAACACTCATTGAGGAAAGAGCAGTTTCTTTAATAAATGATGCTGGGAAAACTGGTGCCATATGCAGAAGAATGACATTAGACTCACACCTCTCGTCCTATACAAAAATCAATTCAAAATGGATCAAAGACCTGAATATAAGACACAAAATTTAAAAAATACTAGAAAAAAACATAGGGGAAATGCTTTAGGACATTGGTCTGGAAAAATATTTTATGAGTAAGACCTCACTAGCACAAGCAACAAAAGCAAAAGTAAATAAATGAGATGATATCAAGCTAAAAAGCTTCTATGCAGAAAGGAAACAACCAACAGAGTGAAAAGGCAACCTACAGAATAGGAGAAAATATTTGTCAGCTATTCATCTGACAAGTGATTCATATCCAGAACATACGAGGAACTCATACATCTCAATGGCAAAGAAACCCAATCTCATTTAAAAATGGGCAAATTATCTGAGTAGACATTTCTCAAGAAAAGATATACAGATGGCCAACAAGTGTATATGAAAAATGCTCAACGTCACCAATCACCAGGGAAATGCAAATCAAAACCACAATGAGGTAACATCACCCCAGTTGGGAGGACTATGATAAAAAAAAGATGAAAATTAACAAATGATGGTGAGGATGTAGAGAAGAGGGAACTCTTATATACTTTTGACCAGAATGTAAACTAGTATAACCACTATGGAGAAGAGTATGGAAGTTTCTCAAAAAACTACAAATAGAACTACCATATGATCCAGCAACCCCACTACTGGGCATTTATAGAAAGGAAAGGAAATCAGTATATTGAAGAAACGTCTGCACCTCAATGTTTATTGCAGCATTATCCACAATAGGAAGATATGAAATAAACCTAAGTGTCCAACAACAGATGAATAAATAAAGGAAATGTGGCGTATATACACAATGGATTATCATTCAGCCATAAAAAATAATGAAATCTTGTTATTCACTATAACATAGATTGAACTAGAGGACATTATGTTAAATGAAATAAGCTAGGAACAGAAAGTTGAATACCACATGTTCTCACTCATAAGTGGAAGCTACAAGAAGTTGATTTCATAGAAGTAAAAAGTAGAACAGAGAATAATAAGGGCTGGGAAGGTTAGGGGAACAATGATAAGGAGAGAGATTTGTTAAAGGATACTAGATTACACCTGGAAAGGAAGAATAAGTTCTGGTGTTCTATACCACTGTAGGATGACTATGCTTAACAATAATAGATAGCTTCAAATAGCTAGAAAGGGGATATTGAATGTTCCCAACAACAATGAAATAATAAATGTTCAAGATGATGGATATGCTATTACCCTGATCTGATTACTATACATTATTAGTATGGAAACATCACTATGCCATCCATAAATATGTACTATTATTACATATCAATTAAAAATAAAATACCCCAAGACATTCAGAGACAGGAGGGAGACAAAGAGCATTATTTGGATGGGCAAGGGGGAAGTTGCTAGTCATCCCCAAATATCCTTTTCCAAGGTGCCTGATGTCTACCCGTGTCTAACTGCAGGCCTTGCCTCTGAACATTTGACTCTGAAAGTCCAGATCTGACCAAACCTGACACAGACTCAATGTCAGTAACAGCCCCAGGCGGGGAGGCTCCTTCCTACCTGAGCCATCTCCTGGAAAGATACCAGTTGTTGGGTTCTGTGGAACATCTAGGAGAGGAAGAGAGGATTTCCTTCAGTTGGGGGTAGAGATGAGATAAGGGTAGGCATTTCCCCTTACTCCTGCCAGAAACCACAGAAATGCAGAAGGGACAGGGCTCATGTCCTTCTGGCTCCCGAACTCAGCCAGGCCTCCAGGACACTAAATGTCCCCAGCACCAGCCCATCCTGTCTCCCCTACACCCTCAGGGACCCCAGCATCCTGGCCCAGCACTTACAGGTGACGTTGAGCTGGATGGTTCTCTCCGTAGTCACACCAGCTCCAGCGAACTTCACCTGACAGGTCAGGTTGGTGCCGTGGTCCTGGGGCCGTGGGGTGATTATGAGCACCGAGGAGTGAGTAGTCCTGGGGCCCAGGGAGGTGGGGGCAGCTGACAACCAGGAGAAGATCGGGGGTGTTCCCTGCTCACAGGCCCAGGACACAGAGCAGGTCAGGTTTTTGGAGTGGCCGGGTTCTAGAGTGCCAGGGATGAGGATTTTGGGCCTGTGGGTCAAGTCTAGTGAGGAGAAAGAGGGGATGCAGAATCAGGAGGGAGGGTCCAGGTGAGGGCCTGAGAGAAGATCAACCTCTGGTCAAGCTCCCCCGCTAAGCACGACAGGCTTTACCCCTAAACCCCTCCCAGTACCAGGGTCCCATCCCAGCCCTGCCCTGCAGTACCCATGAACTTCCCTTGCGGCCACTTCTGAAGCCTGTGCCTCACCTGTCACATGCACAGAGAGCTGGGGAGATTTGTAACTGTATTTGGTACTTCCTCTCTCCATCCGAAAGAAGTATGAACCATTATCCCTCCTCCTGGCGTCTACGATGCTCAGGGAGCAGTTGTTCCTACTGGGATCCCCAAGGAGGCGGAATCTGCCCTGAGTCTCCTCCTGTACTTCTTGATCTAGCTTGTTTGTGGCCACTGGAGAGTCCCTGGATATAATGGCTCCTTCCCGGAACCAGTAACCATGAACTGGGGAGTTCTTGTCGTAGTAGGGTATGGGATGGAAGAAAGTGCAGGGCACGAGGACGCACAAACCCTCCTGTACCGTCACTGACTCCTGCACTTGCAGCCAGAAATTTGGATCCATAGCCAGGGCCCCTGTGGGGAAACGAGGGTCAGCTCGGCCCAGCCCGACAACCCCTCTCCCCACAGCCACTCACCTGCCCACAGCAGGGGCAGCAGTAGCAGCAGCGGCATGTCTGAGGAAGCAGCTTCCAGGGCTTCCTGTGTGAGCAGAAAAGAGGAAGGGAGTGGAGGGGAAGGACTACAGGGCCGGACAGGAAGCTGGGGAGGAGCAGGAGACCTCAGCCCTGCATGGAAGAGGAACCTCAGACCCACACATGCTCAGAGCTTGTCCCCTCCACACAGATTGACCCTCATGGGCCAGAGATGCCAGAGACCCGCCCAGAGATGGGAGGAGATGGAGCAGAATCTGAGTCTTGCCTTCCAGGAGCACCAGAGCCTGGATCAGTACCTTCAGGGCCATCTGAGACATGCGAACCCCATGTCTAAAGTCCTTCCACTCTGAGGTGCTTTTCTGTGCACAACTGTTTACACCAGGGCTGATCACTGCTGGCCTGGCCCGAGTCGCAGCCTCACCTAGATCCATGGGGTGTTTAGTCCAGCAGGATATAGGATTCTATAGGGTCCGTGTGAGTGTCTGGGGCAGAGAAACAAAGAAGAGTCCTAGGTAAAGTGAAGGTGGCAGCCATTCATTTATTCATTCATTCACTAAAGATATAGTGAGTGACAGAGCAGGAGCACCGTCATCTCGGAGAAACACTGCCTCTTTAAGTTCCAATTTCCTTTCTAGCCTCATGCATTTCAAGGAAATCACTTCTCTGCTAACTACAAGCAACCAGAAAGAGCAGACAGTGAAACACAGATAAGACAGCTCGGGCACAGAGGGAGGTAGGGGGAGAGTCTCTTGAGTTACTGCCAAACTTCACCCTCATACAATGGCCCTAGTAAAACAGTGGGCCTTAATAAGCAAATTCCTTTCCCTTCAGGTGCACTAAGATAGGGAAGCTAAAAGCAGACTCAGTGGGTATGCCTGTAGCTGCAGAAAGATGTATGGGTACAGACACACACCTCTCTCTCCCAGATAAGCACAACAAAGAGACTCAGAAGCAGTCCAAGTCTCTGATAAACTCTCCCACCCTAAATCCTTAAAAACTCTTAGTCTGTAAGAGAGTGTGCCTCTGACTTAACTCGGCCAGAAACTCCTCTCAGGTTTGTTTTCTCTAAAATCTGTCTTGACTGGTGAGCCACCATTCGTGTTTCTTTCCTCTTTCTTTAATTCTTACAGTGAGCCTTTGTGTATAGGTGGGGCTTGAGAAGAGATGCCACTGACCTGATTCCTGCCCTTAAGATACTCCCCATCCATAGCCTCATGTCCTCACCACACACACACATGCTGTCTGGCTTTAGAGCTGTGAAAAGTTGGGAATTTGCCATGTATCATGGTAGCATATTGGAAATTTTAAAAGAAATATGACTATAGAATTTTCCCCTGGCACCTAGTACACTGATTTGCACAGTGTCAATGACATCTCCAAAACAAGAACCATGCAGCATCTTCCTGTGAAACAAAAGGGAGAACACATGTTCTATGAACCAGTGCAGAAAAAACTTCTTTTCCATTCATGCTGCCATTTGGTTCAGTGTGGGCAGAAGCAAGTTTTTTTAGAGGCTCATCATATGGATCAACATTTTCTTTCATGTAAAAATCTGCTTCTCACAGTTAAATATGGCCCAAAGACATAATATTTCCAGACAACATGAGTGGAGTGTACAGAGAAAATTAAACTTTAGGTCCAGCTACATGGTTTTCCATATCACTCTGTGTAGTATGCATCCAGCAAACCGTTGATCCCTGGGACATATTAGTACTTGCCACCATACCTTTGTCAAATCTCTACACACAATAGTATCTAGATAACTCTTCATTCATCCTTACTAATAGAGAGGTAGCTGCATCCTCATTTGATATACAACAAATTAAGTCTCCAGTAAATAATATCTGTTGTAAGTTATTTAAATATTTAGCATGTGGCACGTAATAGAAAATTCAATACATTTAGTGCTTTTTTTTTTAAGACAGGGTCTTGCTTTGTTGCCCAGGCTGGAGTGCACCGGCCTGACCACAGTTCACTGCAGCCTTGACCTCCCAGACTCAAGTGACTCTCCCACGTCATCCTCTCTAGTAGCTGGGATCACAGGCTCATACTACCAGGCCGGAGTAACTTTTTGTTTTTATGTTTAGGAGAGATGGGGTCTTGCTATGTTCCCCCAGGCTGATCTTGAACTCCTGGGTTCAAGCAATCCTCCCACCTCGACCTCCAAAGTGCTTTGACTATGGGCATGAGGCACTGTGCCCAGCCACATTTAGTTTTAACAATAAAGTCATACTATGTTCATGGACCAGAAGATCAAATATGAATATGTGAGTCTTACTGTGTTTCTTTAATGAATTTAATTAGGTATAATTTACATGAAATAAAGCACACCTACTTGAAGTTCACATTTGCATGAGATTTGACGAGTATGTACAGCCTGTATACTCACCACACTGCAGATATACAGCATTTCTAGTATGCCAAGGGCTTTTCTTCCCACCTTCTATGCTGGGCAACCACTGATATGTCCTCTTTCATTGTGAGTTAGTCTATTTGAAAATCTCCTAGAGATGTGTTAATTTGTGTCTGTATCCTATGACCCAGCATAATATTTTTTGAAACTGAACCACGTTGTTTGTGTCTGTATTTCAAAATGTGATATTGTTAAGTAGTATTCCATTTATGTGTATACTATAATGTTTTATTTCTCACCTATTGATAGACAAGGATTTTCCAGTTTTCTCCCTACAGGTATTCAGGTACAAGTCTTTTTACATACATGGTTTTATACTAATTGGTATACACAGGAAGATAAATAGTCAGACTAATGACTACTTGTAAGTTTAACCTTAGTAGGAATTGCCAAACTGTTGTCCAAAATGGTTTTGACTTTTTACCACTCCTCCTAGCCATGTGCCAGAATTCCAGTAGCTCCACACCCTTGTCGACGTATGATACTGTCCTGCTTTATATTTGAACAATTCTAGTGAGAGCATAGTGGCATCCAGTGTTTTAAATTTTTTAATTTATTTAAAGTTAGATACAGTTGAATTAACTCTTTATCATATGCAATTTTGATATGGTTTGAGAGTTGTATATAATTATATACCCACAACCACTGTGAAGACACTGAAGAGTGTCATTAACCAAACGTTCCTTCCTCCTGTCTCTGGGTAGTCAACCCTCCCTCCACACTTAGTCCATGAAAAAATGCTGATATGTTTTCCATCCCTACTGTATTGCCTTTTCACAGAATGTCGTATAAATGGAATCATACAAAATGTTGCCTCCAAAGTCTGGCTTCATTTACTTGGTGCAGTGCCTCTGAGGTTCAATCATGTGGTTGAGTGTATGAATCTATAGTTTGTTCCCTTTAATTGCTGACTCGTAACTCACTGTTTTTATGGACCCCCCATTTTGTATGCATTTACCATTTGAGGAGCATTCAGATTGTTTTCAGGTTTGGGTGACTATGAAATAATGTTGTTATAAATATTGGCATGCAGGTTTCTGTGTGTAACTGTAAGTTTTTATTGCTCTTGGGTAAATACTTAGGAGTCAGGTGCCTGGTCCTATGGTAAGTGTTCAGTTTAAATTTATAAGAAATTGTCAAACTGTTCTCCAAAGTTGATGTGCCATTTTGTATTCCCACCAGGAGTTATGTGTGAATTCTGATTGTTTCACATCCTTGTTAACATTTGATATTATCAGAATATTTAAACATTTCTTTTTATTTTTGTTTTGTTTTCTAGTTATGTTCTCAGGTATGTAATGCTACCTAAGAATGCTTATTCTCCTGATTTATAATTACCTAAGGACAAATGATCTTTAGTATGTTTTCATGAGCCTGTTTGCCATCTGTTTTTCTTTTCTGGTGAGGTGGCTGATAAAACCTTTGGCTACCTTTTTAAAATATTGTGTTAGTTCATTCTTGGCTTGCTATAGAGGAATATCTGAGACTGAGTAATTTATGAAGAAAACAGATATATTTTGGCTCACAGTTCTGCAGGCTGTGCAAGAAATGTGGTGCTGGCATTTGCTTCTGGTGAGGGCCTTGAGTACTATATTTTTTTGAGAAATGTGATTCACACCCTCTGTCCATTTTTAAGTGTTGTTTATTTTTTGTTATTGTTGAGTGGCTGCTTTTTCATTTACACAAAATTGGGCCTTTTGTTGTTGTTGTTGCTGTTGTGGTTTACTTATGTTTTTGTTTTGAGAGTCCTTGATATATTCTGGATACAAGTCATTCATCAGATACCTATATTCAGGTGTTATCACCCTGTAACTTATCTTTTGGCTGTCTTATCAGTGTCTTTTATGGTATAATAGACCCCATTCCCATAAATACGCGTTACATGAGTTGGCCCACTAGTGTGTCAGGACGGAAAGAACAGAGAAAGTAATAGAAAGAGAAGGCAAGGTCTGGAGGGCAGATGGGGGCCTCCTAGGGGGCAGAAGATCACACAGCGGCTCAGTAATCTGAATAATGACCCCCAAAGAAAACTGGGTCTTAGTTTCTTGAGCCTGTATTGTTACTTTATAGGTATTCTTACAACTTTAATTAAATTAATGATCTTGACCAGTGGAAATCCTGGATTATGCAGTCAACCCTTACATCTAATCACAAGAGTCCTACAAGAGTCCTGATAAGAGAAAAGCAGAGGGAGATGTGATATACACAGAAGGAGGCGAGGCCATGTGGCCCCAGAGACAGAAGTAGGAGCAGTCCAGCCAAAATTCAAGGAATGACACCAGCCACAATAATGTGGAAGAAGCGAGGTATGGATCCTCTCAAGTCTCTGGAGTGTTGTAGTCCAACCAACACCTTCATTTCTGCCTGGCCTTACTGATTTCAAATTTCTAGCCTCCAGAACTGTGAGAGAATAATATCTTTTGTTTCAAAACATGGAGAGGAACTTTTCCTGGAGGAAATGCATAAATTCCTAGAACCATAAGATTCTGCCAAGATTGAATCAGGAAGAAATAGAAATGCTGAACAGACCAATAACAAGTAGTGAGATTGAACCAGCAATAGAAAAAAATCTCTCAACAAATAGAAGTCCAGGACCAGATGGTTTCACAGTCAAATTCTACCAAATGTACAAAGAATAACTCTCCCAAAATATTCAGGAGGAGGGAATCCTCTCTGACTCATTCTATGAAGCCAGTATGACCGTGATATCAAAACCTAGCAAGGACACAATGAGAAAAGTAAATTACAGTCCAATATCCCTGATGAACATAGACGCAAAAATCCTCAACAAAATACTAGCAAACCAAATTCAACAGCACATCAAAAAGATAATTCGTCACGATCAAGTAGGCTTTATTCCAGGGATGCAAGGATGTTTCCGTACATGCAAATCAATAAATGTGATTCATCACATTGACAGAATTAAAAGCAAAAACCATATAATCATCCCACTAGACAAAGAAAAAGCTTTTGATAAAATCCAACATCTCTTCATGGTAAAAACCCTCAACAAACTAGACATTAAAGGAACATATCTCAAAATAATAAGAGCCATCTATGACAAACCCACAGCCAACATCATACTGAAAGGGTAAAAACTGAAAGCATTCCCCCTAAGAACTGGAACAAGACAAGGATGATCACTCTCTTCATTGCTATTCAACCTGATACTGAAAGTCCTATCTAGAGCAATTAATCAGGCAAGAGAAAGAAACAAAAGGCGCCCACATTGGAAAAGAGGAAGTCAAATTATCTCTGTTTGCTGATGATAGGATCTTAAATCTAGAAAACTCTAAGGACTCCTTCAAAAGACTCCTAGATTTAATAAATTAATTCAGTAAAATTTCAGGATACAAAATCAATGTACAAAAATCAGTAGCACTTCTATACACCAACAGTAATCTAACAGAAGAAAAATCAAGAAGTCAATCTCATTTTCAATTGCAACAGAAAAATACCTAGGAATATATTTAACCAAGGAGGTGAAAGATCAGTACAAGGCAAACCACAAAATACTGATGAAATAAGTTGTAGATGACACAGATGAATGGAAAAATGGAGCATCCCGTGCTCATGGATCAGAAGAATCAATACCTTGAAAATGACCGTACTGCCCAAAGCAATCTACAGATTCAATGCAATTCCTATCAAAATACCAATGTCATATTTCACATAATTTGAAAAAAAATTCTAAAATTCATATAGAAACAAAAAGAACCCAAATTACCAAAGCAGTCCTAAGCAAAAAGAACAAAGCTAGAGACATCACATTACCTGACTTCAAATTATGCCACAAGGCTATAGTAAACAAAAAAGCATGGTACTGGTATAAAAATAGACACACAGATTAATGAAACAGAATAGAGAACCCAGAAATAAAGCCATATACTTACAGCTACCTGACTTTTGACAAAGTCGACAAAAACATACACTGGGGACAGGACACCTTATTAATTAAACGGTGCTGGGAGAATTGGATAGCCATGTGCAGAATAATGCAATGGACCCCTATCTCTCACCATACACAAACATTAACTCAAGATGGGTTAAAAACTTAGATGTAAGACCTGAAACTATAGAAATACTGAAGAAAACCTAGGAAAATCTTTTCTGGACATTGGCGTAGGCAAAGAATTCACAACTAAGATCTCAAAGCAAATCCAACAAAACAAAAAATAGATAAACAGGATGTAATTAAACTAAAAAGCTTCTGCATAGCATAAAAAATAATCAACAGAGTGAACAGACAACCTACAGAATGGAAGAAAATATTTGCAAACTGTGAATCTGATAAGAGACTAATATCCAGAATGTACAAGAAACTGAAGCAGCTTAATAATAAAAAACAAAAAATCCCATTAAATAGTGGGCAAAAGACATGAATAGGCAGTTTTCAAAAGAAGACATACAAGTGGCCAAGAAGCATGTGAAACAGGTTCAACATCACTAATCATCAGATAAATGCAAATTAAAACCGCAGTGAGAAATCATCTTCCACCAGATAGAATGGCTATTTTTAAAAAGTCAAGAAATAACAGATGTTGGTGAGGATGTGGAGAACAGGAAATGCTTATACAGTGTTCATGGGAAGGTAAATTATTACAGCCTCTACGGAAAACAGAGAGATTTCTCAAATAACCAAAAATAGAACTACCATTTGATCCAATGATCCCACTACTGGGTAAAGGAAAAGAAATTATTATATCAAAAACATACCTGCACTCGTATGTTTGTAGCAGCACTATTCACAACAGCAAAGATATGGAATCAACCTAATGCTTATCCATGGATGATTGGATAAAGAAAATGGGGGTTATACAATGGAATACTACCCAGCCATGAAAAAGAATGAAATCATGTCTTTTCAAGCAACATGGTTGGAACTGAAGGTTATCTTAACTGAAATAATTCAGAAGTGGAAAGTCAAATATCATATGTTCTCATGTATAAGTGTAGTTAAATAATGTGTATACATGGGCATAGAGTGTGGAATAATAGACATTGGAGGCCAGGAGTGGTAGCTCATGCCTGTAATCTCAGCACTTTGGGAGGCCAAGATTGGTGGATGACTTGAGGTCAAGAGTTCAAGACCAGCCTGACCAACATGGTGAAACCCTGTCTCCACTAAAAATACAACAACAACAAAAATTAGCTGGGTGTGGTGGCAAGCGCCTGTAATCCTAGCTGCTCGGGAGGCTGAGGCAGGAGAATAGCTTGAACCTGGGAAGCAGAGGTTGCAGTGAGCCAAGATCACACCATCGCACTCAAGCCCGGGCAACAGAGTGACTCCGTCTCAAGAAAAAAAAAAAACAAAACAACAACAACAACAAAACAAAAACAAAAAAGACATTGGAGTTTCGAAAGAGTGAGATGTTCAGAGGAACATTCTGGCTTTATCCATGCTCTTCCCTTCCCCTCAATGACTATATCCATTAGAAAATCCTGTGAGCTTGACCTTCCAAATACATCCAAAAACACATCCTCACTCCAACCCTGCCTGTCTGGTTCAAGACCTCATTCCTCTTCCTGGAGGATCCAGCAGCGCTCTCCCAGTCTGTCTGTAGGTGCCTTGACCCGCTCAGGCCTGCTCTCGCCAGGGAGCCAAGGGATCCAGTCCAGTTGAGTCTCTCCTCTCCACAAAGGCTCTAGGTTCCTGTGTGGCCTGCAGGGCACCAGGTGGTCTGCAGTGTCCTTTCCACCGCTTGACTCCTCTGCCTCCCTCTGCTCTTAGACATGGGTTACTGGGTGTGTTTGCAACACCCAGGCCTACTGCTGCCTCTGAGCAATGCATTTGCTCTTCCCCCTTTTCCTTCTTCCTGGGATGCTTTTGCTTATATACACACAGAGCCTGCTTCCTCACCACCTTCATGTGTTAGCCCAAATATAATCTCTTCCCATCATCAGGTACAGAGATGGTTCCCCAGTATATCTTATGCTTCTTTCCCTGCATGATTTTTCTCTAAACATATATTGCCATCCTATATAGTTAAATACTTTCTATTGCTTATTCCTTTTTTTATGTCCATCTTGTCTTCAGAATATCTTTTTTTTTTTTTCTGAGACAGAGTCTCGCACTGCAACCTCTGCCTCCCAGGTTCAAGCAATTCTCCTGTCTCAGCTTCCCGAGTAGCTGGGACTACAGGCACATGCCACCATGCCCACCTAATTTTTGATTTTTAGTAGAGATGGGGTTTCACCTTGTTGGTCAGGCCGGTCTCGAACTCCTGATCTCAGGTGATCCACTACCTCAGCCTCCCAAAGTGCTGGGATTACAGGTGTGAGCCACGATGCCCAGCCCAGAACATCTTCTTAATACTGAGATTTCTGATGCTATGTCTACCAGTGAACCCCTGGCACCTACAACAATGCTGGCACATAGTAGGTGTTCAGTATAGTTACCAAAGAATCTATAGATTAATGAATAAATGTCACTCCTTCCCTCAATATCATACAAGAAACACACACACACACACACACACACACACACACACACACACACACTCGGGTGACATTTAAGACTGAGCCTGAAGGACAATCAGGACCTGGACTTGGCAGGAATGGGAGGGAAGGGCATTTCAGGAAACGGAACTACACATGCAAAGTCTCAGAGTCATAGAGGGCTTGGCCCAGTGGGTGTGGGGAGACTTTGGGTGACACAGAGAAAGGAGGGATCAGGAGAGTCCAGTGGAGGATAGAACGTGCAAGGCCTTCAGTCCAGACGGTGGTGTTCTCCAGCAATGGAGAGGAAACAAGGAGACAAGGCTGTTCAGACTGTGGAGGCACTGGACGAGGAGGCAGCTAGAAGCAGAGTCTGGAGGCCTGTGCTGGGGAGACAGGGAGGCAAAAGGTGAGGATGGTTCAGTGACCAGGGAGGAGGTGAGGGCCCAGGCATGACCAAGGTCAGGACGGAGAAAAGGGCACCAAATGAGCCCTGGTTGGGAGAAAGAGGGACAAGAGTGGGTGATTTATGAGATCTGGAGAAGGTGGGGAGGTCAAGGTGGAGACCCACAAGCTGGTTCTGACTTTAGAGATGGGGCTAAAGAGAAGTGGGTTTGGGGATGGACATGGGAGGTTCAACTTTGGCCATGCTGAGTGCAGCTATCCTGGGGGCCACAGAAAGAAGTCATCCAGCACGATATTGGAGGGTGAGACGTCCACAACACTCACCTGAGAGATTAGCCCATGGCAGTGTTTTCAGCCTCCACAGCTGCTGCTGCCTTTGCCACCTTCCTCCTGCAGGACCTCACACTGAGTGAAGAGATCGGGGCATATAAGTGTGGCCAGATTGGGGTGCAGAGGGCAGCAGACTCACCTCCCTGTGCGCTGCAAAGGGGCTGATAGAAAATGTGGTAGACAGAGCAGGCCTAGCCCTCAAGATCTTCTTTATGAGAACAGAAACCTCTCCACCCTGGCATTTGGCCTCGGGTTGGGACAGACACAGGCCTGACTACAAATGAACCATGTGGAATTCTCACCACCAGTTGAGCTCCTTGCCTGGTCCTAGGTGCTCTTAAGGTATTTGAGTATCTCCATGATTGAGATTCTGGGATTCAGCATCATGTCTCCTGCCCTCCACACACTTCCCCTGGGGCAGTGCTCACCTGAGGAAGGTGAGGCAGAGGCAGAGAAGCAGGATCTTCACAGCTGCCTCCCCAATGGCCACAAGAACCACCTTTGTCACAGGCCTTGATTTCCCTACAAAAAAGTGGGATGAGGTTGATTCACTTGACAAGCCACAATCTGTGTCCATATTGAACATAAGAAAAGGAAGGTTCTCCAGACCCTTCAGGCATCCCTGGCTGTGAGATCACATGAGCCCAGGGCTTACCATAAACCATGCCCTGACTGTCCAATGGTTGGGTAGAGAAATGATATGTAAGTTGGACTTTATCAAAATTTAAAATTCTGTTTAGTGATTGACACTATCAGAAAAGTGAAATGATAGCTCACAAAATGGGAGCATATATTAGCAAATCATGGATTTGGTAAGGGTCTAGTATCCAACATATATAAAGAGCACTTACAACTCAAATTACAAACAACCGAAATTATCCAATGAAAAAATGGACAAAGGACTTAAATAAAACTTTTACCAAAAGATATAAATAATCAATAAGACCATGAAAATACGCTCAACATCATTCATCATTATGTTAATGCATATTAAATCTACAATGATGTACCTTACACTCACTATTAGGCTATACATCTTTTAAATAAGAAAAATGAGGCCTGGCACAGTGGCTCACGCCTGTAATCCCAGCACTTTGGGAGGCCAAGGTGGGCAGATCACGAGGTCAGAAATTCGAGACCAGCCTGACCAACATGGTGAAACCCTGTCTCTACTAAAAATACAAAAAATAGCTGGGCATGCTGGCATGTGCCTGTAATCCCAGCTACTCAGGAGGCTGAGGCAGGAGAATCGCTTGAACCTGGAGGCAGAGGTTGCAGTAAGCTGAGATCATGCCATTGCACTCCAGCCTGGGTGACAGAGTGAGACTCCATCTAAAAAAAAAAAAAAAAGAAAGAAAAGAAACAAAAAAAAAAAAAGGAAAAGAAAAATGAGGCCAGGCATGGTGGCTCATGCCTGTAATCCCAGCACTTTGGGAGGCCGAGGCAGGTGGATCACCTGAGGTTGGGAGTTTGAGACCAGGCTGGACAACATGGTGAAACCCTGTTTCTACTAAAAATACGAAAATTATCCAGGCGTGGTGGTACATGCCTGTAATGCCAGCTACTCAGGAGGCTGAGGCAGGAGAATTGCTTGAATCTGGGAGGTGGAGGTTGCAGTGAGGTGAGATTGCACCACTGCAGTCAAGCCTGGGCGACAGAGCGAGACCCTATATCAAAAAAAAAAAAGGAAAAAAAAAAAAAGAAAAAGAAAAATGAGGCTGGGCGCAGTGGTTCACGCCTGTAATCCCAGCAATTTGGGAGGCCGAGGCAGGCAGATTACTTGAGGTCAGGAGTTCGATATCAGCCTAGCCAACATGGGGAAACCCTATCTCTACTGAAAAAAAAAAAATAGCCAGGCATTGTGGTGGGTGCCTGTAAACTCAGCTACTTGCGAGGCTGAGGCACGAGAATTGCTTGGACTGGGGAGGTGGAGGTTGCAGTGGACTGAGATTGTGTCACCGTGCTCCAGCCTGGACGACAGAGCAAGACTTCAATCTCAAAAAACAAAAAACAAAACAAAAACAAACAAACAAAAAACAAAACAAAAGAAAAGAAAAATGAGAATTTTTGCAAGAATATGGAGAAATTGCAACCCAAACCCATTGGTGGTGCAACATACATTGGTGCTGACACTGTGGACAACAGTCTGGTATTTCTTCAAAAAGTTAGAGGTTTTTTTTGAGTGATTAAAATGTTCTGAAATTAGATAGTGGGATGGTTAAAGAACATTGTGAGCATTCTAAAAGCCACTTTATCATACAATTTAAAATGATTAAAATGGTGAATTTAATGTTATGTGAATTTTTATCTAATAAAAACTACACGGACACAACAATTGTCACCTGACATTGGCAAAAACCAAAAGGTCTCCTTCCACACTGGGTTGACGAAAACAAGCACCTTGACCCCTTACTTTTGGGAATGTCAGCTTGCCCACTCTTGATTGAGAAAAATTTTGCCATATTTCACAAGATTAAAAAGAACGTCTAAGCTAGCTATTTTGCGTTTAGGAACAGGTCCCACATACATAGGCATACACTTGCTGAAGTAGATACAAGATTATTCATTGCAGTGTGTCTGTTGGTAGAACAAAATCAATGCCATGCTTTTCCAGGAGCAGAAGATTTATACAGAATTTCTATTCATGCAATGGAATACCACAGGCGTCCTACAGGAGGATAAGAACAGTCTATGCTGTTGCTGCCAAATGACCTCTGAGATCCTTCAGGTGAACACACCAAGGCTCAGAGCAGCCAGGGTGGACACTGGTCAATTCTGGGGAGGAGGACGGGCATCTAAGGACAGACTCCGCTGTGCATTGTTAAGTTCTTCCCATGAGACTGTATCACCTGTCCAGAAGCACTTAGGTCTGAACTACAGGGGGAAATAGAAAGAGGAGGCAGGAGGCGTGTTCAGGTGATGAATGTAGGGAAGCTGAAAGGCTGGGTCTGTGTGTGAATATCACCCTGCCCTTGTTGTGGGGTTGAGGGGGTTGTGTGTGGGGTCTGAGGGGAGTGAGGGGGCGATGGGGACAGGTGTTCAGATGGCCATGGGGGCTGAGGATGGGAATGGGGCCTTGGTTCACCCACAAAAGGGTGTCAGATCACCAGGATGAGGTGAGGTCAGGATGAGGAGAGGCCCACCCCTGCCCTGAGCTGAAGGTCTCCTCTTCCCAAGGAGGGAGTTTCTATCCTACCTGTGCCTTCTCCTAGGGAGACACCAATCTTTAGGTTCCCTAGAGCATCTAGGACAATAAGAGAGGATTTCCCATTCAGTTGGGGTGAGGGTGAGATAAGGGCGGCACTCCTTCCCTACCCCAGAAGCCACAGAAATGTAGAGAGACAGGGCTTGTGGCCTAGGTCTTCTACTCAGCCAGGCCTCTAGGACACAGCCACCAGTGGCCCCAGTCCTGGTCCTCCTCTCTCCTGGTCCTCCCCCCATCACACCCTCAGGGACCCAGGCGTCCTGGCCCAGCACTCACAGGAGACACTGAGTTGGATGGTTCTCTCCGTGGTCACACCAGCTCCGGGGAACGTCACTCGACAGGTGAGGTTGGTGCCGTGGTCCTGGGGCCATGGGATGATCGTGAGCACTGAGGAGTGGAGGGTCCTGGGGCCCAGGGAGATGGGGGCAGCTGACATCCAGGAGAAGATGGGGGGCGTCCCCTGCTCACAGGCCGAGGGCACAGAGCAGGTCAGGTTCCTGGGGTGGCCAGATTCCAGGGTCCTCGGGATGAAGATGCTGGGCCTGTGGGTCAGGGCTGGTGAGGAAACGGGGATGCAGGATCAGGAAGGGGTGACTGAGGTACAGCCCTGAGGGAAGCTCAGGTTCTGGTCCGGGTCCTCCCCTGAGTCTGACAGGCTTCATTCCCAACCCCCTTCCAGGACATGGGTCCCATCCCAAGCCCTGTCCTGAGGTCCCTTTGACCTTCCCTTGTGGCTGCTTCTGAAGCCTGTGCCTCACCTGTCACATGCACAGAGAGCTGGGGAGATTTGTAACTGTGTTTGGTACTTCCTCTCTCCATCCGAAAGAAGTATGAACGATTATCCCTCCTCCTGGCGTCTACGATGCTCAGGGAGCAGTTGTTCTTACTGGGATCCCCAAGGAGGCGGAATCAGCCCTGAGTCTCCTCCTGTACTTCTTGATCTAGCTTGTTTGTGGCCACTGGAGAGTCCCTGGATACAATGGCTCCTTCCCGGAACCAGTAACCATGAACTGAGAAATTCCTGTTGTAGTAGGGTATGGGATGGGAGAAAGTGCAGGGCACGAGGACGCACAAACCCTCCTGTACCGTCACTGACTCCTGCACTTGCAGCCGGATTTTTGGATCCATAGCCAGGGCCCCTGTGGGGAAACGAGGGTCAGCTCGGCCCAGCCCGACAACCCCTCTCCCCGCAGCCATTCACCTGCCCACAGCAGGGGCAGCAGTAGCAGCAGTGGCATGTCTGAGGCAGAGGCTTCCCGGGCTTCCTGTGTGAGCAGAGAAGAGGAAGGGAGTGGAGGGGAAGGACTACAGGGCCGGACAGGAAGCTGGGGAGGAGCAGGAAACCTCAGCCCTGCATGGAAGAGGAACCTCAGACCCACACGTGCTCAGAGCTTGTCCCCTCCACACAGATTGACCCTCATGGGCCAGAGATGCCAGAGACTCGCCCAGAGATGGGAGGAGATGGAGCAGAATCTGAGTCTTGCCTTCCAGGAGCACCAGAGCCTGGATCAGTACCTTCGGGGCCATCTGAGACATGCGAACCCCATGTCTAAAGTCCTTCCACTCTGAGGTGCTTTTCTGTGCACAACTGTTTACACCAGGCAGCTGGTCACTCCAGGCCTGGCCCGAGTCACGGCCTCTTCTTGACCTGTGGGGTGGTTCGTCCTGCAGGATATAGGTTTCTGTAGGGTTCATGTAAGTGTCTGGGGCAGAAGAAATGAAGAAGGGTCCTAGATGTGGTGAAGGTGACAGTCATTCATTCATTCAATTCATTCATTCATTCATTCACCTAAGCTATACCGAGCATCTATGTGCCAATGAGGCTGGAGACAAGAAGAGATGCCACTGACCTGGTCCCTCCCCTTTAGATACTCCCCATCCATAGCCTCATGTTCACCACACACAAATACTGTTTGGCTTCACAGCTGTGGATGCTGGTGACTTTGCCATATGTCATGGTATCATATGAGGTATTTTTAAGAAGTATGACTATGGATTTTTTCCCCTGGCAGTTAGTACACTGATTTGCAATGTTTCAGCGACATCTCTAAAATAAGAAACATGTAGTATTTTCATGTAAAACGAAAGCTTCTGTGAACAAGTCCAGAAGAAATTTCTTTTCCATTAGTGTTGCCATTCCCTGCAGTGGGGACAGCAGCAATTTTTTTATGGGGCTTACCATAGAGATTAGCATTTTCTTTCATGTAAAAATACATTTCTGATAATTAAATGAGGCCCAAAGACATAATGTTTCCAGACAATATGAGTTGAATGTACAGACAAAATTAAAATTTAGCTTCAGCTCATATGGTTTTTTATTTTACTCTCTGTGGTACACACCTGGGAGATCCTCAATGCCTGAGACATATCAGTATTTGCAACCATATACAGGTAAAATCTCTATACACAGTAGTATCTATAAAAATGTTCATTCATCCTACCTACCATAGAGAGGTATTTCCATCCTCTTTTTAAATATAAGGAAGTGAGTCCTCAATAGATAAAACAATATCTTGCTGTAAGTTATTTTAAAAGATAGTATAGGCACATAATATAATATTCAGTATATTTACTTTTAACAGTAAAATATCATACCACATTCATGGAGTAGAAGGATACATAAGAAAATCTGTCTTACTGTGTTTCTTTAATGAACTTAACTAGGTATAATTTACATGAGGTGATGTGCACCCACTTGAAGTGTTCATTTTCATGAATTTTGACAGGTGCATACAGCCCTGTTGTGACTGGCACAATCAAGATATACAACATTTCCACTACACCAAGGGCTTTGCCTAACCTCTTTGCAGTTCATCATTCCCACTTCTTGTGCCAGGCAACCACTGAGATCCTCTCTCTCATAGTGTGTCGCTTTTGCCTATTTCAAAATTTCCTAGGAAGGAATGTACTCATCTGTGTCTGTATTCTGTCACTCAGCATATTTTTTGAAACTGAACCAAGTTGTTTGTGCCTATAGTTTTCACAGTGTGATATTGCTCAGTAGTATCCCATTGTATGAATATACTATAGTCCTATATTTATTCATCTATTGATAGGCATTTGAGATTTCCCCATTTTTCACTAATGGTACTCAGGTGTAAGTCTTTTTATAGACTTTTGTTGTTGTTGTGGCTGTTGAGATGGAGTTTTGCTCTGTTGCCAGGCTGGAGTGCAGTGGCGTGATTTATATATATGAAGTCTCGCTCTGTCACCCAGGCTGGAGTGCCATGGCACCATCTCAGCTCACTGCAGCTTCTGTCTCCGTGTTCAAGCAATTCTCCTGTCCTGTTGTCAATCACTGCACAGGACATCAACACCAGACAAGGACATTCTTTGAGCATAATGGATCAAGACAAGAATAAGACCACAGCACAGTCATGCCTTAACACAGACACAAACAAGAATGTTGTCCAAATTGGAAAATGGCTACATATTTCCCATCTAGGGTAACAGGAAAGACTGATGATTATTTACCAATTACAGCCACAGCCTTTCCTATAGACTAAATGTTGGTGTCACCCTAAAATTCATGTATTGATGTCCTAATTCTTAATGTGATGTGATGATATTTGGAGGTGGGGCCTTTAGGAGATAATGGGATTTAGGTGAGCTCATGGAAGTGGAATGCCCATGCTGGGATTATGGCACTTGTAAGAATGAGGAAGGGACCAGAGCTCTCTCTCTCCCATGTGAGGATATAGTGAGAAGGCAGTCATCTGTGACCCAGGAGCGGGGACCTCACTAAGAACCCAGTTGTACTGACATCTTTATTTTGGTCTTCCAGCCTCCAGAACTATGAGAAATAGATGTTTGTTTTTTGTTTGTTTGTTTGTTTTTTGAGACAGAGTCTTGTTCTGTCACCCAGGCTGGAGTGCAGTGGCACGATCTTGGCTCACTGCAAGCTCCGCCTCCTGGGTTCACACCATTCTCCTGCCTCAGCCTCCCGAGTAGCTGGGACTACAGGAGTCCGCCACCACGCCCGGCTAATTTTTTATATTTTTAATAGAGACGGGGTTTCACCGTGTTAGCCAGGATGGTCTCGATCTCCTGACCTTGTGATCCACCCACCTTGGCCTCCCAAAGTTAGATGTTTGTTTTTTAAGCTAGCCGGTCTGTGATATCTCTTATTCTAGCCCAAACTGACTAAGGTAGCTTTGGTCTAGTTCTTTCTCCTTTTTTATTAGATGTATGAAGATCCAGTGTTAGAATTATGCTGACTTCCTGACATCCAAAGAAGCAAACACTGCTTTTTAAAAAGTTTCCCCAAATCACCTAACACAAGTCCAAATCCTATAATAAGCCAGTTATAATTCTCTCTTACTGAAACACCTCATGGTTTTCGTGGTTCCTCACTGCAATGAGTAATAACCCAACTACATATCTATTCCTGGTGCCTGCTGATCTCTGGCCAGAAGACACTGACATGTTTATTGACTTGGTCAATGTTGACATTTGTTTCCTTGAAGCTGTTCCAGGATTTGGATTTTATTAATGACTTTTTGTTCTACTGATGGCAGCTAGGGTTAGTGAGATGAGGTGGGTTCCCATCCCCTGCTCGCTGCTGACCTGAGGACTATGTCCCACTGTGTTTGGAAAGCATCAGCCCTGCCCTGTTTCCTTACTGTCCTCCAGTCCAGCCAGAAGAACATAGGCTGGGCGCAGTGGCTCATGCCTGTAATCCCAGCATTTTGAAGGGCCAAGGCAAGTGGATCACCTGAGGTCAGGAGTTCGAGGCCAGCCTGGCCAACATGGTGAAACCCCATCTCTACTAAAAATACAAAAATTAGCCAGGTGTGATGGTGGGTGCCTGTAGTCCCAGCTACTCAGGAGGCTGAGGCAAGGAGGATCGCTTGAACCTGGGAGGTGAAGATCGCTGTGACCAAGATCATGCCACTGCACTCCAACTGGGTGACAGAGTAAGACTCCATCTCAAAAAAAAAAAAAAAAACATAATAAGAACAGAATAGATTGGAATGCATGTTTTCATCTTTTCTAATTACTCTCTCTGCTGGACGTTTGCCTAATGACCTCATTTTCTGATTGGAAGCAGGAATGTCAGCCCTCTCTTAGGAGTATTTCATTGCAATCAACATAATTACACAGGAAACTGGTGTCCCTCTAAAGTGGAGACGTTTGGACAAGTTGTTCCATAAGTCACTTTTCAAGGTAAGATGGAACAACCAAGTTGAAGGAGGGATGGTAGCAGCTGCAATGAGGTGAATAGTTTTATAGTCAGGAAAGGGTCTCTATCACTACACTGTGTTTATTTCCTCTTAAGCCAGAATCAAGGTATCTTCTGAGAGTAGGGTGGTGGGAGGCAGCAGAGAATAGAAGAACCCAGTTCCTGAGTTTATGCAAGATGCCCATGGGAGCCCAGAGACGTCCTATGGCGAGACTGGCATGTACTCACACAACTGAAACCCTCTCAAGATAAGGGTCATTCTTTGACCAGAGAAAACAGCATCCTTCATGCCCTTCCATATTAATCTCTGCCTCCACATACAGTCTGAGAAGCAACCAGTGTTCTGACATTTGTCACCATCAACTAGTTTTACATGTTTTACAACTTCCTATAAATGGATTCACACAGTAAGCACTTGCTTCACCCTGAGCATCTCTGCTGTTTCTTTAAAATTTCAGTAATATTTGAAAATCAGAAAAGAATTTCTTCCATTTGCTAATTTAAAGTATAACATTCAGGCTGGGCCCGGTGTCTCACGTCTGTAATCCCAGCATTTCGGGAGGCCAAGGCAGACGGATCGCCTGAGCTCAGGAGTTCAAGACCAGCCTGGGCAACATGGTGAAACCCCATCTCTACTAAAAATACAAAAAACTAGCTGGGCATAGTGGTGGGTGCCTGTAATCTCAGCTACTCAGGAGATGGAGGCATGAGAATTGCTTGAATCCAGGAGGCGGAGGTTGCAGTGAGCTGAGATCGCACCGTTCTACTCTAGCCTGGGTGACAGAGTGAAACTCTGTCTCAAAAAAAAGAAAAAGTATAAAATTCAGTGGCATTTATTGCATTCACAGTGCTGTGTAATCATCACCACCATCTAGTTTCTGAACATTTTTATCACCCTGAAAGGGAAACAGTCACTTTCTATTGCCTGCTTCCCAGAGCCCCTGGAAACTACTAACGTGTACCTATTTCCATGGATTTATCTATGCTGGATATTTAATGTGAATGGAATAATTTCAGTCTTTCATCATTGAGTGTAATGTTACCTGTGGGTTTTCTCTAAATGGCCTACTAAGCTTGATGAGTTTCCATGTCTGGCTTCTTTTACCAAGGGTAATGTTTTCAAGGTAAATCCATGTTTACGAGGATAATCCTTGTTGTAGCATGCATCATTATTTCATTTCTTTTTTTGGACTGAGTGATATCCCATTGCATGGAAAGACCACATTCCATTTATCCATTTGTCAGTTACTGGGCATTTTAGTTGTTTGTACTTTTTGGCTCATGTGAGTAGTAGTGCTGCCATGAAAATTTATGTACAGATTTTCATTTGAATATCTGTTTCCAATTCCTTTGGGTATATCCCAAGGAGTGAAATTGCTAGTCAATATGATAACTGTATTAGTCTGTTCTTGCATTGCTATAAAGAAATACCTGAGACTAGGTAATTTGTGAGGAAAATAGGTTTAATTGGCTCACAGTTCTGCAGGCTGTAAGGGAAGCATGGCGACTTCTGCTTCCGGGGAGGCCTCAGGAAGTTTCCAATCATGGCATAAAGTGAAGCACGAGGGAGGAGTCTCACATGGCGGGAGCATGAGAAAGAGAGTGAGGAAGGAGGTGCTACACACTTTTAAACAACCAGATCTCATGAGAACTTACTCACTGTCTTAACAGCACCAAGGAGATGGTGCTGAACTATGAAAATTCCACCTCCACGATCCAATCACCTCCCACCAGGCCCCACCTCCAACATTGGGGATTACAATTTAACATGAGTTTGGACAGGGACATAGATAAACCATATCAATAACTCTATGTTTAACCTATTGAGGAACTTGCAGACTCTTTTCCACAGCGGCTGAATCCTTTTACATTCCCAAATACAGTGTATGAGAATTCCAATTTCTCCACATCCTCACCGACACGTGTTATGTTCCGTTTTACTAATTACAGCCATCTTAATCGTTGTAGAGTTTTGCTTTCCATTGCCATAGTGACAATAATGTTGAGCATCTTTTTGTGTGTTTGTTGGTCGTTTCTATACCTTCTTTGGATAAATGTCTATTCATGACCTTTGTCCATTTTAAAGTTGGGATTTTTGTCTCTTTGTGGTTGAGTAGCGAATCTTCTTTGGGGATACTAGGCTCATTAGATATATTATTTGCAAATATTTGGTCCCATTCTTTTTACTTTCTTGATAATATCCTTCGATGCATAAGAATTTTAAATTTTAAGTCCAATTCATCTATTTCTTCTCATGTTGCTTGTGTTTTTGGTGACATATCTAAGAAACACCTTCCAAATCTAAGGCCATGAAGATATACTTGTATGTTTTCTCCTAAGAGTTTCATAATTTTAGTTCTTACACCTCAGTCTTTGGTCCTTTTTGAGTTAATTACTATACTGTGTATTTTCTTTTTTTCTTTTTCTGGTGGGGACAGGATCTCACTTTGTCACCCAGGCTGGAGTGCAGTGGAATGAACACAGCTCACTGCAGCCTTGACCTCCTGGGCCCAAGTGATCCTCCCACCTCAGCCTCTTGAGTAGCTGAGACTACTGGTGCATGCCACCATGCCTGGCTAATTTTTTGTGATTTTTTTAGAGGTAGGGTTTTGCTGTGTTGCCCATCCTGGTCACAAATTCCTGAGCTCAAGTGATCCACCCGCCGCAGCCTCCCAAAGTGTTGGGATTACAGGTATGAGCCACTGCGCTCGGCCTATACTGCATACTTTATGTGGAAGGAGTCCAACTTCATTTTTATTCACGTGGCTCTCCAGTTGCCCCAGAACCATTTGTTAAAGACATTATCGTTTTTCATTAAATGGTCTTGGTATCCTTACTGAATTATCAGTGGACCATAAATTTATCACTTTATATCTGGCTCTCAATTCTATTCCATTGATCAGTATCGGTACCACCTAGTTTTTTATTTTATTTTATGGCAGCGAAAGTTTATTTAAAAGCTTTAGAAGAGTAAGGAAAGCAAGGAAAGGAAAGAAAGGAAGGAAGGAAAGTACACTTGGAAGAGGGCCAAGCAGGCGGCTTGAGAAACCAAGTGCCTACCCAGTTTAATTCCTGTGACTTTGTGGTAAGTTGTAAAATCAGGAAATGTGAGTCCTACAATGTTTTCACTTTCAAAATCATTTTGGCTATTTGAAGTCTCTTGTGATTCCATATGAATTTTAAGGATAGTTTTTTTTTCATGTCAGTAAAAACATCCATTAGGGTTTTGATAGGGATTGCACTGAATCTTGATTTGAGGAATATTACCATCTTAATATTAATTCTACCAATCCATGAACACAGGGTGTTTTTCAGTTGATTCAGGTCTTCTTTATTTTCTTTCAGCAATATTTTTTATTTTTCAGTACACAAGACTTACACCTCCTTGGGTAAATGTATTCCTAAATATTTTATTCCTTTTGATGGTATTATAAATGGGGGTGGTGTTCTTAATTCTTTTCAGATTGTTAATTGCTAGCGTATAGAAATACAACTGTATTTTGTGTTATAATCTTGTATCTGGCATATATGGTAATTTGCTTATTAGCTTTAAGAGAGTTTAGTGGGATACTTACAATGTTCTATATATAAGAAATACTCATCCTTTCCAACTTGTATACCAGTTATTTCTCTTTTTTTTTTCCTGTGTAATTGCCCTAACTAGAACCTCCAGTACGATGTCGAATAAAACTGGTTAAAGTAGGCATTTTTTGTCTCTTTCCTGATCTTAGAGGGAAAGAGTTTCAGTCTTTCGCCATTGAATATAATGTTACCTTTGGGTTTTTCACAAATGCCTTTTATCACATTGAGGAAGTTCTTTTCTATTCCTTGTGTGCTAATCGTTTTAACATGGAAGAGTGTTGGATTTTGCCAAATATTTTTCCTGCATCAATTGAAAATGATTCCATGTTGTTTTCTTCATTCTATTAATGTACTGTATTACATCAATAGGTTTTCGTATGTACACCACCTTTGTATTCCTGGGATAAATCCCACTCAGTATTCTGTAGAGTCTTTTATACACTGCTGGATTCAGTTTGCTGGCATTTTCTCGAGGACTTTTTGCATCTATATTCATAAGTGATATCGGGCTGTAGTTGCATTTTCCTGTGATGTCTTTGGTATTATCAGGTAATACTGTGTTCATAGAATGGGTTAGGGCATATTTTCTCCTCTTCTATTTTTCAGAAAAGTTTGAGAAGGATTAGCATTAATTTAAAAAAATGTAATCTCAGCACTCTGGGAGGTCAAGGTGGGCGGATCACTTAAGGTCAGGAGTTCGAGTCCACCCTGGCCAACATGATGAAACCCCGTTTCTACTAGAAATACACAAATTAGCCAGTCATGGTGGCATGCACCCATAATCTCAGCTACTCAGGAGGTTGAGGCAGGAGAATCACTTGAAACCAGGAGGCAGAGGTTGCAGTGAGCCAAGATTGCGCCACTGCACTCCAGCTTGGGTGACAGAGCGAGATTCCATCTCAAATAAATAAATAAATAAATAAAATAAGATAAAATAAAATAAAATAATAAAAGCAGTCAGAGAAAACCACAAACTACAAACAAACAAGCAATGATAAAAATTACAGCAGAATTCTCATAGGAAATTACACAAGCCAAAACCATTTGAGTTACTGGAAAGAAAAATGTTAACCTAGAATTCCATATAAATTTCAATAAAAGTATTTTTAAGTGAATGTATATGAAATGTTTCCAGACAAACCACAGTCAAGGGAATTCACTGCCAGCACACCTATACTGTAAGAAATACACGAGATCTTCCGGCCAAAGGAAAATAATGCCATAGAGAAACTCGGTTGTATACAAAGTAATGAAGAGCAATTGAAGTGGTAAACATGTGGATAAACATAAAATAGTTTATTTTTCTAATAAAAAGTCTCTTTAAAAATTGACTGTGTAAAATAAACATATTATGGGATTTGTAAAAATACGTTATGGGAATGAATTTGGAGCTCATGAAACCCACATTAAAGTAAGCGACAGAAACAAGGTATTACAGGGAAAATAATTGAAATTCTGGTAAAGCATATCCATCTATTTCCTCACCTGTCCTGACAACCGCTCCTGTAGAGCCATAAGGAAGAGTCATGGGGAACAGAGGTGAGGGGTGGAGAGAGGTTATTCTGCATGGGAGGTGGGGCCGGAGCACCCAGGAGCTCTTTGCTCCAGCCCTGTGCAGGATGAGTCTCAGAACACGTGGTCTAAAGGACCCTCACCCCTGTCGGGCTCTGGAGCCCAGACCTCAGCCCTGCTGTGAGGAGGAAGTTCAGTCGCTCAGTCACCCAGAGTAGCACTGCCCCTTGGGATCCTCTGAGCCAGTGGGGTAAACACCATTCTGAGAGGAGAGACCAGCACTATGGAGGGTTCCTTTGGGGAGAAGATGGGTGAAGTCAGCCAAATTTGGGGGCTCAAATTCCAGGACACCTTGAGAAGAGTTGCTTCCCTGGTGCAGTAGATCCAGGTGAGGCTGTGAGTTAAAAGAAAGCCATCCCCCGCTACCCACTCCCCTGCCCCCACTTAGGGCCTCCTTTAGCAGTGTGAGGGTCAGAGGTCAGGAGCCTCACTGGTCTCCAGAGATTTGGGGTGAGTAACAGGTGGTACCAGGCATAAGAAAAGCTGGAGGGTGACTGAGGTGGGAGTTTCCTGAGTCCACACTTCCCCTGCCTATGGACCCCTAGAATCAGGTGTTCTGCTAACACTCCCCATGCACAGCCAGGCTCAGGGAGATGGGGTGGGAGCCCAGCAGGGCCTATGCCCGGCAGGTGAATTCTCCTTCGTCTCCTGAAACCACCTGGGGCAGCTCCAGGACCTGGGGATGCAAGAGCTGGGAGGGGATCATGGTCAGGCTGCCCTGGGACCAGCACAGCCTGGCAGGGGGGCTGCCATCAGCATCACAGACCAGGTGTAGGGACTGCCCTCCTGCCCCTACCAGGAGTGGGCATTGCCTAGGACCTGAGGGACGAGGGAGACCGAGAGAGCCAGAGGGGCAGGGCTGAGAGGCCCTTCTCTCCCTGTGTCTTCCCTCTAGACTCAGGAGAGGAAACTGCGTTTCTGAGACAAGCATCACAAGCAAGGGCAAGTAGGGGCGAAGACCCCCAGCATGCAGGGGTCGGGAGGCTCCTTAATGGTCCCGGGACAGGGGCATGGAAACATGCGGAGGACTTGGCCGTATCGGGACATGGAGAGAACGTCCCAGGACGACCGGCCTTGATGTGCAAAACTGTGGAGGGCGCTAACCCTCGTGGTTCTGGCCACTTGGAGGAACCAAGACAGGTGACACACTTGGGCTTTCTCCAGGAGCCACAGGAGCCAGGGGAGGAGCTGAGTAGGGAAGGGACAGGGAAAGATCTGGTTAGAGAGAGACCCCTTTTTGGGATCTGAATTGTGGTCGGCTGGAGGGAGCAAGACCAGAAGCTGCTAGGCCAGGAGGGAGGCTGCTGCAGGTCCAGGCATCACCCGGGTCCAGGTGAGCGAGGCCAGAGGTGGGGATGGAGGAAAGGAGTGAGTTGAGACAGTTTCCGGAAGTCAAGTTTGCAAAACTCACCAACTCATGGGAAGTACTGGGGAAATACAGGGATGTGCAAAGAGACTCCCAGGACATTGACTCTGGCTTCTCAGGTGGGAGGGGCCTCCCAAGGGGGAGTGGGATGTGCTCAGCACCAGCTGAACCAGACAGAGATTTATGGGGGTCTTCAGGGCAGAGGTAGGACTGGGACCACTAGGGTGGAGGAGCTTCCTGGAGGAGTCATGCAGAGAGCGGCTGGAGGCCAAGACCCCACTGTGGGAACTGCTGGATATAAGGTTCCTGTGGGAGACGGGGATGGCATGGCCAGAGAAGTGGCAGGGAACCGGGAGGAGGCTGTCATGGGAGAGTGAGGGGAGAGGGAAGGATGGGGGAGAGGAAACGCCGGTGGTGACAGTGGGTTGTCAGCTAGGAAGTCACAGTGACCATGGAGAGCTCTGCCTGGGGAGGGGGCAGAAGCGAGACTGGATGGGCTGAAAGTGAGGGGCAGCGTCGGTCACACTCGATGACCTTCCCCTTATTGGACCCCTGAGACCTCAATTCTGCCCAGGGCTGGCAGAGACCCACCCCCTTCAGAGAGCTGAGGGCATCTCCCACCTGTGCTGCCGTCCCTGAGATGCAAATGCTGAGGTTCCGTGGAGCATCTGGAGTAGAAATCAGTAACTGACCACCTGCCATGTGACGGGCAGTCCTGAGCAACGGGGTGGTGTCTGAGTGTTCCCTCCACTTTGACCCCAGCCAGGCCCCCAAGAAGAGGTCCCCAAGAAGAGGTCCCCAAGAAGAGTCCCCCAGTAACTCAGATTCTCCGCCCCCTTCTCCCAAAACCCAGTGAACTCCAGGACCCAGGGGCCTGGCCAGGTGCTTTCAGGACAGATTGATTGGGATGGCTCTCTCCGTGGTTGCACCAGCTCTGGGGAAGGGCTCAGGTGAAGCTGTGCAACCCTGGGGTAAGGTGAGCACCAAGGAGTGAGGATTCTTTCCCAGGGAGGTGGGGACCACATTGATCCAAGAGAAAGTGGGCGGGGGGAGGTCTTCCTCTTACAGGTTATGTTCCTGGAATGTCCAGATTCTAGGGTCCCCTGGATGTGGATGTAGTGTCTGTATCAGGGCTGGAGATGACAGAGACAGAGACCCAGGCCCTGCAGGTGGGGACCCCTAAGTGTGGACCTAAGAGCAGCCTCTCCCTGAGGCAGCTGGACTCCCCCAAACCCTCCCCAGCGCCCCATCTCCCTGGGTCCCTTTCAGGGTGAGAAGCTGGGGTACCAGCCCAGCCTTGCCCCAGGGGGCCCTCAGTACATACCAGTGTGTTCTTTCTTGCCCTGATTCCCCACGTGCACAGAGAGCTGGTTCCCACTGTAATTATATCTTGCATAAGCCCTCTCTCCACCCTGTACAAGTGCGTCCCTGCATCCCCGCCTCTGTGCTTCTGTGATGTCCAGGGAGCAGGTGTTGGTCCGGGGGTCTCCACTGAGGTGGAATCGGCCCTGGGTCTCCCCCTGAATGTTGTGATCTGGGTTGTTTGTGGACACTGGAGTGTGCTGGTATATACGGGCCCCATCTCAGAACCAGTAACCACAGCTGCGGTAGAATCATTGCAGCTGTTTTTTGAGGAGAAGATGGAGCAGGGCACAAAGACGCATGGGCTCAGGCACTTCCAGCCAGAATATTGCCTCCTGAACCATGTCCCCTGTGGAGAATGAAGGTCAGTGAAGTCCAGCTCCCCCGGCCCCTCTCCCCACTGCCCACAGCAGGGGCAGCAGCAGCATCGCTGAGGCGGGACTTCCCGGGATCCCTGTGTGAGCAGAGAAGGGGAATGGAGTGGAGGGGAAGGGCTGCAGGACCCCCAGAGGCTGGGGAGGAGCAGGAGACTCAGCCCTGCGTGGAAGAGGAACCTCAGACCCTCACACAGTCAGAGCTCATCCCTCCGCAGAAAGCTGCAGAAATCCCCAGGCCCAGGACCCCACGACCCTTGATTCTTTTTCTCCTGTTGATCTGCCTGTTGTCCGTTTATTTCCTAGAGTCAGTTATCGAACCCTCAGGGAGTACAGGGAAACTCTTCTCTCCTCTACAACCCAGAGTATACATCACAACATCAAGCAGCACATTGGGCATTAAAAAATACGATTAAGGACCAGGTGCGGTGGCTCACGCCTGTAATCCCAGCACTCTGGGAGACTGAGATGGGTGGATCACTTGAGGTCAGGGGTTTGAGACCAGCCTGGTTAACATGGTGAAACCCCGTCTCTACTAAAAACTACAAAAATTAGCTGGGCATGGTGGCACGTGCCTGTAATCCCAGCTACTCAGGAGACAGGTAGGAGAATCGCTTGAACATGGGAGACAGAGGTTGCAGTGAGCCGAGATCGCACCACTGCACTCCAGCCTGATGACAGAACGAGACTCCTTCTGAAAAAAAAAAATATTAAAAAAATACGATTATGAAGCCTTTTTTGACGTCTAGTATGTGCACACAAGAAATTTCAGGAATGCATCCAAAATAAGAGCCATGCAAGATGTTTTCATGTAAAGCAAACGGAGAACACGATGTTCTTGGAGCCAGCGCGGAAAGAATTTCCCTTCCCTAAGTGCTCCCATTCAGTGCAAGGTGGCCTGGGGTGATATCCTTGGGCTTTTAGGGTGTTTGTTTTTGTTGTTGTTGTTGTTGTTTTTGAGACAGTCTCACTCTGTCACCCAGGCTGGAGCGCAATGGCACGATCTTAACTTACTGCAACCTCTGCCTCCCAGGTTCAAGCAATTCTCCTGCCTCAGCCTCCCAAGTAGCTGGGATTACAGGCATGCGCCACCATGCCCGGCTAATTTTTGTATTTTTAGTAGAGATGGGGTTTTGCCATATTGGCCAGGCTGGTCTTGAAGTCCTGACCTCAGGTGATCCGCCTGCCTCGGCCTCCCAAAGTGCTGGGATTACAGGTGTGAGCCACCGCGCTGGGCCAATAAATAATTTTATATTTATTTCACATATTTAATATTTATCTATTTCAAAATGTAAAATATATACAGGCATAAATACATAGTAATCGTTTAAAATAATTTTTTTTTTGAGATGGAGTCTTGCTCTGTCACCCACGCTGGAGTGCAGTGGCTTGATCTCCACTCACTGCAGCCTCCACCTCCTGGGTTCATGCCATTTTCCTGCCCCAGCCTCCCGAGTAGCTGGGACTACAGGTGCCCACCACCACACTTGGCTAATTTTTTATATTTTCAGTAGAGACAGGGTTTCACTGTGTTAGCCAGGATGGTCTCAGTCTCCTGACCTCCTGATCCACCTGCCTCGGCCTCCCAAAGAGCTGGGATTACAGGCGTGAGCCACTGCGCCCGGCCTATTTATAATTTTTTTTTAAAGATTTTTCAAATTTTCTGTAGCAAATGTATCCCTTCTGCAATTATAAAATAGTGTGTGTTGTTCTCACTCATATGTAGGAGTTGAACAATGAGAACACATGGACACAGGGTGGGGAACATCACACACTGGGGCCTGTAGGGGGATGGGGGACAGGGGAGGGAGGGCATTAGGACAAATATGTAATGCATGCGGGGCTTAAAACCTAAATGACAGGTTGATAGGTGCACCATGGCACATGTATACCTATGTAACAAACCTGCACGTTTAGCACATGTATTCCAGAACTTAAAGTAAAACAAAATAAAATAGTATGTGTTCTTATAAAAGCAAAAGGCAAATATATTTCCAAGTACTGCTTGAGATACCCTGTGAATTGAACATTTCTGAGTGGCTCTTGCTGCCTTTCCCCTTCTCTGTCTCTCTTTCTCTCTCTCTGTTATTTCTCAGTACGAAACACATCATCGAATCTGTGCACACCTCGACTCCCCCTCCGTGGGCTCCTGTCTACACAAGTCCACCCCTGTGTAGAAGTAATTCAGGAATTAAAAAGCAAATACTGCATGTTCTGACTTATAAGTGGGAGCTCAGCTATGGGTGTGCAAAGGCAACAGGGTGGTGTAATGGACATTATTGGAGACTCAGAATGAGGAAGGGGGTGAGGGATAAAAAACTACAAATATCCTAACCCTCAGTGTTATTCCTGTGAACAAATGTGAACCTGAATGAGCCACTCCTTCAAGACGGATCCTGAGTGGCTAACTGAGCCTGAGTTTAAAATAGAGCCAAGTACAGGTCACCCACGTACTCTGACTTCCCTGAAAACCCACAGCATTTTCATCTTCCGGACTTTCAGAGATCACCTGAGCCAACCAATCAGAGCTCAGCTGTGTCCACCAATGAGAACTCAGAAAGTTTCAATCCTTCATTTGCATAAACAGACCTGATTGGGAGCCTGGGCAGGACGCTAAACCTGACACTTCCCTTGGCTTTATGGAGCGCACCCTTCATTTTACACTGGAGTCTCTCTGGTTTGCAAACTGTTCACTGGAATAAAGTCTCTTTCCTCCAAAATCCTTTTCAGAGAACTTTAGTTTATACTCCTAATAGTGAATTTAGGAATAATGTAAAACTCCAACAAGGACACTGGTTATACGAACTTGGGTTTGGGATTTTACCAGCATGCCCTGCAGCCATTGAAATTGGACTTGCTGAGGAATATTTAATGGTACAAGGGAAGAGTACCCTGTTGAGGGGGAAAGCAGCTGGTCTTAAAACAGGACCAGTAATTTAAAAATTGGGTGACACTTCCGGGGGCCATGCCGCTCTGGGCTCCAGCGTCTGCTTGGTGGCCATCTCCCTCTAACTGGCCAGTGGCATGGAGGGGACAGAGTTGAGCCCCGGGCCCACTCTGGCCCAGACGTGAGTGCAGCTGCATGATGCATCCCAGCCTTGGCAACTGCAGGAGGCAGGGAGGAGCTGCAGCGCCGGCCGACCCCGCCTGGGCCTCAGATCCTATCACACAGGACAGCATGCACCTTAGATCCTGAAGAAAAGGCACAAAGTGTTCAAGTGATGTTTAGAAATCATTTCTGAGTGTATCTTACACATTTGGTGCTAAAGTACCCAAGCATTATGCGCTAGATCCTGATACACACTCCTCAGAATTCTTGCACGGCCAGGGTCAGGTGTCTCTGGGTGCCTGCCGAGCATCCTCCTCTCCTGACTGAAAATGACAATAACGACTCTTCGTCATCCTCCTCTTTCTCTGAGGCTGATGTGGCAAATGGGGTCTGGGTCATTGCAACGGCTGTGGCATGATCCGCGCTGTCATGACGTGGCTTCTGGTCTTCTGTGAGGACTTTGTGGTGACGTTTGTTGTGCTGCTGCCTTCCAAAGACTTCTGGTGCTCTGTGGTCAATGGGGTCATCTTAACCTCTTGGCGGCGTTTGCCTGTTGTCCTAGCTGGGAACCACGCTCACCGACCCCAGGGCGATACCCAAAGGAAAGGCTACAAAAGAATACACGGAGAGTGTGCAGCTGCAGCCCCGAGAAGTGATCTACACCTGCTCCAAGTGCTGCTGTACCAAAAGGAGATAGGTTAGACAGGCGGGTCACAGCCTCTCTTAAAGGGAAACAAACTTGCTAAATAGATGGAGAGAACATCCTGGGCTCATGGTCAGAACGTCTTGCAGCAAGGGGGTAGAAGGGCAGAAGGGAAAGTCCCCAAATTCGTGCAAGTGCAGAAACCCATGCTTAGTTAGTGTCCTTGGGCTGACCTATGCTCATTATAATAGTGAAAACACACCCTCACGTGGAGACTTAAGGTGCTGCTGAGACAGCGATGTATATGCACTAGCATGTACAGCCATTGCGCATGCGGGCCTAACAGACCACCCAGAACACGCTTAAGAGCAACACCGTCCCACCCACGCATGAGTAATCACAGAAGATTCCCCTAAAGGAAGTTTCCCCAGCGTCAGTCAGTGCTGTCTCACCTTTGAGCAGCCGCTCTGACCAGCTGTCAGAGTGCACGTTCACTTTGCAATTAACTGTCTTGCTTACTTTTACACTGGACTCACTCTCGAATTCTTTTGCCTAGTGAAGTCAAGAACCTGAACTGGCCCACCAGCTACAAAGCCAGAGCGTGCCCACCACTTCTGTACTTGCAAAAGATGTGTTTGCAAAACGGGTCACCAGAGCCTGTGGGTGAGCAGTTGTGCAGGAGGTAAGAATCTGAGTTTTCTGTGCTCTTTCCTATGTAGACAGTTCCGTCTTCAGCCCACGGTCTGATTCTCTGTGGATTTCAGTTTATCTCCTGTGTCCGAGGACAGTGGACTGAATGCAGTGAATCCTTACCTGCAATAATTGTCATCCTGCTGATCTTCCTGTACCTTGAGGGTTGTCTGTTTTCACTTTCACTGCAGTTGTTTGGCCATTGAATCCACTCGATAGGCAACAGACAAGACAGAGATCCAGAGATGGAAAAGTGAGAAGCCCAGGTGGGAGCAGAGGCTGCAATTGGGAAAGGGTGAAGTCTGTTTTTCGGGGTCCCCTTATTCCTTTGGATGAATCTCTTCTTCAGCTACTGATATAGGCAACTGCCGATAATGCCCTGGAAAGGAAGCCTGGGGTTCTCAGTGTGAGGCCCCTCTCATCAGGCTGGAACTTGCTAACAGACTTTCACTTATTTACTTGGGGTCTGAAGGGAATGAACAGCTCACCTGGGACCAACAGGGCAAATGGAACCTACACAAACCAATTGCTTACAGCAGGCAGAGTGTGATATATGTACAGTCACAGATTGCAGATTTTCCAGTTCTCACCTGTACAGCTAAGGAAAGGTGCATGGCCACGTATTGAAGCCAAACGTCATTAACTTTCCTGCAGAATTAGGATTTTTAAGAATACTTTGCATTTTTTTTTTTTTTTGAGACAGAGCTTGCTCTTTCGCCCAGGCTGGAGTGCAATGGCATGATCTCGGCTCACTGCAACCTCCGCCTCCCGGGTTCAAGCGATTCTTCTGCCTCAGCCTCCTGAGTAGCTGGGATTACAGGCATGCGCCACCATGCCCAGCTAATTTTTGTATTTTTAGTAGAGATGGGGTTTCAGCATGTTGGCCAGGATAGTCTCGATCTCTTGACCTTGTGATCTGCCCGCCTTGACCTCCCAAAGTGCTGGGATTACAGGCATAAGCCACCACGCCCGGCCTTTTTCTTTTTTCTTTTTTTTTTTTTTTGAGACAGAGTCTCGCTCTGTTGCCCAGGCTGGAGTGCAGTGGCAGGATCTCGGCTCACTGCAACCTCCGCCTCCTGGATTCAAGCGATTCTCCTGCCTCAGCCTCCTGAGTAGCTGGGATTACAGGCATGCGCCACCATGCCCAGCTAATTTTTATATTTTTAGTAGAGACAGGGTTTCACCATGTTGGCCAGGCTGGTCTCAAACTCCTGAACTCGTGATCCGCCCGCCTCAGCCTCCCAAAGTGCTGGGATTACAAACACGAGCCACCGCGCCCGGCCAAACAAGCTACTTTTTAAGAAACCGTTTCAGGGAAGAGGGAGAGCTGCCTCAGGGTCCTCCCCATGGGTTACTATGAATACACTGCATATTGCAGAACATCTTGATCCAGTGAACAGCCGTTCCTGTGTGGTCCTTTGTTGCTCTCCTGTTTTAATTTTGTTTCAAAAATCTTGAGTGTGTGAGGGCCTTGGAACTGATTTTTTTGTTGTTGTTCCAGCAAAATTAGCACTGTAAACATAGCACCTGCATGAGAGAAGAGCAGCGTCTCGGTGGCCTGATATTAATACCTCGGGCAGCTCAATGCTGGTGGCGGAAGACCTTCCGCTTGCTGGCCTGCATGGTGCTGAGCAGCTCCCCCGGGCTTCTCTGTGGCCTGGGTAGAGCCGGCCCTCTTGAGAGTCACTTTGAGGCCTGCGGAGATAGGATGGGTCCAGGTTGCAGCACAGCAGGTGCCAGCAGGTGTGTTGGTGTCAGGTGTGTTGGCTTCTTAGGGCTTCCCTATCAAATTCCCACAACCTTGGTGACTTAAAGCCACAGAAATTTATTCTTCGACATTATGAAGGCCAAATGTCCAAAATCACAGTGTCAGCGGGGCCATCTCCCTCGGAAGGCACTGGGAGGATTCTTCCTGGCGTCTTCCAGCTTCTGGGGACTGTGGCAGCAAAACCCCAAGCTCTGCTTCCGCTGTC
The DNA here is from genome assembly GCF_000001405.40 of Homo sapiens. Classification (NCBI taxonomy): domain Eukaryota; kingdom Metazoa; phylum Chordata; class Mammalia; order Primates; family Hominidae; genus Homo; species Homo sapiens. Next base: position 51,192,553 of record NC_000019.10, on the reverse strand, counting down.
ATGTGGCCTTCCTCCCTATGTGTGTCTTGTGTTCAATTTCCCTCATTGCATTGGGACACCAGTCATGGCACTTAGGGCCCACCTCATCCAGTATGACCTCCTATTAACTTGGCTACATCTGCAAAGACTATTTCCAAATAAAGCCACAGACATAGATACTGGGGGTTAGGACTTGAACATATCTCTTTGGGGGACAAGATTCAACCCAAAACAACCGGCGCCCATGATCAGGATGATGGAACCCCCTGATGTTTCCCGTGTCCATCTCCAGCCCCTCCCTCCTTCCTGAGCTGCTGAATGCCATCTCCACAGGACATCCCAAATGCCCTCGCACGCCAAGCATGGGAATCCAACCCCACTGTTCCCATCCCCTGCCCCAAACACTGGAGAGAAATGAAAATACCTCGATACAGTCTTGCGCAAATATGTTCACAGCAGCTATATTCATAATCACCAAAACCAAAACAGACTAAATATCCATGAACAGAAAAAAAAATGGGTAAACAAACTGTGATGTACCCATTCAGTGGTGTCCTACTCAGCAATAAAGAGGAACAGATGCTGACACACACGACGTGGATGAATCTCAGAACACGCAACGCTGAGTAAAAAAAGACACAGGAATACATACTGGGTGATGCCAATCACATGAAGTTCAAGGACATGGAAAGTAACTTATGGTCGCAGAAACCAGGAAGCGGTGGCTCTCAGGGCTGAGGACTGACTGGGCAGGGCCCCAGGATCTTTCTGGAGTGATGGAAAGTTTCTCTGTCTTTGGGGAGCCGGTGACTCAGGGGTGCCCATTTGGCGGAGCTCATGGAACCGCACATGTGAGATCTGCGTCTTTCATGGTAGGTAAATTTGCCTCAACTGAAAAGCTAATGCTAGTTTCAAATTTCAAGGAAAAACAAGCAAATAAACAACCTGCAATTTTAAAAAACACATGTTAAAAATTTTGAGGAAAACAAATAAAGACATGACATCCCTTTGGCGCAGAGGTCCCCAGCCTTCACCCACTCAATGCACCTGTCACGTCCGGGAGACCCTGGGCTACTGCTGCCCCCTCTTCAGGAAAAAACAAAGCCCTCGAGGAATATTGTTTCCTGCAAACTTATGGCTAAGAGGTGCCCGGCCTGCTGGTTGCTTGACTCAGCACCGGATGAGAGAAGAGACCTCAGAATCAGGCGGGCTTTAAATTCCATCCCTGCCTCGAGTAGCCGAGTAGCCTTGAGACGGCCCTAGTGAGGTTTCCACACCCGGATACACCATGGAACCATCAAGTCAGCATGATCAGCACACCCATCCGCACAAATATCGATCTTTTGTGTGAAAACATTTAAAATCCTCTCTTAGCTCTTTGAAAATACTCAGTGCATGATTCTGTGATTTGAGACAACACGGATGAACCTAGGGGACGTTATGTTGTTTGAAATGAGCCGGGCACAGAGAGGCAAATGTTGTATGACCTCACCTACATGTGGAATCTCAAATAGTCAACCTCAGAAACATAGAGAGGAGAGTGGTGGGTAGCAGAAGCTGGGGGCAGGGACGGGGCCGAGGTGGCCTGGGAAAGGGGAGATGTTGGTCCAAGTTTCGATTCCGCAGGAGGAGGGAGCCCTGGTGACCTACCGCACAGCATAGGGCTCTAGAGGGCTGTTAATTTTAGAAGAATCAGCTTCTGACTTCTCCTTTGCCTGGAGGGACCGTGATCCCCCAATCAGGCCCGAGTCTCTGCAGTTTCTCGCTTGTGGATCTTGATCTCCAAGTATTCACTGTCCATGGCCTCCTGTCCCTGCGCGTTCTGAGGCCTGACCTTATGGAAGCTGAGGGTTGCATGCTGGAGCTCTCCTTCTCCTAAGGAGGAGGCAGCCATGGCTGGGGGGAGGATGCTTCGGGGGGCTGCCGTCTGTCCAGGATTCAGTCAGGGGTCCCTGAACAGAGAGAGCGAGAAGGGAGTCAGAACAGAGCAGTGGGGCCAGGTTGAGGCGGGGAGAGTCTAGGAAGGAGGCCCAGGAGATCCGTCCTCCATTCATCCCACCTGCATTTTTGTCGGTCTCTTTCATGCTTTCCTCCAATATTTAACACTTACTGAGCACCTCATTTGGTGTTTACTAATCTCATTAGCTCCTCCAAGTGTGTAGGAGACTACACACTCAAATACCTCTGAGTCCCTGCTTCATCTCTTGACAGAGATGGCTTAATTATAATACATTTAAATATTAAGTCTCCACCCCAAAATAAACATGAGTTGCATATAACTTAGGTATTTATCCATCACACGTATGCATGACACCCTTTCATAAATACCCAAAACTCTGCCTATAATGTGTTAAATATGTATATTTAGCCAACCCATCCAACATAGAACTCCTGCTCCAAGCCCTCCTCCCTCAAAATACCTGACTTTCAACTTTTACCAGAGGTTACACTTCCCTGCCTGCCTAGATGGCCACTTACAGACTATAGCCCTTTTATTTTTATTTTTATTTTTTTGAGATAGAATCTTGCTCTGTCACCCAGGCTGGAGTGCCGTGGCGTGATCTCGGCTCACTGCAGCCTCCGCCTCCCGGGTTCAAGCGATTCTCGTGCCTCAGCCTCTTGAGTAGCTGGGATTACGGGTGTGTGCCACCACGCCTGGCTAATTTTTACATTTTTAGTAGAGATGGGGTTTTGCCATGTTAACCAGGCTCGTCTCCAACTCCTGGCCTCCAGTGATCTGCCCACTTTGGCCTCCCAAAGTGCTGAGATTACAGGTGTGAGCCACTGCGCCCAGCCTCATGTAATATTTTAAAATCAAAATTAGTGCCAAAAAACTCCATGGAGAACAAACATTTAAAGAAATCCAGGATTTTTAATGTGCTTTGCTGAGCCAATTGCAGCCTGAGGCACGAGAAAAATGTCTGTCCCTCTTTATTTATATATATATATACATATATATATATATTTTTTCTTTTTTTTCTTTTTTTTCTTTTTTTTTTTTGAGACAGAGTCTCGCTGTTTCGCCCAGGCTGGAGTGCAGTGGCACTATCTTGGCTCACTGCAAGCTCTGCCTCCCGGGTTCACGCCATTCTCCTGCCTCAGCTTCCCGAGTAGCTGGGACTACAGACGCCCGCCACCACGCCTGGCTAATTTTTTGTATTTTTAGTAGAGACGGGGTTTCACAGTGTTAGCAAGGATGGTCTTGATCTTCTGACCTCGTGATCCACCCGTCTCGGCCTCCCAAAGTGCTGGGATTACAGGCATGAGCCACCGTGCCTGGCCTATATGTTTTCATGTATGTTTAATGGTCACTTTTATCCGGAACATTAAATAATTGAGCTACTACTGACAAATTGAAAAATGGTGTATAATAAAACATCATTTTAAGTTTAAAGATTTTACGTATACCTAGAGCAGAATTTATTATAATCTGCTTTCCTGGCTCTACTGGAAGCAAGGCAGAAATAATATTTTCAAATTCGACTTTGATTCTCTCATTTTCAACTGAGAACACTGCCCTACTTGATAATTTCTCTTGACTAAGTGATGATCTTAAATAATTCTTAATTCACTTCAGTTTATTTTTTTATTTTATTTTTATTTTTTGAGATGGAGTTTCATTCTTGTTGCTCAGGCTGGAGTGCAGTGGTGTGATCTCGGCTCACTGCAACCTCCGCCTCCCAGGTTCAAGCAATTCTCCTGCCTCAACCTCCCGAGTAGCTGGGGTTACAGACACCCGCCACTACGTCCGGCTAATTTTTGTATTTTTTAGTAGAGGTGGGGTTTCACCATTTTTTCCAGGTTGGTCTGGAACTCCTAACCTCAGGTGATCCGCCCACTTCGGCCTCCCAAAGTGCTGGGATTACAGGCATGAGCCACCACGCCCGGCCACTTCAGTTTATTGAACCTGTCATTATTTAAAATCTTGATATTGGCTTATCATTGGTTTTTTTAAATTTAATTTTGATGTTTTAAAAAACAATGCATGAAACTTAGTTTTTCTCAATTACTGAGATTTTTGGCATCCCCTTAAATGTTGCATTCAAAGCAAGTGCCTCACTCTTCTTACCCTAACTCTGGCCCTCCTGGAGAGGTAGGTGCCTAACAGGCCAGAACGTGCAGGGCTCCAGGCTGAGGAGTTTGGGCTTTGTCAGGGGTTGGCAAACTACAGCCCTTGGATTAAATCTGGCCCATTGCTTGTTTTTGTTAATAAAGTTTTATTGGAACACAGTCCAACTCACCATTAACACATGGTCTACGGCTCATTTCATTCTACAGCAGCAGAGTTGAGTAGCTGCAACAGCAACTGTATAGTCCACAAAGCTAAAAATACTTACCATCTGGTATTTCAGAAAATGTTTGCTGGCCTCTGATCTAGACAATGGGGGTGGAGGACAGCTGTCCAAATGCAGAAGAACTGGGCAGTGATGCCTTCCAGATGGTCCCTCCAGATAGGGAAGGGGAGGTGAGAAGTAGGGAGGTGACAAGGCCCAAGGAAAAGATCCTGAGGCCTCAGCAATGAGAGGGTCAGGTTGGGCGGGGGTGATGCTAGCTGTTCTTTGTGGGGCAAATTGACAAGATAACGGTGAATTTTCAGCTGTAGAGGAAGACAGGGAGGACAGAGAGGATGTAATCCTCCTCCATGCTTGGTCTGGGAGGAGGGGCTGCCATGCTGTCAGCAAGATGGGGGAATCCTGCAGGAGAAGCCAGCTTGTAGGTAGGAGGAGGAGGTGAGGAGGCAACTTTGGCCAGGACTAGCTGAGCAATCCTGGGGGCCATCCTGTGGGAGGTGTCCAGGCTGAATGCTGGGTATGGAGATGCCCACATCGCTCACCTGATAGGCTGAGCCCCTGACAGCGTTTGCATCCTCCATGCCCATATCCCTGATGCCCGCTGCTGGCCTTGCTGATTTCTTCCTGCAGGACCTCACTCTGAGTGAAGAGACCAGAGTCTTTCAGTCTGTACCGATCAAGGTGTAGTGGGTGGACCGACCCCCCGCCCCACCATGTTTCCTATTAAAGGGCTGGAGGGATGACTGAGGTGAGAGAGGGGTGAACCAGTCCCAGGGACCCCGGTGTTGAGAACACAGGTTCCTGCCTTCTGGCTAGTGGGGCCTGAGGTTTGCCATAGACTTGGAGCCTCACGAACAAAGATGCTTGTGAAATTCCCACCGTGCACCTGTGACCTCCTTCTTGCCCTTGCTTTAAGCTCTTGACCATGCAGGTCCCTCCAGCTCTGGCTTCAGGGATTCTGTTCCTGGCCTGCCCTCCCTCAGGGGTCTCCCTCCCTCCCCAGGGTCAATGCTCACACGATGAAGATGACGCAGAAGGACAGGAAGACCAGGGCTGTGGCTCCAGCTCCCCCGACCACCCCCAGCATCACTCCTGATACAGGCCATGTGGTGCCTGCAGATGGATTGGAGTTATCTCTGGGATTTACCTTCAATAACTGGGTCTCCTCACCTTCTGCTGCCTGTAAGGCCCTCGACTTTGATTCTCCTCCCAGCTTTCCCAGACACAAAGAGCGGGCATCAGAAGGAGGAGGATTACGGACTTCTGGTGAGGCCAGTGAGGCATGACAGTGCTGGGTGCAGTTTTTTTTTTAATTTAAAATTTTGATTTGTATTCGCCATGGAATTATTTTGCATTAATTTTTATTTTTTAAAAATGATTATCGTGTCACAGTATTATTTCTCTTGCTTTAGTTTTGGTTCTTAAATTTGGTACCAAGGCAAGTGCTTCACGTGCCTCTTCCTAGTCTAAGCACTGCAAAGCAAGGCACTTGTCTCCCCAGATACACCTGGCCGGGCCCCAGCTCCTCCCCTCCAAGACCCACTCCTCCCCTCTCCCCACCCCGCGCCCATTTCCTGGCGGGGAGAGGACAGTGATGCTCTGGGTTGTGGGGAAGTTCTAGGCCTCACAGCTGAGCACACACCAGAGCTGAGCTCCCCCTTGAAGCTCACGGGCAGTGGGTGGCCCATGAGGGTGGCGCAGGTGTGTTCTCCTCCTCCAGCCCCTCCCCTACCCACCTGTGCCCTCATTCTGCAGGGAGAGGCTCAGGGAAATGTGCTGGGAGCCCCGAGGGTTCTGAGCTCGGCAGGTGAATTCCCCTTCATCCCTCGCGTGCACTCGAGGCAGCTTCAGCAGCCCATGGTTCGAGGACTGTGAGGGGCTCAGGGTCAGGCTCCCTTGGGTCCAGCTCAGCCTGGCAGGGGGATTGCTGTCGACAGCACAGACCAGGCGCAGAGACTGGCCCTCCAGGACTGAGAGGGATGAGCTGTTCCCCAAGGCTGTGGATGCTGTAGAGAAAGAGGTGTGTTCAGGAGGTTGATGATCAGGACCCTCGAGGCTGGCCCTGCTGTATCAATGTCCCCCTGCCCTTGCTGTGGGGCCAAGGAGGGTGCGTGTGGAGGATTCTAAGGGGAGTGAGGGCGGGATGGGAACAGGGGCTCAGGTGGCCACAGGGGCTGAGGATGGGCAGGGGCACTGGATTCACCCACAAGGGGGTCTCAGGTCACCAGGGTGAGTCCAGGATGCGGAGGACCTGGCCCTGCCCTGAGCTGCAGACCTTGCTCCCCCAGCCCCAGGGAGGGGGCTCTGTCCTACCTGTGCCGTCTGCTTGGAAGATAGCCACAGTCAAGTTCTGAGGAGGGTCTGGGACAGAAAGACACGCAGACCCACATCACTGTGAGGGCTGGGGACACTGGCCCTGTCTCCCCAGGAGCCGCGTAAATGGGGAAAGTAGAGCCAGCCACTCCAAGCCCAGATTCTGGGAGCCAGCACCCTTGACCCCAATCCTGCTGCTCTCAGCAACACCCCACCCCACCAGGGACCCAGGCATCCCGGCCCAGCACTCACAGGACGCATTGAATTGGACAGTCCTGGTCAAGGTCACACCAGCCTCAGGCAGGGTCACCTGACAGGTGAGGTTGGTGCCATGGTCCTGGGGCTTTGGGATGAGGGTGAGCACTGAGGAGCGGGCTGTGGTGCGGCCCGGGAAGGACACGGAGGTCCCCATCCAGGAGATGGTAGGGGTATCCCCTGCTCACAGGCCCAGGACACAGAGCAGGTCAGGTTTCCCGGGCGGCCGGACTCCATGGTCCCCAGGGAGGAGATATTGGGCCTGTGGGTCAGGGCTGGTGAGGAGAGGGTTGGGTGCAGGATCGGGAGGGGAGGTCTGAGGTGCAGCCCTGGGGAAGCTCAGGCTCTGGTCCAGTGCCTCCCATGAGCCCGACACGCTTCACCCCCAACCCCCTCCCAGGACAGGGGTCCCAACCCACCCCTGAGCTGCAGCCCCAGGACCTTTTCTTGTGCTGCTTCTGGAGCCTGCGCCTTACCCGTCACCAACACGTGGAGCTGGTTAGACGCGTAATTCCATCTCATGCTTCCTCTCTCCATGCGAAAGAAAATGACCCCTGGTCCTTCCTCCTGGCGTCTCCGATGCTCAGGGAGCAGTCGTTCATCTGCAGGTTTCCAGAGAGACGGAATCGGCCCTGGGTCTCCTTCTTCACTTTTCGTTTTGGGTTGTTCGTAGCCATTGGAGCATCCTGGGCTGTGTCAGCCCCTTCCTGGAACCAGTAGCCATGAACTTGGGGAGAGTTAGTCAAGGCAACCTGGGGGTGGGAGAAGGAGGAGGGCACGTGGACACACAGGCCCTCCTGCACCCTCACCTCCCTCTGCACTTGCAGTGTGTAACCATTCTCTTGCTGTCCCTGTCCCTCCACCCCCTCCCTCCCCCAGAGCAGGGGCAGCAGCAGCAGCATGTCTGGGGTTGTAGGTGCCAGGGCTGCCAGGGAACGTCTGTTCCTCAGGGTTCTTCTCTCAGGAACTGAGGGCTCAAGACTTAGAGGAGGCCCCACAGGAAGACAGGGGCGAGGTCGGAACAGTGACCTCCTCAGAGGAGGAACTTCACAACCCAGACACTGTCAGGGTCCGCCCTTGGAGATCAATCATCTACAATCCCACATCCACTCCTGGGTCCCTGAACTCAGACAGGGTGAGAGACTCACCCAGATTCCCTCCCCATGCCGAGACTGATCTCCACATCCTGCCTCTCTGTCTCACCCTTGCCTCTGCAGGGTGAAACTGGGTCCATCTGGCCAGACCCCCGAGTCTCCTCTGTGGCTATCACTGTTTGTGGAGGTCAGACCTGCCAAAGGTGAGACTCAGGGCCATGAGAGACAGGGGTGCAAGCGGTGTGAGCAGGCAGCCTCTCCTCCCTCCCTCAGCAGCTGCAAGGTGGGCACCCCCTTTCTGCACGACGAGATCAACAAGGCAGAGCTGGACGCTGTCCCCAAGGAGTCACTGTGCAGTGGGGAGACAATGAGGCTCCTGACATCTGAGCTTCCCATGACAGGAGCTTCAGTGCAGGGCTCAGGCAGGTGGGGTCGCTCTCCCCTAGGTTGAGGGTTCAGTCTCAGGAGGACTGAGCAGAGGGATGCGGGGCTGTGGAAGATTTTGTGTGTTGATACGTGCCAAGGACACTGAGGGGAGCCCAGCCTGCAGGAGGCCGGGGAAACTGAGGCTGTTGTTCAGTGAGGCTTGGAAAGGAGGGTCAGGACAGAAGGCGTCAATTTGAAAAGGGCAGACACTTCTCCCTTCGTTGTGGTTACCTGGACATCAGGAGGGGTTTCTTCACCGCTGGCATCTCATTCAGCCACACTTCCCCTGGTTAGTCCACAGCAGGCGGCGTCTGCTGGACCCAGGGCTTTGCTCCTGCAAGTGCTGCTCCCAGGAGTCCAGGTGAACAGGAGCCATGGAGCGAGGACCCCAGGCCTGGGGCGTACACCCTCAGTGCTGGGCAGGATTATTTTGGAGAAGAAACGTGCACCTGAATTAAACAGAAGACTATTTTTAACTGTGTGGCTGCAGGCTGAGAGGGAGTGGTGGGGGACCCTGGGAGGTGGAGCCTCCTTAGACCCATGTAAGTTTTCTTGAAACATTTTTTTGGGGGAAACAGAAGACATATAGATAAAAGTGACCCCAAGAGATCATCTCAGGCAGGGTGCGGTGTCTCACACCTGTAATCCCAGCACTTTGGGAGGCCGAGGCGGGCGGATCACCTGAAGTCAGGAGTTCGAGACCAGCCTGGCCAACATGGGGAAACCCCGTCTCTACTAAAAATACCAAAATTAGCCGGACATGGTGGCGCATGCCTGTGATCCCAGCTACGCGGGAGGCTGAGGCAGGAGAATCGCTTGAACAGACAGAGGCTACAGAGCTGAGATCGCGCCACTGTGCTCCAGCCTGGGCGACAGAGCAAGGCACTGTCTCAAAAAAAAAAAAAAAAAAAAAAAAAAAAAAAAAAAAAAAGGAGCGATTAGTGATTAGGACAGAGACATGCTCAGAAGAAAGGCCACGTGGGACACAGGGAGAAGATGCCACCCGCAAGCCACCGAGAGGCCTCAGAAGGAAGCAACGCTGACCACAGCTTGGTCTCAGACTTCCAGCCTCCAGAAGGGTGGGAAAACAAAGGCGTTGTTGAAGCCACTCGGTCTGTGTTCCTTTCTCAAGGCGGCCCTGGCAAGAGAGTCCATGGAGTGGTCGAGAGGATTCGATGTGTTCCTGTGAGCACAGCCCGGTGTGGACCGCGGTGGATGCAGAGCCCCACAGGGGTCTGGGACAGCCTGTAACATGGGATGCTCAGAGGATGGAAGGAGAAAAGGGAAGGGAAGGGCTCCTCACCAGAGGAAACCTGTGCTGCTGCCGCCCTGTCTCTGACATCTGCAGGGCTGCCCCCTCCACCCACACTCTCCCTCCCTCCCCAGGACCGGGCAGGGCTCTCAGCCGCAGCCCCTCGCTGCCCCTGCACCCTGGGCAGTTGCCTCCCATCTATGGGGCGGAGCCGCCTGGGCGTCTGGGCTGGGCGAGGCGGAGCCTGGAGGGGCACCGGCCACGGGCAGGGGAGACAGAGGCGGGCACAGCCTGGCGGGGTCCGGGCTGAGCCAGCGGGGAGGACGGGGCTGTGGGAGCCCAGCGGAGAGGGTGAGGATCCGCGGGCAGGTGGGACAGGTGAGCTGGGAGGTGAGAGATGGGCAGGGCTGCCTGAAAGGCAAGTTCATCCCAGAGCAGCGAGCAGGGCGCAGCCAAAGGCCGTGGGGGAAACAGCGGCGAGAAAAAAACGGCCAAAATTCTGCCCGCAGTGCGCCTGTATCCTAGCGGGGCGGCCACAAAAATATTGTTGAGTAGCAAGAAGTGTTTCGAAAGTGTGCAGTGGGTAAAGTGTGAGAAAATAAAGCAGATTTAATCAAGAGGAACGGAGTCCTCAGGGCTGGCTGGAGAGGAGCGTGGTTTCAAGAACGCGGTCAGGAAAGGACTCGCTGAGAAGAAATTTGGCGCCCAAACGTTCCTGGCACCGCCCGCGGCTGCTGATTGGCTCAAGCCCGTAGGATTCCTCTGGGCCTGAAGGTGCGGGGAGGGACTTGCACTTTCAGCTCCTGATTGGCTGTGCGTCAGCTCCCAGAGGCAAGTGTCCGTGGGGGAAAGCTCCATCTGCCTCGCAGATCTGCTGCGTAATAGGCACCTGAAGCTGCTGATTGGCTACTAAAGAGGCCTGTGCAGCCACTGATTGGCTGTGGGGTAGACGCACAACGTGCGAGGCGCGCGGGCTGGGCCCAGGGCGACAGCGGAGCCTTCACACCGCTTTCTCCGCGCGCTGATGGAGGATTCCTGGCCTCACAGCAGTGCCTGGCCTGTGGGCGTCCCCGGCAGTCCTCGGCTGCGGGACCTGTATCGGGACTGCGCAAAGTGGGCTTCCAGGAGAGCAGGGCGTCCCTCAGTCAGCTGACCCCTTGGAGCGTGGGGCAGCCCAGGCCCGTGAGGCCGCCAGTGTCACCCTCAGGCCCGCGAGGCCCCCGAGCCCCTTGTGGGGTCCAAGGCCCATTCTGGATCAGTCACGAGGCAAGACCGCGGACCCTCAGGAGATCACCAGGAGCCCGCCGCGCATTCCTCCGCCTCCACCACGCCAGTCACCTGCTCAGCCCGAGGGCAGCCAGCGGCCGTCGCCCCAGTGAGGCGGCCGGTGAGGAGCTGAGGCCGTGACCAGGGCAGCGCCCCGCGAGTCAGCGTCAGTCCCCGCGCCAGCCAGTTCCTCAGACAATCAGGTAACGCGCCCCCACGGCCTGCCCTGGCCAGCAGTTAGCTGGGCTCCTGCCAGTCAGCCTCTTAGGAGGTCGTCCCCTGTAAGGCACTCAGTCGCTAGTCACACGGTTACCGCCTGTGTAGACCAGGTAATCGGGTTCACGCTGTGAGTCACTGGGCTCCCTGGCAACCCAGCCTTTATGTCAATCATCCATAAGCCAGTCAGTGATTGACTGCAGCCCCCCACCCCCACCCACACCCCCACCCACCCGTTGACCCCTTTGGCCTCAAACACGTTCCTCATCCTCTCTGCTCCAGGGTCCGAGGAAATCCAGGTTTGCACATCTTCACTGAACCTCCAACTCCATCTCCTCGTATACTATGTACATATATATGTATACACACACATATACTATGTACATATATATGTATACACACACATATACTATGTACATATATATGTATACACACACATATACTATGTACATATATATGTATACACACACATATACTATGTACATATATATGTATACACACACATATACTATGTACATATATATGTATACACACACATATACTATGTACATATATATGTATACACACACATATACTATGTACATATATATGTATACACACACATATACTATGTACATATATATGTATACATATATGTATACATATATATGATACTGCATGTAACACCTTGGACTCATCTTAAGAATTTCTGCTATTCCCATTTGGGTGATGGGAAGCCACTGAAGGGAGCAGAAAAGTGGATTTTTAGAATTTACTCTGTCTTCCCTGTGGAGAACAGATTGGAGGTGGGCAGGGAGCAGGTGAGAGGATAAGTTTCCTCACTGCATACTGAGGTCCCACTATGGAAAGTGAGTCCCTGAAGGCAAAGACGTACAACTTTCAAAAGCACTGTGGACTTGCTTTGCGCGCAGTAGGTGATAAATATGTGTTGATTGGCAGGCTTACCAAATCTACAGAAAGGTAAACACACAAGTAGCACAATCTTGCATAAAGTACTTCTTTAATTTTGGTAAATAAAGCATTATAAAAATACATATGTCTTCCTTCTCCCTGCTTTGCTTACTCACAACTATAGGGAATAGTTTTGGAAGCCAGATATCAGAGTGAAGAGAAGTTCTTTGGTTTTTCTGTGTATGGCAGGGCCAAATCAGCAAAGAGCTTCTCTGATGTGTGAAGGTGGGTTAGGAGAGAAGAGAGAGGTTTGGGAGCTAATAATCATGGAGTCTCCATGTCTGGACCTTCCCTTCGGGCTCCCATGTCCAGGATCTTCCTCTGTCCTGAGGGAGAAAGGAACTCAAATTTTTCTCACCTTCCTTCTCTGGAGGTCTCCAACCCTGCCAGGAAAAAAACAGTAGTGATGTCAGATGCCTGAAAAGGCTGGCTCTGGGCTGGGCGCGGTGGCTCATGCCTGTAATCCCAGCACTTTGGGAGGCCGAAGTGGGTGGATCACAAGGTCAAGAGATTGAGACCATCCTGGCCAACATGGTGAAACCCCGTCTCTACCAAAAATAGAAAAATTAGCCAGGTATGGTGGCATGCACCTGTAGTTCCAGCTACTCTGGAGGCTGAGGTTGCAGTGAGCTGAGATCACACCACTGCACTGCAGCCTGGCGACAGACAGAGACTCCATCTCAAAAAAAAAAAAAAAAAAAAAGGCTAGCTCTGGGGAGGACCAGCTGGCGAGCCCTGTTGTAGGGTTTGGGGGACTTACATAAGGTTAGATAAGGGATTACCTTGGGGAGGGTGTGATCACCTGGTGTAATAGATCTTGGAAAGGCCACAGGTGTGGAGGAAGCCAGGCCCCTGCATGGGCACCCCTGAGCCCTCAGAAAGGCACACATAGGGGAATGTTAGAAGGGCATGAAGTTCTTCTCTGTAGGTCTCAGGGCCCTATCAACAGGGCCCAGACTTCCTGCCACTTCATGACTCTGGGGATCAGGACAGCCTGAGTTAGACAGAAACTGCAGGAAGTGTCTAGGGAGAAATCAGGGGTGAGAGCCTTGGAGTGTCTGAGATCACACACACAGAGAGAACAGAAGGCTCCAGACGCAAATGCCAGAAAACACAGAGGAAAATCTTTTCACAGAGTGAAAAAGTGAAAATCTGCTCAGATGGAGAAAGAGAAGTAGCAGCCTTGCACTTATTCAGGCCTAGTGGGAGGACAGCTGCAACATCACAAGGAAACTTTGTTTCCCAAGGTCTTGTAATAGCTGTAAAATATCCTAAGAATCTTGAGTGATTAACACTTTCCTACCAATGATACCCAAGATCAGCTTTATTATTCCCATCTAATTACTGGGGATACCCATGTATTCTATCCTTTTCCCGGAACTACACCAATCCCTGGTTAATACCCATATCGAGTAAGGAGCCCAAGTCTGAGGATGAAAGCACACCCTGGAGGGTCTCAGTTACCCCTGACCAGCTTCATTAACCTAGGAAGTCACCAGACCCTTCCCTGGGCTCCTGCCACCTTTGCACTGGAGTCTGATCAAGGTTCTGCCTCACAACTCCCAGGGATGATGGTCCACCCACTAGGAGACATTCTGGCCCCTGGGAAGACCCAGGCAGGGGAGCTGTCACTGTGTGTGACAATTTGAGCTCAGATGCTTCCCAACTCTGCAGAAGGTCTTGAACCCAGAGGCTAGCGTCCTAGTCCTAGCCCAGAAGGGTAGAGGGGTGAGAAGCATCCAGGCCTGCTTGAGAGGGATGGATGGAGTCAGGGGTGTGGCAGACAATCAGGACTGGGTGGTGCTGGGTTCTTCTCTCTGGCCCCTTTTCCTACTGCTCCAGTTAACTCACAAGTAGTGTCCCTCCTGTGGACAGTGTCTGTCCATGCCACCTGGCTGAGCCACAGGGAAGGAGGAGGCTTGGTAAGCTCCTGTTTACTGATCTCTGTACTGCTCTTTAAATACCTTGCTTTATACCAGTCTCTCTCTCTCTCTCTCTCTCTCTCTCTCTCTCTCTCTCTCTCTCTCTTTCTCTCTGTCACACACACACACACACACTTCTGAAAGTGAGAGACTAGACTTTACAGTTGATAAAGGAGCAAACCGAGGGTCAGGAATATTAGACATTATGACTGGATCTCTTTTTCCAGTTCTGCCCACTGGTCTCAGTATCTCTGGGCTGGAAACGAGAGCCTCAGGCCTGATGGAGAATGATAGCGCTTCATGGCCACTTGTTTCTGGCTCACACTGATCCCCTTTTTGAGTGATGTGGGACTCTCCTGATGTTGTTGGTCGGGGGATCCCCTTCCACTCAGGAGAGGATGAACCTTAGGAGCTCGCCTAGCTGCCTTCTGCTGCTGGGTCAGGGGCTGTGAAATGATGAGTTGGGGTGTCCTCCCTCAGGTCGGGGGAGATGCAAGATCCCTGGCCTCTGTGTTGTTCCTCCAGTCATGGGGTCTTAAACCAGCTCAGCTTCTTCTTATCACACTTCAGAGTTCTCCTTTGGTGTCTCTTGAACCATCTACAGGATTTATAGTTTTGCTTAGAGGGTTGGAGCAGGGACAAAATGGGCCGATGTCATCTTGTCTGGACCGGAAATCTAATTGTAAACTTTTAATGTTTTAGCGGACAGATTGATCCCTATCACCAGCCAGCCGTTATCATAGAAAGACATGTGACTCAGCTGTCCCTTTGAGGGATAAGGGAGTGAGGTTTTGGCATCATGGCTTTTTAAAGCAACACCAGAATCTTCCATCTGTTTATTTAAGGGTCATTATGAACTTATGGCATAATGCGTTCACCCCGTCATGGTTTGGGTGCTGCTGGTTTTCTAAAAATGATTTTTATTATTTCACTTAGGCTTTTTAGGAAGGTGGTTAGAGCTTCTGCTTCCCTCTATCTTCTTGATGTAGACATCCACTTTTGAGGTCATTTTGAAAAATAAGAAGGTGTTAGCCTGATGGTGGCATGGTGACAGTCCTTCATGGAGGAGGGACGTGGATGCACACCCACAGGGAGAGATGCATCTGAATGGGGTCCACAGAGCATGGCTTGAGTGTAGGCTGTGCCATTGAGAAGTAGACTGAGTGAAATTCAGGGGAACCTAGAGTAGAGGCCAGCACACTACAGCCCGTGGGGTGCCTGTTTTAGTAAATATCATTTTGCTAGAACACAGCCATACAATTCGTTTGCAGATTGTGACTGCTTTGGTGCTACAATGGCAGAGCTGAATAGTTGCAACAGAGACCTTATGGCTTGCAAAGCTGAAAATATCTACTGTCTGGCCTTTTACAAATGAGGTTTGCTGATCCCTTACTTAGAATTTCACGTTGAGAAGCTTCAAATTCTTGTGGGTTGAGGAGCTAGGGAACTATTTTGACTGTGTTCAGCCCTGAGTTTTAGAAAATTCCCAAAGTGCTAATATCTGGCTTTGCCAGTAGCAGGACCTAAAGGAGACAGAAAATTTGACAGCAGACAGGTGAGATGGAAAGAAAAGATTCAGGAGTAGAGAGAGATGATGTTGGAGGGCAAGTCAGGGAAGACATCTCTGGTGGGGTTTTGAGCATCGAGTGAGACAGACATGTTGCTGATACAGTTTCAGGGATGAGACCATCACGACTCTGGACCAAATGTCACTATTGCCTTCTGTTCGAGGGGGAAGGAACCGTTATGCACCAAACTGTCACTATGCACCAGGAGTGGTGTTTTTCATGTGTAGCTTTATTTAATCCTCACAATATCTCTGAGATAGGACGTCTTGCACCCATTCTACAGAGCACAAAATGGAGACATGGAAGGTTAAGAAGCTTGCATGATATCATACACTTAGCAAATGAAAGAGCACAGATTTGATTCCAGGACTCCTTGCTTGAAAAGTCTAAGATGATGTTAGTATAGCAGGAAAGTTCCATAATGTCTATAAACCCATTGCCTGTGGGGTATTAAATCTCCAATAATCAGCCTTTGGCCCCCTGCCTATAGAGGATCTGGATCTTCTGGCTAAGCCTGATGCTCTTGTGGGTTCCTCACTGGGTCCTGACCTGTGAGTATTCAGTGGAGGTGCCCTTGGAAGGATTCATCCCATGAAAGCTGAGGGAAGCATAATGCAGCTCCTCACCCCATGGTGGGGGCAGCCCCTGAAGAGCTTCAGAGGTCAGAGGGGCCATGTAACTTGGACCTCTTCTGATGTTCCATGTGGAGAGAAAAGAAGTTGTTCAGAGCAGGACAGTGGGGAGGTGGCTGGACAGTAAGCAGAGAGAGTCCATTAAGAAAATTTGAACCTGACAGGATGTTTGTTTACTTTTCCATTTTTTTTCATCAAATGTTTCTGAATTAAGGCTCCACTTACTCAGTTAAGCAACACTGGTAACACTTATTGGTTGATACTTGGTACTTACAAAGGTCATACATCTGTTGAACCTGAGCTGAACCCCAGATCTCTGGGACCTCCTATGTGCTGGACACTGGATCCTCAGGAGGGAGCAAAGCAGACCAGAGCAGGGGTGGGGGTTGTGACTTCCAGTACTTGAGGGGATGAAGACAGAAACATACAGGTAATTGTAAATTTTGACAGTGTGCAGCTGAATAGGAGACAGTAGAATGATGGAGGCCTAATTAGATCTAACCATGTCCTTGTGGAGCTCACAGTGTGGTAGGGGAAGCCATGGGAATGCAGTTAACTCAAGGGGTGAAAAGCCCTACACAAACAGGGAACATAGTATCATGAGAGACACAAGAGCAGATGCTGCCAGAAATGGCAAGTCTACAGGGCACGACCATATTCTGCTGCAGGCCCATTTCTTGGTTCTAGATTTGGTGCAGTGTTTCTCCAAATAGTACTTGGCACTGACGGTTTCTGCCTTCTCTCCTTCCATTCTCTCTTGAACTCTTTCTAGTCAAGAGATCTTCCTCTACCAGGCAACCAGATCTGCTTTTGTCAATACCAGTTGTGATACAACTTAGCTAAATTCAAATAGTCGTTTCTCAAACCCTATCTTACCAGACTTACCAGCATTTGAAACAAATGACCAATCTCTCCTTGAAACTCCAGCCCCCGTTGGCCACCATCACCTGAACTTGCACTCTCCTGGTCACTCATTTCTCCTCAGCAGCTGCTCTATACAGTCTTCTTGCTGTTTCCACCTCTTCTCCCTGACACTAAATGCTGGAGGGTCCTGTGGCTGTGTCCGTGGACCCCTTCTCTTCTTTGTGGATTCGTCCATCATCAAACCTTAATGTGGAGGCTCCCAAACCTGTGTATCTCCCACCTGGACCCCTTTCCTGAACTTCAGACTCCTGCCTTCTACCTACAATCCCTACGTGGGTGGCTCGGGACCACCTCCAAATTACAGTAACCAAAACAATATTTGATCTACACTTAAGAATATTCTCCTCCTGCAGGGTTGGCAATTTTAGTTGTTGGCAGTTAAATTATTTAAGTCTCCATTCTGGGTAACCACATGGGCATCATCTTTGGCACCTGTGGGCATCTGTGACATCTATGGAGGTGTAATCAGACTCTCCATGATATTATTGAGGTCATGGATGTCTTCATGGATATCCATGACATCTATGATATCTGTGGACTCACCTGTGATATCTGTGGCACCTATCAAGCAGAGGCCACGAGCTATCTTTGCTCTTACCCTACGTGCACTCCGTCACTCCATTCGCAAATACTATTGGCTTCATCTTCAAGATGTGTCCAGAACCCAACTTCTCCACATGAGATTCATCATCCTTACCCAGGACTATGTCTGCGTCATCTCTTCACTGGATTCTCTGTATCCACTAATCTGGTCTCCTCTCATCTATACTTTCTCACACTGCAGCCTGAGTGACCCCACTAAAGTAAGTGTCATTTCATCTCACTCTTTTGCTCAAATGCATAAATAAGTATAATGGACTCAGGACACTGCAATATTTGTAGCCTCCATCTCTCTCCAACTTCATTTCCTACATTTCCTACCCACCTGTGCTCAGTTCTCATATCCCACATGACTCTGCTTTTTCTAAGCCTCTTTGCAGCTCACCATTCTCACCTCCTGTGCTGGGTAACCATTGATATGCTCTCTCTCATGGTGAGTTACTTTTGTCCACATGAGAATTTCCTAGAAATGTACTCATTTGTGTCTGTATTCTTTCATCTCAGCAGTAATATTTTTGGAAACTGAACCAAGTTGTTGAATGTGCATTGTAACATCTCCAATCTGGACCCCTCTCTTGAGCTCCTGACAGTTACATCCGGCTGTCTCCCTCCTAGTCCCATTCTGATGTCAGGTGGATTCTCAGAATTAATCATTCTCTAGGAAAGTCCTTCCCTCTTCAGTCCTCTATGGACAAAGCTCCTTCCTTCCAGGTGCCCAGGGGAACATTCCGGCCTCGTCCTTTGTATTGCCTTCCCCTCACTGAACACATAGTTAGCCTGTGATCCTTATTAGCTTGATCTTCCACACACATCCAAAAACATGTCCTCACCCCACCCTGCCTCGCTGGCTCAGCCCTCATCCCTCCTCCTGGAGGACCCAGCAGTGCCTTCCCCGTCTTCCTGTGGCTGCCATGACCCACTTGGGCCTGCTCTGACTCAGGCATTTGAGGTCAGAGTGAGAGTCCAGTTGTGTCTCTGCCCTTCCCAAAGGCTCCAGGCTCCTGTGCGCGCTGCAGCACCCCACGCAGTCTGCAGCTTCCTTCCTGCTGCTCCCTCCTTACCCTTCCTCTGCTCTAAGACATGGGGCTCTGGTTGAGCCCACAACCCCCAGGCCTGCTGCTGCCTCTGAGCAGTGCACTTGCTCTTCCCCTTATCCTTTTCCTGGGATGCTTTTCTCTTATTCAGACTCAGAGCCCGCCTCTTCAGCACCTTCACGTCTTTGCCTAAATGTCACCTCTTTCCACTATCAGATATAGAAACTGTTTCCCAGTATAGTCTGTGCTTATTTCCCTGTGTTATTTTTCTCTAAACAAATATCTCTATCCAACATGGGAAAAAATATTTTACTTATTTCTTTTTATTTGTATCCTTCTGCTCTTCAGAACAACAGCTTGATGACAGAGCTCTTTGAGTCTATATCTATTGATGAACTTCTTGCACATACGGAAATGCTGGCACATAGTCATTATATGTATTCAGTATGGTTACTGAATATGTCTACAAATTAATGAACAAATGCCACATCTCCGCTTAATATCATACAAGGATTACATAAAAATACACACACCTGGATGACATTTAAGACAACCTGAAGGATGATAAGGACCTGGATTGGCAGGAATGGGGAGGAAGGCCATTTCAGGAGAAGTAACTACACATGCAAAGTCTCAGAATCACAGAGGGCTTGGCCTGGTGGGTGTAGGGAGACTTCGGGTGATGCAAGGAGAAGGGGGATCAGGAGCAGAGTCCAGCAGAAGACAGATCGTGAAAGGCCTTCAGTCCAGGCAGTGGCATTTGCACTTCATTCTCCAGCAATGAAGAGGAAACATGGCCATTCAGACTGTGGAGGAACTGGATGAGGAGACATCTGGAAGTACAGTCTGGAGGCCTGTGTTGGGGAGAGATGGAGGCAGGAGGTGAAAAGGGTTCAGTGATCAGGGAAGAGGTGAGGCCGCAAGAATGACCAGGGTCAGGATGGAGAAAAGGGCATCAAGATGAGCCCTGCTTAGGAGAAGGAGGGACAAGAGCTAGTAATTTATGGGATCTAGAGAAGGGAGGGGGGTCAAGATGGAGACCCACACCCAGGTTCTGACTTTAGAGATGAGGCCTCTTTGTCATCTGCAGGATGAAGAACCCACATCCCAGGAAAAGTAGGTTTGAGGAGGAAGACAGTTGGCTTAACTTTGGCCATGATGGGCAGAGCAATCCTGGAGGCCATTGTGGAGGAGTTATCCAGCAGGATGTTGAAGAGTGAGAGGCCCACATCACTCACCTGAGAGATTAACCCATGACAGCATATACATTCTCCTCAACCTCCACTGCCCTCACCGCCTTCTTCTTGTGGAAACTGACATTGAGTGAAGAGACAAGGACCTGTAAGTGTGGCCACATGAAGGGAGCAAAGGGCAGCCAACTCAACTTCCTGTGCCCTGCTAGAGGCTGGAGGGATCACAGGGAGGAAGAGCAGGTCTAGACTTCCTTGATGACAACAGGAAGCTCCCCATCCTGGCATTTGGCCCTCAGTTGGGACAGACACAAACTGACCACAAATGGCCCATGTGTAATTCTCACCACCAATTCAGCCTCCAGCCTGGCCCCAGGACCACGTAAACTGTCTGCATACCCCCAGGATTGAGATTCTGGGATTCAGCATCATGTCCTCTGCCCTCCCCATGCCTGTCCTTGGTCTTCAGGCAGTGCTTACCTGAGGATGATGAGGCAAAGGCAGAGAAGCAGGATCTTCACAGCCACTACCCCCACGGCCAAAACAACCACCTCTTCCACGGTTCCTGATTTCCCTGCAAAAAGGTGGGATGAGGCCCATTCACCTGCTAAACCACAAACCATGTCCTTCCTCTCCCAAGACAACTTGGACATTGGTTCTTCAGATCCTTCCTGCATCCTTGGATGTGGTATCACATCAGCCCAGGGCTCATTCTAAGCTGTTCCCTGACTGTCCAGCAGTTGGAAGAAGAAATGATACATAATTTGGACTTTATCAAAATTAAAAACTATTTTGCATTGATTGGCACTATCAAGAAAGTGAATAGACAACCCACAGAATGGGAAAATACATTTGTAAAGCACAGATCTGATAAGGGTGTAGTATCCAGCATATATAAAGGGCATGTAATTTACAAACCACTCAAATTACAAACAACCCAAATTAACCTATTAAAAAGTAGACAAAGAACTTGAGTGAAAACTTCTCCAAAAAGATACAAATATCAATTGGTCTATGAAAATATGTTCAATACCATTTATCAGTATCTTAATGCCTATTGAAGCCACAATGAATTACTACTTCACATGCACTAGAAGACCATAGTTCTTTTAGAAAAGGAAAACGAGAATGTTCAAAAGAATATGGAGAATTTGCAACTCTGTACATTGCTGGTGCAATGTAAAGTGGTGCTGACACTGGATAACAGTCTGGCATTTCCTCAAAAAGTTAAACACAGAGTTACAATATGACCTAAAAATTACACTCCTAGGGCTATGCTCAAGAGAAATAAAAACATAGGTTCCAACAAAAAGTTGTACATGAATGTTCCTGGCAGCATTATTAGTAACAGTCAAAAAGTGTGAACAGCTCTAATGTCTATCAACTGAACAATGAATGAGCAAAACATGGTCTCTCCATACAATGGGATATTAGGTTTCAAAAAGAATGAAGTATTCATGCATAGTACTGGGGTGAACCTTGACAGCATTCCGTTATGTGAAAAAAAAATCAGACACAAGAGGCTGTTTTTTGTGTGATTCCACTTATATGAAATGTCCGAAATAGGCAAATCTGTAGAGACAGAAGGCAGATTAGTGCTTGCCAGAGGAGGGGATAATGGGAAGTGAGTGCTTAATGGGTACAGAGTGGATTTTTGAAGTAAAGAAAATGTCCTGGCATTAGATCATGGTTATGGTTGTACAATATGTGACTAAAAGCCAGTTTAGCATATAATTTAAAATGATTCAAATTGTGAATTTAATGTTATATGAATTTTATCTCAATTAAAAAGTGCATATAAATAAAAAAATTATATGGAGATAACAATTTTCACCTAATACTGGCAAAAAGCGAAAGCTTTCATTCCACATTGGGTTGATGAAGACACACTTTCGGCTGGGTGCGGTGGCTTATGCCTGTAGTCCAAGCACTTTGGAAGGCTGAGGTAGACAGATTGCCTGAGCTCAGGAGTTGGAGACCACCCTGGGCAACATGGTGAAACCCATCTCCACTAAAATACAAAAAATTAGCCGGGCGTGGTGGCAGGCACCTGTAGTCTACCAGCTACTCGGGAGGCTGAGGCACGAGAATTGCTTGAACCCATGAGGCGGAAGTTGCAGTGAGCTGAGACAACGCCACTGCACTCCAGCCTGGGTGACAGAGTGAGAGTCTCAAAAAAAAAAAAAGAAAAAAAGAAAAGAAAAAGAAAAGAAAACACTGTCACCCCATGCTGTTGGGGATGTAAACATATCCACCATTGACTGAGAACAATTTGGCCATATCTCTCAAAATCAGAAAGAACGTAAGACCCAGCTATTTTGCTTTAAGTAACTGATTCCACAGACATAGACATACACTGGCAAAGTAGATAGAAGACTGTTCAATCCTTTGTTTCTGTTGGTAGAAACATGATATTCCATTTCAAGAAGATATATACAGAATTAGGATCCAACTCTTCAATGGAACACTACACAGTCTGAGAGTGAGGATAGTCTGTGCTGCTGATACCAAACGACCTCTGAGATCCTTCCAGAGAATACACCAGGGCTCAGAGCAGCCAGGATGAACACTCTTTGATTCTGGGGAGGAGGACAAGCATCTGAGAACAGACTCTGCTATGGATTTAGCATTTTTGCCCATGCGATTGTATCACCTGTCCAGAAGTACATTAAACTACTGGGAAAAATTTAAAGTTGAGGCTGGAGGAGTATTTAGGAGGTAGATGATAAGGGGCTCAAAGGCTAGTCCTGCTGTATGAATATCACTCTGTCCTTATTGTGGGGCCAAGGGGTGTGTGTTTGGAGGAGTCTGTGGAGGAGTCTGCGGACAGGTGTGGGTGGCAAGCCACCCAGGTGCCGAGGCAAGAGACTGAGGGCACAAGCTGTTCCAGTGTAATAAAATATATAAAACCACAAGAGTTATACTAGATCAAGATCATAGACATGATTATACATGAATATCATTAATCATTAGTTTGTAGCAATTACTCCTTATTCCAATATTATAATAATCCTCGTTCTACAATTATAACCTAGGAAAAACCAGGCTATACAGAGATAGGTGCTGAAGGGACATAGTGAGAAGTGACCAGAAGACGTGTGAGCCCTCTGTCATGCCCAGAAAGGGCCACTAGAGGGCTCCTTGGTCTAGCGGTAACGCCAGCATCTGGGAAGACACCCGTTGCCAAGCAGACCGTGGTCTAGTGGTAGCGTCAGTGCCAAGGAAAAACACCCGCTACTTAGCAGACCAGGAAAGGGAGTCTCCGTTTCCCTGGGGGAGTTTAGAGAAGACTACTCCTCCACCTCTTGTGGAGGGCCTGACTCATGTCAGGCCCACCTGCAGTTATCTGGAGGCCTAACCGTCTCCCTGTGATGCTGTGCTTCAATGGTCAGGCTCCTAGTCCGCCTTCATGTTCCATCTTGTACACCTGACTCTGCCTTTTAGATAGCAGTAGCAAAATTAGTGAAAGTACTAAAATTCTCTGATAAGCAGAAATAATGGTGTAAGCTGTCTCTCTCTCTCTGTCTCTCTGCCTCGGCTGCCAGGCAGGGAAGGGCCCCCTGTCCAGTGGACACGTGACTCACGTGACCTTATCAGTCATTGGAGATGACTCACACTCTTTACCATGCCCCTTTTGCTTTGTATCCAATAAATAACAGCGCAGCCAGGCATTCGGGGCCACTACCGGTCTCCGTGTCCTGATGGTAGTGGTCCCCCGGACCCAGCTGTCTTTTATCTCTTTGTCTTGTGTCTTTATTTCTGCAACTCCCTCGTCTCCAAACATGAGAGAAAAACCTACCGACCCTGTGGGGCTGGTCCCTACAGACAGGTGCTCAGGTGTCCATGGGAGCTGAGGATAGGGAGGGTCCCTGAGTTGGCCAACAAGGAGTCTCTGGTTACCATGGTGAGTCAGGATGAGGCAGGAGCCCAGCTCTTCCCTGAGCTGAAGGCCCTGCTCCTCCAGCCTCCAGATGGGGACTCTGTCCTACCTGTGCCGTCTTCTAGGGAGGCTTCAATCACTGGGTTCATTAGAGGATCTAAGCCAGCAAGAGAGGATTTCTCATTTAGTTGGGGTGGGAGTGAGATGAAGGTAGGCGCTCCTCTAGAAGCCCGCAGAAATGGCAATTGACAGCTTG
This sequence comes from Homo sapiens, assembly GCF_000001405.40. NCBI lineage: Eukaryota > Metazoa > Chordata > Mammalia > Primates > Hominidae > Homo > Homo sapiens. The sequence goes on along the minus strand of NC_000019.10, from coordinate 51,168,503 downwards.
GATCCTTCTAGTTCCCCTACTCAGCAAGGCCTCCAAGACACAGCCACCAAGTGGCCCCAGTCCTGGACCTCCTCTCTCCTGGTCCTCTCCCCATTCACACCCTCAGGCACCCAGGCATCCTGGCCCCATCACTCACAGGAGACACTGAGCTGGATGGTTCTCTCCGTGGTCACACCAGCTCCGGGGAACGTCACCTGACAGATGAGGTTGGTGCCGTGGTCCTGAGGCCGTGGGATGATCGTGAGCACTGAGGAGTGGAGGGTCCTGGGGCCCAGGGAGGTGGGGGCAGCTGACATCCAGGAGAAGATGGGGGGTGTTCCCTGCTCACAGACCCAGGGCACAGAGCAGGTCAGGTTGCTGGGATGGCCAGACTTTAGGAACTCCGGGATGAGGATGTCGGGCCTGTGGGTCAGGGCTGTTGTGGACAGAGGTGGGGACGCAGGATCAGGAGGGGGATCCAAGGTGCAGCCCTGTGGGAAGCTCAGGCTCTGGTCCAGTTCCTCCCCTGAGCCTGACGTGCTTTATTCCCATCCCCATTCCAGGACATGAGTCCCATCTGAGCCCTTCCCAGTGGCCCCCATAACCTTCCCCTTGTGCCACTCCTGGAGCCCGTGCCTTACCTGTCACATACACAGAGAGCGGGGAATATTTGTAACTAAATTTTGTTCTTCCTCTCGCCACCCAAAAGAAGTATGAACCGTTGTCCCTCCTCCTGGCGTCTCTGATGCTCAGGGAGCAGTTGTTCCTTGAGGGATCACCGAGGAGGTGGAATCGGCCCTGGGTCTCCTTCTGCACTTTTTGAGTTGAGTTGTTTGTGGCCACTGGAGTCTCCTGGTCTACACTGACCCCTTCCCGGAACCAGTGGCCATAAGCAGGGGTAGAATCTTTCCAGCCATACTCGAGGTAGAAGACCGAACAGTGCACAAAGATGCACAGACCCTCCTGCACCGTCACGGACTCTGGCATCTCCAGCCGGAATCTTGCATCCTGAGCGAGGGCCCTGTGGAGACATGAGGGTCAGATGGGCTCATCCCCACGGCCCCTCTCCCCAGGGCCACTCACCTGCCCACAGCAGGGGCAGCGGCAGCAGCAGCGGCAGCATCTCTGAGGCAGAGGCTTCCTGGGCTTCCTGTGTGAGCAGAGAAGAGGGCTGTGGGGAGGAGCATGAGATCTTGGCAGTTCACAGAAGAGGAACCTCAAACCCACACGTGGTCAGAGGTCATCCGCCTCTGCACAGAGTGGAGGGAGACTGCAAAGCCAAGTGACCTCAGAGACCTGCCCAGAGGGGAGCAGAGAAGGAGCAGAGACCACTTCCTGCCTCCCACCTCGGGTCTTCCGTCCAATGCCAGAGCCTGGACCAGGACCTCTGGGGACATCTGAAGCATGGGACACCTGTGTCTAAAACCCTCTCACTCTGAAGTGTTTTTCTGTGAACCATTGTTTACGTCTGGGAACTGGTCACTTCTGGCCCCAGACAGTCACAGCCTCATCTTGAGCCATGAGATAGTCGATCCTGCAGGATGTAGGATTCTGTAGGGTCTATGGGAGTGTCTGGGACTGAAAAAATGAAGAGTGGTCCTAGGTGCAGTGAAGGTGACAGCCATTCATTCATTCACCAAATATATAGTGAGCATCTGTATGTAGGTGGGGATGGAGAGAAGAAGAGATAGCACTGACCTGGCCCCTACCCTTGAGATGGTCCCTATCCATAGCCTCATGTCCTTAGCACACACACACTGTCTGGCTTTAGAGCTGCGGACACTGATGAGTTTGCCATGTGTCATGGTAGCATATTGGGTATTTTTAAAGAAATGTGACTATAGAATTTTTCCCTGATAAATAGTATACAGATTTGCAGTTTCAATGACACCTCCAAAATAAGAACCATGCAGCATCTTCACGTAAAACATAAAGAAGGACACATGTTCTATGAACCAGTGTAGAAGAAACTCCTTTTCGGTTAATGCTGCCTCTCAGTGTAGTGTGGGCAGGAGCGATTTTTTTAAGGTCCTCATCATAGAGATTAGCATTTCCTTTCATGAAAAAATGTGCTTCTCACAGTTACATGTGGCCCAAAGACAATATTTTCCGATAATATGAGGGGAATATACAGACAAAATTAAAATTTCAGGCTTAGTTTTTATGTTTATGACTATTTGTCTTTCGTGAGTTGCTTGTTTGGGCATTAATTGTCTTGTTGGAATTTAGTTTTTCACAGGTTTCCTAACCCTCTTGCTCCCTCTTGTTTGTCAGAAGTCTCAGACAGGCCAGGCGCTGTGGCTCAAGCCTGTAATTCCAGCACTTTGGGAGGCTGAGGCGGGTGGATCACGAGGTCAGGAGATCGAGACCATCCTGGCTAACACAGTGAAACCCTGTCTCTACTGAAAATACAAAAAAATTAGCCGGGTGTGGTGGCGGGCACCTGTAGTCCCAGCTACTCAGGAAGCTGAGGCAGGAGAATGGCATGAACCCGGGAGGCAGAGCTTGCAGTGAGCCGAGATCACACCAACGCACTCCAGCCTGGGCAACAGAGCTAGATTCTGTCTCAAAAAAAAAAAAAAAAAAAAAAAAAAAAAAAATCTCAGACAATGTGATCGTGCTGATCTCTTATGTGAGATTTGGAAATCTGCCTTCCTAGATCCTGTGGCACAGATTTGACTGTACCCAGCTATCACCTTCCTGACAAGCACACAACTAAATGTCCTGGCCCATTCTGTTTATAGATAAAAATAATTTTAGGTTCAGTGACATGATTTTCCATCTCATCTGGCAAATCCTCAAAATCCAGGGCATAATAATATTTGGTACCATATATTAGTAAAATCTTTGTAACAGTATTATCTAGGTAAATGTTCATTTGTCCTTGCTAATGTAGACAGCCATTTGCATTCTTAATATATAAGGAATTGAGTCTTTAATAAGTAACATAATACCTTGTAAGTTCTTCTAAAAATAAGAATGTAGCACATAATAGGAATGCAATAATTTGGTCTTAATAGTAAAGCAAATTATATTGTATTTATGGGTCAGAATGTTAAATATGAAGATGTGAATTTCACTGGATGTATTTAGTGAACTTTATTAGGCATAATTTACATGAAATAAAATGCACACACCTGAAATGTTCATTTCAGTGAGTTTTGATAAGTGTATGCAGCCCCGCTGTGACTGCCACAGTCAAGATACACAACACTTCTTCCACTCTAATGGTTTTCCATGTTTCTTTGCAGCTCACCATTCCCATCGCGTATGCTGGGAAATCATCAATATACCCGCTGTCATGGTGAGTTAGTTTGTCTACTTGAGAATTTCCTAGAAATATACTAAAAAATTGTGTCTGTATTCTGTCACTCAGCAATCATTTTTTGAAACTGAGCCAAGCTGTTGTATATGCCTGTAGTTCACAATGTGTTATTGCTAAGTAGTATTATCTTTTATTTACTCACCTATTGATAGACGTTTAAGATTTTCCAGGTTTTTTCTATAGGTATCCAAGTAGAAGTCTTTTTATAGACATGTTTTTATACTCATTTATACACAAGATGTGGAATTTTTAGTTCAAATAATACCTGCATATTTAATTTTTGTAGGAATTGCAGAATCGTTATCCAAATGGCTTTGACTTTTACCACTACTCCCAGCCATGCACCAGAATTCCGGTAGCTGTACACCTTTATTAACACTTGGTATTGTCAGTCTTTATATTTTAACAATTCTAGTGAGAGCGTAGTGTCATCTCTAGTGTATTTTGAATTTAGGTACCATCAATTTCATCAACTGAGTATTTCTCATATGCAATTATTTGAGGTTTGACAGATGTATGTAGCTATATACCCACAACCACAGTCAAGACACTACCAAGTGCCATTACTTAAAACATTCCCTCCTGATGTTCCTTGGTAGGCAACTGTCCCTCCCTATTTAATTCCTGTAAAAACACTAATCTATTCTCTACCCTACTGATATGCCTTTTAAAGAATGTCATATAAACGGAATCATTCAAAATGTAGCCTTTAAAATCTGGATTCATTCACTTGGTTTAATGCATTTGGGGCTCGTCCATGTGATGGGGTGTTGTTTTTAAATTGCTGACTCATACCTCACTGTTTTCATAGATCCCCATTTTGTATACATTTACTGGCTGGTGAACATTCATATTGTTTTTAGGTTTTGGTGACTGTAAAGTAAAACTAGTATAAATATTCACATGCAGATTTCTGTGTGTGGACACTAGTTTTTTTATTTCTCTTGGGTAAATACCTAGGAGTCGGGTGCTTGGTCATATGTGTAAGTTCGAATTTATAAGAAATTGCCAAACTGTTCTCCAAAGTGGGTGTACCATTTTACATTCCCACCAGCAGAATATATGAGTTCTGGTTGCTCTACGTTTTCATTAACATTTGGTATTATCCGGATTTAAAAAAAAATTTCTTTGGGTTTTGTTTTGTAGCCATTCTAATAGGTATGTACTGCTACCTCATTCTGGTTCTAATCTGTGATTTCGTAGCAGCAAATGGTGTTGAGAATGCTTTCATGTGATTATTTGCCATCAGTTTTTCTTATTTGGCGAGGAGGCTGATCAAATATTTAGTGCTTTTTAAAATTTGTGTTAAAATATACATTAAAAAATTACAATTTTAACCATTTTTCAGTGCACAGGTAAGTGGCACTAAGTACATTCACACTCTTATGCAATTATTAATCATTGATCTCCAGAAATTTCTTCATCTTGCCAAATTGAAACTCTATACCAACTAAATGATAACTTCCTATCCCATCCTGCCCCCAACCCATGGCAACCAACTTTCTACTTTCTTTGTCTATGAATTTGAGCACCTCTGGGAGATTGTGGGTAAGAACTGAGAAAAATTCTTCTTCTCCAGATCCATTTCTCTGTTCCTTTTTGTGTTTCTGCAACATGACCTCAGTTCTCTCAGGAAGCCCCAAAACCTGTGAAACTAACCTGTGCTTGCAGCTCTGCTTGCTGCCAGAAACAAAGGCTGGGAGCCAGCAACAGGAACCAGCCAGGGGATGAGTTCAGCCCAGACGTGCTGCCTGGACCTGGATTCCTGCCTCAGTGCAGGCCTTGACCTGATTTCTTGCTTCATTACCATACTAAAATCTCCACTCAGGGGCGAGAACTATGCCTTGCTAGGCACAGAAGGTGCCAAGTACAAAAGAAAACACAAGAGTGTGCACACTTCAGCCCCTCCTGAAGGAACCCACCTTTTTCCAGATCTGCCCGCCTCAGTCTCCAACTACCTGCCCTAAGGGCCCTTAAGATCCCCTTTTACCAACCCCTGGGAGAAGGTGCTTTGCACATGAACTCCCTTTCTCCATTTCTTGATCAATGAATAAAGTTTCTTCTCCGCTTTGCCGATTCTGGTCTCATTCTATTGGCGTAAGTGGCAGGGGGCAGAGAAAGGACCCACTAGGGCCAACTCACCCCTCCAAGGGTGGGTAACATTTGCAGCAAAACTCCTCAAGAGGTTGTTTGTCGTCACTCTTCCTACCTTCCTTTCTTCGGTTATTTTCCAAACGAGCTTCCAATCAAGTCCCCCACCCTTTCACACATGTTCATCAAAGCTGCCATTGCCAGTTATCTCAGACGTAAACAAAATCAACTCAATATGGATTAAAGATGGAAATGTAAGGCCTGAAACTGTAAAACTCCTTGAAGAAAACAGGAGAAAAAGCTTCTTGACATTATCTGGGCTCAGATTTTTTTAGATACTGTAAACTAAAAATAAAATCCTAAGCCCTGTAATCAACTGAACAGACCCCCTCTTGGCCAAGGGGACCCCAGAAAAATCTTAAAAACTGAGTTGCTGCTACAATGGGACGAGAGGTCAGACACACCTCATTATAGCCCCTTCCTTTTGCAGTTGAGATGCAGCAACTGATTAACCTTAATATGGAAATGGAGATCATAAGACTGGCAGAACAGACTCTGTGGCAATGAGATACCAAATCATATACAAAACCTAAGGCCATGCCAGGCAGGGGTTAAATTACACACCCCCACACTTAGAGAATAAACTATGTTCTAACTGCCACAATATGTTTATTTTTCTCTGGTAGCTAAGCAAGCACTGGTCTCAATATAAGTAATATTAAAACAATATACAGCTCACCAGCAGACACTGACCCCACACCCTTGTGACTGGACAAAAGACTGATTTCAGTAACTTTCTCTTGATAAGAACATGGAGCATGGACTGGTTATGGCAGGTTTTACAGAGGCTGCGCGCTTGAGGGCTGCTGTGTCCTCCAAAGACCTTTTGACATATAGGGCCTAATTGTAATACGTTTACATGGTAAGTCTCTACCCTAAGGTGAACATGGATTACATGTAACATGCGTGTTTGTTCAATATGCTTGGGTCAAAACCCTTTCATGAATATTCAAAGCTCCTTCTGTAACCTGTTGAATATGTATACTTGGCCAGCCCATTCAGCTTAAATTCCTGTCTTTCTCCTCCCTCCCTTAAAGTGCTTGTCTCTGAGCCTCTTCTGCAGGCTCTGCTTCCCAGCCTGTCTGGATGGCCACCTTGCAGGCTGTAATCCTTTATAAGAAATAAAGCTCTTTCTTCCAAATTGGTAATTGTGTGATGTTTAAGTTAACACCACCAAACCACAGGCAACAAAGGCAATAATAGATAAATGGAATTTCATCAAACTAAAAAGTTGTTTTAGTTTGTTTCTGCATGGCAAAAGAAACAATCACAAAAGAGTGAACAGACTACTTATGGAAAGGGAGGAGATATTTGCAAACCACACATGTGGTAAAAGGTTAATATTCAGAATATATAAGGAACTCAAACAAGTTGAGTTCAACAGCAAGAAAACAAATAATCTGATTTGAAAAGGCATGATGGACTTGAATGGCGAGTTCCCCAAAGACACAGAAATGGTCAACAGGCAGAGAAAAAATGATCAACATCACCAGTCATCAGGGAAATGCAAATCAAAACCACAATGAGACATCACCTCATACCTGTTAGGGTGACTATTATCAAAAAGATTGAAGATAACATATGTTGTCATGAAAGCACCAATGACAAATGTGTGTCCTCCTCTCTGCCTGTCTTCACCCCTTCCTTACCTCATCTGTGGTCATCACTACTCCAGCTGTGCATTGAAACATCTTCAGCTTGGACCCCTCTCCTGAACTCCAGGCATTTGCATTCAGCTGTCTCTGTTCTGTTCCCATTTGGATGTAAGGGAGATTCTCAGAATTATCGCCCCTGAAAGCCTCCCCTCTGAAGTCCTCTATGGACACCGCTCCTTCCCTCCAGGTGCTCAGGGGAACATTCTGGCTTCATCCTTGGTCTTGCCTTCCCCTCGCTGACCACATCCATTAGAAAACTCTGTGAGCACGACCTTCCACACACATCCAAAAGCATATCCTTACGCCACCCCTGCCTCCCTGGTTCAAGCCCCTATCCCTCTTCCTGGAGGACCCAGCAAGCACCTTTCCAGTTTCTATGTGGCTGCCATGACCCACTTGGGCCTGTTCTGTCCAGGGAAGCCGAGGGGTTCTGTTAGAGTGAAAGTCCAGTCTAGTCTCTGCTCTGCCTAAAGGCTCCAGGTTCCTGTGTGGCCAGCAGGGCCCACCCAGTCTGCACCATCCTCCCCTCTGCTCCCCTCCTCTGCCTTTCTCTCCTCTCATACGTGGGCCTGTTTGTGTCCACAAATAAATGTAACCTAACTTAAATGAATGCAGACTTTTTATTTCCATCACACATATATGCCTCTTAAACAATAAGTATTATTTTCTATATTATTCATCACTTATTTGTATTTAATAATGATGTCTAATAATGAAAAAATGTTTAACATTCTGTTCTGACAATAGTTTACATTTGTGACTTTAAAGTTTTTGTATGCTTTATTTTTGGAACAGCTAGAAGAAAATAAATCATTTCAATTTTGTATTTAATGTTCCAGCTTATAGACTCTGACATATGAATCCATATCCAAGGTTATGGATGCAGGTAAACTGATCAAGTGTCTGCTGAAAAACAAGAGAATTTTTATGCCTAAAAATTTGGGGGATGTTCTCTGGGGTTCTGGTGATATTAGAGTTCTGAAATAGATATGACCTTTTTTAGAAAGTATTGGAAATTTATGTTTAAAGAAATTTATCCCAGTATTTAAAATTATTTTTAAGATTTTAAGTTTTTTTCTGAAATGTTTTAATGTAGGAGGAAGGAAAGTTAGTGCCCCATTTTAAAATAAAAGTCTTAGCTGCAGCTAGCAAAAATACAATTTATGTTTTAAGAGTGTACAAAATGAATAAACATAGTCTCTTTCATTCTTTCCTATTTGGAAGTTATTCTGATTACTCCAAGGAAGGTTTAAACTCAAAAGGAAAGGTGGGCTCTAAGGGAACCGTTGTGAGATGCACAAATGTTCCGGTATAGAGTGTGAGTTAATCAAACAAGGAATTTCTCTTAGTTATCATTGAGAATGTGAGGTGCGTAGAAAAATAACTTCTGATGAATAAGAAAGAGAACATGAATGTACATACAAAAATCCCTTTCTTGCTGGGCAAAAAGCCCATTTGAATTGTTTAGGAGGATCGGCAGCATTGAGTGGATGGGATTGTGTCTTCTCTGGAGACAGGTTTGCATGTGGAGATGACATCATCACTTATCAGGACAGATTTTTGAAGACTCACAGCCCTTGACCATTTGCTGGCTTCATGATCGCCATCTCCAAAGGGCTGTGTAGCAGCTCTCATGGCCTTTCCCACAATGTGTACATCAGGCAACCTCAAGGAACCACATAATGGAATTAATGTTCATATAAAAATCATAGTTGTAGTTGGGCACGGTGGCTCATGCCTGTAATCCCAGCACTTTGGGAGGCCAAGGCGGGCAGATCATGAGGTCAGGAGATTGAGACCATCCTGGCTAACATGGTGAAACCCCGTCTCTACTAAAAATACAAAAAAATTAGCTGGGTGTGGTGGCGGGCACCTGTAGTCCCAGCTACTCGGGAGGCTGAGGCAGAATGGTGTGAACCCAGGAGGCAGAGCTTGCAGTGAGCCGAGATCACACCACTGCACTCCAGCCTGGGCGACAAAGACTCCATCTCAAAAAAAAAAAAAACACAAAAAAACCCCATAATTGTTTCCCTCCAATATTACAGCATGTTTTTTGTTTGTTTGTTTGTTTTTCACTTTCAAAGGGAAAAAATGCATTGACTTCTGTTGTCTGGGAAATCTGAGGGGTAGACCTGGTTTTAAATGTGACTGGATTTCAGGGTCAGATGATAGAAAGGCCCATCTCGCTACTTGGTTTTGGCTCTTGTTTTTGTTTGTTGTTGCTGCTGTGGTTGTTCATTTATTCTCCCTGGTTTTTGTTCTCAGGCTCATAAAGGTAGGAGCTCTGATGTCCACTTTGCAGATAAGGACACTGAGGCACACAGAGATCAAGTAATTCTCCTTCTGAGACAGAGTCCATGGACTTCCCACTGCCCCATGACACTTGGTTATGTCTGTGCAACCAACTCAACAGTCTCTGCCATGGTTAGGGCGCCCCCTGCTGCTCACCCAGAGAGTTGCAGGGATCACTGCACCAATCTTCTCCACCCTCTTTGACCCCCAAATGCTTCCTGACACCTGACTCCCACCCATTCAGAGACTAACCTATGTCAAGATTTACAATCTCACCGAACAGGAATGATAACTACAGGAAGTAGTTATTATTTAATGTTATTAGTAATGTTATTGCTATTGTTAATGTCATTATTATTATTTCTCCATTTCACTTCCATCTTCTCTGGAAGCTGATTCGGGGCTCCTGCCTCTCACCTTTTCTATCCACTTCTTATCCCTTCCCCCAGGAGGTTGTAGACAAAGATTAGTGCTGATGCATCGTGCAACTCCATGGCTCCCCCTGGTGGTGTGATGCATTTGGGGGTGATGGGGTTTGCTCACACAGCGCTGCAAGGACGCGGGTAGGGACCTGTCAGAAATCTACCTTGTGTATAGCTCCTCAAAGATCCCAGGTTAACATTCCTTGTGATCTTCAAGCCTGAAAGACAGGAAGGAGTCACTGTTCATTAGTGTCCACTCTGGCTGTGCCAGGCAAAACTTTGCCCTGGGAGGAACTGTGACGTTTTGCTCTCTTGATAAGAAGGTACAAAGCTGAGCTCCAGAAAGAGATTAAAGGCTTTGGGGGGCTGCTCCCGAAGCTGCCTCCTGCCCCTAGGTGAGCACTGGGTGCTACCACTCCTGACTGGAGAGACAGGGTTTCAGACAAGATTCTCAAAGTCATGGGGGATCCTGGATGAGATGGGCCAGGTATAGTTCTGGGGTTTGCTTGAGAGAATGAAAGTGAGTCCCTGAAGGTCGAGGTGCCCTCCAAGCCTACACCCCCCTCCTGAGAGCAGGGTCCTCATGAGGGTCTCATTGCATGAGACAGTCAGGGTCATGCCACGGACTCTGTCTGAATGAAGCCACTTCTGCCATATTCATCCTGACTGTTCAGACCAGGCATCACTGGCCGTGCACAGTCTAGATGGAGGGAGGGACATGTTTCTGCAGGGACTTGGCACAATGCTGTGTCTAAAAGGAGTGCTCCATGTTGGTGCAGCCAAATAGAGCTGATGAGATGCTCTCTGTGGCCGTGGTTGCTGGTTTCTTCTCAGTATTCATTCCCTCTTTTTCCTTAGTAATAAGGACCTCAGACACAAGAGCCTAGCTAAGAAGGATTCCACGTTTTACGTTCTCCACTTGCTTCTGAAGTTAAGCATCACAACAGCCCTATGAAGAGGAAACATTTCATATCTTCATTTTACAGGTGTAGAAAGAGGCTTAGGGGAGGGAGGCAACTTAACTGAGATCACATGGGAAGTAAGTGGCAGTGCTTGGTTCAAACCAGGCAGTGTTGCCAGGAATCCTTTCTATCCTCAAACGACCTGCACAGCCTTTAATCCAGCAGTCCTGAGTAGTTAGGGAGCAATTCACAAGACTGCCCTCACTTCTGATGCCAGCTGCACATTGGGGAGTCCCTGACCACATTCAGTTTTGATAGTTCACTAGTAGGACTCAGAACTCACTGAAAGCTGTTATCCTCATGTGATGTCTCATTACAGCAAAAGGATACAGATTAAAGTCAGCCAAGGTGAGAAGAGCATGGGGCAGGGTCCAGGGAATTCCGAATGGGGAGTTTCCAGTTGTCCCCTCCCAGTAGAATCATAGACTGTGGTAATTCCTCCTGACATGACATGTGACAACATGCATAGAGCATTGCCAACCAGGGACACTCACCTGAGCCTTGATGTCCTGGTGTGGCTTTGTCACATAGATGTGGATAACTGTCTACATGGCTGACCTTAGTTTCAGCTGCTCCACAGATAGAGCTGATACCAGTGACCCAAAGTCCTATCGTTAGTTATATTATTAGACTATTTGGTGAAGTCCAAGGCTTTCAGGTAAACAAAGACACTCTAATCAGGTGAGACATTCCAGGGACTTAGAGGTTCCCTCCCAGTAGCTGAGAGCAAAGGCCAGGCCTCTTTTTGGCAGGGTTCAGCTCTTTGCCACACAAGTCCACCTCTGGGACTCACCACGGATCTGCAAATGGGACTAGGCCAGAGACATCCTGGGCCAGCCTGCAGCCAGGTTGGTCTGGGTTGGAATCAGCTCCAGCTCTTGAGCTCTGTGGACTTGGGAGCTGCCCTCACTACTCAGAACTGATGCACTCAAATGTGAAATAGGGACCCCAGTCCTCACTTCTCAGATTAGAAATGGTCAGTGTGCCTTTGCTGAGGTCTGCTTTTGTGTAAATAGGGGACTACTTAAAACCAATTATTTTTTAAATTGATGTTCAGTTTATTAAGTGTTCAAACCCCTTGACCCTTCAAATTCCACTCATTGATTTCTTTCTTCTTTTCTTGTAAACTTACTATAGTCACTGTCACTCTCTTTTACTGAAATTGAACAGACTGTGCTCCCTTAAACAGAGAGTTTGATTTAAAGAGTCAGTTATACATTCCATACATTCTTTTTTCTTTATAGCCCTTCAGCTGCCTACTGGGGCAAGTTCACAACCCAGCAAGATCCTCACAAATTCTCGGACAGCTCTTGGAAATCTAATCTACTGAGCTTATAAATACATCAACACTTAGATTCTTCCAGTGTTCCAGGTGTGTTCACAGAGTTTATCAAACTCTTCCACATCTTTCACCTGAAAAAAATAATCACACTTCTAAAATCACCTTTACATCTCCTTCTGGAAACACTTTAGTGGTGTGTTAGATTTCCTAATGCACAGGCTATGGCGCCCATTGTGTGGAAGCTGGGGTTGAAGCGTGAAGGATTTCTGATCTCCATACAGCTGTTTACAGGTCAGAGGCTTGGAACCAAGACCCAGGATCCAGAGGCTTCAGCTGCTCAGGGCGGTTGCCCCCAGGCCCTGAGACTGGCTCAATCCTTCTGTGTCAGTTGCAGTCATGAAGTCCTAATCCTCTCCTCCGAGCCTCATTGTTTTCCATCTATAAAATGGATCAATAGTGGAACCAATCACATGAGTTGTTCTGGGAATTCAACAAATGTGGGGACAGGCACAGAGCTTAGAACAGTGTCTGGCACACAGTAGGCCCCATGTGTTTGCTTTTACTCCAATGATTTTATTACGAGGTAAAGGGCTACCATGGGGCTGGCCCCTAGTAGGTCCCTGATCATGGCAGGTGCTCTTATTATGGTTATTGTTGTTGGCACAGCTGCCTTGCCTGGGGCAGGTCTAGGGGTCAGCTCAGGGTGCACAGTGGGGAACCTCTTGGCTGGAGGAGGACCTCATGAGGTGGTACCCAGGACCCCAAAGGGTCAGAAACACAGCCTCAGGCCTCCTTCCCTGTCTCTGCAGATGGGCCTGACTATCTGCTGCTGAGGGGCAATCCTGATGCCTTCAATGGCATCGTGACGGCTGAGATCGGCTCCCAGGTGGAAATGGAGTGTGTCTCCTATTCTTTCCCAGATCTCAAGTACTGCTGGATCCACAACAGCTCCTTCCTAAACTTCTCATATGCAAAGTTGTATCTCTTGAGTCTGGCCTGGTAGCAGATGGGCACTTACCAATGCACTGTGGAAAACCCCGTGACACAGCTGATCATGTACATGGACGTCAGGATCCAGGCCCCCCGTGAGTGCAGCAGCTCCCGTCCAGGCTCATGCTCTGCACATCTCCCTGCCTCCATGCCCTGCTAGGCAGTGCCCACCCTCAGGAGTGCCACCTCCACCCTGCCATGACATGCTCACAACCTCTGGGTGAAATCTCCCAGTCCTCTCAGGTCTGGGTCCAAAGATGCCTCCTCTATGAATCCTCTGGAGTCCTCAGATCAGAGTCAGGGTGAGTCACAGGGGGATAAGGGGGATAAGAGTGGTGGACATTAGCTGTGCACTTACCATGTGCCCACCACCATTCTAACCTGCTTGACCCTCACTGTCTCTCTATGGAGAAAGTGAATGTGATTAGCCTCACCTCCACTTTACAGGTGAGAAAACTAAGCCCCATGGAGTTTGAGTATTTTATTTAAGGCTTCAGTGCTAACCCACAGAAGAGGTGGGATTCAAGCCCGGGCAGGCCGAACCCACAGCCTGTGGCCTCAACTGTTCCCCTCAGCTCCCTCCAAGATGAGGAATTAGAAAGATGCAGGGATGGGACGGGATTTTGTCATAGCTCCATGACCATGACAAATCTCTACTCCCCACAAATTTCACCAAGCTCTTGGCTTGATTCTTGGGCCTCTAATAACAAAAGATAAACAAGCTGCTCTCCCTGCCCCCAGGGGTAATAATAACTAACCTAATTTCCAGAGTTGATGGCACGTCTTATGGCATGACATAACAGTGTGAAATAAATTATTATTATTAACTCCATCATTGTTGTTACTTACCCCTGGTAATTGCGCCAACAGTGTCAACTCCTTCCTCAGCTTCACCCGGCCTCTTTCCCCCACACAATGGCGTCTGCCTCCTGTGCCCTTGGAAATCTTTAAAAGTATGAGGATGTTGAGGACTCTCAGTGGAGAGGTGAAGACCGCAGACCATCTCCTCTACCTCCTAGGGTCCCACATGGGGAGGGCTTGGGCTTGGACTTGGCAGGAAGTTGGGCCCCTTCACCTCTCTACCCAGGACTCTCCCGTGTTTCTTATGGACCTGAGATGTGACTTCTTCCCTGATTTCTCCCCATAGGGCAAATCAGGCTGCATGTCCTCAGACCCGAGGACAAGACCAGAGGGGCAAGCAGGTGAGGAGAAGGTGATGGAGAAGGGCTGGGGTCTCCATAGGGCCTGTGAGGCTGGAAAGGGTCCAGGGTCCCTCTGGAGGGGACCAGCAAGAGAGGGACCCAGCCCAGTCACACCAAGGTCCGGAGATGGGGGCTCCTGGCGGAGGTCTGCAGACCCAACCAGGGCCCTGGGGATGAAATCATGGGCAGCATGGCCATTGGAAGCTCTATCTGCTGATCAGAGCTATGCAGGCTGGGGCAGGCCATGCGCAGAGCTGGGCTGTAATTTCAGGCGCCTCCTTTCTCAGCTCCTGTGTGTCCAGGTTCTCGGATTCCTTCACCAGAGGCCATGGAGTCAACGGAGATGCTGCAAACTTATGGCTAAGGGGTGCCCAGTCAGTGGTTGCTTCACTCAGTGCTGGGTGCCGGGTGAGAGAAGAGACCTCAGAATCAGGCAGGGATTAAATTCCAGTCCTGCCCTGAGTACCTGAGCGACCTGAACGCAGCCCCCGTGAGGCTCCCGCACCTCGATGCACCATGGAACGATCAAGTCAGCATGATTAGCACATCCATCAGCTCAAATTTTTATCTTTTTTTTTTTTTTTTGGTGACAACATTTAAACTCCTCTCTTTTAGCTATTTTGAATTATTCAGTACATTACTCTGTCATTGGAAACAACACAGATGAACTTAGAGGATGTTATGTTGAGTGAAATAAGCCAGGCACAGAGAGACAAACACGTTACAATCTCACTATATTCGGAATCTAAAGTAGTCATCCTTAGAGAAGTACAGAGGAGAATGGTGGGTACCAGAGGCCAGGGCGGGGAGTGTGGACCGATTGGATGGGGAAAGGGAGAGTTTGGTCATCAGGCATGCATTTTCAGTTAGACAAGAGGAATAAGTTCTGATGTCTTGTTGCACAGCATTGAGGGCTGCTAATTCTACTGGAATCAGCCTCAGACTCCTTTGCTGGAGGGGTCGTGAACCCTCAAACAAGCCCGAGCCTCTGCATTTTCTTACTTGGGGATCTTGATCTCTGAGTACTCATTGTTGGTGGCTTCTTGTCCTGATAGGTCCTGAGGCTCCCCCTTATGAAAGCTGAGGGGTGCATACTGGATCTCTCTTTCCTCCCCTGAGGAGTGGGCAGCCAGGCCATGGTGTCGGGGGTTATCATCTGCCCAGGACTCAGTCAGGTTACCCTGAATGGAGAGAGAGAAGAGAGTCAGAGCAGAGCAGTGGAAATAGGATAAGGCAGGGAGAGTCACAAGTTGTTTGATCGGTTGGTTGGTTCGGATATATTCCTCTGTATAGAATTAAACTTCATGAGTTCCTGCCTCTATCCCACGTTCATTTTATAGAAATCTCCTTCATTTATACTTTCCTGCAATATTTAACACTTATTGAGCAACTTGTTTGGTGTTTATTAATCTTATTAACTTCCCGCAACAACTCCATGAAGAAAGTAGCGTACCCAAACTCCCTGTTATGCCGGGACCCAATCCAGTCCCTTCCTTCTGACCCCAAAGCCTGGAGTCCTGCTGGGGCCCTCTGTGTGTGAAGCCCTGATCCGGGTGCTGGATGGACTGTGGTGGACACAGTAGGTGTTGGCCCTGACCTCCTGAAACTCACTTTTTAATTGAGGGAATTTGGCAAAAATGACTGTCAAACAAACGAATATCTATGTGTGAATTATAAGATGGGCAGGAAGAGGCTAAGTGAGAGAGAATTACAGGGCCTTGATTTGGATGGGGCACCTGCTCTTAGGAAGCTCACAGTTCGGTGGTATGGGGAGGACAACTCAGTCAAAGAAATTATATCCTCTGATAAGAAGTATAACTGCTCCCCAAAATGTCCATACCCTAATCCCCTGAAACCTGTGAATCTGTTACGTTACATTGCTAAAGGGACTTTACAGATGGAGCTAGGTTAAGGATATTGACATGGGGAGGTTATCCTGGATTATTTGGGTGGGCCCAGTGGAATGACAGGAGTCCTTACAAGTGAAAGGAGGAGGGCTTAGAGAGATTGGAAGATGCCAGGCTACTTGCCTTGCAAACAGAGGAAGGGACTTGAGCCAAGGAATGCAGGTGCCTCTAGAAGCCAGAAAGGGTGAGAAATTGCATCCTCCCCTGGAGCCTCCAGAAGGAACCAGCCCTGCCTGCCAATGCCTTGATTTTGGCCCAGTGACACCCATTTTGGGGTTGTGACCTTCAGAACTTTAATCCATGTGTGTTGTTGGAAGCCAGGAAATGCATGGTAATTTGTCACAGCAGCCACAGGAAACTAATACAGACTCACACAGCAGAGAGTGACAGAGGCTGCCTGGGAGGGTCCTCCTTCATCGCAGCCCTTCCCTGCTGCTCCCCTGTGCAGAAGATGCTCCATGGAACTGTCAGTGATTTTGCTTGCCAGATTCTCTCTTGATTACTCAAATTAATATTCACACACATACCAAGTCTAAGCACTGCTACTATCAAGGTCACTGTGACTACCACTTAAGTGGCTGAGTCTAAATGTCCACCTTGCAGTCTTCTCCTTCCTGGACTTTTCAGCAGCAGAGGACCCAGCTGCTCACCTTCCCTACACAGAAGGCCTTCTTGACTCAACTATAGGACATCATGCTTTTCTGGGTCCACCTCACCTTCTTGGCAACCTCTTTGCCAATTGCTTCAGGTCTCCCTGACCTTAAATATCAGAGCAGCCCCGGGTTCTTTTCTTCTTTACCTTTGCCTTGTGATCTTATCCACTGTGTTGGCTTCATGCCATCAATAGGCTAATGACTCCCAAATCTGTACCCCCAGCCCACTCCTTTCTCCTGACTATAGTCTTTGATCCAGTGGTATAATTCAAACCCCCGCGTTCTTGTCCAAAGACACACAAAACTCAACCTATTCAATCTGAACTCCTCCTTTTCTTTCCCAAATCCATTTCTTCTGCAATCTTCTCAGCCTCAATGATTGGCACCTCCATTCTTCCCACTGCTCAGGGCAAAAATCTGGAAGTAATTCTTGCTCCCTTTCTGTGGCTCACATTCTAATTCCAATTCATTAACAAATCCCAGTAGGTTCCACTGCAGAATTCATCTGGGAGACAGTCATGTCTACCACTGCTGCTATCTTGGTTCCAGCCAACACCACCTTCTGCCTGGGATGTTCACCAGCCTCCTGTCTACCTCCTATGCTCTCTCCTTCCCCTGCCACACACACGGTCTCTTCTGCACACAGTGGCCAGAGGAATCCCATGAAAATGAAAGTTGATCATGTTCTTCTGGTCTACAGCTATACCACCCTGAACGGACCCAATCTCGTCTGATCATGTCCTTCTGCTCAAAACTCTCCAAATGCTCACAGTAGCCTGTGCAGTCAGACACAATTCACATAGGCTCAACTCCTCCAAAGTCATTTCCTGCTCTCAGTCCTGCCTCCCTCTGTCTAATCACACAGATGTCCCATGGCTCCTCTCCTTTCCTCTTCCTGTGCCTGGGCCTTGCTTTGCTCCTCCCTCTGCCTGGAAGGCTCTTCAATCACACAATAAATGTCAGATCTGAGCCTCCTTCTGTTCCTACTGAAACTATTCCCAAATACGGAGGAAGACTGACTCTTCCCTAACTCATTCTATGAGGCCAGTATCATCCTGATACCAAAATCTGGCGAAGACACAACAAAAGAAGAAAACTTCGGGCCAATATCCTTGATGAACATTGATGCAAAAATCCTCAACAAAATACTTGCAAACTGAATCCATCAGCACATCAGAAGGTTAATCCAATATGATCAAGTCGGCTTCATGTTGGTTCAACATACACAAATCAATAAATGTGATTCACCACACAAACAGAACTAAAGACAAAAACACATGATTATCTCAATAGATGCAGAAAAGGCTTTTGATAAAATTCAGCATCGCTTCGTGTTAAAAACTCTCAGTAAACTAGGTATTAAAGGAACATATCTCAAAATAATAAGAGCTATCTATGGTGAACGCAGAGCCAACATCATATTGAATATGGAAAAGCTGAAAGCATT
This sequence comes from Homo sapiens, assembly GCF_000001405.40. Taxonomy (NCBI): domain Eukaryota; kingdom Metazoa; phylum Chordata; class Mammalia; order Primates; family Hominidae; genus Homo; species Homo sapiens. The sequence continues at coordinate 51,150,236 of NC_000019.10, read as the reverse complement.
CCCCTTGAAAGCCAGCACAAGACAAGGATGCCCTCTCTCACCACTCCTGTTTAACGTAGTATTGGAAATTCTGGCCAGAGCAATCAGGCAAGAGAAAGAAATAAAGAGCATCCAAATAGGAAGAGAGGAATTTAAACTATCCCTCTTTGCAGATGCATGATTCTATATCTAGAAAACCTCGTAGTCCCAGCCCAAAAGCTTCTTAAATGATAAATAACTTCAGCAAAGTTTCAGGATACAAAATCAATATAGAAAAATCACTAGTATTTCTATACATCAGGAACTACCAAGCCAAGAGTCACATTAGGAACACAATCCCATTCACAATTGCCACAAAAAGAATAAAATTTTTAGAAATACAGCTAACCAGGGAGGTGAAAGAACTCTACAATGAGAATTACAAAACACTGCTCAAATAAATCAAAGGTGACACAAATGGAAAAACATACTATGCTCATGGATAAAAAGAATCAAAATCATTAAAATGGCCATACTGCCCAAAGAAATTTATACATTCAATGCTATTTCTATCAAACTACCAATGAGATTCTTCACAGAACTAGAAAAAACAATTTTAAAATTCATATGAAACCAAAAAAGTGCCCAAATAGCCAAGGCAATCCTAAGCAAAAAGAAAACCTGGAGGCATCACGTTACCCAAATTTAAACTATATTACAAGTCTACAGTAACCAAAACAGCATGGTAGTGGTACAAAAACAGACACATAGACCAATGGAACGGAATAGAGAGCCCAGAAATAAAGCCACACACCTACAACAATTTGATCTTCAACAAAGCTGACAAAAAAAAGCAATGGGGAAAGGACTCCTGATTCAATAAATGGTGCTGGGATAACTGTCTAGCCACATGCAGAAGATTGAGTGGGACTGCTTCCTTATACCACATATAAAAATCAACTCGAGATGGGTTAAAAACTTAAATGTAAAACTCAAAACTATAAAAACTCTGGAAGACAATGTAGGCAATATCGTTCTGGATAAACAGGCAAAGATTTCCTGACAAAGATGCCAAAGCAATCACAACAAAAGCAAAAATTGACAAATGGGATCTAATTAAACTTAAGAGCTCCTGCACAGCAAAATAAACCATCAACAGAGTAAACAACCGGAATGGGAGAAAATACTTGCAAACTATGCATTAGGCAAAGGTCTAATATCCAGCATCTATAAGGAACTTAAACAAATTTACAAGAGAAAAACAACCCCATTAAAAAGTGAGCAAAGGACATGAACAGACATTTTTGGCCAACAGACATATGAGAAAAAGCTCATTATCGCTGATCACTAGAGAAACGCAAATCAGAACCACAATGAAATATCATCTCACACCAGTCAGAATGGCTACTTTTAAAAAGTAAAAAAAATCACAGAGGCTGGCAAGGCTGCAGAGAAAAGGGAACACTTATACTGTCGGCAGGAGTGTAAATTAGTTCAACCACTGTGGAAAGCAGTATGGTAATTTCCTGAAGAGCTAAAAGCAGAACTATCATTTGACATAGCAATCACATTACTGGTTTTATACTCAGAGTAATAAAAATCATTCTACCATAAAGACACATACAAGCAAATGTTCATTGTAGTACTATTCACAATAGCAAATATATGAAATTAACCTAAATGCCCATCCATGACAGAATGGATAAAGAAAATATGGTACAAATACACCATGGAATACTGTGCAGCCATAAAAAAGAATGAGATTATGTCTTTTGTGGGAACATGGATGGAGCTGGAGGCCATTATCCTTAGCAAACGAACACAGGAACAGAAAACCAAATACTGCATGTTCTCACTTATCAGTGAGAGCTAAATGATGAGAACTCATGAACACAAAGAAGAGAACAACAGACACTGGGGCCCACTTGAAGGTGGAGGGTGGGAGGAGAGAGAGGAACAGAAAAAAATAACTGTGGGGTACTAGGCTTAGGACCTGGGTGACAAAATAATCTGTACCACAAACCCCTCTGACCAGAGTTTATGTATGTAACAAACCTGCACATGTACCCCCAAACCTAAAATAAGAGTTTTTTTTAAAACTATCACAATTACTGAGATTTTTGGCACCTTCTTAAATTTTGCATGCTAGGCCAGGACCTCACTCATCTCACACTAATTCCAGCCCTGCTAGAGAGGTAGATGTTTAAGAGACGAGAATGTGCAGGGCTGCAGTTATGAAGTTTGGGCTTTTTCTCTAGGTTAGGGCTTGTCAAACTAGAGCCCTTGGGACAAATTCTACCCACAGCTTGTTTTTATAAATAAAGTTTTACTGGCACACAGCCAGCTAATCATTTACACATGGTCTACGGCTGATTTCCTGCTACATCAGTAGAGTTGAGGAGCTGCAATGAGACTGTGTAGGCCAGAAAGCCAAAAATATTTCCTATCTGGCCTTTCCAGATAGTATTTTCTGGCTTCTGCTCTAGACAGTGTTGGGGGTGGGAACAGCTGTCCAGATGCAAAGAAACTGATCAGTGATGGCTTCTGAATGATTCCTCCCATCAGGGCAGGGGACACAAGAGGCAGGGAGGTGAGGAAGTCCAAGACAGAGATCCTCAGGCCTCAGCATTGAGAGAGTTTAGGATTGGTGGGGGTGGGAGCAATGCTAGCCATTCTTAGGGAGGAAAAATGGACAAGATTTGGTGAATGTGGAGCTATAGAGAAGAAAGGGAGGACAGAGAGGAGATAACTCCTCCTCCATGCCTGGCCCGAGAGAAAGTAGGTAGGAGGGACTGTCATGCAGTCAGCAAGATGGGGAATCCTGCAGGAGAAGCTGGATGGTGGGAAGGAGGAGGAGATGAGGAGATAATTTTGGCCATGATAAGCAGAGAAATCCTGGAGGCCATCCTGTGGGAGATGTCCCAGCTGGATGCTGGGTGTGGAGACGCCCATATCACTCACCTGAGAGGCTGAGCCCCTGATGGTGTTTGCATCCTTCATGCCTATGTCTCCCACGTCCGCTGCTGGCCTTGCCGATTTCTTCCTGCAGGACCTCACTCTGAGTGAAGAGACCAGAGAGCCTTTCAGTGTGGTCAGATCGGGGTGCAGTGGGCAGACCAACCCCTGCCCTGTATTTCCTGTTGGGGCGCTGGAGGGGTAACTGAGGTGGGAGGAGGGTGGTCCAGTCCCAGAGACCCCAGTGTTGAAAACAGAGGCTCCTGCCTCCTGGGTGGTGGGGCCCAAGGTTCACCACAGATGTGGAGCCCCACAGACAAGGGCGCTCTTGAAATTCTTGCCACGCACCCGTGAGCTCATTCTTGCCCCAAGCTCTTGACCCATGCAGTCCCTTCCAGCTCTGGCTTCAGGGATCCTGCTCCCAGTCCGCCCTCCCCCAGGACTCTCCCTCCCTCCCTAGGGTCAGTGCTCACACAATGAAGATGACACAGAAGGAGAGGAAGACCAGGGCTGTGGCTCCAGCTCCCCCGACCGCCCCCAGCAACACTCCTGATACAGGCCTCATTTTGCCTGAGGATGGATTGGAATTGTTTTGGTGATCCAACTCCAAGAACTGGGTCTCTTCTCCTCCCACTTCCTATAAGGCCCCCAACTTGGGTACCCTAATCCCCCTTCCCAGAAACAAAGGGCAAGAATGGGAGGGAGGAGGAAGGGACAACTCCTGAGGTCACTGAGGCATGAGAGTGGTAAGCACAGCCTGCCTGTATTTGAAATTTTGATTTGTATTCACTGTCAAATTATTTTGCAATAATTTTTAGTTTTTAATAAAGATAATCACATCCAATATTATTTCACTTGCTTGCTGAGTTGTTTTATTTTTTGTTTTTTAGTCGTGTGCCCAGAAGTGAGTGCCTTGCTTGTGTCACCCTAGTCCAGGCACTGGAAAGCAAGGCACGTGTCTCCCCAAACACACCTGTCCAGGCCCCAGCTCCTCCCCTCCAAGACCCACTCCTCCCCTCTTCCTGCCTTACACACCTTTCCTGGCAGGAAGAGGACAGCAGTGCCCTGGGTTGCAGGGAAGTTCCAGGCCTCACAGCTGAGCACAGACCAGAGCTGAGCTCCCCCTTGAAGCTCAGGGGCAGTGGGTGGCCCATGAGGGTGGGGCAGGTGTGTTCTCCTCCTCCAGCCCCTCCCTTACCCACCTGTGTACTCCTGTTGCAGGGAGAGGTTCAGGGAAACGTGCTGGGAACCCAGAGAGTTCTGAGCTCGACAGGTGAATTCCCCTTCATCCCCCAGGTGCACTTGCAGCTCCAGTACCAGAGGGTTTGAGGGCTGTGAGGGGTACAGGGTCAGACTCCTCCAGGTCCAGCTCAGCCTGGCAGGGGGATTGCTGTCAACAGCACAGACCAAGCGCAGAGACTGGCCCTCTAGGACTGAAAGAGATGAGCTGTTCCCCAGAGCTGTGGATGCTGTAGAGAAAAAGTTGGAGGTTCAAAGAGACAAAGTGATTGAAACAGGGAGGAAGGATACAGAATGAGACTGGGGAATGGAACAGAGAGTGATGTAGGCTGGTGCAGGGACATACTTATGTTCACCGCTCACTGTTGGGAATGTAAACTTGCCCACCTTTATTTGAGGACAACTTCACCATATCTTTCAAAATCAGAAAGAACATATGACACTGGTAAAATGTGCTTTTAGGAATTTATCCTATACACTTAGATATTCCTTGTGGGAGTAGATACAACATTATTCATTGCAGTGTTCGTGCCGTAGGATAAAATTAGTGCCATGATCTTCCATTAGGAGATGCCACAAAATCAGAGACTATTCAGACAGTGGAATCACACACATCCCTAGAAGAGGGTGCAAACAGTCTCACTGCTGACATCAAACCACCTCTGAGATCTTCCAGGTGCACAAACCAAGGCTCAGGACAGCCTGGACAGACCCTGGTTGATTCTGGGGACACATTTTACTGTGAATTTAAAATTTTTGCCCACGTGATTATAGCATGTATCCAAAAGAACGTAGCTCAAAACTATTGGGTAAAATAAAAAGACGAGTTAGGTGGCATATTCAGGAGATGGAAGATAAGAGGCCCAAAGGCTGCTCCTGCTATATGTATTTCCCCCTGTCCTGGCTGCAGGGCTGAGGAGGGTGTGTGTGCAAGAGTCTGAGGGGAGTGGGGGGAAGAGGACAGGTGCTCAGGTGGCCACAGAGGCTAAGGATGGGGAGGAGGCCTGGGTTCAACTACAAGGGAGTCTCATATCACCAGGGTGAGTCCAGGATGAGGAGGGACCTGGCCCTGCCCTGAGCTGAAGGCCCTGCTCCCCCAGCCCCAGGGAGGGGGCTCCATCCTACCTGTGCCTTCTCCTTGGAAGACAGTCACAGTCAAGTTCTGAGGAGGGTCTGGGACAGAAAGACATGGAGACCTGCATCACTGTGAGGGCTGGGGACACTGGCCCTGTCTCCCCAGGAGCTGCATAAATGGGGAAGGCGGAGCCAGCGTCCTCCTGATCCCACAACCAGCCCAGATTCTGGGACCCAGCACCCAGTGTCGAGCCCTGACCCCATCCTCTGCCCTCAGGGACGTCCCCCCCTCATCAGGGACCAGGGCGTCCTGGCTCAGCACTCACAGGACACATTGAGTTGGATGGTCCTGTTCGTGGTCACGCCGGCCCCAGGCAAGGTCACCTGACAGGTGAGGCTGGTGCCGTGGTGCTGGGGCTGTGGGATGAGGGTGAGCACTGAGGAGCGGGTGGTGGAGGGGTGCAGGGGGGACACAGAGGTCCCCATCCAGGAGATCATAGGGGGCGTCCCCTGCTCACAGGCCCAGGGCACAGAGCAGGTCAGATTCTGGAAGCAGCCAGACTCCAGGGTACCGGGGATAAGGATGTTGGGCCTGTGGGTCAAGGCTGGTGAAGAGAGGGGGACTCAGGATCAGGACAGAGGATCCATGGTACAGCCCTGGGGGAAGCTCAGGCTCTGGTTCAGCTTCTGCCCTGAGCCCAACTCGCTTCACCCTCAGCCCTCTCCCAGGGCAGGGGCCCCATCCCAGGCTTTCGCTGCCACCCCCATGACCTTTCCCTGTGGTGTCTCCTGGAGCCTGTGCCTTATCTGTCACATTCACAGAGAGCTGCTTCGTTTTGTAATTCCATCTTATCTGTCCTCTCTCCACCTGGAAGTAGTAGTTCCTCAAATCCCCCTTCCTGGCATCTCTGATGCTCAGGGAGCAGTTGTTGGTCTTCAGGTCCCCAAGGAGGTGGAATCGGCCCCGTGTCTCCTGCACTTTTCCATTTGGGATGTTTGTGGCCACTGGATTATTCCATTGTATATTGATCCCTTTCTTAAACCAGCATCCATGGACAGGGCTAGAGTCAGTTCAGTTGTAATAGGGTTAAAGGACACTGCAGGGCACAGAGACGCACTAGCCCTCCTGCACCATCACCAACTCCAGCACCTCCAGCCTGTATCTTGACAGTGGGGCCTGGGACGCTGTGGGGAAATGAGGCTCAGCCCAGCCCCGACTGTCCCTCTCTTCATTTGCCCACAAGAGAGGCAGCAGCATCTCTGAGACAGAGGGTTCCTGGGCTCCTTGTGTGAGCAGAGAAGTGGGAGGGAGAGGAGGGGCAGGGCTGTGGGACCCACAGGGGGCTGGAGAGGGGCTGGAGAGGAGCTGGAGACCTCAACCCAGCACGAAAGAGAAACTACAAACCCACATGCTATAGGAACTGGTTCCCTCTGCACAGAGTGAAGGAAACCCTGAAGCTCAGAGACCCTAGAGACCCACCCAGGGAGGAGAAGAGACCGTGTCCCACCTCCTACCTCCGGGCTTCCCTGGAGCACCAGGGCCTGCACCAGACACGTAGGTCCTGCCCTCCCGGCCTCTGGACCATCGTGGAGGTCCCTCCTGTCTTTTGAGCATCTAAATGTGGATCTCCGAGGACCTCAGGGCATGAGAGATGGAGGGGCCGTGTGCTGAGTCTCCCTGTCCAGGCTCAGGTGCCTCTGCTGCCCTTGGTTTGCGCCAGGAAGTGCTTCCTCCCTGGCCTGGCCTGAGAGAGTCACGGGGTTGTGTAGACCTAAGGCTCTCAACTGGGGAGGACTTAACCCCCCAGGACGTTTAACAATGTGTGGAGATAATTGTTATTGTCTCACTGCATGGGTGGAGTGGGTGCTTCTGGCATCTGGTGGGGAGAGGCCTGGGATGGTGCTAAACCCCGGCCATGCCTAGGACAGGCCCCAAAACAAGGAGTCATAAGGCCCCACATGCCACAATGCCAGCGTCAGAGGCAGGATGAGGATGTCAGGCCTGTGGGTCAGGGCTGGTGAGGGGAGGGGCCTGCAGGATCAGGAGGGGCATCCAAGGTGCGGTCCTGGGGAAGCTCAGGCTCTGGTCCAGCTCCTCTCCTGAGTCCATCACCCCCGGCCCCCTCCCAGGACATGTGTCCCGTCTCAGCCGTGCCCTAAAGCCCTCATCACATTTGCCTTTGGCCTCTCTTGGAGCCCGTGCCTTACCTGTCACGTTCACAGAGAGCTGGTCATATTTATAATTCCATTTTATATTTCCTTTCTCCATACGAAAGAAGTATCTCCCCGCATCACTCATTCTGGCATCTCTGATGCTCAGGGTGCAATTTTTGGTCTGTGGGTCCCCAAGGAGGTGGAATCGGTCCCGAGTTTCCTCCTGCACTGCCCAAGCTGGGTTGTTTGTGGCCACTGGAGCCTTCCAGCTTATATCATTCCCTGCCCGGAACCAGTAGCCATGAACTGGGTCAGAGTCAGTCTGGCTGTCCACTGGGTAGGAGAAGGAGCAGCGCACATGGACACACATGCCCTCTTGCACGGTCACGGAACTCTGCATCGTCAGCGAGTAATCCTTCCGGTTACTCTTCTGTCCTTCCACCCTCTCCCTCCCCCAGAGCAGGGGCAGCAGCAGCAGCAGCAGCATATCTGGGGTTGGAGGTGCCAGGGCCGCGAGGGAACGTCTGTTCCTCAGGGTTCTTCTCTCAGGAACTGCGGGCTCAAGACTTAGAAGAGGCCCTACAGGAAGTCGGTGGTGAGGTCAAAACAGTGACCTCCTTAGAAGAAGAACTTCACACACAGACACTGTCAGGGCTGGGTCAGCCCTGGGAGATCCACCGTCCACCACCCGACATTCACTCCTGGGTCCCTGAGGCCAGAGCGGGAGACAGACTCACCCAGATTCCCACCCCATGCAGGGCCCACCCCACCTCCTGCCTCCCTCTCAATGCCTTTCCCTTTAGGTGATATTTTCTGCAGGGTGAAAATAACTCCCATCTGCCCAGACCCCTGAGTCACAGGCTGTGGATGTCTGCGTAGCTCAGAAGTGGGACTCGGGGCCATGAGAGACAGGGGTGCAGGTGGGGTGAACAGGCAGCCTCTCATCCCTCCCTCAGCAGCCACGAGGTGGGCACCCCCTTTCTGCACAATGAGGTCAACACAGCAGAGCCGGACACTGTCCCCAAGGAGTCACTGTGTGGTGGGGAGACACTGAGTCTCCTGACGTTTGAGCTCCCCATGACAGGAGCTTCAGTGGGGGGCACAGGCAGGGTGGGGTCACTCTCCCCTAGGTCGGGGGTTCAGTCTCAGGAGGACCGAGCAGACGGACATGGGGCTGTGAAGGTGAGGATTGCGCCTGTTGATACACGCCAAGGACACGGAGGGGAGCCCAGCCTGCAGGAGGCCGGGGAAGCTGAGGCTGTGATTGTTGTATTGTGGGGCTTGGTAGACAGGAAAGTCATAAGGGAAAGGATCAATATGAAAAGAGCAGACACTATTCCCATCCTCACAGCTCTCTGAGCACAAGGACATTTCCCTTCACCACTGCTATCTCATGAGGCCTGGTTAGTGCAGAGTGTGAGGGGTCTGCTGGCCCTGGGGCTTTGCTCCTGCAGGAACTGCTCCTAGGGGTTCAGGTGAACAGGAGACGTGGAGCAAAGACACCAGCCCCGGGGCGTCCACCCTCAGTGATGGGCGCGATTTTCTGAGAGAAGAAACACGCACCTGACTTCAACAGAAGATTATTTTAAACTGTGTGACTGGGCTGGGAGGAAGTGGGAAAAATCCTGCAAGCTGCAGCCCCCTTAGATCCAGGCCAGCTTTTCTTGAAACAGTTTTTTTTGAGCGGGGAGAAACACAAGACATGTACATAAAAGTGTCCCCTAAAAACCAACTCAGTGATTCACACAAAATAAGCACCCTTGAAGAACTAGAACACAAAAGAACTGTCAAGTCTGTCCCTTGAAATGAAGAAAGAGATTTTATTAATTCATTCACCCTTACATTCCCCTTTCCTATTGGCCATGCCCCCGCTCCCTCCTGAAGGAGCCCCTAGCCTCACTTTAATGATAATAGTCTTCCTGCTGTTCTATGTAGTTTTATCATCGGCACATGCTGCCTTGAAAATTCTAACTTCACGTAGGTTTTCCTGAAGATGTTGTATACATAGAAAATCCCAGTCTGTTTTCTTCCATACAACTGCATTGATCTGCTCAGCCCACACTGTCCCCTAATTGTCCATAACCTAGAGATCATTTGGCTGTAACGATTGAGAGAGGAAGATGCTGGGTTTGGGCGTCCGAAGCCACTCCCCGCCCTCACCTCCAATCCCTGCATTTGCAGCTAGTATCTCATCCTGCAGACCAATCTGCCTCCTGGGCGCCTCCTCCTTGCCCAGCCACTCTCTCCCCATAAGGATATTTGCAGTATCTCAGTGGGCAGAAGTGTTACCGGATGGTGCCATGCAGTTCCAGGCTCTTGGTGTCTTAAACAAAGAATTGGATGAGACACACACAGACAGCAAAGCAAGAAGCAGCAGTTTATTAAGCACAGTATCACACTCTTGGAGAGGGAGAGCGAACTGATCTCTATGAGGTGAGATCAGCATTACTTTGGGTCTTTTTATGTTTGTTTGTTTGTTTTTTTGTTTTTCTTCGCTTCCCAAGGCTGCCAAATCTCTATCCAGTGTCTGCCTTTTTTCGGGGGGAAGGGGTGGTGGTGAGGTGGGGACGAAGTCACCCAAGCTTGAGTGCAGTGGCACAATCTTGGCTCACTGCAACCTCAACCTTTTGGGTTGAAGCGATTCTTCTGCCTCTGCCTCCCTGGTAGCTGGGACTACAGGCGCCCGCCACCATGCCTGGCTAATTTTTGTATTTTTAGTAGAGATGGGGTTTCACCAGGTTGGCCAGGCTGGTCCTGAATTCCTGACCTCAAGTGATCCGCCCACCTTGGCCTCCCAAAGTGCTGGGATTACAGGCGTGAGCCACCGCGCCTGGCCAGTGCCTGCCTTTTTGATGGTTAAGTATGTTGCTTAGTTACTTTGACCCATCCCATAATTTTAAGTACATGGATAATATGCAGTCCATATGCATGAACTTTAATGAGCTGATTATCATACAGGGTCATGTTAAGGATACTTTTTCTCTCTAATGCACATGCATAGCTCTGAAGAACTGCCCCTTACTGGTTTGGTCCAGATCCTGCTGGCCACGGGTGTCCTTGCTCACTTCTCTATCTTACTTTTTGTTTTGGCTGCTCAACTTCTGCCTCTTGCTTCTTGCTCACCCGTCCCCTCACCTTGCTTCTGCTCTCTGCTTTTACTTATTCTGCCCTTTATCCAACTTTTAATTCTCTTTGCTATGCTCCTGCCCCATTGGTCTATGCTCCTCCTGCCTCAGAAGGGCTAGACCATGGCCCATCTCTTTCCCACAGTCCCCAGTTTGCAATTAAAATCAGAAAAAAAAATGGGAAGGAGAGACTTAAGGAAGCCACAGAATCTGTAGAAAGGAGGAACTTGTGAACCACATATGACCCAGGGGAGCTGACAAGCCCTCTACTCCCACTTCCACAGTTCGGAGAGGAAGACATCAAGGTCCACAGTGACAAGTGCTATGGTCTGAATATGTCACCTCAAAATTCATTTGTTGAAATTTGAATCCCCATGTGATAGTATTAGAAGGTATAATGATTTGGGAGGCGATTAGGCTATGAGGACTCTGGGATTAGTCTAATGGGATTAGTCCCCTCATCTGAGAGACCCAGGGGAATTTGCACAGCCCTTCCACCACATGAGAACATAAGGAAAAGGCACCATCTATGAGGAAGCAAACTGTCTCCAGACACCAAACCTGCTGGCACCTTGGTCTTGGACTTCTCAGCCTCCAGAACTGTGAGAAATGAATTTCTGTTGTTTATAAACTGGCCAGTTTATGGTATTTTGTTGTAGCAGCATGAATGGACAGAGATAGAAAGCGAATTGCCCAAATCACACAGGTCTCCTGGGCCCTGTCTCCTGCACCAATGTCTGCCCAGGAGCCACTTAATTAATCTTGTCTGCCCAGGACAGACTGGGCTGGGACAGGGGAAGCTGATGTTACTTGGAGAGTGAAAGAACTGTCAAGTCTCTCACATGAGATAAGGAAAGACATTTCATTCATTCATTCATTCATTCATTCATTCGTTCTGTATTCAGATTGTGAGCACCCGTGCTGTGCCTTGAGATTTCCAGCAAAGGGTAAGTGTTTGCCCAATCGCTCCCTCCCAGGAGGGGAAGTTGCAGCATCTCAGTGGTCAGAAGGGCTGAGCCATGGCTGACAGTGATGTCCTGCATCTGTCCCGCAGGGCTGGGTGTCCTCATCTGAGTTCTGTCTTGAGCAGGAGGGGCTCAGTCAGGCCTCTCAGCCCTGCTCCCCTGGGGGCCTCCACACCTGTAGAGCCAACACCGGCCTCAGATTAGCATCGGCCACTTCAATTCTAACTCAGGCGGGACAGGACAGCTCAGCCCCATCTGGAACTCGGGGGCCAATCCCTCGGCTTCCCTAGAAAAGAGCAGCCCTGCTCACCTGGAGTAGTAGCCCCAGGTGAGGCCACGGGTGAAGGAAAAACCAGTGCCCATGAGCGCCCCTTGATTAGGTGAGAACCAGGGGCTGGGAGCCCTCCTGATCTTCACTCGCACATCTGCACCCAGAGGGACTTCCTGGGAGTGGGGAGAAGAGGGTGAGGTTTTGTTCCTAGGTCTAGGCCCCTCTCACAGCCCAACACCTGACCAGGCTGCCTGCCCCAGCACCCGTCCAGCAGCTCCCTCTGCACAGAGAGGCTCAGGGAAATGTGCTGGGAGCCCAGTGGGTGCTGAGCCTCACAGGTGAGGTCGCCTTCACCTCCAGTCCCTTTCTGGGGCAGCTCCAGGATCCCAGTTGCTGAGAGCTGGGAGAGATTCAGTGTTCTTCCCTCCTGAGACCAGCTCAGTGAGGCGGGGGAGTTGCTGTCAGTCACACAGACCAGGCCCAGGGACTGACCCTCCAGGACAGGAAGCGAGGTGCCATTGCTCAGGGTCTTCAGGGTTGAGTGAGGAAAACAGTGAGAGCGGGGAGGGTGGAGCTGAGAGGCTGTCTCTCCCACAACCCCACAAAAACAGAAAGAGGAGACACCTGACTGTGTGACACATACTCACGAATGCAAATCCAGGAGTTCAAAAAGCTGAAAGACCCCGCAGGGAAAGAGGCTGAGCTGAGACTAGTGGGGGAGTTGGTCATATTAACAGGTGGCTAAGGGCACCTCAGGTGGAGGGGAAAAAGCACAGGCCATGAGACAGCCGGGCAGATGAAGGGCCCTGCAAATATGTGTGGGGTCTTCCAGGGGGAAATTGGAGGTGCTGGGACATGATCAGCTGAACAGCTTGGACTGAGGGTTCCAGGGAACCAGAGAGGGCCCTGAGCAGGGAAGAGGCAGTGTCAGCTCTGGATGCAGGAAAATTTTTCAGGGCTTGTGCTGCGAGGGCCACAGCATGGAGGCGAGAGGCTGCAGACCGGGATGTTGGGTGGGAAATGGAGCAATCGTCAAGACCGAAAAGGGCCTGGCCATGCAGATAGAGGGGAGGAGACAGGGAATGGAGGGAGGAGGAAGGGCATGATGGCAGACATTTTTGGGGAAGTGAAGTTTACAGGAACCCCTGACTCATGCATGGGGTGGTTGAAAACAGGAGGCAACTGGAATAAGTCCTGGGTCCTGACTGGGATAACTGAAGAGTCGGGGGTGGGGGATGGAGGCACCATGTCCAAGAAGAGGCTCAAGGGGCAGAAAGTGGGGGAGACATCAGGGCAGGGCTCACAGCTGAGCCACAAGGTGGACGTGCTCACTCAGGAAGCATGTGGAAGGGAAGGGGCAGCCCAGGGAATACGTGTCAGGCACTTTCCTGGGGCTGTCTCATCATAAGTTCCCTCGGCGTGGGAAGAACTGGCTTGGAAAAACAAGAGTAACCCCAACAGGAAGCCAGTGGGTAGGGGCAAAGTGGTAGTTCCTCACATAAGTGCAACTTCAGACTTATGGGTGCCAGAGGTGGGAGGTTTTTAGAGACGAGTGTTTTTCCCTTCCCTTCCATGTAGATCTCAGTGAGGAACAGAGAAAGCAAAAAACTCCCCAGAGTCACCCCGGCTGATATGTCTTTCATACTTGAAAGAGTTTATGAAACACTGGAATTATTTCTGCCTTGCATATTCAGAAGAACTTACCACTTAATTTTTTTGCCTGGAAAATAACATTTGCTACTCAATCAGCTTTGTTATGAAACCATGGGCTTTTCCATAGGTAGCTCACAACATGGCCTCCAGCTTCATCAAAGTGAGAAAGCAAGAGACAGCGAGAGAGAGAATGAGGCACAAGTTAGTCTTTTATAACGTGATCTTAGGCATAACATTAGCAAGCAGATTTGCAAGACCCACGGCCACCCTGCAGCTGATGCACACCACGTGCAGGAACTCCCATCACCCATGGCCACCCTGCCAAAATGCTTTGTCAGCAACCCCTATTGGAGCGTTGTTGCCAGTGGACCCGGAACACCTTGGCCATTCCAGCATAGGAGGTGCTTAACCTTGAAGGGCCAGGAAAAAAAAAAAAAAAAGCCATGGGCCAGGTCCCAGGTCCCTGTAGTTAGAGCATGCAGCTCAGGAGTGCTGAGTTGAGCCTGGGCCCCTTGAAATCATCCAGAAACAAATGCAGTTGTCTAAGCCCAAGTTATACCACTGTGAAACCCTCAAGGGCATCAGAGAATATAAAAGCAAAGAGCCCTATCCAAAGAACAGCAACTTCAAAGATTAAAGGAACATCAGCCCACACAGATGAGGAAGAACCAGTGAAAGAAATCTGACACATCCAAAAGCCAGAGTATTTTACCTTCAAGTGACCACACTATCTCCCCAGCAATGTTCTTAATGAGTCTGAAATGACTGAAATGATAGACATAGAATTCAGAATCTGGATGGCAACAAAGATCACGGAGATTCAGGAGAAACTCGAAACCCAGTCCAAGGAATGTAGGAAATCCAATAAAATGATTCAAGATCTGAAAGATAAAATAATCATTTTAAGAGAGAATCAAACTGATCTGTTAGAGCTGAAAAACTGCAAAAATTTCATAATACAAGCGGAAGTATTAACATCAGAATAGATTAAGCTGAGAAAAGAATCTCAGAGCTCAAAGACCAGTTCTCTGAATCAACCCAATCAGACAAAAATTTTTAAAAAAAGAATTAAAAAAAATGACAAAACCCTCCAACAAATATGGGATTATATAAAGAGACCAAACCTACGGCCCACTGGAATCCTGGAAAAAGAGAGACGCAGCAACTTATAAAACATATTTGAGGATATCATCCACAAAAATTTCCCCAACCTTGCTAGAGAGGTTGACATATAAATTCAGGAAATTCAGAGAACCCCAGGAAGATACTGTACAAGATTACCATCCCCCAGACACAGAGTCATTAGATTTTCTAAGGTTCACATGAAAGAAAAAATATTCAATGCAGCTAAAAGGAAGAGGCAGGTCATGTACAAAGGGAACCCCATCAGGCTAACAGAAGAGCTTTTAGCAGAAATCATATAAGCCAAAGACATTCGGGGCCTATATTCAGCATTCTTAAAGAAAACAAATTTCAGCCAAGATTTTCATACCCTGCCAAACTAAGCTTCATAAACGAAGGATAAATAAAATCCCTTTCAGACAAACAAAAACTGAAAAAAATTCATTACCACCGGACCTGACTTATAAGAGGTCCTTAAGTGAGTGCCAAACACAGAAGTGAAAGAATGTTACATGACACCACAGAAAGTGGTGTTAAGTGGTTAAGTGTATAACCCACTGACATTATGAAGCAACTATACAATCACGTCTACATAACAACCAGCTAACAACATAATGACAGGATCAAATTCTCACATCTCAATATTGACATATCAATAATGCTTTCGCTGGCTGTCCCTTTTGCATAGAGTCCAGCATGAGACGCAGAGGAGACTGGGATGCTTAATGTAGCCAGATGGGGCTGATGTAGCTCCTGAGTTAAAAATACATCTTTCTTTGGGACAGAAGGAACCACGTAATTTACTCTAGTCCAGTTTGGTCCTAGCATCCAGGAAAGTAAAGATGCAATGTACCAGAATACCCATATCAAAAAGTTAGAAAGATCCCAAATTAGCAACTTAACATTACACCTAGAGGAATTAGAAAAACAAGAGCAAGTCAACCCCAAAGCTAGCAGAATAAAACAAATAACCAAAATCAGAGCTGAAATGAATAAAATTGAGATACGAAAATTCCTACAAAAGATCAGTATACCCCAAAGTTGGTTCTTTGAAAGAACAAATAAGATTGATAGATCACTAGCTAGTCTAATAAAAAAGAGGGAACCAAAAGCTTTCATCATTTAAGAGTTTTTAATTTCTCTTTCATGAAAGGTAAATTTACATACAGTAAAATACATAGATTTTATTTGCGTGATTCAATGTGTTTTGATTCATAACCACATAATTACTATCCCAGTTAAGACATAGACTATTCCTAGGACTGGCTGGGCGCAGTGGCTCACGCCTGTAATCCCAGCACTTTGGGATGCAGAGGTGGTTGGATCACAGGGTCAAGAGATCAAGACCATCCTGGCCAACATGGTGGTCTTGGCCAACATGGTGGTCATCTCTATTAAAAATACAAAAATTAGCTGGGCATGGTGGCCCGTGCCTGTAATCCCAGCTACTCAGGAGGCTGAGGCAGGAGAATCGCTTGAACCCTGGAGGCGGAGGTTGCAGTGAGCCACTGCACTCCAGCCCGGCAACAGAGCTAGACTCCTTCTCAAAAAAAAAAAAAAAAAAAAAAAAAAAGAAAAGAAAGAAATAAAATTCCCAGGACCCCAGAAAGTTCCCCTGTGTGCCATTCACGTTAATCCCCAAATCCCACTCCCAACCTGAGGCAGTCACTGTTATGAATTTCTGTCTTTGTAGATTAGTTTGGCCTGTTCTTGAACTTCATATAAGTGAAACTACAGAGCATGTATTCTTTTGCATCTGGCTTCTTTGACTCAAGATGTTTTCAAAATTTATTCAAGCTATTGCATGTATTATATATTGTTATTATATATTGATGAGTATTATGCCGTTACATGGAAACATGTAATCAATTTTAAATATTAATTACTTAGATTTTTATATTATTTTCTCACTAAATGTAGGACATTTCAAGTGCTCAGTAGCCACATGTGGCTAGTGGTTACCATATCAAACAGCACAGTTGTACAAACATTATAGTCTCCGCTTTTACTTTTAGGTTTATGATTCGCTTCAGGCTAATTTTTTGCGTGTGATGTGAGAAACAGCTCAACACTCGTTTTTACCAACCCTAATTTCACTTGTTCCGCTAACATTTATTTTTTATTTATTTATTTATTTTCAAGATGGGGTCTCACTCTGTCGCCAGGCTGGAGTACAGTGGCACAATCTTGGCTCACTGCAACCTCTGCCTCCTGGGTTCAAGCAATTCTGCTTCAGCCTCCCTAGTACCTGGGATTACAGTTGCCTGCCACCACACCCAGCTAATTTTTTTTTTTTTTTTTTGTATTTTTGGTAGAGATGGTGTTTCACCATGTTATCCAGGCTGGTCTTGAACTCCTGACCTCAAGTGATCCACCCACCTCAGCCTCCCAAAGTGCTGGGATTACAGGTGTGAGCCACCGCGCCCGACCACCTACCAACATTTATTAAAAGTCTTTCCTGTCCCAATTGAATAGACTTGATGCTATTCAGTTGACTGTATATGTGTGGGTCCATTTGTAGACTGTACTCTAGTCCACACCACACTCTCTGTATTACTCTAGTGTTAAAGTCTGCCTTCTCTAAATGTGTTTCTTATCACAATGATTTGGTTATTCTAGGTTTTTATGTGTTTATATAAATTTCAGAACCAACTTATCAATTTATAACTATATATGTATATATATAAACTTATATTTACAATATACATACATATACACTCATCTATACTTATGTACATACATATACACATATACATATATTTTATATATATATAGGAATTTTGACAGGGATTACCTAAATCAATATGCAGACAACTGACATTTTAACCATTTTTGCCTTCTAATCCATGAACGTGATATATTTCTTCCTTCATTTGGGCCTTCCTTAAGTCTCTCAAAAATGTTCTATATTCATCAGTACAGAAGCATTCCGTGTTATCTTAGTTCATTTGTGTTGCTATAGAGTAATATCTGAGGCTGGGTAATTTATAAAGAAAAGAGGTTTATACAGCTTGTAGCTGCAGTGAACGCCAAGAATGAAGCACTCAGACAATTCCAGCTGAGCGGGATGCGGCGGCAGCAGCATCTCTGAAAGAGTGCCGCCCCAGAATCCGTCCGCCAAGTGTTTCTCGAAAGGGTTTGTTAAACCAAAATGTCCACCAGATGGCCTTTTGCGGTCGGGTCATGAGACACATATGGCCTGGTAAAAACACTCAGACTACAGTCTCAGGAGGCTGCTTTCCGCGCTCCTTATCACACATTCCGTTCCTTGCCCTGTTTTCAGGGTCAAGGAGTTTCAATCTCATGCACAAACAACACGCACACGGTGCCTCAGTATTTTTCCATGCCTCGACCTCAAATGCCTTGTACATAAGCTTGAATATGTTGCCGTGCACCCCCCACAGTTTATTTGGCTCACAGTTCTGCACCACATAGAAAATGCTTGGCACCAGCCTTTGCTTCTGGTGAGGGTCTCAGGAAGCTTCCACTCATGGTGGAAGGCAAAAGGAAGTCTGCATGTGCAGACAATACGGCAAGAGAGGAAGCACGGGCTGGGGAGGGGAGGTGCCAATGTCTTTTTAACACCCAGCTCTTGGAGAAACTCTCACAGGAAGTAACAGAGTGAGAACTCTCTCATTACCTTGAAGACAGCACCAAGCCATTCATGAGGGATCCAATCCCGGGACCTGAACACCTCCCATTTGGCCCCACCGCCAACACTGGGCATCAAATATCAACAGGAGGCTTGGCAGGGCCAAACAAACCATATCCAAACCATAGCATAGGATTTTTTTTTTTTTTTTTTGACACAGACTCTTGCTCTGTCGCCCAGGCTAGAGTGCAATGGCACAATCTCAGCTCACTGCAACCTCCGCCTCCCGGGTTCAAGCAATTCTCCTGCCTCAGCCTCCCAAGTAGCAAGGACTACAGGCATACGCCACCTCGCCTGGCTAATTTTTGTATTTTTAGTAGACATGGGGTTTCACCATGTTGGCCAGGCTGGTCTTGAACCCCTGACCTGAAGTGATTTGCCCTCCTCAGCCTCCCAAAGTGTTGGGATGACAGGCGTGAGCCACCACGCCCAGCTCGGATATGATTTTTTACTTATTTATTTATTTATTTATTTATTTTTTTTGAGACGGAGTCTCGCTCTGTCTCCCAGGCTGGAGTGCAGTGGCACGATCTCAGCTCACTGCAAGCTCCACCACCCGGGTTCACGCCATTCTCCTGCCTCAGCCTCCCGAGTAGCTGGGACTACAGGCACCCGCCACCACGCCCGGCTAATTTTTGTATTTTTAGTAGAGACAGGGTTTCACCATGTTAGCCAGGATGGTCTCGATCTCCTGACCTCGTGATCTGCCCACCTCGGCCTCCCAAAGTGCTGGAATTACAGGCGTGAGACACTGTGCCCGGCCATGATTTTTAAAAAATTGTTCCTTGGTACTTTACGGTTTTTTGATGCTGCCGTAAATGGGCAAGAGTCTAGATTTAGGGAAGTTTTAGTGCTTCCTCCAGTCCTTTGATTTCTTCCTATCAGGGCTACTGCATAAAGTGATTGTTGTGAGATGTCCCTTTCCTCGTTCGGGTGCTGCATGTAGGTAAATTTTTTTGGATCATGTTGTTTAATTTGCCAGATGATCCTGTGCCCCTTTGGAAACGTTTCTCATTCCCTGGGTTTGGCTTTAGAGGAGGGAGATCATGAGCTGCTGCTTCACTCTCTCCCTCAGCTCAACCCAGAAGTCCAATCCTTGAACTCCATTTTCAAAGACAGAGACAGAAGAAGGCCCAGGAGGAGGGCGTTCTAGGAGGAGGGTCCCCAGTGTGCAAGGACTGAGGTATGAACCAACAGGGCATGTTGCAAATGATTTGGAAAAGACCAGAGGGACCAGTGGGTTAAGTGGTGAAGATGGAGGAGTGGACTGAAGTGGGAGAGTGATGTCACGAAGAGGATGTGATGGGAGGTTCAGGATCCAGGAGCCATGGATGGGCTGTGAGCAGTGCGGAGAGAGCTCAGTGTGTCCTAAAGATTCCCACTGGACTGTGCACAATACGTAGACTGCAGAGAGTAAGGCGGCCTAGCAGTCACAGGGTGGGCAGATGAGGCTGAAGAGGTGGGCAGGATCCAGATGCTACCTAGACCTGATTTGCAGGCTGAGGTTATTTCCTGGAAAGTTGCAGAATCGCTATTTTGCAGGCAAGTGACACAGACATATAAGTACTAGTTGCCACCAGAATCAGGAGAGGTTCCCAGCAGGACCTTTGTGTTCAAAGCACAGCGATCCATCAGTGCTCGGCATACACCTGTGCCAGGAGCTCTAACGGGATGTGACTCCTGGAATGGTGACCACAACCTTGCAAGTAGGGCTTCTCATTCCTGTTTTACAGAGCAGGAAACCAAGGTACAGAGAGGTAGGAATTTGTCTGTCTTTTAGTTAAAAAAATAAAAGGGAGGGCACAGTGTGGATTCAGGTTTGAGATACTTTGACTCTAAAGCCTGTGTGCTTTTCACTCTGCACATAATTCATAGTGTTATCATAGCTCATCACGTTGAGGGCTGTTAATTCTACAAGAATCAGCCTCTGACTTCTCCCTTGCCTGGAGGGGCTGTGATCCCTCAATCAGGGTGAGTCTCTGCAGTTTCTCATCTGTGGATCTTGATCTCCGAGTACTCGGTGTCAGTGGCCTCCTGTCCCCGCGAGTCCCAAGGCTTCACCATCTGGAAGCTGAGGGATGCATACTGGAGCTCTCCTTCCCCCACTGAGGAGCGGGCAGAAGCTGGGGGAGGCTGGTCTGGGGGACTGTCTTCTGCCCAAGGTTCAGTCAGGGGCCCCTGAGACATGGGAGAGAGAAGTGAGTCAGAGCAGACAGTGAGGATGGGGCGCGGTGGCTCACATCTGTAATCCCAGCTCTTCAGGAGGCTGAGGTAGGCGGATCACCTGAGGTCAGGAGTTTGAGACCAGCCTGGCCAACATGGTGAAACCCTGTCTCTACTAAAAATACAAAATTAGCCAGGTGTGGTGGTGTGCACCTTTAATCCCAGCTACTCAGGAGGCTGAGGCAGGAGAATCGCTTGAACCTAGGAGGCAGAGGTTGCAGTAAGCCAAGATTGTGCCACTGCACTACATCCTGGGTGACAGAGCGAGACTCCATCTCAAAAAACAAAAACAAACAAACGAAAAAATGCACTTGAGGCAACAGCCTCACTCACTTCACCCTTGTTCTTGCCCTAGTGGAGAGGTAGGTGCTTAAAAGGTCAGAATGTGGCCGGTCACAGTGGCTCACGCCTGTAATCCCAGCACTTCGGGAAGCCAAGGTGGGCAGATCACAAGGTCAGGAGACTGAGACCATCCTGGCTAACACAGTGAAACCCCGTCTCTACTAAAAATACAAAAAAATTAGCTGGGCGTGGTGGCAGGCGCCTGTAGTCCCAGCTACTCCGGAGGCTGAGGCAGGAGAATGGCTTGAACCCGGAAGGTGGAAGTTGCAGTGAGCAGAGATCGCACCACTGCACTCCAGCCTGGGCGACAGAGCAAGACTCTGTCTCAAAAACAACAACAACAAAAAAAAAAAAAAACAAAAAAAGTCAGAATGTGCACTGCTGCAGGCTATAGAGTTTGGGATTTTTACTCTAGATCAGGGGTTGTCAAACTACAGTATCTGAGTCATATCCAGCCCACTCTTTATGTTTGTGAATAGTTTTATTGGCACACAGCCATATTCATTTGTTTACACAGGGTATATGGCTTCTTTCTTGCTACAACAGCAGATTTGAGGAGCTGCAATGAGACTGTGTGGCCCATGAAGCCGAAAATAGTTTCTATCTGTCCCTGACAGATAGTATTTGCTGGCTTCTGCTCTAAACGGTATTGAGGGGTGGGGGAACAGCTGTTCAAATGCAGAGGAACTGGACGATGATGTCTTCTGGACAGTCCCCCCAGGCAGGAAAGGAGAGGAGACAGGCAGACAGGTGAGGGAACAAAAGACAGAGATCCTCAGGCCTCAGCAATGAAGGGTCAGGATAGGGAGCAGAGACAATAAAAGCTGTTCTTAGGGGAGGAAACCAACCAAACATTGTGATTTGGGGCTACAGAGAAGAAAGGAAGAACAGAGAGGAGGTAACTTTGGCTACGCCCAGCTGATTAGTCCTGGGGGTCATCCTGTGGGAGGTGTCCAGGCTACATGCTGGCTGTGGAGAGTCCACATCACTCACCTGAGAGGCTGAACCCCTGACAGCGTTTGCATCCTCTATGCCCGTATCTCCCACGCCCGCTGCTGGCCTTGCCGATTTCTTCCTGCAGGACCTCACTCTGAGTGAAGAGACCAGAGAGCCTTTCAGTGTGGTCAGATTGGGGTGCGGTGGGCAGACCAGGTACCCCCATGTGTTTCCTATTAAGGGACTGCAGGGGTGACTGAGGTGGGAAAGCAGTGGTCCAGTCTTAGAGACCCCAAGGTTGAGAACAGAGGCTCTCTTCTCCTGGACAGTGGGTACCAAGGTTTGCCACAGACTCAAAGCTCCTCAAACACAGGCCCACATGGAATTCTCACCATGCACCTGTGACCTCCTTCTTGCCCCAAGCTCTTGACCCATCCAGGTCCCTCCAGCTCTGGCTTCAGGGATCCAGCTTCCAGCCTGTCCTCCCCCAGGGCTCTCCCTCCCTCCCTCTCTAGGGTCCATGCTTACACAACGAAGATGACGCAGAAGGACAGGAAGACCAGGGCTGTGGCTCCAGCTCCCCCGACCACCCCCTGAGTCACTCCTGATGTGGCTTTGCCTGTTGACAGATGGGAGTTATTTTTGTGATATATCATAGAGAATTGGGTCTCTTCTCCTCCCACTTCCTGTAGGGTCCTAGACTTCTATTTCCACTTCCCCTTTCCAGACACAAAGAACAGGAATGAGAGAGAGCAGGACATGGAGAGACTCTTCCTGAGGCCAGTGAGGCGTGCAAGTGCCAGCCATTCCTTTTGGGGTTTTTTTTCACAATTTTAATATTTTATCCATTAATGAATTTGTTTTGCATTCAATTTTTACTTTTTTTAAAAGATTATTGCATTGCAATATGATTTCATTTGATTGCTGACTTGCTGGGCTTTTTCTTTTTTTTAATTTGATGCTCAAAGCAAGTATCTCAGTTGTGTGACTCCAGTTCAGCCCTGCAAAGAAAGGCGCTTGTCTCCCTAAACACACCTGTCCGGCCCCATCCTGTCCCCTCTGAGATCCACTCCTGCCCTCTCCCCACCCCACAACCCTTCCCTGGCAGGAAGAGGACAGTGGTGCTGTGGGTCCCAGGGAAGTTCCAGACCTCACAGCTGAGCACAGACCAGAGCGGAGCTCCTCTCTGAAGGTCCACGCTCAGCAGTTACTAAGGGTGGAGGAGGTGTGTTCTCCTCTCCAGCCCCTCCCCAGCATACTGGTGCACTCACTCTGCAGGGAGACGTTCAGGTAGACCTGCTGAGAGCCGAGAGGGTTCTGAGCTCTGCAGGTGAATTCAGCTGCATCCCTCAGGTGCACCCAAGGCAGCTCCAGCACCCCCGGGTTTGAGGGCTGTGAGGGGCACAGGGTCAGGCCTCTCCAGCTCAGGCTCAGCCTGGCAGGGGGATTGCTGTCAACTGCATCAACTGCACAGACCAGGCGCAGAGACTGGCCCTCTGGGAGTGACAGAGATGAGCCATTTCCCAAGACTGTGGATACTGTAGAAAAAGAGACAGAGGGTCAGAGAGATACATAGATCTGGAGAAAAAGGAAGGATACAGAAAGAGACTGATGACAGCAACTGACACACAGACATAGACTGAAGTTCTGGAAACACACACTTTCACCACTCACTGCTGGGAATGTAAACTTCTCCCCGCTTCATCGAGAACAGTTTGGGCTTATCTTTCAAAATAAGAAAGAACATATAATGTAGCTACATTTTGCTTTTAGGAACTTAACCCACAGGCTTAGATATTCCTGTGGAAGTAGATACAAGATTGTTCTATCCTGCCGTAGGATGAAATTAGTGCCGTGATCTTCCATTAGGAGATGCCACAAAATCAGAGTCCATCCATGCAGTGGACTCACACACAGCCCTAGAGGAGGGTGCGGACAGTCTCACTACGGACGTCAAACCACCTCTGAGATCCTCCAGGTGTACAAACCGAGACTCAGGGCAGCCTGGATGGACAGTGGTTGGTTCTGGGGAGGGGGGCAGGCATCGGAGGAGAGCCTTTGCTCTGCAATTTGAATTTTTGCCCATGGACATTTATCACCTGTCCAGAAGTACTTAGATCAGAACTATCAGAAATAAACAGATAAGGGTGGAGATGTATTCAGGAGATACATGAGAAGGAGCCTCAAAGCCTGGTCCTGCTGTGTGAATGCCACCCTCTTCTTGTTTGAGGCTGAGGGGGGGGTGTGTGGGGGAGTCCAAGGGAGGTGATGGGAGGATGGGAACAAGTGGCCTTGGGGCCTAAGGATACAGAGGGGCCCTGAGTTCACCCACAAGGACATCCCTGTTTGCCAAAGTGAGTCCAGGTTGAGGAATAAGCCAGCCCCATCCTGACCTGAAGGCCCTGCTCCTCCAGCCCCAGGGAGGGAGCTCCATCCTACCTGTGCCGTCTCCTTGGAAGACAGTCATGGTCAAGTTCTGAGGCGGGTCTGGGACAGAAAGACATGGAGACCCGCATCACTGTGAGGGCTGGGGACACTGGCCCTGTCTGTCCCCAGGAGCCGCATAAACAGGGAAGGCAGAGCCAGTGTCCTCCTGACCCCACCACCAGCCCAGATTCCGGGACCCAGCACCCAGTGTCCAGGCTTGACGCTCACCCCATCAGGGACCCAGGCGTCCCGGCCCAGCACTCACAGGACACGTTGAGATGGACGGTCTTGTTCGTGGTCACGCTGGCCCCAGGGAAGGTCACCTGACAGGTGAGGCTGGTGCCATGGTCCTGGGGCTGTGGGATGAGGGTGAGCACCGAGGAGCGGGTGGTGGAGGGGTCCAGGGGGGACACGGAGGTCCCTATCCAGGAGATCATAGGGGGTGTCCCCTGCTCACAGGCCCAGGGCACAGAGCAGGTCAGATTCTGGGGGCAGCCGGACTCCAGGGTGCCTGGGATGAGGATGTTGGGCCTGTGGGTCAAGGCTGGTGAAGAGAGGGGGACTCAGGATCAGGTCAGAGGATCCATGGTGCAGCCCTGGGGGGAGCTCAGGCTCTGGTCCAGCTCCTGCCCTGAGCCAACTCGCTTCACCCTAAGCCCTCTCCTGGGGCAGGGGCTCCATCCCAGCCTTTCCCTGCCGCCCCCATGACCTTTCCCTGTGGCCTTTCCTGGAGCCTGTGCCTTACCTGTCACATTCACAGAGAGCCGGTGATGTTTATAATTCCATTTTATACTTCCTTTCTCCATACGAAAGAAGTATCTCCCCGCATCACTTCTTCTGGCATCTCTGATGCTCAGGGTGCAATTCTTGGTATGTGGGTCCCCAAGGAGGTGGAATCGGTCCCGAGTCTCCTCCCACACTGCCCGAGCTGGGTTGTTTGTGGCCACTGGAGCATCCTGGTCTGTATTGGCCCCTTCCCGGAACCAGTAGCCATGAACTACTGGGCCAGGGTAAATCCAGCCATGCGAGGGGTAGGAGAAGGAGCAGGGCACATGGACACACAGGCCTTCCTGCACCGTCACGGAACTCTGCATCGTCAGCAGTTTACTTGTCTGTCCTTCCGCCCTCTCCCTCCCCCAGAGCAGGGGCAGCAGCAGCAGCAGCATGTCTGGGGTTAGAGGTGCCAGGGCCGCGAGGGAACGTCTGTTCCTCAGGGTTCTTCTCTCAGGAACTGCGGGCTCAAGACTTAGAGGAGGCCCTACAGGAAGACAGGGGCGAGGTCGGAACAGTGACCTCCTCAGAGGAGGAACTTTACACCCAGACACTGTCAGGCCCGGGTCAGCCCTGGGAGATCCACCGTCCACCACCCCATGTTCACTCCTGGGTCCCTGAGGCCAGAGCGGGAGACAGACTCACCCAGATTCCCACCCCATGCAGGGCCCACCCCACCTCCTGCCTCCCTCTCAATGCCCTTCCCCTTAGGTGACATTTTCTGCAGGGTGAAAATGAGTCCCATCTGGCCAGACCCCTGAGTCAGAGGCTGTGGATATCTGCGTAGCTCAGAGGTGGGACTTGGGGCCATGAGAGATGGGGGTGCAGGTGGGGTGAGCAGGCAGCCTCTCATCCCCCCCAAGCAAGCACGAGGTGGGCACCCCCTTTCTGCACAACGAGGTCAACACAGCAGAGCTGGACACTGTCCCCAAGGGGTCACTGTGCGGAGGGGAGACATGGAGGCTCCTGACGTCTGAGCTGTCCACGGCAGGAGCTTCAGTTGGGGGGCACAGGCAGGATGGGGTCACTCTCCCGTAGGTCAGGGGTTCAATCTCAGGAGGACTGAGCAGAGGGACATGGGGCTGTGGAGGTGAGGATTCTATGTGTTGATACACGCCAAGGACACAGAGGGGAGCCTGGCTCGCAGGAGGTCTGGGAAACTGAGGCTGTGACTGTTGTACTGTGGGGCTTGGAAGGGAGGAAATTCGGAAGAAAAGGGGCAGATTTCAAAAGGGAAGATATTTCTCCTTTCCTCACTGCACCACGAAGGGTTTCTTCACCACCGATGTCTCGCTCAGCCACACTTCCCTGGTTACTCCAGAACATGAGGGATCAGCTGGCCCTGGGGCTTTGCTTCTGCAAGCTCTGCTCCCAGGGGTCCCGGTGAACAGGAGATGTGGAGTGAGGACACCAGCCCCGGGGCATGCACCCTCCGCGATGGGCAGGATTTCATGGGAGAAGAAACATGCACCTGAATTCAGCAGAAGATTTTTTGTAACTGTGTGGCTGGGCTGGGAGGAACTGGGAGTATCCTGTGTGGTGGAGCCTCCTTAGACCGATGTCAGTTTTCTAGAAATATTTTTGGGAGAAATATAAGCCATATAGATAAAAATGTCTTCCCCCCAAGAAAAAATCTCAGCGGTTTACACATATGAACATGCTTAGAGAAACAGAACACTGGGGATGCCGCAACACCTCCTCTTTGTTACCCCACTTCCTGTCAGCCACACCCCACTTCCTCCTGAAGCAGCCCCAGCCTCACTTTAACGCTAATGGTCTCCATGCTTTTCTAGGTAGTTTTATCATCTGTGCACGTTGCCGTGAATACCTCAGGCCCCCATGTTTGCCCAGTCGCTCCCTGGGAAGTTGCAGCATCTCAACTGCAATGGTCAGAAGGGCTGAGCCATGGCTGACAGTGTTGTCCTGCATCTGTTCTGCAGGGCTGGGTGTCCACATCTGAGTTCTGTCTTGAGCAGGAGGGGCTCAGTCAGGCCTCTCAGCACTGCTCCCCTGGGGCCCTCCACACCTGCAGAGCCAACACGGGCCTCAGATTAGCATCGGCCACTTCAATTCTAACTCAGGCGGGACAGGACAGCTCAGCCCCACCTGGAACTCGGGGAACAATCCTTCGGCTTCCCTAGAAAAGAGCAGGCCTGCTCACCTGGAGTAGTAGCTCCAGGTGAGGCCATGGGGGTTGGGGGGAAGCCAGTGCCCAGGATGGCCCCCTGATCAGGTGAGAACCAGGGGCCAGAAGCCCTCCTGCTTTTCACTCACACATCTGTAGCCAGAGGGGCTTCCTGGGAAAGGGTAGAAGCGTGTGAGATTCTGTTCCCAGGCCTCCACCCCTCTGACAGCCCAAACACCCGACTAGGCTGCCTGCCTCAGCAGCTGTCCTGCAACTCACTCTGCACAGAGGCTCAGGGAAATGTGCTGAAATCGCAGTGGGTGGTGAGCCCAACAGGTCAATGCTCCTCCGTCCCAGCCCCTATCTGAGGCAGCTCCAGGCCCCCGGGTGCTGAGAGCTGGGAGGAATTCAGTGTTCTTCCCTCTCAGGACCAGCTCAGCCGGGCGGGGTTGGGAGGTGGGGTGCTGTCAGCCACACAGACCACAGGGACTCTCCCTCCAGGACAGGCAGTGGTGTACCATTGTTCAGGGTCTTTGGGGCTGGACGAAAAAAACAGAGAAAGCAGGAAGAGTGGTGCTGAGAGGTCGGTTTCTCCCTTACCTCCCATTCGGAATGAGACAGAAGACACATGACTGTTTGACTCATGCTTTTTTTTTTTTTTTTTGAGATGGAGTCTTGCTCTGTCACCCAGGCTAGAGTACAGTGCCGTGATCTCAGCTCACTGCAAGCTCCGCCTCCCACGTTCAAGCGATTCTCCTGCCTCAGCCTCCTGAGTAGCTGGGATTACAGGCATGTGCCGCCACGCCAGGTTAATTTTTGTATTTTTAGTAGAGACGGGATTTCACCATGTTGGTCAGGCTGGTCTTGAACTCCTGACCTCGTGATCTGCCCACCTCAGCCTCCCAAAGTGCTGGCATTACAAGCGTGAGCCACCAAGCCTGGCCCGGCTCATGCTCTTATGTACACAAATCCCGGAGTCCACGCTAGCTGACAGACCCTGGAGGGAAGGAGGCTGAACTGAGATTGGAAGGGGGAGTGGGTCATATTGACGCAAGACAGACAGGCATCACAAGTGAAGGACGAGGGATGTGCAAAGGCTCTGAAACAGTCTGGCAGATGAAGAGACCTGCACATATATCTGGGGTCTTCCAAGGGGACATGGAGGTGTTGGGGCATGACCAGCTGAGGAGCTTAGACTGAGGGTGCCGAGGAGTCACAGGGGACTCTGGGCCAGGAAGGGGTGGGGCTGGTACTGGGTACAGGAAGGTCTTTCTGGGCTTGTGCTATCAGGGGCACAGCATGAAGGGAAGATGGGAGGCTGGGGAGGGGCATGGAACAATGATCAAGACAGCAAAGAGGCTGGGTGCGGCGGCTCAGATCTGTAACCCCAGCACTTTGGGAGGCCAAGGCGGTTGGATCACCTGAGGTCAAGGAGTTCGAGACCACCCTGACCAACATGGTGAAAAGTTGTTTCTACTAAAAGTACAAAAATTAGCCAGGCATGGTGGCATGCTCCTGTAATCCCAGCTACTCAGAAGGCTGAGGCAGGAGAATCACTTGAACCAAGGAGGCGGAGGTTGCAGTGAGCCGAGATCCTGCCACCGCACTCCAGCCTGGACGACAAGAGCGAAACTTCATCTTCAAAAAAAAAAAAAAAAAAAAGACAGCAAAGGGCCTGGTCATGCTGATGGAGGACAGGGGACTAAGCAAGGAGGGCATGACGGGAGACATTGTTCAGGAAGGGAAGTTACAGCACCCACTGGCTCATGAGTACAGTGGATGAAAAGGGTGACATTTGGAGGAAGTGCTGCATCCTGAATGGGGTAAATGGGGGAAGAGAGACGCCATGCATAAGAGGAGGATCAAGGGGCAGAAAGTAGGAGAGGCATCAAGACAGAGCTCAAAGCTGAGCCAGGCAAGGGTGAGCCGGGCATGGTGGCAGGTGCCTGTAATCCCAGCTACTCCAGAGGCCGAGGCATAAGAATCACCTGAACTCGGGAGGCATAGGTTACAGTGAGCCGAGATCATGTCACTGCATTCCAGCCTGGGTGACAGAGCGAGACTCCATCTCAAAACAAAAAACAAAAAAACTCATACTCTGGCCAGGCACAGTGGTGCACGCCTGTAATCCCAACACTTTGGGAGGCCGAGGCAGGAGGATCACTTGAGCCTAAGAGTTCAACACCAAACTGGGTGACACAGTGAGAACCCATCTCTGCCCAAAATTTAAAAATTAGCTGGACATGGTGGTGCCACCTGTAGTCTCTGCTACTTGGGAGGCTGAGGCAGGAGGATCGCTTGAGCCTGGAAGGCGGAGGCTGCAGTGAGCAGAGATTGCGCCACTGCACTCAAGCCTGGGTGACATAGCGAGACTCTGTCTTAAAAAAAAAAAAAAAAAAGAATTCCTGATTCTGACCTCCCTTCCCTCCTGACACCCATTGTTCTCAGGGCCCTGGGCATGGGGGTCCTGATCCACCACTCATAAGAGACATTGAGCTGGATGGTTCTCCCCATGGTCACACCAGCTCGGAGGAACTTCACCTGACAGGTGAGGTTGCTGCCATGGTCACATGGCTGTGGGATAAGGCTGAGAACTGAGGACTGGTCGGGAAGAGGGGTCTTGGAGACTGTAAAATTGGTGGCTTCTCTTATCCAGAAGAAATTTGGTGGGGTTCCCTTCTCACCGGCCCATGATACGGTGCAAGTCAGATTTCCAGGGTCACCTGATTGCAGCTCTTCTGGACATGGATCTCAGGTGGCTGGGTCAGCACTAGAAAAGAGAAAGGGGCTGATTCCTGTTTCTGGGAGTGGGGGCACTCCCTGTGCCAGAGCCCCACCCCAGGGCCCCTGAATGCTTCCCATGACCCCGAATGAGGAGAAAGAGCTCCTTTTCTGGGACTTTCCTCTACTTGTCACATGCAAGAACAACTTCTCATTTCCGTAACTGTATTTCATGTAATAACCTCTCTCCACCTGAAAGAAGTACGTCCCTGTATCCGCCTCATTGGCATCTCTGAGGTTCAGGGAGCAGCTGTAGGTCTGGGGATGACCAACGAGGTGAACTGGCCCTGGTTCTTCTCCTGCAATTGTTTGGGGTTGTTTGTAGCCACTGGAGTGTTCCTTCCAGGAGTGGCTTCATCCTGTTGGCAGTAACCATGAGCTAGGCCGGATCCTGCCCAGTAATACTTGGGGTAGAAAACAGCGCAGAGCACATGCCTGCACATTCCCTCCTGCACCGTCACCAGCTCCTGCACTCTAAGGCCATCTCCTGGATCCTAAGCCAAAGCCCCTGGGGAGAGAAGGAGAGGCTCAGACACTGACCCCGCTCCCCGCTCAGGACCCCTCTGGGTCTGCTTACTTTCTCACCACCTGGATGGCAGCAGCACCAGCCCCAGCAGAACTGTGCCTTGAGCCATGAGCACCAGGCACTGCCCCAGGACAGTCTGGTCACAAGAGTCCCTCCGTATGGGAAGAATAGTCTGGGAGAAACAAGGGTAAACCCCAACAGGAAGCCACGGGGTTTGGACAAAATGGTAATCGTGCACATAAGTGCAGTGTCAGACCCACCACTGCCAGAGATGGGAGGTTTTCTGAGATCAGCCTTCCCCTCTTCCCTGCTGTGCAGAATTCAGTGAGGTCTAGGGAAAGCAAAAGACTCCTCAGAGTTTGCTGGCGAATGTGTCTTTCGCCAGCAGAAAGACTTCCACATGTGGAAGTGCTCATGAAAACCTGGAAATATTTCTGCCTTGCATATTCAGAAGAACTTACCCGTGAATTTCTTCCCTGGAAATCAGTGTTTGCTACTGAATGAATTCCTATATGAATATCAGTGCTGTAGTCTGGAGGTTTGTGCCCTCAAACCTGTTGAGAGTTGATCCCAGTGTTGGAGGTGGGGCCTCATGGGAGGTGCTTGGGTCATGGTGCTGGATTCCTCAGGAATAGATGAGTGCCCCTGCCTGCCAGTGAGTCGGTGCTCAAGCTCTGAGTCAGGCACCTCCCTCCCTCTCTCTTGCTTCCTCTCCTATCATGTTATCTCTGCACACATCAGCCCCCTCTTCCATCATCCCCCACTAGGATTGGAAGCAGCCTGAGGACTTTACCAGATGCCCAATCTCAAACCTTTCCAGACATCGGAATCACGGGCCAAATAAACCTTTTTTCTTTATAAATGACCCAGCCTCAGGTATTCCTTTAACCTGCAACACAAAACGGACTAAGACAATAGAACTATTTGGGTTTTTTTTTTCTTGAGACAGTCCCAGTTATTTATATTTTTGCAATAATCTTTTTATATTATGTAAATTTTAAAATTAATTAGCAAATATATATGTGAAGTATTCTCTTATAGTCTTTTATTTGAGATAGGGTCTTGCTCTGTCACCCAGGCTGAAGTGCAGTGGCACGATCACAGCTCACTGCAGCCTTGACCTACTCAAGTGATCCTCCTACATTAGCCTCCCCAGTAGCTGGGACTACAGGTGCACACCCTCACACCTGGCTAATTTTTTTTTTTTTCCTGAAACAGAGATCTCACTATGTTGCCCAATCTGGTCTCAAACTCCTGGCCTCAAGTGATCCTCCCACTTCAGCCTCCCAAATTGCTGGGACTATAGGCATGAGCCACTGTGTCCAGCTTCCTCTTATAGTCTTTTAAAATAAAAGATTTTGAAGCAAAGCATACATGGAGAAAGCTGTTCCAATTATAAAGGTATGCCTGATCAATGTCTATGAAATGAATACATTTTTGTAACAACAACCTACACCCAGGAGCCTCACCAGTTCCCATTCCTAGGTATTACCCCGCCTGCAAAGTCACCAGTATAACTCCTATTATCATGGATTAGTTTTGTCTGTATTGTGTTTTTATGTAACTTTCAGTGTGTACTCCTTTCTTTTGAGAAGGAGTCTCGCTCTGTCGCCCAGGCT
Organism: Homo sapiens; assembly: GCF_000001405.40. NCBI lineage: Eukaryota > Metazoa > Chordata > Mammalia > Primates > Hominidae > Homo > Homo sapiens. Next base: position 51,118,318 of record NC_000019.10, on the reverse strand, counting down.
GGAGTGCGGTGGCGTGATCTCGGCTCACTGCAAGCTCCACCTCCTGGGTTCAAGCCATTCTCCTGCCTCAGCCTCCCGAGTAGCTGGGACTACAGTCCTCTGCCACCACACCCGGCTAATTTTTTGTATTTTTAGTAGAGACGGGGTTCCACCGTGTTAGCCAGGTTAGTCTCGATCTCCTGACCTTGTGATCCGCCCACCTCAGCCTCCCAAAAGGCTGGGATTACAGGCATGAGCCACCACGCCCGGCCAGTGTGTACTCTTGTATCCGGCTTCTTCTTTTTATTTTTTACTTATTTGTTTTTTTGAGGCATAGTCTTGCATTGTCCCCCCGGCTGGAGTGCAGTGGCACGATCTCGGCTCACTGCAACCTCTGCCTCCCGTGTTCAAGCGATTCTCCTGCCTCAGCCTCCAAAGTAGCTGGGATTACAGGCACCCGCCACCATGCCCAGCTAATTTTTTGTATTTTTAGTAGAGATGGGGTTTCACTATGTTAGTCAGTCTGGTCTCAAACTCCTGACCTTGTGATCCGCCTGCCTTGGCCTCCCAAAGTGCTGGGATTACAGGAGTCAGCCACTGCGCCCGGCCATTGTATCTGGCTTCTTGTGCTCAATCTCTGTTTGTTAAATTTGTCCATGATGTTTCACCTGTCAATAATTCATTCATTCTCACTGCTGAAAGATCTCCATTCTGTGCATATACTGAACACTACATAACTCTTCATTTTTAGATGGACTTTGAGATTATTTTTAGTTTGGGGCTATTATGAGGAGTCTGCTATGAACATGTCTTCTGGTATGTATATGCACTTATGTTGGGTATTGTTTAGAGTGGAATTTCTCAATAACCTCAACTCAAAACAGGGTGTTAAAAGATGTTAACTTCTGGTTATCCTCTGATATGGCCCCAGTAGTATGTAAGGCTTCTTCTCTGGAATTCTTTTTGTTTATTTTAGCCAGCTTTGTCTACTCGTATGAGTGGGCACATGTGCATATGGGGGCGGGGGCATCTTGGAAAATTCTCAGGGTTAATTCAGCCCAAATTTTCTTCCATAGCTGCTTCTGGGGACTCCTCCCCACCATTCAGGGGGAGAAAGTTGTTAGTGCCACCCCACATCTTTCAGTGTCCTTCCTACTTGATCCCCTTTTGAAGTGTGTGGTGCGATGTTTTATTCATTTGCTGGTTTTGACATTGCTGATGAAGTTTCATCTCCTTTTATTTAAATGTCGGGCATTCATTTAATGCACTGGGGAACTTGCAGTCCTAGCATCAGGACAAGTTGATCCCAGGACCTTACTATTCAAGGGGTAAGAAACCAGCACACACAGAACCCGCCCCTTGTGCCAGGACCTGGGTATGGTGATTGGCATGTGCCACGCCATCCTTGTGGGCTGGGGCTTGTTATTTCTCACGTTACAAGCAGGAAACTGCGGCACAGAGAGGTAAAGTGACTTGCCCATTTTCAACCTCTTAGTAAGTGGAGGAATCAGTATAGAATCCATGTTTCTCTTATTCTAAAGCCTGCATTTCTTTCCCTATACTAACAAATTTGCATAAAGTCACTTGTAATCTATTAACTAGAGACACAGTCGATCCACAAGAACAAGTGTTTGAGGTGCCCCTTCCCCCGAGAGGTCTCAGGCTCCAGGTCCAGAACAGAAGCCTGGGGGATTGGGATTCCCCACCGGCATCTGTCCTCTTGAGTATTTGGTGCTGATGCTACCATTTCTCAGTTTCCAAGGCTTCAACTTGTGAGGTCTGAGAGAATGGTGGTGGTGATCTTGGACTGACCATGGTTTTTAAATGAAGGTTTGTGGGCAAAAGCCTGACTGTGGTGGAATGAGAGCTTCTCCTGTCAAATCTCATCTTTCCCATCATATGAGCCTCGAATCCACCTCTGATGTGGGTGGGCAGCGACCCCATTTCCAACCAGCCCCGAAGAAGGAAGATTCTTACCTGTGCTGTTTCCTTGAAAGGCAATGATGTCTAGAAGACTGGAGTGTCTCAGCCGGGCGCAGTGGCTCACGCCTGTAATCCCAGCAATTTGGGAGGCCGAGGCAGGTGGATCACGAGGTCAGGAGATCGAGACCATCCTGGCTAACACAGTGAAACCCCGTCTCTACTAAAAATACAAAAACAAAATTAGCCGGATGTGGTGGCAGGTGCCTGTAGTCCCAGCTACTCAGGAGGCTGAGGCAGGAGAATGGCATGAACCCGAGAGACAGGGCTTGCAGCGAGCAGAGATGGCGCCACTGTACTCCAGCCTGAGTGACAGAGCAAGACTCCGTCACAAACAAACAACAACAACAAAACTGGAGTGTCTGGTACAGAAATAGAACAGTTCCCACATCGGTGTAGGAGGTGAAGTGGGGTGGTGGCCCTGCATCCTTCTACAGTCACCAAAACAGCAAAGAAGGCGGGTTGAGGAATTCCTCCTGTCCCCTCCTCAGTCTGGTCCCCAGGAACCAGGCGCTAAGTATCCCAAGTCCTGAACCCTCCTTGGACCCCGTGTTGGGCACAGGGACTGGGAATCCTGGCTCCCCCACCCACCCTGCTGCACCACCACAGGAGACATTGGGCTGGTGATCACGTGAGCTTCAGAAGACATCACACATCAGGGTAGTTGAGGTGACATCCCTAGGATTGTAGGGTGAGGACCTAGAAATGTGTATCTGCCCCGATCCTTTATGTGCTGTGATATAGTGAACTCTCTCCTCCCTCCAACCTTATCTTGAAAGAATTTTTCTGGGATGCAGATAAAGGAGGGGCCACACACAAAGTCATAGCTGTCCCCCCAAGACAGGGTGGACCTGGTAAGCCCCGGGCAGCAGGGATGGTGCTGTCCGTCCGTGGAACTGCAGCACCATCAGCTCCTGAGTTCAGGTATTACCCGGCTCTGCAGAGGGGTCTGACCCCACGAGCATGAAACCTAAGCCTCGAGCCAAAAGGGCAGCCATATAACATGGGCTGGTGGGAAGGTCTGGCTTGCCCAAGAGAAAAGGATTTGGGGAGCAACAGATTCTGTCATCAGTAGGCCGAGCTTCTCTTATGTTCTTCCTCTCTGCTTCCCAGTTCATCCTCAGGGACTCTGCTGGATGTCCTGTTGTTCCTGTTCACTTAAGGATAATGAGACTATAGGAAAAACTATAGGGGGAAAAAATGGGCCTAAGACTGAAGATCCTAATGGGGACCTGAAGGGACAATGATTCCAGGAGAGCATTGAGCCATATGGAGAGAGATTGAGAACTGGAGTGACAGGGACTCAGAGGAGGGGCCGCCAGTTTTTAGAACTAATACTTACAATAGTAAGGTCAGGTGTTGTGGCTCATGCCTGTAATCCTAGCACTTTGAGAGGGCAAGCCAGGCGGATCACCTGAGGTCAGGAGTTCGAGACTAGCCTGGCCAACATGGTAAAACCCCGTCTCTATTAAAAATACAAAAATCAGCTGGGTGTGGTGGCGGGCGCCTGTAATCCCAGCTACTCAGGAGGCTGAGGCAGGAGAATCGCTTGAACCCAGGAGGCAGAGGTTGCAGTGAGCTGAGATGGTACCATTGCACTCCAGCCTGGGCAACAAGAGTGAAACTCCATCTCAAAAAAAAGAAAAGTTTGACTTCTGTTAGACAGGAGAAAGTGCAATAGATTTATAGTGCCTGACCAAGAAAAGGAAGCTTTATTTAGCTATCATGTCCCTTTCTTCCAGTCATCTCATTTTGCAACTTCTTCAAACAAAGCATGAAGAGAGAAAGCAAAGAATAGTGAAATGTGAGTACTGGGGTTTCTCTGTTCACCACATCCTCCTGGTTTTCTGACTGGAAACCAGTCAAAATGGTCCAGACTTACTGACTAAGACGTCGATCACAAGTGATGGAATCTTTGTGTATGCTGGTAAAAGAGAATTTGATGAGAGGATTTTGCAGTTTCCCACATCATCTAAGAAGAGTAGGGCAGCCTGTTGGGAAGGACAGATCTCCATGAGCCTCCCGTCCTCCTACACATCTCGTTGGGTATTGCCCAAAACATGATGGTCTGAGATCTCGTTACCTGGCCTAGTTCTCAGGTTGTGTTTGCAGGGAGCCACCCTGAGGGATGGGGTAATGTCTCCCTCCAGGACAAAGAGTAGCCTCACTTGCTGCTGGCTGTAAAGGAGCTAGATTCTCCAACTTGCCAGTTTTGTTTCTCGGGGTCCTATCAAACTGAGACAGAGGTTTCTCTGAGCCTTATCCTATATCAACAATATTTACCAAGTCACTCTAGGAGTCAGAACAAACCCAATTTCTGTCCCTATGGGCTCACCATCTAGCACAGTGGAGAGCATTGAAAATGCCTTCACAGACAACGGGGCCATTAGGAGGGTGCTGGGGTCAGAACAAAGACCTGGGCTACAGGCAGAGATTTCACAAGTAACAGCTTTATTTTTTAATTTTTGAATACATATATTGAGAGTTTATTATATGTCAGGTATGATTCTTGTTGAACAAAATAGACAAAAATGTCTTCACCTATTACTACATGTTAGATGGAGACTTGCCCTGGGAATGAGGAGTGAGGAGCATTTTCCAGGGCCCCAGAGCTGAGCACAAACAGATAAAGGGGAAGGGCAAGACTGGCAGGCCTGTTTCTCCCCTCTTAAGGATTGGGCTACCAGGTGACAAATGTTCAGAGACGTCCAAATGTGGGGCAGGTAGTCAGCTAAATGACCCCAGAGGTAGGTATCAAGGCATGATGACTCTGGAAGAATAGTTGCAAGCCGTATCTTGCAGGCTTACATATCAAAAAAAGTCTTGACTTTATATTGAGGGCACTGGGGAGCCATGGAAGGATTAAGAGCAAGGGGGAGGGGCAGAGTCAGCTCTTGGTGGGAGAAGGTATCCCTCTGGGGTGATGTGAGGGAGACTTTAGGGAGAGGAGGAGAGTGGAGGCCAAGAAGTTGGAGAGGAAAACAGAGTGGAGGTCTGAGCAGAAGAGGAAGAGGATGAAATGACTAGGAGCAGAGGCCATGGGGATGTTGAAGGGGGAGTGAAGTGAGCCTATTCCAGGAAGGGAAGTTTGCAAGACATCTTGCAAACAGGATATGGTAGGTGATAGAGAAATATCTATCTGACTCCTAGAATCCTAATTTGGATAATGATGATGGTTCCATCACTGAGAAGGGGGGAAATGTGGTTGTCTGGGGCTCAGAGCAGATTGGGATGAACAGCATGGTGTGCAAGACATCGGGGGGAGCCACGAGAAGTGCAGAGAGAAGAGAGGGTGCGAGGAGGAGCTGTGGAAACTCACATAAAAGGCTCCTGGGATGAGGAGAACGAGAGACAAGGCCAAAGAGAAACAGAGGGCCCTTCAGAGAGTGTTGCCAACAGAGAGTCTTTCCTGGTGCCTCCTCTGGCCAACAAAGTTTATTAGCACTGCTGTGGGAACCCAGGCAGACCTACCATTTAGTAAGGAGATGCAAAAACTAACAAGAAGGCAGTGGGACAGAGCTGGACTTAGGGCAAAATAAGGACTGTTTGATACACTACAATGAAAACAGACAAACCAACCAACCACAGACAAAAATCCCGTTCCTCAGTAGGCTCCACGGGTGAACGAACTCTCTTCATGCAGAAATTCTACCCAGGGAAGCTTCTAGCCCTTCGAGGGGTGGGGAAGCAAGTGCTGCCAGTAACAAGCACCAGATATAGGAAATGGCCCTCAGAGATGCACATTGATGCTGCAGGAACCAAAGCTCCCAGAGCTGGAGAGAGACAGCTGAGCCCAGCCACCATATCTTCCACCAGACGCGGATTGCTTAGGATGGCAGCTAGATGACCTGGAGATGGCAAGGCATTCTGAGGCTGGAAGGGTGTGCAGGGACCAGATCATGCAGCACCTCCGTTGCAGTCTGCAGAGGTTTGACAATGGAAAGCCTGATGGCAATGGGGAGCCATGGAAGAGTTTCGAGAAGGGGAGAGACAAGGTTAAATCTGGGGCTAGTGTGGGAGGATTCAGGAATGAAGGGATTAGAGGTTGGGGTGAGAGAGTCCAGGCAAGAAACGGCCGGCGCAGTGGCTCACATCTGTAATCCTGGGACTTTGGGAGGCCGAGGTAGGCAGATCACTTGAGGTCAGGAGTTCAAGACCAGCCTGGCTAACACAGTGAAACTGTGTCTCTACTAAAAATAAAAAAATTAGTTGGGCATGGTGGTAGACACCTGTAATCCCAGCTACTCCGGAGGCTGAAGCACGAGAATTGCTTGAAGCTGGAAGGCGAAGATTGCAATGAGCTGAGATCATGCCACTGCACTCCAGCTGTGGTGACAGAGTGAGACTCCATCTCAAAAAAAATAAATAAATAAATGAATAATTTAAAAAAAAGGATGAGCTGAGCCAAGGCAGGGCCACAAGGATGAAGGGAATGGTCTGAGAAACTTTCAAGAAGCAAAACTGGCAAGTTTCACTGAACAATGGGGAGCAGTGGGTGAGAAAAAGAGTCAGCGAAGTGATTCAGGATCCTCACCTAGAGGCTGAAGCATGCCAGTGCCACCACCAGGGGCTAACTGTGCAGGTCCGAGTCTCGGGATGCAGTGGAGATATGCAGGAAAGTGGGGAGGCATCAGGGCAGAGACGGAAGTTGCGGGAGTGGCAGGAGTGGATGAGCTCACCTGGGGAGTTTGCAGAGAAATGACAGCGCTGTGGAGTACAAGGCTCCTGGCAAGTTGATTGACATGGTTTGGCCAGAAAGAGGACCAGGGAGGGTAGATTTTGTGGTCAGGGCAAAGAGACTCAGAAGTAGGTAGAGCCCAGGTTAGACCTTTATTTGTCAATAAAGAGGCCACTGGTGTTGATCGGGAGACTGTGTTAGGGGAGACAGGAAAGAAACCAGACAGCAGAGGGCTGGGAGTGAGAGGGCTTCTCATGGCTGACCTCACCTCTTTTCCCATCTATCTCTGGAGCCCCAAATATCCCACTCTTATCCTGGTCCCACAGAGGAGAATGGGGAAACTCTATACACCCCGATTCAGCATGCACTCCCACATTGTTGCAGGACAGAGGCTGCCTCTGAGGAGGAGAACTAGACAGTGGGTGGGTGGGGGGAGACGACAGGGAGACTTCACTGTAGAGTCTATGCACTGTTTCCATTTTATAGCATTTAAGTGCATAACCTGATTAGATAACATAAATTGCATTCAAACAAAAGGCACCCTGTGCTTTCTTGCCACAAGATCTTTCTTTGCTCAGGCGATTTCTTCTGTATTAAAAGGCCATTTCGACCCTCAAATTCTCAACCTCCTTTGCCACACTTCACACCTCTTCCAGGAGCAAGCACAGCTTGGAGACTAAGGAGACAGGCTTTGAGCAAGGAGCTACAAACCAGAGACCACCAGCCAAATCGGGCCTGCTGCCTGTTTTTACATGGCCCACAAGCTACAAATGATTTTACATCTTTAAATGGTGTAAAATCTTCAAAATTCTTCAAAAGAAGAATATTTCCTGACACATGCAAATTACATGAAATTCAAATGTCAGTGTCCATCAATAAAGTTTTATTGGTATACAGCCACCCTCACTTGCTTATCTTATATCAATGGCTGCTTTCAACATACAACAGCAGAGTTGCCACAAAGACCCTGTGGCCCACAAAGCCTAAAATATTGGCTACCTGGCCCTTTACAGGAAAGGTTTGCAACCCCTGCTGTAGAGTCAGGCAGTCCAGGGAAGTGACATCACTGAGCTTCAAGATCCTCACCTAAGTAGAATTACAAGGCTGGGCATGCTGACTCACACCTGTAATCCCAGCACTTTGGGATCACTTGAGGTCAGGAGTTTGAGACCAGCCTGGCCACTATGGTGAAACACCGTCTCTACTGAAAATACTAACATTAGCCAGGTGTGGTAGCGCACCTGTAATTCCAGCTACCCAGCAGGCTGAAGCAGGAGAATCACTTGAATCCAGAAGGTGGAGGTTGCAGTGAGCCGAGATCGCGCCACTGCACTCCAGCCTGGGTGACATAGTGAGACTCCATCTCAAAAAAAAAAAAAAAAAAAGAAGAAGAAGAATTACAGTTGTACCCAACTCATATGTAACATATAATCTTAATGTTATGAGAATTGAGATGAGAATAATAACCACTTGTTGAGCACATACTATGTGCCAGAAGCTGTTCTAAATTCTTTAGAGGTGTTGTTAATTCAATTTGACTTCGCATAAATCCTATGAGGCAGGCTATTATTGCCCCCCTTTCACAGATGAACAAACTGAGATGATGCATGGCACATAGCAGCCTTTGTTGAATTTTTTTTTTTTCTGACACCCTGGCTGGCAGTGATTGAAATTGAGCTTTCAAGGCTCTTAACACTTCCATGTCAAGCTTTATCACTCCATATTGACTAAGTCCCTGTCTCCCCCACCAGGAGGACAGGGTGGTGGTGTAAGGGGTGGGGGATGCTCAGAGGACAGTAACCAAGTCTGATTCATTTGTGTCACCTAAACCTAGCCCAGGGGCAGCCTGGCACAAGGAGACCTCAGGAAATAAATTCAACAAATGAACCAACGCACACAGATGAACAGAACTGGCCCATGATAAGGCTTAAGAGTGACCTCACGGAGCTCATTTAATATGAAAGGAAGGCATCATGGTTTCCTGTTATGGGGGAAAAAAATGGGCTACAGGGTGCATGGGGTTCCTTCTCACGTCATCACCGGCCGTAGACCTACACATCCTGGGGCTCTCTGCACATCTCCACATCTCAGTCTAAGGCTCTGGTGGTCCCTTAATCTAGAGGATTTTTTTTTTTTTTTTGAGACAGAGTCTCACTCTGTGGCCAGGCTGGAGTGCAGTGGCGCGATCTCGGCTCACTGCAACCTCTGCCTTCTGGGTTCAAGCCATTCTCCTGCCTCAGCCTCCCGAGTAGCTGGGACTACAGGCGCGCACCACTACGCCCAGCTAATTTTTGTATTTTTAGTAGAGATGAGGTTTCACCATGTTGGCCAGGATGGTCTCCATCTTTTGACCTCGTGATCCACCCGCCTCGGCCTCCCAAAGTGCTGGGATTACAGGTGTAAGCCACCGCGCCGTCTAGAGGAATTTTGAGCCTCAGTTTTTTCGAGGACCTAGGTTTGGGGACCTGGATCTCAAGGGTCTCAGATATCTGAGTCCTTAAACTCCTTGTGCCCCGGTATTTGAGTCACCGGGGTCTTCAAGACCCTTGGGCCTTGTGGGGAGGGTGGAGGCCTCCAGATCCCTGTGTCTAGGGTGCAGACGGTTGTCTCCAGGTCTACTGGTTCTCTCAGGTGCTTTGGTGCCAGGGGTCTGCGTTTTTAACCCCCTTAGTCTCAAGGGTCTGAGTCTCTGAGCCTCTGGGCTCCTGGGTTAGGTGAGAAGGGTCTTTGGATCCTTCTGTTTAGAGTCTGGGTCTCCAGCACGCGCATCACGACAGCCCCCGCGTGCGCGCGGAGTTCCACTCCAATCCTCGAAGTCTGCTCTACGCATGCGCTATCTGCGCCTTTTACACTAGCGACCAACCCCTGCAGTTCCACCTTCAATTCCCACCCGCAACCCCGCCTCAAAGGGCAGAAATCATAGGCCCTGTAATCCCCTTAAAATCCTATAATAATCCCACAAAATCAGTTAATCAGAATACAACTACTTCGCCCATCCAGCAACCTGCCGGGTGACAGCGCGCTGCCATGACAACAGTACACGCAGCTCCGCCGCTCCCTGCGGCCGCGCGCAGGCGCAGAAAGTAAACGCGGGGGGAGGGGGAGCAGTGTATTTTGGGAGCGGCAGAAAGAGCAATGCAAGTGTTTCTGGGAGTTGTAGGCCAAGCGGGACCCCGGAGCCGTAGGCGCATCCAGCGGAAGTGTCGCATGGGCTTCTGGGAGTTCTAGGCAAGAAAGCCCCAAGACCTTATGGGAGTGGTAGTCTCGGAGTCACTTCCGGGCCAGGCTTCCGCGTGGTGGGCAGTGTGGGCATCCCAGCACTGAGTTCTGCCCGGGTGAGTATTTCCTCCTGCGGTGGGTCGGCATGTGGACTCCGGCTCTTTGTTGCGGTGCCGTGGGAGGGTTGAGGGTCTCTTCGAGCGTAAGGCCTCTGTGATTTCCCAGCGCCCGTGTCCCTGAGGCCTTGTAGCCAGGATTCCCACTTTGAACGCTGCGGTCCGGCCTGTCTCTTACCGGGCCACTCCCTTCCCCAAGACAGGATAAGACCATCTGCTTGCCCCCGCCCCTATGTTACTATCTGCCTGTCCCCGCCCCCATGCCACACATTATCTGTCCTTTTGACAAGGCTGCAATCCAGAGGCATCCCTGGGGTCCGCGGCCTCTCTTCTGGGAGCACTTATTATTCCCTCATCCTACAGATACTTACTGAGCACCGACTCTGCGCAGGGCGGCGGGAGCGAGGGCACCAGACCAACCCTGTCCCTGCCTTGAAGCAGAGAGACAGACCTGTCACCAGTGACAGCTAGTCAGGATCAGGGCAGCTCTGAGGGCCCTGGTGGAGGCGCTCGACTCAGTGACGAGGGTCCATAAAGTCTTTGAGGGAAGACGCTTAACATGCATGTCAAACCTGACGTGGCCAAATGGAATTCCTGGTCTTCTCACCTCACAAAATGGCCCCACCGTCCCTCCAATGCTCAGGCCAGAACCTCAAAGTTACCCTTCATCACTTTCTCTCGTCGTTGCCCCAGTCCCCACTCCAATCAGTCTTATACAAGTCCTGTGGGCTCCACCTTCAAAATAGATCCAAAATTTCACTTCTTCCCACCTCTACTGCCAGCACTCCTGTCTAGTGTGCTGACCTCCAGCCTTCTGTCCTTGTCCCTGACAACCAACAGTCCTCCCCACACAGCAGCCAAACGAATCCCACTTTTTTTATTTGAGACAAGGTCTCACTCTATCACCCACGCTGGAGTGCACTGGTGCGATCATGGCTCACTGCAGCCTTGACCTCCTGGGCTCAAGTGATCCTCCTGCCTTGGCTTCCTGAGTAGCTGGTACTACAGGCCTGTGCCACCAGGTGCAGCTAATTTATTTATTTATTTTTTTAGAGATGGGGTCTCGCTATGTTGACCAGTCTAGGAATCCTTTTAAAACATGCCAGATCATACCACTTTACTGTTCAAAAACCTCCCAAGGCTCCCATCTCCTCCTGAATAAACCTAAAATTCCACATCATGGCCTATGAGGCTCTGCTAACTTGTGCAGCCTTGTCCCCTGCGAGCGTCTCCCTTCCTCAGGACGTGGACCCCCCAGGACTGGGTGACTGTAGATTTAGGGGGTGAGGAGAGATGAGTCCAGGGTGACGTTACGTCCTGTCCTGCAGATGGGCTGGATGAAAGGTGGTGGCTGCTCTCAGAAGAGAGGGAACAGATGGGCAAGAACAGGTTTCTGCCTTTCGAGGAAGAAATAGGTTGTCTGGGCGCTTAGGGTCTGAACATCTTTAAGGTGCCCCAGCCATGTGGAGGACCAGCCAGGAGGGACATCTGAATATCATGATTCAGAGGCGCTCATAAGAATGGAAAGAAGCTGGGCACAGTGGCTTACGCCTGTAATCCCAGCACTTTGGGAGGCCGAGGCGGGCGGATCACTTGAGGTCAGGAGTTCAAGACCAGCCTGGCCAACATGGTGAAACCGCATCTCTACTAAAAATACAAAAAAAAAAAAAAAAATTAGCCAGGCATGGTGGTACACGCCTGTAGTCCCAGTTACTCGGGTGGCTAAGGCAGGAGAAACGCTTGACCCTGGGAGGCAGAGGTTACAGTGAGCCGAGATTGTGCCACTGCATTCCACCTGGGTAACAGAGCCAGACTCCATCTCAAAAAATTAAATTAAATTAAATTAAAAATCTTTAAAAAATGGAAAGAGATGGGTGCTAGGCAGGACCTGAGGACATGAAGAGGCGTCCCCAAAAGAGAATTGAGCAGGAAATCCAGGAGCACAGAAGGAGTGAGTCAAAAGTCGGGGGAAGAAAGATTCCAAGAGTTGCTGCTCACCTGTGACAGATGTTCCCGACGGTCACTGCAGATGAGTCCTAAGGGCTGCTTCTTGGGCTCAGTGGCAGGAAGAGTACTCAGGGCAGAGGGGAGAGCCAGTGCAAACATCTGGAGCAGGAGTATTCCTCAGGTGTCAGAGTAAACGACATCAAGGCTGAAGGAGAGGAGGTTGGAGAAACAAGGAGCCACACATGTAGGGCCTCATCGGCCATTAGCAGTTATTATACTAAAGTGAGATGGGATCCAGGGGAGGATGCTGAGAAGATTCAGGGCATGATCCCACTGGCTGTTATGTGAAGGAGTGTTTGTAGAGGAGGCAAGGCGGGAGCAGGAGACCTGTGGGGAGCCCCATGCAGCCGTCCAGGAGAGAGACAGACCAGACTAGGGTGCTGCCGTGGAGACGGTCCTAAGTGTTTGGCTGTTTTGAAACTACATTCAAACAGGATTTGCTAAATTTCATTTAGGTACCTGGAGTTTGAAAAGGTCCGGACTTGGCATTGCAGTTTGGTGCCACCCACTGGGAGCATGACAAGTGCAGTGAGAGAAAGAGCAGTCCAGGGTCCTGGACCCCAAAGCTCCTGGCCTGAGCAGCTAGAAGGATGGAGCTGCCCTGTACTCCAGGAGAAGCACGCTGGGTTAGAAGAATCAGGAATTTGGGTTTTGAGATGCCTATTAGACATCTGAGTGGTACTGGTCTCTGCCCTCATAGAAGTTAGAGATGGTAAATATATAGTCACATAAAATAATTCCACACATTGTGGTAAATCCTAGAAGCAGCGTGACCTGCTCTGAATGGCAAGGAGGTGACTACAGTAGTCCAGGCTGGAGGTGATGGTGGCTTGGGGAGGAGAACTGAGCCTGGGGAGTTTTTATGGGTTCACCAGGCAGGCAGGACCAGGATTTGACTGGAGGGTTGGAGTCTAGGCTGGGTGGGGAAGAATGAAGTAGGAAAGATAACAGATGAAGGTCAAAGATGGGCCGATCCATGTCTTGGTGAGAGCACAGAAGCTTGTGGGGCATTCTGATACCAGAGCAGGGTTGAGTTCAATCTTGGAGGCCCACCCATTTTCTCACCCTCAAAATGTGTGCAACCCCAGCTGGTCTCCTGAGAGGTGTGATCCAGGCTGCCTGTGTTCCCTGGAGAAGGTGATCACCCTGCCTTTCATAGGATGCAATCAGAACCCATTCCTGGAGACCGTATCCCACCCTACAAAGTGCAATCAGTTGGCCTTTCCTGTTTTCCACCTCCCGCTGCACAGAGCTTCAGTCCCCTGGCCTCCCTCTGCCCTTAGAGTCAAAAACCCCTCACCTCCCAAGGGCTTTTAACAGCCCTGGTGGCCCAGGCCAATGATACCTACCTTGTCCTGATCAGGACTGTAACAAGGGTGGCCTCCCTGGAGGTTGTGACAAATGGGCCTTAATATACACCCCCATCCCTCTGGAGAGGACACAACCTAATCCTGGGTATAACCTGCTTGTCGCTCCCTCTCTTTACCCATGAAGCCAGCTTCTTAAGCTACTTCTCTTCTTCTTGCATAATGGGTGCAATCCAAGAAGCCTTCCCTAAGGCAGTGGCTTCCTTACACCGGACCTATTTATAACCATCCTATCCCCAGCGCTAGAAGAAGCTACTCCACTCGCGCACACGTCTCCCTGGTCTATTCCGGGCAGAGGTGCAATCCAGACAATCTCCCCGATGGCAGGGACCCTGCAATCCGGAATCCATATGTAACCCACCTCCTCTCTCTCCCTGTCTAGGAGAAGCCGACCCCTCCCGCAATGCCCGCCCCGCCGTGCGCCTCCTGCCATGCTGCACGCGCCGCCCTCCGCCGTCCGCTCTCGGGCCAAGCGCTGTGCGGTGCCTGCTTCTGCGCCGCCTTCGAGGCCGAGGTGCTGCACACGGTGCTCGCCGGCCGCCTGCTGCCGCCCGGCGCGGTGGTGGCCGTGGGCGCCTCGGGCGGCAAGGACTCCACGGTGCTGGCGCACGTGCTGCGCGCGCTGGCGCCGCGCCTGGGCATCTCACTGCAGCTCGTGGCCGTCGATGAGGGCATCGGTGGCTACCGGGACGCGGCGTTGGCGGCCGTGCGGCGCCAGGCGGCGCGCTGGGAGCTGCCGCTCACGGTCGTGGCCTACGAAGACCTCTTTGGGGGCTGGACGATGGACGCCGTGGCCCGCAGCACAGCCGGCTCCGGCCGCAGCCGCTCCTGCTGCACCTTCTGTGGAGTGCTGCGGCGCCGGGCGCTGGAGGAAGGGGCGCGCCGCGTGGGAGCCACGCACATCGTGACAGGTGAGCGTAGTACGGGCCGCAGAGCGGCACTCTCCGAGGCAGTGGGGCGAATGCACAGGCGAGGAGGCGGGACCTGAAAGGGGATTCAGGCGCATGCTCCAGAAGGCGGCGAGGAGACCCTGGTGGCTTAATGGGAGGATCCCTGTACGGAGGTGCGGAAGGGCGCATGCTGCAGTTTGGGGCTGGGGCCCTTTAAAGGTTCAAGACGCTGGGGAGACAGAGGGGCCAGGCAGTGATCACAAAGGTTTTTGGGTCTTGGCCACCGTCTTGGTCTCCACAGATTGCCAAAGGGGTGGGAGGTGAAAATCTCTGGAGATCTCTGGTCCTTTACTTATTTTTAAATGTTTCTAACATGCTTGATCTCTTATGGTCCACCTTTCAGAATCCAGCTCTTTCTCTAAAAAGCATCTCCATCTCTTAATTCCTTTTCTTGGTTGGCCTCTCCTCTTTGATAACTTTTTTTTTTTTTTTTTTTTTGAGACAGAGTCTCGCTCTGTCTCCCAGGCTGGAGTGCAGTGGTGCGATCTCGGCTTACTGCAACCTCTGCCTCCCGGATTCACGCCATTCTCCTGGCTCAGCCTCCCGAGTAGCCGGGGCTACAGGTGCCTGCCACCACGCCCAGCTAATTTTTTGTATTTTTAGTAGAGACGGGGTTTCACCATGTTAGCCAGGATGATCTCGATCTCCTGACCTCGTGATCCACCCACCTCGGCCTCCCAAAGTGCTGGAAGATAACTTTTTTATTCTGTCTTTTTCATCCATTCCTTCAACAAACAGATGCTAAGTTTCTGCTATATGCCGGATCCCAACTGTGGCCATACCAAAGTTCTTAACCACTCTGTACTTCTGTTTCACCCCATCCCTAAAACAGGACTATGAATGGTACCCAGCTCATAAACTTGTTATGACAATTAGATGAGTCAGTAGAAGTATAACGTTATCTATATTATAGTTATGTTACATAACCCGTATGATATAATATAGATTACACATTTTATACATGCTATTATCATCATCATTGTCAGGCTAGGGCTGAGAATACAGTTACGCACAAGTTCCTACCTTTGCATGGTTATCAGGTACAAAATTATAAACATTATACATGTTATTGACCATGTATGGACATGTTATGGACTATGTGTACACACAGAGAACCCTATGACGTGGAGGGAGTGGGGTCAAGGAACGGTTTTGAAATCTGAAGGCTCACAGTGAAGAGGTAAAGCGGGTAAGAATTAGGGAGAGGTTATTGGCCTGTGAAAAGCCAATTTGGGCTGCCCCAAGAAGTCCAGTGTGGCTGGAACCCAGAAAGCAAGGGCAGGGGAGGCTGGAGAGGTGGAAGAGGTCAGGCCTTACCCTGTAGGCTGTGGCGGAACCAGTAAAAGTGACATGAAGAGAGTTTCACTTTGAAAAGCTCACCCAGGCCATGGCGAGGAACCTGGGTTGGAGGGACAGGGACAAAGCCGAGGAGACCAGTCAGTGGGAAGCCAGCTGCGGTGATGGAGGTGAGAGATGATGGTTGGAGAGAATCAGCACACTGAAAGCATATGAAGGCAAAAGTAGTTCTGAGGCTGTCATGTGCCACCATGCTAGGTAGGGCCACTGGCTCTGGGGAAGGCTTACTGAGCTTCATTCACTGATGTGGCCCTTTCCTTACTGAGTAACTTTGGAGAAATCCCTAGATCTCTGTGATTGAAAATGGGAAGAATAATCCTTACCATACAAGAGCAGACAGTGTATGGAAAGAATGAAAGGCTTCGGCCGGGCACAGTGGCTCACACCTGTAATCCCAGCACTTTGGGAGGCTGAGGCAGGCGGAATCACAAGGTCAAACGTTCGAGGCCAGCCTGGCCAACATGGTGAAACCCCGTCTCTACTAAGAATACAAAAATTAGCTGAGTGTGGTGGTGGGCGGCTGTAATCCCAGCTACACGGGAGGCTGAGGCAGGAGAATTGCTTGAACCCGGGAGGCGGAGGTTGCAGTGAGTCGAGATCACGCCACTGCACTCCAGCCTGGGTGACAGAGCAAGATTCCAGCTGGGGGAGAAAAAAAAAGAATGAGAGGCTGCCTCGGATTTTAAAGTTAATTTGATAGAATCACTTATTAATTGTACTTCCAAAAGTAATGAAGCCTTCCAGAAAAATCCCTGACTTGCAAGGTGATTTCTACCCTTTGTTTATACACTCCATTTTCAAAGGCGTAGTATAATAATTGTTGTAATAATTATTACAAAACTGGGAGCTCTTAAGTGGGTTTGTAATGACAAGGTGTGGAGCAAATCCAGTCTCCCCTAATTAATGTGGTTTACAACTTTAAGTCAATAAACATTCAACGAGATGTCGTTTGCAGTAGCAAACATGCCCAATCTCAAGGTCACAGGGCTTGGCAGGTCTTTGGGAGGTAACCATTACTACAAACACAATTAGAGCCAAGTTCTTGGAGGTTTTTTACCATATAGACCAGGGCCTCTCAACTTCAGCCCTATTGATATTTGGGGCCAGATAGTTTGTTTTTAGGGAGCTGTCCTCTGTGTTATAGGATTTTAGCAGTATCCCTGGCCTCTACCCACTAGATGCTATTTAATAGTAGTGCCCCACCCCCAACCTGACACACAGAAATGTCTCCAGCCATTGCCAAATGTCTCTGGGGGAGGGAAGGAGGGCAGACTCATCCCAGATTGAGAACCACTGATATAGACTCAAGTATAACTTGACAAGACACAGAACAAGTTTAGCTTCAATTTCATGGTGACCAGTGTGTAAATATTTCTCACTGTTACTTCTAAACAAAGATAACACAAAAACACTGCAGTGATTACAGGGGTGGTGACACATGCTAGTAATCCCAGCCGCTTTGGGAGGCCGAGGCAGGTGGATCACTTGAGCTCAGAGGAGTTCAAGACCAGCCTGGCCAACATGGAGAAACTGCGTCTGTATAGAAATACAAAAATTAGCTGGGCATGGTGGCACACACCTGTGGTCCCAGCTACTCTGGAGGCTGAGGCAGGGGGATCACTTAAGCCCTGGAGACAGAGGTTGCAGTGAGCTGAGATCGTGCCACTGTCCTCCAGCCTGGGCACTAAAGTGAGACCCTGTCTCAAACACACACACACACACACACACACACGCACAATAAAACAAAATGAAAAAAAAAAACCATAAAAAAACTACAGTCTGGGTTGTCAGAGGCTCTGTGTCAAGAACCAGTTGTTTTCTCTGGCTGCTGTAACAAATTACTTCAAATTTCACAGCTTTAAACAACACAGATTTATTATCTTGTAGTTCTGTAGATAGAAGTCTGGGAAGTCTCACCGGGCTAAAATCAAAGTGTCAAGAGTGCTGCCTTTCTCCTGGAGGCTCTGGGGCAAGGGGGTCCATTTCCTTGCCTTTTCCAGCTTCCGGAGGCTGCCCACATTCCTGGCTGATGGTCCCTTCCTCCATTTTCTTTTCTTTTTTTTCTTTTGAGACAGAGTCTTGCTGTGGAGCCCAGGCTGGAGTGCAGTGGAGTGATCTCGGCTCACTGCAACCTCTCCCTCCCAGGTTCAAGAGATTCTCATGCCTCAGCTGGGGTTACAGGTGCCTGCCACCATGACCTGCTAATTTTTGTATTTTTAGTAGAGATGGGGGTTTTGCCATGTTGGCCAGGCTGGTCTCAAACTCGTGGCCTCAGGTGATTCTCCCACCTTAGCCTCCCAAAGTGCTGGGATTACAGGCATGAGCCACTGTGCCCGGCTCTTCCTCCATTTTCAAAGCCAAGGATGGCAGTTTGAGTCCTACACCGTTTGCATCACTCTAACCTTGCCTCTGCCCTCACACCCCCCATATGCAGTAGGCGGGTGGCAAATGAGGTATCCCCAAGTTCCCCAGGGAGCTTGTGTGTGTTCCCCTCTCAATTCCTGCTGTGTCCACCTCCAGCCACCACCTAGCTGCACCACAGTGCCCAGGGGGCTCCATGGCCCCATCTCCCTCTCCCGGTCTCTGGGTCCTGGCTGTCCTATGGTGCCAGAGGGGCTCCATGGCTCAGGCTTCCCCTCCCCATCTCTCTCTGGGTCCTGGCTGCCCACTATGTTCAAAGGTCTCCATGGCCCTATCTCTCCCTTTTCTGCCTCCCTCCTCCCCTCTAAGGGTCTTTGTGATTACCTTGAGCGCACCTGGATAACGCACCATTCTGTCCCTATTGTAAAGTCAGCTGATTAGCAGCCCCAATTCAACTTGCAACCTTAATTCCCCTTTGTCCTACAACCAAACATATTAACAGGTTCCCAGAATTAGGCCATGGATTCCCTAGGCGGTGGGGGAGACAGCAGCCTGCCTACCCCTCCAGCTCTCCTGAGAATCTCGGTTAAATGCCTTAAATGCCTTCTGATTTTTGTGTACAGTTTGAATTACGGTTTTAACTGAGGCTGATAAGGTTATTAGCAGCATAATGCACTTTTACTCCCTATATGAAAGGGCAACTAGCATAAGGTCCGCTATGCAGTAGGCGGGTGGTACATGAAGGCACGCCCAAGTTGCGCCAGGGGAGCTTATGTTTCTCTTTGATTTTTTGTTGTGTCCACCTGCAGCCTGCACCTGGCTGCTTCACGGTTCCCGGAGGGTCTCCATGGCTCGCTCTTGCCCTCCCCGTCTCTCTCTGCGTCCTGGTTGCCCACAGTGCCCTAGGGGTCTCCATGGCTCTCTCTCCCCCTCCCTGTCTCTGGATCCTGGCTGTCACACCATGTTTGGGG
Organism: Homo sapiens; assembly: GCF_000001405.40. NCBI lineage: Eukaryota > Metazoa > Chordata > Mammalia > Primates > Hominidae > Homo > Homo sapiens. The sequence goes on along the minus strand of NC_000019.10, from coordinate 51,099,334 downwards.
GTCTGTCTCCATGGCTTGCTCTCCCCGTCGCCGTCTCTCTCTGGGTCCTGGCGGCCCCACTGTGCCCTGGGTCTCCGTGGGTCTCTCCTCCCAGTCTCTCTCTGGGTCCTGGTGGACCCTTGGTTCCCCGGGGGGCTCCCTGGCCAGCAGCGCCCTCCGCGCCCCACCTCACCCGCTCCCTTCTCTCCCCACCAGGTCACAACGCCGACGACATGGCGGAGACCGTGCTCATGAACTTCCTACGGGGCGACGCGGGGCGGCTGGCCCGGGGCGGGGGCCTGGGCTCTCCCGGCGAGGGGGGCGCCCTGCCGCGCTGCCGCCCGCTGCAGTTCGCCTCGCAGAAGGAGGTGGTGCTGTACGCGCACTTCCGCCGCCTCGACTACTTCTCCGAGGAGTGCGTCTACGCGCCCGAGGCCTTCCGCGGCCACGCCCGGGACCTGCTCAAGCGCCTGGAGGCGGCGCGGCCGTCCGCGGTGCTGGACCTCGTGCACTCGGCCGAGCGCCTGGCGCTGGCCCCGGCCGCGCGGCCCCCGCGCCCCGGCGCCTGCTCCCGCTGTGGGGCGCTGGCCAGCCGCGCGCTCTGCCAGGCCTGCGCGCTCCTGGACGGCCTGAACCGCGGCCGGCCCCGCCTGGCCATCGGCAAGGGCCGCCGGGGTCTGGACGAGGAGGCGACGCCGGGGACGCCCGGGGATCCGGCCCGGCCCCCCGCCTCCAAGGCCGTCCCCACCTTCTAGCGACTTCGGGCCTCCCGCCGGGATCTGATGCCGCGGGGTGGGGGCTGCCTGTAAATGACACTGTGAATAAACCCGTTACCTTACCTGGCCTTCCATGTGGGGTTGGGAAGGAGACGGGGGCCCATTCACCTGAAACCCTGAAGAAGCTGGGACCCCAGACTTCGAGGTCTCAGGGAAGAAGGGTCTCGAACTGGGCTTCAGGCTCTGAGGGAGGAGGGGGCTGGGGGACCATCCTAGGTCTGAGAGAGGAGAGGGCCAGGACTAAGCCTAGAAGAAGTGGGACTGGGGACCCCAGGCATCTGTGGCTGAGGAAGGAGGGCCTGGGGTCGTGGACTCCTGGGTCTCAGGGAGGAGGGGGCTGAACACCGTGTGATTCTTGAGCGAGTGGGGATTGGTTGGGGACCTCCTGCCCAGGGCCTCTGCTGGTTCTGGGTGCGCTCAGCATGGTCCTGACCCTCCTTGAGCATCAGATTCCTGATGTTTCCTGTTTGCCCGCAGTGGGGTAAGCGGAGCGTGACTTGATGGACACACGCCATTCACAGCCGCCGTCACGATGCCTCCCTTCCAGCGCTTCGTGTGTAGCACGCACTGCACCCTCATTTCGTCTCCACCACGGTCTCACTGGCTGTAGCCTGAAGTGGTAAATGGCCCTAAGACACCCAGTCGGAAGGGGTCACACCGAGGGCTCCCTCCAAAGCTCTCGAATATCACAGGTCGTGGAATTGGTCCTCCCCCACCCATCCCCTCTCGAATCTCTCCTGGTATCTCTGTCACGGGTGAGGAGGGGTTGGATGCGTTCCCCAAACCTTGGACTCTGGAGGCAGGGTTGTGTGAGCCTGTCGGTGACTTAGCCTCTTTCATGTCCCATTTCTCCTATGAAAATATAATCAGCCCCCTTCCCCCCCGCCCCCCCATCCCCCCCGCATCAAGGCACCACTGGGAGGAAATGGAAGATCAGAGAAGTTGAGGTGCTCAATAAATGGTGACCACTTGGACTTGGTCGTTCATGTTACTGTCTGACCACCAGGGGGCGCCGGGTCTCAGGGTTGCTGTCCTGTACAGGTACGGGGAGGTTGTGAGAATCTCAAACTTCCCGGGGAGATGGTGCTCTCAGTCCCACCTCCAGGACTTGCTGGGCTGGCTTCTTGTCAGAAATGCCCCTTCTTCCCATCACCCTGCTCAGATCCTCCAGGGTCCTCCTAGAAGGCTTCTCAATTCTCTCCTCCCATCACCCAACCCAGGGCTTAGTATTCTCCCAAACCCCTGCTTCTCAGTCCTGTCTTCACTGTGTGGCCACCCAAACTTGGGCTGGAGGCCAAGGACTAGATGATTCACTCAAAACGTGTATGAGCATCTCCTTTGCATCAGGCACTCCTCTGGGTTCTAGGAACATGGCAGTGAACAGGAGACAAGTCTCTGCCCTCATGAAGTTCAGTCTGGGAGAAACGGACAGCAAGCACATCAATATGTAATGTCAGGTAGTGATGAATGCTACAAATTAAAAAAAAAATGATGAGAGAGAGAGACAGGAAGAGCTTGTTTCCACAGGGGTCAGGGAAGGAAGGGCCTTGGAGGAAGTGACGTTATGCACAGACCTACAGAAGCAAAAGAACAAAGCATGGAGCCATTTGGGGGAAGAGCTTTCCTGGTGGAGGGAACTGCTGGTGCAAAAGCCTGGAGGGGTGGGAATCAGCTTGCAAGTGCAAGGAACAGCAAGTCCAGTGTGGCGGGAACAGAGTGGGTGAGGAGGAGAATAGCAAGAGATGAAACGAGCCACTAAGCAGGGATGGGCCGTGCATGGTCTTCTGTTGGCAAGAAAGACTTGTATTTTAAGAGTGATGGTAGGTCTTTGGAGGGCTTTGGTCCCAACAGTGGGTCCAATTTCCATTTTCTAAAAGTTACTCCAGCTGCTGTGAGGAGAATGAGCTGTAGGGGGTGCAAGATGATCAAGATCAATTGTATAGGATGACGCTTGTGTGCCAGTCCTAGTGCCAAGTGTGCCTGCCTTCCTCATTAGCTCAGTGACATAAGGAATGGGTTTTCAGCACCAATTTTTTTTAACTGGTATGTAGAAGAATCTAAAAGTTTATTTTTTATTTTTTAATATTTTATTTTTCCATAAGTTGTTGGGGTACAGGTGGTATTTGGTTACATGAATAAGTTATTTAGTGGTGATTTGTGAGATCCTGGTGCACCCATCACCTGAGCAGTATACACTGCACTGTATTTGTTGTCTCTTTTCCCTCGTTCCCCTCCCACTCTTCCCCCCAAGTCCCCAAAGTCCATAGTATCATTCTTATGCCTTTGCACCCTCATAGCTTAGCTCCCACATATCAGTGAGAACATAGGATGTTCGGTTTTCCATTCCTGAGTTATTTCACTTAAAATAATAGTCTCCAATCTCATCCAGGTCATTGCAAATGCTGTTAATTCATTCCTTTTTATGGCCGAGTAGTAGTCCATCGTATACGTATACACCACAGTTTCTTTATCCACTCGTTGATTGATGGGCATTTGGGTTGGTTCCTTCAGCACCAATTTCATAAAGGATGAAATTACAGCCCAGAGAGGTGAAGTAAGTTGCCCAGGGCCACACTGCAGCAAATCAGCAAAGGAGCTGGAGCTCTGGACACTTTTGCTGGGCTACCTGCTGGAAGCCAGGGGACCTAGGTTCCTATTGCTGACGTGCCAGTGATTTACTGTGTGGCTTTGGGTAAGGGACCTTTTCCCTTCTGTTCATTGGAGTTTGTCCCTGTGCATGGGGTGGGGTGGGCAGTGGATTAGATTTCTTTTGTGGTTTAAGGCACTCTCCAATCGAAAATGCAAACCGTATGTATAATTTAGAATATTTTCATAGCCGTATTTTTAGAGAAGGGACACAAGTGATATTTTAATAAATTTATTTGACCCACTTATACAAAATATTATAATTTTAATATGTAATCAGTTTGTTAAAACTTAAGCGAGATGTTTTATACATGTTTTTTCATATAGAGTTTTCAAAATTCGGTGTGTATGTTACACTTTCGGCCCATCTCAATCCAGACTCCCCACAGTTCGGCTGCCACATGGGACCTGTGGGCACTCCACTGGACCGCGCAGGTTTGCAATGTGCTTCCTAGACCCAGACTGCCTGAGTTCAGAACCAAGCTCTGCCGGGAATGCTGTGTGACCTTGAGCAGGTTCTTTGGCTGTACAGTGTGGGGAGGAATGGTACTTCCGTCCTGTGGTTATTGTTAAAAATACATATCAGTGCTTAGAAGAGCGCCTGGCATTTAGTGAGTGCTCGCCGTCCCTCTTAGCCTGGGCTTGCGGCCTTCCTCATGGGGGTCTCTGAAGAGCTGGGGGTGCTAGGTGTGGTGGCTCACGCCTGAAATCCCAGCACTTTGGGAGGCTGAGGCAGGCAGATCACTTGAGATCAGGAATTTGAGATGGAACCCTGCCTCTACGAAAAATACAAAAATTAGCCAGGCGGGGTGGCAGGTGCCTGTAATCCCAGCTACCCAGGAGGCTGAGGCTTGAACCCTGGAGGCAGAGGTTGCAGTGAGCCAAGATCTCGAGATCTGGCCACTGCACTCCAGCCTGGGCGACAGAGCCAGGCTCCGTTTCAAAAAAAAAAAAGAAAAAAAAAAAAAAAAGCGGGGCGGGGGGGAGGTGCTCTTTTCGTCTCTGGCCACAAGGGGTCGCTGTGACCTCGCCTGTGCATCCGGTGGTCATTGACATCAAAGCCAGGTCTCCCCCTCCCCAGCCCCGACTGGGAGCTCAGCTGTCTCTGCCCACCTGCCCGCTGGTCTCTGAGCCAGTCCTTAAGGGTGAGAGACACAGGTTGGCAGAGATCTTAAGGCCCCGTATAAACACCAGACACTCCTTGACCTCAAGACCCCTGTGTCATCCACTCAACAAATACTTTTTGAGCAGGTGATTTGTGACAGCAGTGAACAGAACAAAACCATGCCCTCAAGGGAGATACAAAAAAAAAAAAAAAAAAACGAGAAAAATAAGTCAAATATATGGTATGTTGGATCGTGATAATCGCTTCTATTTAAGTAGGAGGGACGGGGAGGCTTCAAGGAGGAGATATTCAGGGAAAGGTGCAGGGTGAGGCAGAGAGCACAGGGGTGGAGGGTCTCTGGGAAAGTGTTCCTGGCAGGAAACAGCAAGTGCAGACTCTGAGATTGAGGGAAAAAGGAGAGGGGGCAGGTGGAGGAGAGAGGTGAGAGGGAGAAGCGACTTTGGCTTGGCTTTGTTTCTAAGCACTGCAGAAGCCATGGAGGATATTTGAGTAAAGGAGGGATACTGATCACCCCTTTATTCATGCAGCAAACATTTCCTGACGCCTCCTTGGAGCTGGCGGGCCCTGCGCAGGGCGGTGGGGCAATGCAGCTGAGTCAGCCCCAGTCCCTGCCCTCAATGGGCTCCCTGTCTGCCAGCGGAGGCGGGCAGGGATACTGGCAAGTCAAGATCCGGAGGGATATGTGCCACCGTGGGGCTTAGGAGGGACACAGGGGAGGCCTGAGGTGGGGCTTCTAACTCAGTGCGGTGCGTCATGGAACGCTTCCTGAAAGAGGTAATGTGTAAACCGGGAGCTGGAGATGAGTAAGAATGAGCACAGGAAAGGGCGAGATGGGGACAAATGTGCAAGGCAGAGAGAATGGCAGGCACAGAGGCCTGCAGGCATGGGAGCCCCAAGTCCCTGCGAGGCTTTGCCGCTCCTCCCTGTGCAGGATGGTGGAGGGGGTGGCCAGCCCTCCATAAAGCACTGGAATTCTTCTGGCCGGGATGGGGCACTTAGGGAGGGCGAGAGCAGACAGGGCCGGCTCTGGGTGTCAGAAAGATCCCTCTGGGGCCGTGTCCAGGAAGGACTGGAGTAGGGAAGACTCAGCCAGGAGGCCAGGGAGAGGGCTGGGACAAAGGTCTGGGAATGGATTTGGTAGCCAAAACTGGGGCAGTGGCGAGGGTGTCAGGATGGTGAGAATGGATGTGAGGGCCATTTAAGAAGTCCTCACCAAGAGCTGGGAACCCTATTCAATGCTGAGGGTGTGTTTCCTAAGGGCGAAGAGCCCTACGTGTTCTCAAAGGCAGTGTAAATCCAAGAGACATTTCTTCCAGGCAGACTGAACAAAAACAAACAAAAAAGATGTTCGCCACATATGCCGGTGGCCATGGTAAACCCGGGAAATTCTTTTGCTGGAGGAGGAAGGCTTGGTAAATATGGAGGGCAGGGGCAGGGAGCTGCTGAGGCTGGAGGCCCAAGTGAACACAGACGCTCCTTTAGCTAAACAGGAGGCCCCAGTCTTCATGGGGACAAAGGGACTTTTGCTGTGGCCTGTGGCCTTGGCAAACACAGCCTCTACATAAACACAACTAAAGGTGGCAGTGGGGCGAAACGCCAGCGTCTCATCCCATCAGGTCAGAAGCATTCTCCCCACTGCAGGGATTTGGAGCCCAGTCTCAGAAAGACCGGCTTCCCCATCTTCCACCTGTGTGCTCTCCTGGGGCTGGGTCATTGGAGATCGCTGTCAGGTCTGAGGAGGTGGAGACATTGAGTGCAGAGATTCTGGAGAAAAGCAGAGATTCTAAACAGGCTCTGAGATGATCTTCCTCCTTCAGCCTGTTATAGAGCCCCTGCCACGTGCCGGGTGGCAGACGTGGCAACAGGGATTCAGCAACAAGATAGACAAGGTCCCTGCCCTCGTGAAGCCTCAGTTCTAATAAGAGATGCCTCTTCCTTCCACAAAGGTTTACTGAACACCTCCTATGTGCCAGGGCATAGAGGCAGATAAAGACAGTGAAAATCCCTGCACTGTCAGGGTTGCCATTCAAGTCGTGGGAGACAGAGTAGACGTAAGAGTAAGAAAGTAAATAAATAAAACATGAGAGACATCCGACAGTAATAAACACCATAGAGAGGAAGAAAACCAGCAATAATAATAAACAAGGAAGCAAACCGATAGAGCAATTACAGATTGAGATAAGGTGTAGGAAGGAAACCCACAAGAAGCTGAGATGGAAACTGGAAGGGAATGCCAGCTCTGGAGAAGGTGGTCAGGAGATGACCTTTAAGCTGAAATCTGAAGGAAGATCACAGGCAGAGTGGTGGGAAGCATGTCCCAGGCAGAGGGAACAGCAAAGGCCAAGCCTCTAAGTTGGGAAGGCGCCTCCCAATGTTGAGAAGATGGAAGAAGTTCCAGGGGGCAGAGGCACAGTACACAATGCAGTGATGAGGTTGGAAGGATGGACAGAAGCCAGACACCAAGTGCCTTGGAGGCATTTGCGTTTTATTATAATTGCAGTGGGCACTCACAGATGGGTTTTAAGCAGGTTTTAACATGATATTGTTTTAAGAAGACGTTGGCTGCTGAGTAGAGAATGGACTTAGCAGGGCGAGGGAGGGAGGGGTTGGGGGTCGAGGCTGGAAGCAGCGAGACCAGTTTGGATGCTCTTGCACCTGTGTAGGTGGGAGATAAGGGTGACTTGGAAGAGGGCGACTGAGAGGAGACAAGTGGGTGGATTCTTTACTGTGTACTTTGGAGCTAAGTGACAGGAACTGCCAAAATGGGAGGTGAGAGCGAGGGAGGAATCAGAGACGCTCCCAAGCGTCTTTGACCCAAGCACCTGGGGAGAGGATACTAACTTAGAGGAGACACAGGGGGAAGGTTGGGGTACACCGTGGAGCTTAAACAGAAATAAATGGGAGGGGCCGGGCACGGTGGCTCACGCCTGTAATCCCAGCACTTTGGGAGGCCGAGGCGGGCGGATCACGAGGTCAGGAGATCGAGACCATCCTGGCTAACACGGTGAAACCCCGTCTCTACTAAAAATACAAAAAAATTAGCCGGGCGTGGTGGCGGGCGCCTGTAGTCCCAGCTAGTCGGGGGGCTGAGGCAGGAGAATGGCGTGAACCCGGGAGGCGGAGCTTGCAGTGAGTGGAGATCGTGCCACTGCACTCCAGGCTGGGTGACAGAGCGAGACTCCGTCTCAAAAGAAAAAAAAAAAAAAAAAGAAATAAATGGGAGGTAATAGAGGTGGGATGGGGGGCAGGGATGTTCACTGTCCATCAGCCGAGCATCAGGGGCCCCCAGGTTTGCACACAGAGGCCGCCTGGCACAAAGCAGTTTTCAGTGCTGGCTCGGAAAGGTCTGAGAGATTACCCGGAGAGAGTTTGGATCATCAATGACACACATGAGATCAGAAGCAGAGAGGCATCAAGTCAGGCTGGCTCGGGTTCAAATCCCAGCCCTTCCATGCCACGTTAGACAACTGACCTCATTTCTCTCCATTTCGTCATCTGTAAAATGAGTGTCATCGTGTCTCATGGGGCTGGTGGGAGAATTAAGGGAGACATGGCACACGGTAGACACTAGGAAAGTTGCCAACCAAGAGCCTATCAGGACCCAAGGGAAGACAGAGACGGGGGTCTGTCTGCTCATCCCACGACAATTCACTGTGTGCACACTCATGCCAGGCTGTTCTAGGAGCTGGGGACCCATCGGGGAACAAGGCAAACAGAACTCCCCACCCTCGCTGACATGGAAACAGATTTGCAGACAGGGTGACATGGTGTTTAACAGCCAAATGATCTGGGTTCGAGGCCTGGCTGTGCCACTTGCCCAAGTTACTTGTCTAAGGCCTGGTTTCCTCATCTATAACGTGGTAGTAATAAGAGTCCCTCACCCCACAGGGCTTTCACGAGGGTTAAATGTGAGAGGATGTATGTGAAGCCCTTGGTGACCTGCCCCATTGCTATGATAAGTGGACAGAGAGACGGGTACTGGCTGACACATGGAGTGGGGAGCTTCAGGAGAGAGGACCCCCCAGCTTCCAAAGATAGGACACCCCAGCTTCTGCATCCCACTACCTCCACGTGGCCAGAGACCACCTCCCCCGCCGTCGTTCCCACAGTCACACCCAGCCTCTATCTCTATCTGGAAGAGCTCCACCTCTGAAACCACAAAATCCCACATTCCCACTCCCTGACCACAGCTTCCCCTGCCTCTGTGCATGGTTGTCTGCGCCATTCCTGTTCTTCCACCTCAAAGACGTCTGACCCTCCTCAGGCAGCCTCCCCACCAACACCCCTTGTCTCCACCCCCTGAGAACTTTAGGTTGAGTGAAATAAGCCGGTCACAAGAGGACAAATATAATATGATTCCTTTTGGCCGGGTGCACTGGCTCACACCTGTAATCCCAGCACTTTGAGAGGCTGAGGCGGGAGGAGGATCACTTGAGCCCAGGAGTTCAAGGGCAACCCCAGAGTCCCCTCTGCCCTGGCGACCCTCAGCTCCCCAGTCCCAGCATCCCTCCCACCATCACCCAGTCCTGCAGGCGCCTTCTCTTTGTCTACATCCAGGAAGTTGGAGGAAAAAAAAAATCCGCCAACTGCTGAGAGGGTGCCCCTTAAAACATGTGATCCTCAGCGTCACCTGGGCCCCTTCACCACCACCCTCAGCCTTCCCAACCCCACCCACCAAGGCCCCTTGAGATGAGCCGACTGACGTCTCCCTGGAAGAAACAAGCCACAGGACGGACCAGCCTCGACTTCCTGCCATCGGGCTCACACCCTACCCGCACCTGACCTGCCCTTTCCTTCTTCCTTCCCGAAACAATGTAAGAGGAGTCTTTCCCCATGTCTGGGGCTAATCCCACCACATCGCTGGTTGCACCATCCACTCCTTTGTTCTTGAACATTTCGTGAGGTGGTTGAGAGCTCTCCACCTGCGTTCAAATCACGGCGCCCCCGTTCAGCGTTGTGTAACCTTGGCACGTGGCCGAGCATCTCCATCTTGGCTTCCTCCATCTGTACAATGAGGGGAGTAACAATACCGGAGGTACTCATGAGCTCTCCCATGGCTACGGGAAGGTGTCAGCAAGTTAATTCTCGTGAAATGTGTTCAAATCGTGTTGGACACACACATCGGTGTGCAAATGAACTTGTTAGTGGCCTTGGGAGACAACAGAAGGAAGAGTTTACAGTGTGGAGCGGAGGTTCGGACAGTCCTGGAGTCTCTGATACCTCCTGCACCTACCAGCTGTGGGACCTTGGACAAGCCACCTCCTCTCTCAGCCTCAGTTTCCCTGTCTGTAAAATGGGGACAAGTTAGTGCCTCTCCCGAGGAGTCCAGACTTTCCATGACCTCACTATCCTCACTGTCTATTCTCCCCTCACCCACTTGGCCCCCCACTGACCATCTTGCAGTTCCCAAACCTACAGACCCCTTCCACTGCAGGGAAGCCCTTGCTGCCACCTTTTCATAGACCCTCATAACTTGTAATGTCGTATATCGTATTTATTTCCTTTCTTTTTCTTCCAGAATATACAGATCAGTAGGGCAAAGATTTTTTTGGAAGGGGTATCTATTGTGTTCATTGCTGTATCCCCTAGAACTATGAGGGTGTACATAGTAGGTGCTTGATAAATATTTGCTGAAAAGAGGTGGGGGAGAAAAGGAAGGCAGATGGGAGAAGAGGGAGAGATGAAGGGAAAGAGGGAGGAAAAGAAAGGGAAGACACTAACCCAGATAAAGAACTTGGCTGGTTAAACAGAATGTGGTCTATATACACAGTGGAATAGCAATCAGCCTTAAAAAAGGAAAGAAATCCTGGCACATGCTGCAACGTGGATGAGTGTTGAGAACATTAGGTTGAGTGAAATAAGCCAGTCACAAGAGGACAAATATCATATGATTCCTTTTGGCCAGGTGCAGTGGCTCACGCCTGTAATCCCAGCACTTTGAGAGGCTGAGGTGGGAGGAGAATCACTTGGGCCCAGGAGTTCAAGACAAGCCTGGGCAGCACAGTGAGACCCCATCTCTACAAAATATTTTTTTAATTATCTGGGTGTAGTGGTGTGCATCTGTAGTCCCAGCTACTCAGGAGGCTGAGGTGGGAGGATCGCTTGAGCCCAGGAGGTTGTGGCTGCAGTGAGCTATGACTGCACCAACTGCACTCCAGCCTGGGTGATAGAGTAAGACTTATCTCTTAAAAAAAAAAAAAAAAAATCCAATTCCTATTATGTCAGGTACCTGGACCTAGAGTAGTCAAATTCATAGAGACAGAAAGTCGAATGATTGTTGCTAGGGGCTGGGGAAGGGAGAAGCAGGGAGTTATCATTTAGTGGGTGCAGAATTTGAGGACAATGAAAACATCTGGGGGAGTTAGAGAGTAGTGATGGCTACACAGCAATGCGAATCTGCTGAATCCCACTGAATTGTACCTAAAAATGTTTAAAATGCTTGATTTTGTGCTTTTTTTTTTTTTAGATGGAGTCTCACTCTCTCGCCCAGGCTGGAGTGCAGTGGCATAATCTCGGCTCACTGCAACCTCTGCCTCCTGGTTTCAAGTGATTCTCCTGCAACAGCCTCCCAAGTAGCTGGGACGACAGCGTGCGCCACCACGCCCAGCTAATTTCTTTTGTATTTTAGTAAAGACAGGGTTTCACCGTGTTGCCCAGGCTGGTCTCAAACTCCTGAGCTCAGGCAATCTGCCCGCCTCGGCTTCCCAAAGTGCTAGGATTACAGGCGTGAGCCACTGCGCCTGGCCTATGCTGTGTTTATTTTACAACAATAAAAAATTGTAAAATTTTCTTAAAATTTAAATATTTTTTAAAAGGTCTCATCTGCCGGGCGCAGTGGCTCACGCCTGTAATCCCAGCACTTTGGGAGGCCGAGGCGGGTGGATCACCTGAGGTCAGGAGTTTGAGAGCAGCCTGGCCAACATGGCGAAACCCCGTCTCTGCTAAAAATGCAAAAATTAGCCAGGCATGGTGGTGGGCACCCATAGTCCCAGCTACTCAAAAGGCTGAGGCAACAGAATTGCTTTAACCTGGGAGGCGGAAGTTGCAGTGAGCCGAGATCCTGCCACTGCACTCCAGCCTGGGTGACAGACTGAGACTCATCTCAAAAAAAAAAAAAAACAACCAAGGTTTCATCACAGTCCCTGGCTGTGCTGAGCACAGAATACATGTGAGTGATTGTTTTTGTTCCAAGTGCCATCCAGGTTTTCCTTTCTTATAAACAGCCATCAGTATCAACCACCCTTCTCCTCCCCTCACACCCAAGAGCTGTCCGCACCTATGGTCTCCTCTGCTCCGCCCAGCTTCCACCCCTACCACACCACAAAAAACCTTTCTCTCCAAAATCACCCATCACCTATCTTCCTTCCAGAGGCATCTGACCGCCCCTGCCACTCCCTCGTTTAAAAAATGCTCTCTGGCTGGGCGCAGTGGCTCACACCTGTAATCCCAGCACTTGGGGAGGCCAAGGCAGGCAAATCACTTCAGCCCTGGAGTTGGAGACCAACCTGGGCTACATCGTGAGACCCTGTCTCTACAAAAAAATACAAAAATTAACTGACTGTGGTAGCACGTGCCTGTAGTCCCAGCTACTCAGGAGGCTGAGGTGGGAGGATGGTTGAGCCCAGGAGTTCAAGGCTGCAGTGAGCTGTGATTGCACCACTGCACTCCAGCCTGGGCAACAGAGTGACACCCTGTTTAAAAAGAAAAAAAAAAGCTCTCAACTTTCCTGACACTGCTCCCTCCTGGTGTCCCTCTTAGCTCTTCAATCACTCCTACCCCTGGCATAACTGTTTCTTACCCCCTGAGCTGTGAGTCTTCAGTGGGGTCCTCTCACTGTATACCCTCTCCCTAGGTGGGCTCCACACCGCTGGTATCCAGCACCATCCGTGCCGTGATGCCCCATCACTCTCCTGAGCTCCAGACCTGAGTATCCCGAAGGATTCTGCTCTCCCCTACTCAGGATCATGCCACCATCCCCCATCACCCTCGGAGTAAAATTCTCGCCCCTGCAGCACCAGGGCCCTGCTCATCTTGGCCACTCCTCTCTCCTACGCTCTGAGCTCTCTCACCATCCTCCTGCCCCACCATCCCTACTCGAAACCACTCACCTCCCTCCTACCCTCTCCACACACTGTCCATCCTCCCTGGCAAACTCCTATTCATCTGCAGGAACCTGCTAAGACTGCCCCTCCTCCTGGAACCCTTTCCCACACCTGAGGCTCCATCCAGCCCCTCAGCCTCCTCCAGGGGAGCACACGTGACACCAGATGGAGTTTCCTGTTGCCCCGCTGGCCTGTTTCACCAGACCGTGAGTTCACAGAGGAGCAGCGACTGAGGCTCTGTGTTCATTCATTCATCAGATGTTTATCGATGCCCGTGGCACAGCAAACAAGACCGTGCCAAGCAGGTGGTGGAGTGGTGAGCGAGATACCCTGGGAACCTAGCATGTGGTGGGAAGAGGGCCCAGCAACCTGGCCACGGCACGGCAGGTGCTGAGGTCCGGGCTGGGGACGGCAAGTCCTTGGGAGCCACCGGCGGTGAACTGGGCCTCATCAGCTGCATCTCCAGCTGTCTCCCTACCTTTGAGCTGAAGGCCTTGGGGAGCCTTCCAGTCATTCTGTGCCCTGGCTCAGGCTCTGCATAAACACAAGAACCCCCTCTTTATTTATTTGTTTGTTTATTTATTTATTTTGCAACAGAGTCTCGCTCTGTCACCCAGGCTGGAGTGCAGTGGCACAATCTCAGCTCACTGCAACCTCTGCCTCCCGGGTTCAAGCGATTCTCCTGCCTCAGCCTCCTGAGTAGCTGGGGCTACAGGCACCCACCACCATGCCCAGCTCAGTTTTTTTGTATTTTTAGTAGAGATTGGGTTTCACCATGTTTTCCAGGCTGGTCTTGAACTCCTAACCTCAGGTGATCCACCTTGGCCTCCCAAAGTGCTGGGATTACAGGCGTGAGCCACAGCACCTGCCCCCCTGCCACCCTTTAAAGAAAGGATTCTCTTGGATCTCAGGGATAGAGTGGCATGAAGGAGCCACTCCCAGGCTCCTGGGGGTTGACCAAGGCCTTCTGCTTAAGTAGGGTGTTCTTTTTAGGAACAGGGAGACCTTGTGTTTACTAGGAAATTCTGTTTTATTTTTAACTTTTTCCTTTGAGATAATTACAGACTCACAGGAGGCTACACACACAGCATAGGGAATCTCCCTCACCTACTTCTCCCCGTGGCGACACCTTGTGTAACTGTCGTTCAGAATGGAAACCAGGAAATCAACACAGAAACCAAACTATTAATGAGACTACAGATCACACTGCGCGTTCATTTTTCACACGCATTTCTTTGCACGTGTGTGTGTGCACGTGGGCTTCTGTGTCTCTTTATCTCATGTGTAGAATCGTGTAATCACCGCCACATCCAGTGCAAAGCTGATTCGTCACCACAGAGCAGCTCCCTCCTGCCACCCCATCCCTGGGTCCCAAGAGAACCCTTTCTTAAAAGAGGGAGTTCTTGACGGGTGTGGTGGCTCATGCCTGTAATCCTTGCACTTTGGGAGGCCAAGGAGGGTGGATCATTTGAGGTCAGGAGTTTGAGACCAGACTGGCCAACATGGTGAAACCCTGTCTTTACTAAAAATACAAAAAAATGAGCGGGGCATGGTGGTGGGTGCCTATAGCCCCAGCTACTCAGGAGGCTGAGGCAGGAGAATCGCTTGAACCCAGGAGGCAGAGGTTGCAGTGAGCCGAGATTGAGCCACTGCACTCCAGCCGGGGCTAAAGAGTGAGACTCTGTCTCAAAAAAAAAAAAAAGAAAAAGAAAAAAAGAAAAAAAAATAAAATAAATAAATAAATAAAATAAATTTAAAAATTTAAAAATAAAGAGGGGGTTCTTGTGTTGATGCCGAGCCTGAACCAAGGCAGAGGAGGCCGGGAAGGCTTCCCAAGGCCTTCAGCTCAAAGCAGGGAGGCCCATAGTTAAACAGAAACAGTTCAGGAATCACAGAAAGGCACCTGGGGAGAGATGGGTGTGTGGCTCCAGATGCAGGTGCCCAGACAGTGCGTCCCCAGGTGTACAGACAGACCCAGGCCAAGCTCCAGCTCAAAGAGCCAGCCTAGGGGGGTGCCGAGGTGGAGGGAGGCTGAGTCAGGCTGAGGCCGGGGAACAGTTGGGGTAGCCAAGGGAGGCAAGCAGCCTCCTGAGTCACCACGTGGTCCAGGTACGGGGCTGCCCAGGCCCAGAGACGGACACAAGCACTGGGGAATTTAAGGGGCTAGGGGAGGGGCTGAGGAGGGTAGGCCCTCCCCCAAATGAGGATGGAACCCCCCCAACTCCAGAACCCCCCTGCAGGCTGGCCAGAATCCTTCCCCATCTCATTCACTCTGTCTCTCCTGCTCTCTGCCGTCTCCTATTTTGAATTTCCAACCCCGTCTGTTAAGACTGTCCTTCTGTCTCTGAATCTCTGTCCCCTTCTCTTTCTGGGTCTCTCTCCCTCTCCCTCTGGGTCTCTGTCCCCCTCTCTGGGTCTCTGTCACTCTCTCTTTGCATCTCCAGCTCTCACTTTGTCTCTGCACCTAGCAGATCCCAAGCTGGGGAATGCCAGTTCTGGCACCAACCTTCCTGCTCCCTGCTGGGGCCTCTGCTCCCCCATCTCTCAGGAGTCGAAAGTGAGAAAGCAAGGTGGGCAGCTCTGCTCCAGGTCCAGGTATCTCCCGCCCACCTCCTGCCCGTCCTCTATCCCACCCCTCCTCTCCATCTCTCCCTGGCGCTGCCATCTCTCATCTAGGCCTCCGTCTCCTCTGTCATTGTCCCCATCCCCTGTAGGTGCCCATCCTTCCCGTCTCCCCTCTGCCATCGGCCTGCCTGTCCCATCCTCTTTCTCCCACCATGTCCCGTTCTCTTCCACGTCTCATGCCCGCACTGCCTTCATCATCATCGCTGTTGTTCTGTGTGTGTTTGTGGTGAGTGCCGCATGGTGGGGGCGTCTCGGCCTCTCTCCTCTCTCTCCACTGTTTTCTCTTTCTGTGTGTCTGTTTCCATTCTATCTCCACCTTCTTCCCTCCGTCTTTTGCTTTTCTATCTCCACTTCTCCACACCCCTCTCTCCCTGCGTCTCTGTGTCT
This sequence comes from Homo sapiens, assembly GCF_000001405.40. Classification (NCBI taxonomy): domain Eukaryota; kingdom Metazoa; phylum Chordata; class Mammalia; order Primates; family Hominidae; genus Homo; species Homo sapiens. Next base: position 51,083,693 of record NC_000019.10, on the reverse strand, counting down.
CCCTCTTCCTCTGTCTTGTTTTTTTCCCACCGTCTGCCTCTTCTGTTCCCTGTCACATCCAACTTCCACCGGTTTCTCCAGCTCTCTCCTCAGTTCCTTCTCTCATGAGCACACCTGCCTCTGTGCTCGTATTCCTGGACTCCTCTCTCTCCACTGTCATATCTTCTCATTCATTTTCCCAGTCTCTCTCTGTCTCTTGCTCTCCCCCTCTCTGTCACTCTGTCTCTGTCTCTCTCTTTCTCTCTCTCTCTCTGTGTCTCTCTGTCTGGCTCTCTCTCTGTCTCTCTCTCCATCTCTCTCTCTCTCTCCCCCCCGTCACCCTGTCTCTGTCTCTCTCTGTCTGTGTGTCTCTCTGTCTTTCTCTCTCTCCATCTCTCTCTGTCTCTCTCTCTCTCTCTCTCTCTCTCCCTCTCTCCCTCCTCCCGTGACTCCCTCTCTCAGTCCATCTCTTCCTCCCTCTCTCAGCCCCTTCGTGCCCTTTCCTCTGACACTCCCCACCCTGGTTTCCTGACTCCACCACTAGATCCACCACCTCCAGCAACTGGGAACCCTCCCCTGCCCACCCTGCCCTGGGGTCCCCTCCCAGGATTCCTTCTAGATTATAGCATCTTCCCTGGGCGGGTTCTCATGAACAATTGTGGCTGCTTTTTTGGCCAGACAGGGGAGGGAGGGGATGGGATCAGGGAGTCCTGGAATGGGAACTAGGCAATAAAAAAAAAAAAATGTCAGAAGCAGGGCGGCGGGAGGTGGGGGCAGGGCCAGCTGTCCTTACCAGGGATAAAAGGCTTTGCCAGTGTGACTAGGAAGAGAGACACCTCCCCTCCTTCCTTCATCAAGACATCAAGGAGGGACCTGTGCCCTGCTCCACATCCTCCCACCTGCCGCCCGCAGAGCCTGCAGGCCCCGCCCCCCTCGTCTCTGGTCCCTACCTCTCTGCTGTGTCTTCATGTCCCTGAGGGTCTTGGGCTCTGGGTAAGTGCCCCTTGCTGTCTCTGCCTCTCAGCCCCCGGTTCTGTTGAAGGTTCCTTCTCTCTCACTTTTTCTCTGCATTTGACAGGACCTGGCCCTCAGCCCCTAAAATGTTCCTCCTGCTGACAGCACTTCAAGTCCTGGCTATAGGTAAGAGAACGGTTGGGTATGACACAAGGGGGTCCCCTGGAGACTCTGAGAAGAGATGGGGATGGGTCCTTGGGGCCCCTGGATGCTCATGGTGACCTCATAAGAAAGAGCAGGGAGTGGTTTGGGGGTCATGGTGGGGGAACGTGCTGGAGGCCTAAATTCCTAGTTGTGGAGGTGCTAGGGAATTGTGGGGCCGGGGAGAGAGGTGTTTATAAGGTCTGGTGCAAAATACATAAGGAATCTTAGGGAACTATTAGGTCCTGAGTGGGTCATAGCAGAAAGATCACGGGGCTCTACCTGACTGTGTTAGGAAAGAAACAATGTCAGAAAGATGTTTTGTTGTCAGAGGGAAGGTGGAGAAGGATGATGGGATGGCGGGATCGTGGCATGGGGTGGCGGGATCGTGGCATGGGTGTGTGAGGTGGATGGGGGCAAGTGTGGGGCAAGAGATGGCGGATCCTTGGGGTCCCACTGAGTGGGAACGTTGGGGAGGAGACAGGGAGGTCCTTGAATGTGTTGGGGAAGGACTCATTGGGGGGAAATGTGGCATATTTCGAGAAGTGATCACAGAAATTATGGGAGCATAGAGCTAAGGGTCGTAGATGTAGCAAGGCCCTGGATAAGGTGGCCACGGCACAAAATAAGAGATGCTACGGAGGTGACTTGGGAGGTGAGTCAGAAAGCTCTCCGTGCTGGGGCAATAACGGGGTCAATATTGGGCATGTCTCACCCTGGGTGGGACAGATAGAGGCGGGCAGTTTAGGGGTTAGACCAAAAGGAAGGGGATTTGTCAGTTTTGGAATCCTACAAACTTGTGGAGTGGAGAGTGTTTGCTCATCTACTTTCCCCACCCAATCCTGTCCACTCCTAGCCATGACACAGAGCCAAGAGGATGAGAACAAGATAATTGGTGGCCATACGTGCACCCGGAGCTCCCAGCCGTGGCAGGCGGCCCTGCTGGCGGGTCCCAGGCGCCGCTTCCTCTGCGGAGGCGCCCTGCTTTCAGGCCAGTGGGTCATCACTGCTGCTCACTGCGGCCGCCCGTAAGTGACCCCCTCCCCTGTCCCTGTACCTAGTGAATTCCAGAGTCTAAAGCCCTAGAGCTGAGCTGAGAACCTGGATCTCTGTATAGAACCCAATGTAGTGGCTGGCTCCTGGTTTGAGGTCTAGAGAAGAGCCTGGAACAAAAACACAGCTCGGGATGTGGGCTCCTCCATAAATCTCGAACTCAGCATAGGTTCTGAAAGCAGATGGGCAGCTTGGAACCCATGGACCTGCTGAGAACCGAACATCTGATCCAGTGATTCTTCCAGAGGCCACACATTACATCGAGACCAAGCTTAGCCCATTCCAGATTGGTGGCTGAATTCAGGACCCCGTCTACATTCAGAAACTCAGGACACTACGTAGAACTCAGAGCCCAGTTCAGGACCTGCAGTCTAGCCATAAATCCAGAACTAGAACGCTGCTCACAGCTGGAACATACAACTCTAAGAATAGAGGCAAAACCTGGAGGCTGTTTCACACCCAAGGTTTAGTTCAGAGTCTAGTCTATAGCTCCGCTATGAGCAGACTTCAACCCAGTGTTTGAATCCCAGAATGTGGCGGGTGCGGTGGCTCATGCCTATAATCCTAGCACTTTGGGATGCTGAGGCAGGCAGATCACCTGAGGTCAGGAGTTCGAGACCAGCCTGAGCAACATAGAGAAACCCTGTCTCTACTAAAAATGCAAAATTAGCCAGGCATGGTGGCACATGCCTGTAATCCCAGCCACTCGGGAGGCTGAGGCAGGAGAATCACTTGAACCTGGGAGGCGGAGGTTGCAGTGAGTCAAGATCGCACCATTGCACTCCAGGCTAGGCAACAAGAGCGAAACTCCATATCAATCAATCAATCAATAAATCCCAGAATGCAGATCCTAATCAGAAGCCCCATATAAAACCTAGACCCCTCCTAAATTCTAGATCTGAACTTACAACCCAGACCCCAGCCAAGAGGTCAAAATGCCTATAAGCCATATCTATGCCATAAACAGGTCAGTCTAGAACCTAGAGATCAAAGCTCAGGCCAGAGTCTAGAATATAAAGGCCAGAATGCAAACCAGACTCTAGAATCTTGGATCCGGGCCATAACCTAGAGCTCCAACTAGAACCCAGAGCCCAACCTGAGGTCAAGGGCTAGGGCCAGAGTCCAGAACCAAGAGCCCTATAATCCAATATGAAACAGACCTGTAGAGGCTGGGTGCGGTGGCTCACGCCTGTAATCCCAGCACTTTGGGAGGCTGAGGCGGGAGAATCACTTGAACTGGGAGTTGGAGGTCGAGAGTGAGCTGAGATCGTGCCACTGCACTCCAGCCTAGGTGACAGAGCGAGACTCCATCACAAAAAAAAAATAAATAAATAAATCAAGTCATAATCCAGGTTCGATCTAGAATCCTGATCTTAGCATAGAGTCAAAAGTTTAAGATGTCTAGAACTCAGAACCCAGGCTAGAAACAGAATGGTGCCTACTCCGGAATATCAGTTCCGATTTAGAGCCTAGACTCATAACGCAGTTTCGCTTAGGACTCAATGCACCGAGCCCAGCACAGACCCTGGCACGGAGCCAAGCTCTCCCAATCATCACCTTCTTCCCAAGCCAGGAGCTGGAGCCCAGCCCAAGAGCGGAAGGAGAGGCAGCTGGGGCTGGGCCGAGAGAATGCCCTGGCCATGGGGAAGGGCACAGGAGGCCAAGAATGCTCGGCCTGCAGTTAGTGAGAAGCAGGCTAGACCTCGGGGAAGACTCGTCACCCGGCCAGGGAACCGGGCTGGAGGGTGGGGAGGAGTCTCTGGCTCAGACCCTGAGCAGCGCTTCTCTTGGGGGTCGTGGCCAGGATCCTTCAGGTTGCCCTGGGCAAGCACAACCTGAGGAGGTGGGAGGCCACCCAGCAGGTGCTGCGCGTGGTTCGTCAGGTGACGCACCCCAACTACAACTCCCGGACCCACGACAACGACCTCATGCTGCTGCAGCTACAGCAGCCCGCACGGATCGGGAGGGCAGTCAGGCCCATTGAGGTCACCCAGGCCTGTGCCAGCCCCGGGACCTCCTGCCGAGTGTCAGGCTGGGGAACTATATCCAGCCCCATCGGTGAGGACTCCTGCGTCTTGGAAAGCAGGGGACTGGGCCTGGGCTCCTGGGTCTCCAGGAGGTGGAGCTGGGGGGACTGGGGCTCCTGGGTCTGAGGGAGGAGGGGCTGGGCCTGGACTCCTGGGTCTGAGGGAGGAGGGGGCTGAGGCCTGGACTCCTGGGTCTCAAGGAGGAGGAGCTGGGCCTGGACTCATACGTCTGAGGGAGGAGGGGCTGGAGCCTGGACTCCTGGGTCTCAAGGAGGAGGGGCTGGGCCTGGACTTCTGGGTCTGAGGGAGGAGGGGCTGGGGACCTGGACTCCCGGGTCTGAGGGAGGAGGGACTGGGGGTCTGGACTCCTGGGTCTGAGGGAGGAGGGGCTGGGGGCCTGGACTCCTGGGTCTGAGGGAGGAGGTGCTGGGGCTGGACTCCTGGGTCGGAAGGAGGAGGGGCTGGGGGCCTGGACCCTTGGGTCTTATGGGAGGGTAGACCCAGTTATAACCCTGCAGTGTCCCCCAGCCAGGTACCCCGCCTCTCTGCAATGCGTGAACATCAACATCTCCCCGGATGAGGTGTGCCAGAAGGCCTATCCTAGAACCATCACGCCTGGCATGGTCTGTGCAGGAGTTCCCCAGGGCGGGAAGGACTCTTGTCAGGTAAGGCCCAGGATGGGAGCTGTGGTAGGGATTATTTGGGACTGGGATTTAAGCAAATGATGTCAGGAGCATGGAAGTCTGCAGAGGTCTTCAGAAGAGAGTGAACCGCAGGCACAGAGAGATTCCGATAGCCAGGCCACCCTGCTTCCTAGCCCTGTGCCCCCTGGGTAATGGACTCAGAGCATTCATGCCTCAGTTTCCTCATCTGTCAGGTGGGAGTAACCCTCTTAGGGTAGTTGGTGGAATGGGATGAGGCAGGTTGGGGAAAGATCGCAGAGTGGCCTCTGCTCATATGGGTCTGGGAAAGGCTGTGCTGAGGCTTCTAGAAATCTTAATGCATCCTTGAGGGAGGCAGAGATGGGGAAATAGAAAAAGAGAGACACACAAATGTTCTACAGTTGGAGCGAACAGAGAGGGGCCTGGTGAGATTCAAGGGACAGGCAGGTGCACACAGAGACAGAGCCAGACCCAGCGGAGAGGGAAGGAAGTGCCCCGACCTCCGGGGCTGAGACCTCAGAGCTGGGGCAGGACTGTGTCCCTAACTGTCCACCAGTGTCTCTGCCTGTCTCCCTGTGTCTGCTTCTCGGGTTCTCTGTGCCATGGTGGCTCTGGCTACCTGTCCATCAGTGTCTCCATTTCTGTTCCTCCCCCTCAGGGTGACTCTGGGGGACCCCTGGTGTGCAGAGGACAGCTCCAGGGCCTCGTGTCTTGGGGAATGGAGCGCTGCGCCCTGCCTGGCTACCCCGGTGTCTACACCAACCTGTGCAAGTACAGAAGCTGGATTGAGGAAACGATGCGGGACAAATGATGGTCTTCACGGTGGGATGGACCTCGTCAGCTGCCCAGGCCCTCCTCTCTCTACTCAGGACCCAGGAGTCCAGGCCCCAGCCCCTCCTCCCTCAGACCCAGGAGTCCAGGCCCCCAGCCCCTCCTCCCTCAGACCCGGGAGTCCAGGCCCCCAGCCCCTCCTCCCTCAGACCCAGGAGTCCAGGCCCCAGCCCCTCCTCCCTCAGACCCGGGAGTCCAGGCCCCCAGCCCCTCCTCCCTCAGACCCAGGAGTCCAGGCCCCAGTCCCTCCTCCCTCAGACCCAGGAGTCCAGGCCCCCAGCCCCTCCTCCCTCAGACCCAGGAATCCAGGCCCAGCCCCTCCTCCCTCAGACCCAGGAGCCCCAGTCCCCCAGCCCCTCCTCCTTGAGACCCAGGAGTCCAGGCCCAGCCCCTCCTCCCTCAGACCCAGGAGCCCCAGTCCCCAGCATCCTGATCTTTACTCCGGCTCTGATCTCTCCTTTCCCAGAGCAGTTGCTTCAGGCGTTTTCTCCCCACCAAGCCCCCACCCTTGCTGTGTCACCATCACTACTCAAGACCGGAGGCACAGAGGGCAGGAGCACAGACCCCTTAAACCGGCATTGTATTCCAAAGACGACAATTTTTAACACGCTTAGTGTCTCTAAAAACCGAATAAATAATGACAATAAAAATGGAATCATCCTAAATTGTATTCATTCATCCATGTGTTTACTTTTTATTTTTTGAGACAAGGTCTTGCTCAGTCTCCTGGTGAAATGCTGTAACGCAATCATAGCTCACTGCAACCGTGACCTCCTGGGCTCCAGTGATCCTCTTACCTCAGCCTCCCGAGTAGCTGGGACCACAGGTGCCCGTCACCATGCCCCGCTACTTTTTAAATTTTGTGTAGAGATGAGGTTTCCCTGTGTTGCTCAGGCTGGTCTCGAACACCTGACCCCAAGCAATCCGCCTACGTCGGTTTCCCAAAGTGCCGGGATTGCAGGCGTGAGCTGCCGCGCCCAGCCTTATCCATCCAATTAATGACTTCAAGAAACATGTACACAGTGGCCCCACCATGCCAAGCCAGGAGCTGTGTACTGACAAGTGGCTGCCTCCCTCTTTGCGTGTTTTTCCTTGGGAGTCCCCCGTCCACCCCACTGTATCAGGTTTCTAGACGGAAACACCTCAGCCCTGCAGAGTGACCTTGAGCATGACTGCCTTCTACCAGCCTCCTCCCTGGAGCCCCTGTGGTCCAGGGTAGGGAACTAAGTGCCTTGTTTCCTGGAAAATTCTATGCAAATGAAGATGTCCTCATTTTCCTAATCAGATCTCAGGTGAGGAGAGTTGAGTTAATCACAGGCTTCAGTTCCTGCCCAGGCAAAGCCCTTCTCTCATTTTATTAATTTATTTCCACTCTTCATCTCTGGCTCTGCTCCCCTCCCTCCCCACAGGCACCGACATAAATGGCTTTGAGTGCCCTGCATCCTTGGAAAACAAGGCAGTGTCACAGTGTACTGTTTCTAATTTACATGAAACCATTGTGTTAGGAATCTCATTCTCTTTCTTACTTTCACTCATCAACAGCTATTGAGCACCTACTACGGGCCAGGCATTGGTCTATTTATTAGGCACCTGCTATACACCAGGCATTGTTCTGGGTGCTGGAGGAAGAACTGTGAGCAAGCCAGTCAGAATCCCTGCCCTCACAGAACTTATATTCTAGCAGGAGATGACAGACAAGAAGCCATAAACATAATTTTAAAATAAAGCAGAGTCCCTATGAGTAACGAGGTCAATAAACTTGGGCTGGGCGGCAGGCCCAATGTGTGCCAGGGCCAGCTCATACATGCTCGCAAGAGTCTACCAGCAAATTTTCAGGAATTTCGAGAACCAGTTGCTAAATGCAGCCATCATTAAAAATTAAATTACATAAGCGTATAATTACATAATTGATTAAAAAAATTGTCAGTAAATACTCAAAACTCAACTGTTGCTAATTATTTCAACTAATACCTATGCTTGGGAGTGAGATATGTCTCTTGTACTACGTCTGTAATGATGAGTTTCTGCACACCTCTTTCCAACTCCCCAACTCTGTCTGCACCAGTAGCTTGACAATAGCCAAAGAAGAAGTATTTACTGCACTGAAATTGAAAAACACTATAGATAGGGCTTTGCCGGACAGTCATTGCTAAACCTTTACCAGGCACCCTTGGATGGGTCTGCCTGGGAATGACCTCATGATCTTAGTGTCTGTCTTCTCAAAGTTCTGTGCTTGGATACTGCAGAGTATAGCTAAAATAGAATGTTGTACTCACCTTATGTTCTATGGGGACAGCACAGTATTGGGGAACCCTAAGGTGGCAGGTCTGGGACATGCACGAAAGATTGCTGGGAAGTAGAGGCTCCCTCCTTTTCCTCATCCTCCCACCCCATCCTCCAGTGTCTGGTAACCACCATTCTACTCTCTGCTTCTAAGAGTCTGAGTTTTTTAGATTTCACATGTAAGTGAGATCATGCAGTAATTGTCATTCTGTGTCTGACCTATTTCACTTAACACAGTGTCCTCCCGGTCCATCCATGTTGTCACAAATGACAGGATTTCTTTCTTTTATAAGGCAGAATAATATTAAATTATACTGATACTAATATATTACATTTCCTTTATCCATTCATCCATCAACAGACACATAGGTTGTTTTCATATCCTGGTCATCATGAATGATGCCGCCATGAACATGGGTGTGCAGATATCACTTTGAGATGCCAATTTCATTTCCTTGCACCAACTTACACTCCAACCAACAGGGTACAAGGATTCACTTTTTTTCCCCACATCCTTGCCAGCATTTGTTATTGTTTGCCTTTTCTATACTAGTCATTCCAAAATGTGTGAGGTGATGTCTTACTGTGATTTTAATTTGTGTCTCCCTGATGATTAGTGATAGTGAGCACCTTTTCACATACTTGTTGGTCCTTTGTATGTCTTCTTTGGAGAAATGTCTATTCAGGGCCTTTGCCCTTTTTTATTTTTCAGAGACAGAGTCTCTCCCTGTTGCCCAGGCTGGAGTGCAGTGGTGCGATCTCAGCTCACTGCAACCTCCACCTCCTGGGTTCAAGTGATTCTCCTGCCTCAGCCTCCCAAGCAGCTGGGATTACAGGCATCTGCCACCATGCCCAGCTAATTTTTGTATTTTTAGTAGAGACAGGGTATCATCATGTTGGCCAGGCAGGTCTCGAACTCCTGACCTCAGGTGATCCACCCACCTCAGCCTCCCAAATTGCTGGGATTTCAGGCATGAGCCGCTGCGCCCGGCCCTTTGTCCATTTTTTAATTGGGTTATTTGTTTTCTTGCTGTTGATTTTTGCATTGCTTATATATCTTGGATATTGACCCTCTATCAGATACATCATTTGCAAATATTTTCTCCCATTTGGTAGGCTGTCTTTTCACTCTGTTGATCATTATCTGTTGGTTGTTTCCTTTGGTGCACAGAAGCTTTTCCATTTGATGCAATCGCATTTGTTTATTTTTACTTTTGTTGTCTGTGCTTTGGGGGTTATATCTAAAATATCATTGCCCAGACAAATGTCAAGAAGTTTTTTCCCCATGTCTTCTTCTTGTCATTTTACAGTTTCAGGTCTTATGTTTAAATCCTTAACCCATTTTGAGTTGATTTTTGTACATGGCATGAGATAGGAGTCCAATTTCATTCTTCTCCTTGCAGGTATCCAGTTTTTCCAACAGCTTTTGTTAAAGAGAATATCCTTTTCCTTTGGGTTAAAGATCAGTTGGCAGTAAATGCATGGATTTATTTCTGAGCTCTCTATTCTGTCCCATTGGTTATATGCCTGTTTTTGTGCCAGTACCATGCTGTTTTGGTTACTATAACTTTGTATTATGTTTTGAAATCAGACAATAAGATGTCTCTAGCTTTGTTCTTCTTGCCCAAGATTGCAGGGTCTTTCATGGTTCCATATTTATGATTTTTTTTCTACTTCTGTGAGAAAAAGCCATTGGAATTTTGATAGGGATTAAAATGAAAATGTAGATAGCTTTGGTTAGCATTGACATTTTAGAAATATTAATTCTTCCAATTCACAAATATGGGATATCTTTCAATTTCTTTATGTTGTCTTCAATTTTTTTTATCAGCATTTTATAGTTTTCAGTGTACAGATTATTTACTTCCTTGCTTAAGTTTATTTTTAAGCATTTTATTGTTTCTGATGCCATTGTAAATTGAGTTGCTTTCTCAATTTTTTTCTGATAATTCATTGTTAGGGTGTAGAAACACAACCAAATTTTGTATCTTACAACTTTACTGAATCATTTATTAGTTCTAACAGTTTTTCGGTGGACTCTTCAGGGTTTTCTACATATAAGATTATGTCATCTGCAAACAGAGACAATTTTACTTCTTTCTTTCTGATCTGAATGTCTTTTATTCTTTTTCATGCCTAATTACTATGGCTAGGACTTCTAGTGCTAATGTTGAATAGAAATGGCTAGAGTGGGCATCCTTGTCTTTTTCCTGATCTTAGAGGAAAAGCTTTCAAGTTTTCACCATTGGGTATGATGTTAGCTGTGGACTTGTCATATATGGCCTCTATTGTGTGAGGTACATTCTCTCTATACCTAATTTGTTGACTGTCTTTATCGTGAAACGATATTGTATTTTGCAAAATGATTTTTCTGTACCTATTAAGATGATCATATAATTTTTATCCTTCATTCTGTTGAGGTATATCATGCTTAGTGATTTGTGCATGTTGAACCGTCCTTATATCCCAGGGATAAATCCCACTTGATCATGGTGTATGATGTTTTTAATATGCTACTGAATTTAGTTTGCTAGTGTTTTGTTGAGGATTTTTGCATCTATATGCATCAGAGATACTGGCCTATAATTTTCTTTTCTTATAGTGTCCTTGTCTCAGTTTGTGGAGGTTGCACCTTCTGTGTCAAGGTGATAAACACACACTGTGGATTTAATACTTAGCAGCCATACAAGCCCTATAGGAAAAAGGAGAGAAAAGAAGTTGTGTACTTGGGTAGATTTGGGCACCCAGTGACATGATATAACTCATGCTATAATTCTCAACCTGCATCCTTCTATAAAGCTAAATAAAAATAGTTTAAAGACTACTTTAATTTTATTTGCAACTCAAAGTTCCAGCTATGGTGGTTGAACATTATATTTTATTGATTTAAAGACACATTCTTTTCATATTTTTCACATCTCTGAAATTAGGAAGCATCTTACATCTTAATTCAGCATGATGTCTTACACCTCATAATTTAATTGGCAACTTCTTTTTCTTTCTGAGTGGTCTACAAAATAAAGTGCAATATAATCAACAGTATTTTACATTCAATTAAATAGTGTGTGAAGGAAGGTAGGTGTAGGTGAGGGGTCAGGTTGTATTATTAAATACGTCATCTGATTTCGTCAAATCATCTTGTAACAATCTATCTGCATCACTATTTGCTCATCTAGTTCACTGCTTCTAACTGCCCCAGAGTCTTCTAGACATATGTTGTCCAATATGGTAGCCGTTAGCCACAACTGGTGTGGCCATTTAATTTTTGATTAAAATTAATTAAAATTAGATGCACCTTAAAATTCCATTCCTTAGTCATACTCACAACATTTCAATAACCGTACGTGGCTAGCGGCTGCCATATTGACAGCACGGATATATTATAGATAGAATTATTTGCATCTCATCACTGGAAGTCCCATTGAACAGCACTACTCTGGTTTTTGCCCTTGCTTCACATAGCGTGGTGCAGAAAATAGCAATTCTGAATCACTTATTAGAACTGGAGTCTTAGATCTCACCCAGACCAACTGAATCGGAATCTGCGTTATATATAACAAGATTGCCAGGGCACTCAGTGCATGTTAGGATTTGAGAAGCGCCGCTGCATAGTACACATCCACCATGTTTAGTAACCCAGTCCTTCAGTGATGGACACCTAGGTTCCCTTCACTTTGAGCGTGCCACTTATGTATCTATACAAGACTCCTCTTGACCATTCACACAGGAGTGGGACCAAGGGGCCTAAAGGCCTATTCTTAATCAATTTCACCGAATACTGGCAAGTTTTTGTCTAACAAAGAAGGGTTCGACCAGGTGCGGTGGCTCACGCCTGTAATCCCAGCACTTTGGGAGGCCAAGGCGGGCAGATCATGAGGTCAGGAGACCGAGACCATCCTGGCTAACACGGTGAAACCCCGTCTCTACTAAAAATACAAAAAAATTAGCCGGGTGTGGTGGTGGGTGCCTGTAGTCCCAGCTACTCAGGAGGCTGAGGCAGGAGAATTGCTTGAACCCGGGAGGCTGAGGTTGCAGTGAGCCGAGATCGTGCCACTGCACTCCAGCCTGGGTGACAGAGAGAGACTCCATCTCAAAAAAAAAAAAAATTAGGTTTCTTCCCTCTCCACACCTTCAACAATATCCATATTTGTCACTGACGGTTCCTACGGAAGTGAATGAAGGGGGACGAATGCAGAAATAAAGACAAGAGATCTGTTTTGAAAGAATGTGTCAGGGAGCTCCTTGCTTCTGGTGAGCAAAGGCAGCCTTGAGCTTCTACAGCCCTTCATTTATATTAGGTAGAAAGAGCAGGGAGGGAGAGGTAACGGTTGATCAGCTGCTTGATTAATCACAGGTACATATAATTGTTTTCTTTGTACAACAGGCTTCAGATGTTCTTTCGGATAATCACAAGGAACACTGTGCTTGAGGCGTGACTGCCCTCAGCACCTTTTCTGGTGGCAGATGCAGTTGTCAGTTTTCCAACATCCTGCTTTCATGAGAACAGTTTTCTGTTTGCTCATATAGCCTCGAGTGGTAAACTGAGTTGGTCACAACCCCCATTTTCTCAGCCTGTAACACATATTTATTCATTCAGTAAATATTTAATGCCCATAGTTCATTTATTTATTCAGCAAATATTCATTAAATCTGATTGTGTACCAGGTATTGTTCTAGGAGCAAAATATTTGAACAATTCTTTCCTCAGGGAGTTCACATTCTAGAGGGGAGGCAGACAGAAACAAATGAATAAGTAAAACATTACGCCTGACAGATGGGAATAAATGCCATAGAAGAAAATAAAGCAGAGTAACAGGATAGAGAATGTCAGAGGAGAGTTGCAATTTTATGTTGGGTGGTTGTACAACCCAGCAGGCTTGGACTGTCCAAACCCTGCACACTACAGTGAAACTTTTGGCCCTTGCCTGGCTTCTGGGAGATAACCTCTATGCTCTTGGAATATCTTGCTAAGTAACAGTGTCTTTGTCTCTCTGGGGCTTGAGCCATGCCAGATAATCTATAACAATGTGACTTATGGTGGGGACCTAGGGACATGTTGTATCAATTTGACCTCTAGAGGATCTGGAGCTAAGGTCAGCCACACAAACAGGCAGTCATGTCGATATGACTAACCCCCAATATAAACCCTGGACATCAAGGCTTGGGTGAGCTTCCCTGGCTGGCGATGCTCCAGCGTGTTGTCATACATTATTGCTGGGGGAATTATGCACTGTCCACAAACTCCACTGGGAGAAGACAGGTGGAGGCTCATGCCTGGTCTCTCCCAGACTCTGCCCGATGCACCTTTTTTCTTTGCTCATTTTAATCTGTGTCCTTTCACTGTAAGAAACCAAAACTATAACAACTTTTCTGAGTTTTATGAGTCCTTCTAGTGAATCACTGAAACTGTCCTGGAGACTCCCAAGAACAGTGGTCAAGAGGGCCTTCATGAAGAAGATGGCAAGAATACAGGGGACCATGCAGACATCTGGGGGAAGAGGGTTTCAGGCACAAAAGCCCTGAGATGGAAGCATGCCCAGCATTAGAGGGACAAGAGAAGAGAAGATCTTGGGCCTTATATGCCAACCAGAAGGAAATGCCACTTTCACTTGGAGTGCAGTGGATGCTACTGCAGGGTTTTGAGAAAAGTGACCTGCTCTGACTTACATTCTAAAAGGTCACTCTGGTAGCTGCATTAAAATTAGAGTGTAGGAGGACAAGGACAGAAGCAAAGAGACCAGATAGGAAACTTGCAGTAATCCAGGTGAGAGATGATGCAGGCTGAGTGGGACCAGGGTAGCAAAGATGGAATGTGGTAAGAAACAGTCAGATTCTGGATCCACCCTGAAGATAGAACCGATGGAATTTGGTAACAAAATGTATGTATGGTGTGAGAAAAGGGATTCGACGGTGAGACTGAAGTATTGACCAGGTAATGAAAAGGATGGTGTGAACATCCGCTGAGAAGCCCAAGACCCACAAGAGAAGTATGTTTGGAACATGGGAAGGGCAGAGAACAGAAGTTGGTTTTGAACATGGAGATGTTGAGTAGGCAGCTGGATGTTAAGTGGAGAGTTTGAGAGTCAGACCTGGCTGGAGACATAAATTTGGGAGTCGTCAACATGTAGATGGTATTTAAAGCCACGAGACCAGATGAGATCACCGAGGGAGTGAATATAGACAGAGGAGAGAAGAAGGCCAAGGACCGAAGCCTGAGGTGCTCCACCATGTAGAGACTGGGGAGACAGGAAGAAACCACCTCCAGACACGGATGAGAATCAACCAGTGAGTGATGAGGAAAACCAGGAGAGCATAGTGTCCCAGAAGCCAAGGAAAGAAACAGGGAGTAGTCCACTTGTTAAATGCTGCTGATAACTCCAGTAAGATGAACCTGAAGAGACGGCCCTTGGATTCAGTACCGTGGAGGTCACTGTTGCCCTAAACAGGGGCATGGTTGGTACAGCAATGGGAGAGAAAGCCTTCATAGTGTGGGCTCCAGGGAGGACGGGAGGACAGGAATTGCAGGCAGTGAGCTTAGCCAACTTTTTAGGGAAGGATTGCAGTTGTACAGAGCAGAAAATGGGCCAGGAGCTGAAGGAGAACATGAGAGTGGGGAGAAATTTTTGTTGGTTGGTTTTCAAATTTTAACGAGAGATGGGAGAAACTGTAGTATATTTGCATGCTAATGGGGCTGCTCCTTGGAGAAGAAGGAAAACATGTTGCAGGAAAGAGAACAGAGAACTGCTGGCTGGAGCAATGCCCTCCAGAAGGCAAGAGAGGACAGGATACCAGCACCAGTGGAGGCATCTATCTTAGCTGCAGGTGCAGACTGTTCATCTAGAGAAATGGGAGAGGAGACAGAGGATGTGGGCACGCAGGTAGGTGGCAAGACCGACCTTTCTAATTTTTGCTATTCTGATGGATGAAAGCGATGTGTTATTGCTGCCTGGGATGCATGATGACTGGAGCCACATCCTGAATAACACGGATCCAGCTCTAAAGAAGAATCCATGTTTCTCAACTCTCTGTGCCTCTTTCTCACCAAGAGTCTGCTTCTCACTGGGCATCTCTCTCTTTCTATCTCTGTGCCTCTGTCCTCTGAATTTTCTTTCTGTCCTCTCCCACCTGCCCCATCTTTCTGTCTCTGTGTATTTAGCCCTTTGTATCTCTCAGTCTTCCCCTCCCTTCATGTTTGCGTTGGGGCCCCTCCTCTGGGCCTGGGTGTGGGGCCTACTTTCTCATCCCAGCTAGCACTTCCAACCAGAAGTTCCAGTTCCTGCTTGACAAAGAATCCCATTTTGAAGCCAAGATAGGGAGGGGCCTCCTGGAACCGTCAGATGCCTCCATCTTAAGCTTTACTTATTTAACAGGAGCATTGTGGCCCTTGGTCCATGCCACACTCTCTTCGAAGCATTTTTGGGTATTAATCCAGTTAACCCTTCTCCATAAGGCAAGTGCTATTGATTGTGCCATTTTACAAATGGGGATGCTGAGGCACAGAGCAGTCACATCATCTGAACTCAGGCAGTCTAGCTCCAGAGTCTGAGGTCAGAACCACTAGGAACACCATCTCTTTTTCGGGTCCTTTCTTCTTCTTTCTCCAGCCCGGTTCTCTGTGGTGGAGGAAAGACCTGCACCTGTGACAGAAGCGCACTTGGATTTGGTCCAGTTTGTGTGTGACTTTCAGCCGTGGGCTTGTTCATCAAGTGAGGGGGTGGAAGGTGCCCAGCCCTCAGTGGGTCCATGACCTCACTTCAACCAGAGCTACCCAACCCGCGTTCGGCCAATCATAACCCCTAACATCAATTTGACCTGGCACTCACCCCTCAGCAAATAACAAGGCCAACCACCCTCACTCCAGGCTCCAGCTTTTCCCAAGTGAGAAAGGCTTCTCTGGAAGCATGGACCCAGGTCACAGGAGGGTACAAGTACCCCGATTTCCCACATAAGCTGGTTGCCGCACTTAACCTGGCATCCTACCTCCAGCCACACCACCTGAACACAATTCCACTCAAAAAGTGAACTCAGACCCCGCCCTGTGAGGTGGGAGAAGTCCAGGGTGGAGAAAGACAGTGACCTTTCTTTCACCTTGAGAGGTGGGGTATGACCCAGCTCACCCCCACCAAAACCTACTGCATCATAGACACTCAACCTCATGGCCAGTCCTCATCACCCATGTCAACCCACTACCCCAGCTCAACCACATCTTAACATTTCCCCATCCAAAACCTCAATCTTGGTTCCATCTTCAGCCCCAACCCAACAGTACCCCAACACCAACTTATCCCTAGATACCTCCCATCTTACAATCTAATCCTATCCCAAAACCAGCTCAACTACCACCTCCAACTCTATACCCATCCTCATCCAATTTTCATTCACCTCCCCAAACTCATTGCATTCCTAATGTTGTCATCAGGCCCATCCTTAACCATAGACTCTACTGATTTCCTATATTAAGCCATATTTTTCTTCTTAGCAAAATACTTTGAAATGGACCCAACATTGGACACTGAGGTGTCGCCAATGCAAAGTTAGATGGGTTATCTGATTTTATGAGGTCTCTGTACCCTTTCCTGTCTTTGAGCCACTTTATGACTCTAAATTGTAGGTATCTGAGAGCAATGCAAATAATTCTTGTCCATAAATGTTTACATGAATTTTGCCAGGTGGAAGTACAATGGATTTCCCTCCTCCTCCCAGTGTGGAATAGCCAGTTTTGCATCTATTTGTAAATTCATTTCAGCATTCCTCGTTGTCTCTGTGCATATGGCTCTTTGTAACATCTTACTGGCTCTGCCATTTATTAATGAGTCAAGATACAATCTTTGACACATGTTCATTTCATATATGTCAGAGAGTCATGGTAAGACCATGTTTTAAAAGTTACCCTTTGACACTAGATTTGATCTCCACATCCAAATCTGAACTCCATCAATAAGGACTGTACAAGTTTCCATGTGAGCCCTCGCCCCATCCATCTCTATTCTTTATCCTCATTGTGACACCTCCACTCTCTCACTCTTTCCAAACTTCATCTGGTCCACGTCCCTGGCTTTCTTCCAAATTCTGACCCCACCTCAGTCCTTAATCCCTAATCCTGTCCCCTCCACCCCCTAGGATTAACTCAGGGCTCCACCCAGTCATAGTTCCTGGAGACACCTACTCATTCTCAAAACACCACCCCTTCCTCCTTCCTCTCCCCCACCCCCAATCCACGTCTTCAAAGCTTTCCGGCTCCTGCTTTTTCCTCTCCACCTAGGTCCCCGTGGACTCCCTCACCCCCTCTGGCCCTGCTCCTAAAAGGCCATTTCTGGAAAATGTTGCTTTCTCAGGTCGCATCTCTGCCCCCATCCAAGTCCGAGGGAGCTGATTTTCTATCCACCCAGCTGATGATTTCCTTCTTGTGTCCGGTGGTTGGCGGGAGCAGGGAGGCAGGATGATGGGATAATTGTGGGTGTCCTTGTGTCTTTCAAAAGAAAAAGGGTTGAGATGAGACTGGGAATTGGAACCTGGATGTGTTGAGAGCTAAACCTGAGATGAGGTTGGAGATGGGACTGGGGTTGAGGAACAGGCTGGAGTACTTGGTATGGTTAGGGATGGATAGGGAGGTGGGAATCTGATAGAACACGGCCATCTGGGGGCTGACTGCCTATTAAGAATTATGCATGGGGTTGGAGAAGAGGTTAGAAAACTGGGTGCAGAATGGGTTGAAGTTAGGGATGGGCATGGAACTCAGCGGGGTAGGGGGAAGGAAATGGGCTTTCCCCTTACCCTTTTTTGGGTCCTGAGGCCTGAAAGTTCACAGTGGGTTCAACTCTGCCTTGGGCGGGGTCAGACCTAGGTCCCAGCACGTCCTGGAAGCTCCGCCCCAAGCAGAGGGCCAAGCCCAGGTCGGGGGTGCCTGGAGACATCCCGCTGAGCCACTGGGGGTGGAGAGGGGGAGGCCAGGGACCAGGAAATGCTGAGTGAGCTGGGGGAGGGAGTTCAGGGGTTAAAAGCCATGGTTCGGGGCTGAAGTTCTAGACAGCTGGCGGCTGACGCTCCTCGTGGGCCCCTCACTCAGGTAGGGTCTGCCTGGGGCGGGGGCGGGGAGCGGAGGAGGGCAGGGAGGGGAGAGAAGAGGGGATAGGAAGGATGGGGAAAGCAGAAGGGCAGCTGAGTCAGGGAGAGGGAGAGTGAAGCTAGAGTCTCAGATCTAGAGAGAAACCTGCAGAGACGGAGAGAGGCGAAGGGCGCGGACAGATAAGAACTTGGGCTAATACCAAGCGTGTGGACAGACCCAGAGGGGTAGAATGGAAGGCAGACTCTGGAGGAAAAGGGCGAGAGTGCACCGACCACCCAGCTCGCCAGAGGGCAGGGGAGGAGGGACGGCTTCCTGGGGTGAGGGGCTGCACGCCGGAGCCCCAGGAGGTTGCACACTGTTCCTCCCACCTCGCCACTGCACCCCCACCAAGGATGGAATTGGAGGCGGGGGGCAGATTCCAGGGTCAGGGCTGTCAAGAGTGAATGAGGCGAGGAGACATTCAGGAGCAGAGAGGTTTCAGACGCGGAGGTTCCGGGCACGCCCTCAACACCCCCTTCACCTTCTCCTCAGGCCCCGCCCGCCCTGCCCTCCCCTCCCGATCCCGGAGCCATGTGGCCCCTGGCCCTAGTGATCGCCTCCCTGACCTTGGCCTTGTCAGGAGGTAAGAATGCGCGGGGGTGGAGGCGCGGCGGCCATTCGGGACAATGGTAGGAGGGGTCAGGCCGGAGGGGGAGGGGGCGTGGGAGCCGCGAGCTCCGCCCCCCGCCCACTCGGGGCCGGGTCCAGTGGGGACAGCTCAGAGCTCTTCCTGCTTGTCCCTGGGTGACCTGGTTTCCCGGCTGAGGTTGGCCCTCCGACCCCAGACCCTTCACCTCCCAAAATACCCTCGCAGCAGCCCCTCCCGCGTTCAAGGCTTCCTGTCCTCTCTGGAAAGCTGAAAGACATGGGTTCGCGTCCTGACGCTGCCGCTTTGAGCCAGTAGCCTAGCAGCTGCTTTGTGCCTAAATTGTTTTCATCTGGAAAATGGGCTTAATCTATAAGTGCTTACCAGAGAAGGTCACTGTGAATATTGAAACGAGGTAATGCGTCGAGCCTTCAGTATGTCGCAGGTAGAAGGGACTTGAAAGTTAGCCACTTAGCCGTTATTACTTTATTAGTAGTATTCCTTTTTTTTTTTTTTTTTTTTTTTGAGATGGAACCTTGCTCTGTCTCCCAGGCTGGAAGGCAGTGGCACGATCTTGGCTTACTGAAACCTCCGCCTCCCGGGTTGAAGCGATTCTCCTGCCTCAGCCTCCCGAGTAGCTGGGATTACAGGCGCCCGCCACCACGCCCAACTAATTTTTGTATTTTCAGCAGAGACGGGGTTTCGCCATGTTGGTTAGGCTGGTCTCGAACTTCTAACTTCAAGTAGCCCGCGTCAGCCTCCCAAAGTGCCAGGATTACAGGCATGAGCCACCGAGCCCGGCCTCTAGTATTCTGTCTTCATACTCAGCCCCTTCCAGAACCTTCTAGATTGTTATTTTAATCCTTGGGTTGACCCCAAACCTATGTGACCTCACCCCAAATTGGTAGTCCTTAAGATCCTTATGGATCTTTCCCATCTTTCCCTGCCGTTGTAGGCAGGTTCTCTGGAAACCCCGTTCATGAATCATTTATTCATTCAACAAACAGCTATTAAACACCGGCCACTGTGCTGGGTGCTGTACAAGCAGAGACACAGTCCCTGCTCTCAGCACCTGGAGTCTAGCGGGGACAGACGCAGATGTTATTCAAACAATTATCCAAATAATTAGTTAATAATTATCTTGACATGAGGTGAAGACTTCAAGGAGCCAAGCCAGGGGCCTAGAGATGTAATGGCGGCTTCCCGACCAGAGGCCTTCCCAAAGGGCTTGACCCTTGAGCCAAGACCTGAAAAAGGAGGGATCTGTGGGTGCCTGGCACCTGGCACCATCCTTGGCCTGAAGGTGGGGTGGCTTTTCTCCTCTGGCGACACTCCCTGGATTCATGCCCGTGCCACTCCTGAGTGCCACACCCTAGGCTAGGAGACCCACACGCTACGCCTTGTGGAGTCCTCAACAACCTGGCGAGGTAGGTGCATTGTAATTACTCCAATTTCATGGCAGAGAAACCTAGGACTCAAAGACAGAAGGCTCCTGCTCCAATGACACCGGCGATGCCTGAGTCAGAATCCTAATCAAGGTTGTTTTCCCTGTCCATATCCTGGACTTGAGGCTCTGAAAACCATTTTTATAACTTTTGACCTAATCATTTGCTTAAAGTTAGCTTTTTTTCTTCTTTTTTCACTCAAACAAAAGCATGTTCAACTTTATATTACTGTCCTGAATAGAGAATAGAATTCTTTGTCATAAATAGAAGGTAAGGAAGGAAATAAATCCTGCACAATGAAAAGAAAATAATATGTTTATTGGGTTGGACCACCTGAAATTGCTGATACTTGACCCTTTTTGACCTTCCTAAAACAACTTTTGCAGATGGTTCAGTGTAATAAATGTTAGGTGGCCTGATGAGGCTTCTGTGTCCTCCTGGCTTTGAAAAGTGAGCTCAGTGAGGATTAGGGAGGTGTTAAAACCATATTAGCACCATCCTGAGACTTTATCCTTGACAAAATCAGGTTTAAAAGAGAACTGGATGCTGGTTCAGCGTCTGAGTGTGCGATTTAACGTTACTTAAATCTCATCTCTCTACCATCTAAAATGATCCTGTGCTCACCGACAACTTCTGTCCCTAACTGCAAACCACTGAGCTAATCCAACTGCTTGCCCTGTAGTTGGGGAAACTAGCTAGGGAGGCAGAGGGACCTCCTGTTGTAGCTAATAATTAATAATAACATTTCCCACTGACTGAGTGCTCTCCATGCCACCTGCTGTGCTGCACGGTTTGAAATGCAGGATCATCTTGAATTCTTCAACTGCGCAATGAGAGATGAACTATTACTTTTTCTACTTGACAGCTGGGGAAACTGAGGCTGGTGATTTGCATAAGGTCACACAGTCACAAAATGGCATGCATGTTCAGGATTGGATTCTCCCTGTCCCACGGACCCCTGCTGTGCTTTCAATGCCAGACACAGTGCCTGGCACACACAGCATTTATTTATTGAGCCCCCATTGTGTGCCAGGCGCTGTGTTAGGTCCTGGGAATATGGTACTGAATAAAGCAGTTAAGGTGCCTGTTGTCAATGGAGCTTACAGTCAAAGTGGAGAGATTTTTAAAAACGAATACATACAAATGTGAAGAGAAATGAATAGCAATCATTGTTCTGATGAAGACCAACTGGAAGAATGTAATGGGGGAGGAGTCGGGACCAGGAGAGTCAACATTAGACCAGGTGGTCAGGGAAGGCCTTTCTGAAGAGGAGACATTTGAGCTGACCTCTCAGAATTAAGAAGGACCCAGACATACAACCTCTAAATTCTGAGGGTCATCCAGTAGAATATTCCATATATGTATATATGAAATATCCTATATCTGTGCTGTCCAATTATCCACTAGCCCCTTCAGGCTATTGAACATTTGAAATATGGCTGGTGTGACTTAAGAACTGAATTTTTAATTTAGTTTTACTTCATTTTAATTAGTTTAAATTTAAATAGCCACATGTAGCTAGTGGCTACCATATTAAACAACATAGGTCTGGAGAAAGGACTGTGCAGAGAGAGGAAATAGCAAGTATAAAATGTCTAGTATGGGGGCATCCAAGATGATTTAAATTCTTCTTTTCTTTAAATGCCTGGTGTGTTTGAAGAACAGGCCCATGAGGCTGGACTAGAGGAAGTCAGAAGAAAGAGGTTGGAGATGGGGTCAAAGAGGCTGGCAAGGGCCAGACAGCACAGAGTCCTGCACACCTTGGGAAGGCTTTTTGGATTTTATTTTAAAGAAAGTTGAGCCTGGGAACAACATCTGACTTTCTTTGTTTGAAGAGTCCTCAGCCTACTTTGAGAAGACTGGATCGGAGGGATGTAAAAGTGGAAGGATTTAGGTTAATGTTGTAGTCATTTGGGCTACAGAAGATGGGGCATGGACCAAGATGGTGGCAGAAGTGTGGAGATAACTGGATATTTGGGAGATAAAACCAATAGGAACTGGTTGTGAGTGATGAAGGAAAGAAGAGAAGCAAAGATGACTCCCAGGTTTGGGGCTGAGCACTGAGGTGGGAAATACTGGAGCGAACAGTTTTGATTGAGAAGAATCAAGTTGGGAATACAAAGCTTAAGATGCCTGTAAGGCATCCAAATCAACAGTGTTTGAGTTTTGAGCTTAAAGAAGAGTTCAGGGCTGGAGATGATTAGCCTATAGCTGGTATTTAAAGCCATGGAGGCAACCAGTATATATGCAGTGAAAGGATAGAGAGATGGGTGGAAAGATGATTGGATGGATGCATGGATGGATATATGGATAGATGGATGGATGGATGGTTGGATTGGATGGATGGATGGATGGATGGATGGATGGATGGATGGATGGATGGATGAATAAATGGACCAGTGGATGGAGGGACAGATGAGTGGATGGATGGTTGGATGGATGGATGGATGGATGGATGGATAGATGGTTAGATGACTACCTAAATGGATGAATGGATAGATGGATGAGTAGACGGATGGACAAATCAATAGGATGAATGGGGGATGGATGATTGGATAGATTGATGGATAGATATTGCCTAGGTGGATGTGTAGGTCAGTCTCACTTCTACCTCCTGAAATCCATCTTCTGGTAGAATGATATAAAAAATGCATGTGGAGAGAAAGTCAGGCTCCTGCTTACCTATCAGCAACATCCTCATTTTGTGAACTCTTCTGTTAACCCCCAGTGGAGGATTTGGTACTTCCTGAGAAAATAATGTCACCCCTTTGCCCTAATTCATCTCCACTTGGTCAAGAATAGCAACTGCCATAGGTCGGCAAATTCATCTTCAGTTCCTGGTCACCCAGGGCAATAATCCGACCCTTACCCCAAACCCAGAAACCACAACCCCAGGGCTCCTCTGCCCCCTGGATCCCAGTTTTCTAACAATCTCTCTTCTTTACCAGGTGTCTCCCAGGAGTCTTCCAAGGTTCTCAACACCAATGGGACCAGTGGGTTTCTCCCAGGTGGCTACACCTGCTTCCCCCACTCTCAGCCCTGGCAGGCTGCCCTACTAGTGCAAGGGCGGCTACTCTGTGGGGGAGTCCTGGTCCACCCCAAATGGGTCCTCACTGCCGCACACTGTCTAAAGGAGTATGTGGGGGCCGGGGGAGCATGGGGTAGGGATGAGAATGGGACTGGGATTGTGGATGGGGTAGAGTTGGATTTGAGGATGGAGTTGGAGTTAGGGTTGGGGATGGACATGGGAGTGAGAATGAGGTTTGGGGTTGAGATATGGGGATTGGGTATGGGAATAGAATCAAAGTAGGGGATTTGGATGGGATTGAAGTTGAGGATGGGGGAGATGTATTTGGAGATGAGGAAGGTAGGATGGAGAAGAAGTTAGGTTGGGGATGGGAAGAGGTTGGGGCTGGGATGGGGATGGAAATGGGCTCATCTTCTTTCCTAACCACCTTCTTTCTGCACCCACAGGGGGCTCAAAGTTTACCTAGGCAAGCACGCCCTAGGGCGTGTGGAAGCTGGTGAGCAGGTGAGGGAAGTTGTCCACTCTATCCCCCACCCTGAATACCGGAGAAGCCCCACCCACCTGAACCACGACCATGACATCATGCTTCTGGAGCTGCAGTCCCCGGTCCAGCTCACAGGCTACATCCAAACCCTGCCCCTTTCCCACAACAACCGCCTAACCCCTGGCACCACCTGTCGGGTGTCTGGCTGGGGCACCACCACCAGCCCCCAGGGTATGCACCCACACAGGTGGCCTGAGGCCCCATAGGAGTGGCTGGGGAAACAGGGGCAGAGATGGGAGGGAAGGTCTGAGGTAGGTTCCTTTATATATAAAAATATAAATAAGTAAATAAATATATATATTTAAAGTTAGCTGTATCCTTTATATAAATATAAATTCATGAATATATAAAAATATGAGTATATAAATTCATGAATATATAGAAATATAAATAGATCTAATATATGAATATATTATATGATGTATATTATGTATTATATAGTAATATAATTATATATTATACAAAAAGTATACAAATTAAATGTATTTTATAAATTATAAAATTTATCAATTATGTATTTTAAATATGTATTTCTGCATAATGTATATATTATATATAATCTATATTTAAATTATATATTATAAATGTATTTTATAAATGTATACATTTATATATTTATATACTGTAAATGAATTTTATCATTTATAATATATAAATCATACATATAAAATGTTTATATTTCTATAATTTATAAAATGTTTAATATATTAAATATGGTTATTAATGAAATGTCTAATAATTCAATGTAATAATTAATTCTATATCATTACTTAGTAAGTATAATACATTATATATGTGAATATAAAGTTGATGTATATACCGACAAGAGCCCTTTGCATCTCCCTAGCAATCCCTGACTCTCTCCCAGCCTCATGTTTGTATCTTTCTCCTCAACATGCCCTGTCTCTCTTCCTACCATTCTATCCAACTCTCCCGTAACTCTTCCCATCCCTGTTCCTGCTTTTCCCATCTTTAATTCTCTATTTCTGACCATCTCCCTATTCCAACTCCCTCTCTCCAACTTTCTCTCCCCACCGCTGGCTCCACCACTCTCCTTATCAACCTTCCATTCTCTTGTCCCTTCCCTCCTTGTCCTTCCCTCCACTTTTCTCCTCATCTCTCCCTTCGCCTCTCTCCCATGTCCCTCCATATTTCTGTCACTTCCGTTGCTTTACCCAGATAGGTGCTCATCTCTTCTCCCATCTTTCTCTTCCCATCTCAATTTTCTATCTACTCTTTACCCATTCAACTCGCCTATTTCACCTTCATCCCATATCCTATCCAGGTCGGATACCTTAGACCTTCTCTTTCTTCTCCCCAGTGAATTACCCCAAAACTCTACAATGTGCCAACATCCAACTTCGCTCAGATGAGGAGTGTCGTCAAGTCTACCCAGGAAAGATCACTGACAACATGTTGTGTGCCGGCACAAAAGAGGGTGGCAAAGACTCCTGTGAGGTGAGGCCGGGAGGCTGGTGGGTGCCTTGGACAGGATAGAAAGCCAGAATGGAAGTGACAGATGCTGGGGAAAAAGCTTTGTTTCCAGCCTTAGGGGAACCAATCTTTATAAGATACAATGTCCCCTCACATAGGAGGTCAAGACAAAAAGGGGTACCCAGGGATGGCAGGAATAATTCATCATAAGCCCCAGCTTTGACTGAGTGGCTGCCAAGATCCCTGTGTTGAGATGCATAAAGGTTGGTATTCTTTCACTTGTGAGTGATAGACAACCAACTCAAACTGGCTTAAACAAAATGCAGGCTTTTGTAACTGAAAATCCAGGTTGTCTGGCTTTAGGCACAGATGGATCCAGGTATGCAAATTGTGTGTTTGGAATTCTGTCTTTCTTTTAACTCTCAGCTCTTCTTTATTCTGTTTTGGCTTCATTCTCGGTTAGATTCTTCCCATGACAAGATGGCCCCAGCAGCTTTGAGCTTACATCCTACCCTCTAGGCAACCCTATTAGAAAGAGAACCTCTCTTTTCCAATAGTTCACACAAAAGTCTTAAGCATGATTCTCACTAGGCTGACCTAAGTCATGTGTCTTGAGCCATCACTCCACCAGAGCTGTGGGATTCTCTGATGGGCCAAGCCTGAGTCACATAGTTAACTGTGGGTGCTGGAGAGGGGCAGGGACAAACTGCATGGATTGGAAGTGGAGAAGGGCAGTTCCCCAAATGAAAAAATCAGGAGAGGCTGTTACCAAAATAAGGGGAAATGGCCAAGTACAGTAGTTCATGCCTGTAATCCCAGCACTTTGGGAGGCTGAGGTGAGAGGATTACTTGAGCCCAGGAGTTTGAGACCAGCCTGGGCAACATAGTGAGACTCTGTCTCTACAAAAAGAAAAAAAAGTTTTTAAATTAGCCAGGTGTGGTGGAGTACAACTGCAGTCCTAGTTACTCGGGAGGCTGAGGCAGAAGGACTATTTGAACCCAGGAGTTCAAGGCTGCAGTGAGGTATGATCATGCCACTGCACTCCAGCCTGGGTGATAGAGCAAGGCCCTGTCTCTAAAACAAAAAGAAATAAATAGAGCAAGACACTGTCTCTAATAAATAAATAAATAAAAATTTAAAAATGAATGTTTAATTTTTTAAAAATAAGAGGAAATGGATACTACATGAGCAAAAAATAGCCTTCATCAATAAAGAAGTTGAGATTGGATTCAGTGAGAAAGAGTATGATACTATATTAATGATATGTGCCTTGATCGATTAGTGATGTCTGCCTTGGGCCCAGGAAGAGAAATAGACTTACACGTGTGTTGCATACCCTGCCCAGATATGAATGGGTTCACTCAATAGTGAGAGACACAAATGAGCCTTAAATAGGAGCAGGGTCAGCTGGTGTGGGGCAGGGGGTGATTTAGTACCAGGGAAACAAAAATGGGTATGAAGTAAGTTGTTACCATTTTAATGAAACTGAGGAACAGAGAAAAACACAGAAATTTCTCTGTGTCTCTCTTTCTCTGGGCCTATCTCTGTCTTTCTGTCCCTATTTCTGTCTCTTGCTGTCTGTCCCTCTGTGTTTGTCTTCTTGTCTGTTTCTCACTGTCTTCATTGCTTTCTCTCACACTGTGTGTGTCTGACTCTGCCTCTCTGAGTCTCCTTCTCTGTGTGTGTCTCTCTCCATCTTTCACTCTCTCCCCACACCTCCCTGTCCCTGCCTTGTTTAGCCCCAGCAAGGACCCACCTCTCTCTCTCTTTCTTTCCCCAACTCAGGGTGACTCTGGGGGCCCCCTGGTCTGTAACAGAACACTGTATGGCATCGTCTCCTGGGGAGACTTCCCATGTGGGCAACCTGACCGGCCTGGTGTCTACACCCGTGTCTCAAGATACGTCCTGTGGATCCGTGAAACAATCCGAAAATATGAAACCCAGCAGCAAAAATGGTTGAAGGGCCCACAATAAAAGTTGAGAAATGTACCGGCTTCCATCCTGTCACCATGACTTCCTCACATGGTCTGCTTAGCCCTTCTCTGCTCCTTATTCCCAGTGTTCCATTTGAACCAGTGATCCATGTCCTGAAAAATGCTCAATCTCAGCTAACATTCCATGTTTCAGAAGCATTCAGGCACTGCCAGGCTTGCAGTCTCCCAGATGTTGCATCCCTGAAACATCTCAACAACCTGAATGTCCCAACCCAGACAATGGCCCAGGTCTCTCAACTTCATCAGTGTGGCTTCTATGAGCCCAGATCACCACCTGAACGTTCTGTCTGTGGCACATTCTTAAATATTTCCATCAGCCCATCTCAACAATATATGTCCTATAAATGGACCATCCTTGACAACATCCTCTAACTCTTCAAGTATTTATTCAATGCCAGTATCCTAGACCTTCTATTTTTTGCACTCAAGAAGGCTCTAGACTCCCATGATAGTTCATCCTGAAAATATTCTCTTATGCCCACAATCTTCTGCCCTGACAACATTCTGTGTACCTCTGTGACTCACCACAGCTAACATTGGATCCTCAGAATATTTCATTCTCACACTGTTATGGGTGTCTCAGAAGTCCCAACCCAACCTACATCCCACATTCTTCCAATACCCCACCTCTGCCAACATTCCCTCTCTGAATCAATGGCACCCTAGTCTCTAGAGTTATAGGGTTCAGTATACCAAAGGGTCTTCTTGCCTGAACTTTATTGTCTACCAAATATTCCGTCTTGTATCCCCTCCATGAACATCCTTGGTCAGTGTCCCTTGCTGTTACATCTTTGTGCATGACCCTAAAATGTAGTGCAAATCCTTGCTTTGGACAAGTTATAAAACTCACAGTCTCTGTGCTTTCTCATCTGTAAAATGGGTTCATAATTTTTTTTAATTGTAACATTATTACAAGAATAAATGTCAAGCATTTATCACTATTATTATTTGCATGG
The DNA here is from genome assembly GCF_000001405.40 of Homo sapiens. Classification (NCBI taxonomy): domain Eukaryota; kingdom Metazoa; phylum Chordata; class Mammalia; order Primates; family Hominidae; genus Homo; species Homo sapiens. The sequence continues at coordinate 51,055,610 of NC_000019.10, read as the reverse complement.
TTCCCATAAAATATTACCTTAGAATGTTAATAACAGCCCTTCGAATTTGCAGAGTGTCCAAAAAAAGTGTTGCACTGATTTATTTTCCTCAGGAGACATTTCTTCAGTGTTGACTATGTGCAAGCACTCTCCTGGGTGTTGTTAAATATAGTTTATTTACTCAACAAATATTTGTACCTATCAAGAGCCAGGCACTGTTGCAGAGACAAGTGATAACCAATGAGTTAAACAGATAAAAACTTCTGCCCTTGTAGAACTTACATTCTTTTCAAGAAGTCTCCATAACAATGAATAAAGAAATAGGCTGTCAGGTGGTGCTGCAAGCCATAGCAAGAAATGAAACAAGGGCCATATGTGGTAGCTCATGCCTGTAATACCAACACTGGGAGGCCAAGGTGGGAGGATCGCTTGACACCAGGAGTTCAAGACCAGCCTGGACAACATAGCAAGATCCCATCTCTACAAAAAAGTTTAAAAAATTAGCTGGACATGGTGGCACAAGTCTGTAGTCCCAGCTAATCAGAAGGCTGAGGCAGGATGATTGCATGAGCCCAGGAGTTTGAGGCTGCAGTGAGCTGTGATTGTGCCAGTACACTCAAGCCTGGGTGACAGAGCAAGACCCTGTGAAGAAGAAGGAGAAGGAGAAGGGGAAGGGGAAGGGGAAGGAGAGCAAGAGGAAGAGGAAGAGGTAGAAGAAAGGATTAAGAATTGGGAATGTAGGGTTGTATATGTGGAAGGGGTGGCATTGCAATTTAAACAGCATGGTCAGGGAAGAGGACCTAACTGAGATGGTAACATTTAAAGAAAGACCGAAAGGATGAAGGGAAGGAGCAAAGCACATATCTGAGGAGCAGCTGCTGGAGCAGGGGATACAGCTAGTGCAAAGGCCCTGAGGCAGGAGCCTGTTTGGTGTGTCTGAAGATCAGTGAAAAGGTTGGTGTGGCTGGAGCTGAGTGAGCAAGGAGGAGAGGGTGGGAGGTGAGGGCAGAGAATGAACGGAGCAGACTGCATTGGGTCCTGTGGGGCACGACGAGGACTTTGTTTTCCTCTGAGGGAGCCAGGAGCTATGAGAGGGCTCTGAGCAGAGGAGGGACTTGAACTGATTTCAATGTGCGCAGGATTCCTCTGGCTACTCCATGGGGAACAGACTCAGGGGGCCCAGCGAGGAAGGGACTGCATTAGCCCAGGCAAAAGGTGACGGTTCCTGGACCAAGGTGATGGCCGTAGAGGAGGCGAGAGGTCAGATTCTGGATCTGTTTGATGGGACTGTTGGACCATATCTGCCAACATCAGATGGGGGAATGTGAGAAAAAGAGAAGAGTCGAAGATGACTCCAGCAATTTGGCCTGAGCAACAGGAAGGATGGAGCTTTCATTTACAAAAATGCGAGAAACTGAGAGGAACATGTTTTAGGGCAGAGATGAGGAAATTTTGTCTTGAACTGTTTATTAGACACTCAAGTGGAAATAAACTGTTCTCTGAGAATTTATAGAAAATAAACAACTATGGCCAGGCATGGAGGCTCACACCTGTAGTCCCAGCACTTTGGGAAGCTGAGGCGGGCGGATCACTTGGGGTCAGGAGTCAACACCAGCCTGGCCAACATGGTGAAACCCCGTCTCTACTAAAAATACAAAAATTAGCTGGTGGTGGCAGGCGCCTGTAATCCCAGCTACTCAGAGGCTGAAGCAGGAGAATCACTTGAACCCGGGAGGCGGAGGCTGCAGTGAGCCAAGATTGCGCCACTGCATTCTAGCCTGGGTGACAAACTGAAACCCTGTCTCAAAAAGAAAGAAAAGAAACAACTACACAAACTAAATAACTGCAGATTGTGATGATTTCTGTGTGATGATAATAACAAATGCAATCATTTCCATGAAGGATATAAGCAAGGATTTGTGTTAGAGAATAAAGGAGGAGGCTGTTTTGAATAGGGTGATCAAGAAGGGCTTCTCGGAGAAGGTGGCATGTGGCCAAAGGGTTAAAGGGAGCCAGTTTAGCAAAGAATGGGGGAAATACCTCTGAAAAAGGAAACCACTGGGCCAACGTCCTTGAGTTTAGCCTATTCCAGGATCTGAGGGCAGGCCAGCATGACTGTACAGTAATGATGAACGAGTGACTGGGTAGGGAATGAGACTGGAGGATTTGGCTGGAGCCAAATATTCGGAATCTTTTTAGCTGTAGTCAGGGAGGTGGTCTTTCTCCCATTGTAGTGGGGGAGCTCCTGGAGAGTGTCAACAGGGGAGGAATATCTGAAATCGGATTATCACTCTGGTTGCTGGGTTACTGGTGGAGACAAGGTACCAGGAGGGAGTATTGGAAGCCAGGAGATGAACCTGAAGCCTACTGCAGTAATCAGTGGGTAAGATGATGGCTCAGCCAACAGAGATGAAGATGGATTAGAATGAGCGTTTTGCAGTCACACTGAGGAAACTCGGCAATACAATCAATCGTATTATTCACAGTAGTTACTTACGTTCTATAAAGTCACCTCTAACACTGAATTAGCAACTATTAAAGCATTGCTTCTAGGGGGGAAATATAGGTTCCTTCGAGCCTCTGGTCACAATCTTTTTGTCACCTGATCAATATATAACCTTGTTTTAGGTGTGTTTCTCTTTAAAGACAGCTTAATATACATGCATTGAACTCACAGCCGATGGCGATGTAACTCATGCCTGAATGAAGCTTCTCTAACATGTGTATTTTCTTTTTAAATTTTTCAAAATTTATTTTATTCATTTTATTTTTTTGAGACAGGATCTTGCTCTGTTGCCCATGCTGGAGTACAGTGGTGCAATCGTAGCTCAGTGCAGCTCTGAACTCCTAGGCTCAAGTGATCCTCCCGCCTTAGCTCCTGAGTTGCTGGGACTACAGGCGTATACCACCATGCCCAGCTAATTTTCTTTTTTATTTTTGTAGAGATGGGGTCTCACTCTCTTGCCCAGACTGGTCTCAAACTCCTGGACTCAAGTGATCCTCCCACCTTGGCCTCCCAGTGTATTGGGATTACAGGCATGAGCCACTGCACCCAGCTTTGTGTGTTTTCCCATAAGGTACATCACAGCCTTCCTGCACTTAGGATGCTAGACGCACTTTACCACTGTCCTGAGGGGGCATTTTAAACAGCGAAATCAACAAAAATGTGCAAAACGTGGCACTAACTAGACCACAAAAAGGACACTTGTTTACAGAATGAGAGCTGAAATAAGGGACAGCATCGCCTTAATCGACCTCAGCTGGGAGCATGCACCTCAGGCAATTCAAATTGTTCACCACTCTGCATATTTGCAAACAGCCGCAAAAGTCCCAAGAGTATTGGTTTGGGGGCTACCCACAGATTTTATCAAGCAGGTAAATTTGAAAATACAAATTTCATGAATAATGAGGATCAACTGTGTCTGTGGGGGTGAGGGTGAATGTTGAGGATGATTCCTGCGTGATTCCTGGTTATTTCAGGGGAGACTATAGTTTAGTGTTCAAAAACACAAAGGGTGGAGTCTGAAAGATCTGGTTTTGCCACTTTATCTTTTGGGAACCTCAGTTCTTTAATCTGGTAATAACAGGCCTTACTGCTCAGGGCTGTTGGGAGGACAGAGTGAAAGATTGGCATTTAAAGGCTCTGCACACAGCAACTTCTGAATCACCGATCCTGGTCAATGGAGAAGCAGCATGACACAGTAGCTACGGAACACAGTTTCAGGGGCCAGGCTGCCTCGGTTTGAATACTAGCTCTGTCACTTGTTGAACTGTATAGTCTTCAAATTACTCACCTTCTGTGTGCCTCAGTTTTCCCATTACTCAAGTACGTATAACAATGGTGCTTAACACCAAATGGCTTTAAGACCTAAAAGCAAAAGGTCAAACTACAAAGTTAATAGAAGATAATGGCAGAGGCCGGGCGCGGTGGCTCACGCCTGTAATCCCAGCACTTTGGGAGGCCGAGGTGGGCGGATCACGAGGTCAGGAGATCGAGACCATCCTGGCTAACACAGTGAAACCCCGTTTCCACTAAAAATACAAAAAATTATACGGTGTGGTGGCGGATGCCTGTAGTCCCAGCTGCTTGGGAGGCTGAGGCAGGAGAATGGCGTGAACCCGGGAGGCGGGGCTTGCAGTGAGCGGAGATCGCGCCACTGCACTCCAGCCTGGGGGACAGAGCGAGACCCTGTCTCAAAAAAAAAAAAAAAAAAAAAAAAAAAAAAAAAGAAGAAGATAATGGCAGATAACATTTTTGTGATTTGGGGATTAGGAAGGACTTTTTCTTCCTCCTCCTCCTCCCCTTCTTTTTTTTTTTTTTTTTTTTTTGAGACAGGGTCTCACTCTGTCACCCAGGCGGGAGTACAGTGATGCAATCACAGCTCACTGCAGCCTCAACTTCCTGGGCTCAAGTGATCCTCCCATCTCTCAGCCTGCCAAGTAGCTGGGACTACAGGTGCATGCCACCACACCCACCTATTTTTTGTATTTTTTGTAGAGACAGAGTTTCGCCATGTTGCCCAGTCTGGTCTCAAACTCCTGGGCTCAAGCAATCTGCCCACCTCAGCCTCCCGAAGTGCGGAGATTGCAGGCGTGAGCCACTGTGCCTGGCCTGAGGAAGGATTTTTTAAAACTTCAGAAAGACAAATCTAAAGGCAAAATAATGTTTAATTTCATTACATCAAAGTTAAAGATTTCTGTTCATCAAAAGACACAATGGACAAGGTAAATCAACATGTAACAGCTTGAGAGGTGACATTTGCAGTCTGTACTATTGACTTAAGATTGACATATTGACCCAAATATGCAAGGAAGTACTGCAAAAAAAAAATAAGAATAATGAGCAAAGGATATGAACAGATTTATAAAGAAGGAAACTCAAAAAACTCATACAAAATATGCTCACACTCATTAGGTATCCAAGAAACACAAATACAAATAACAATTGCTTTACATTTGTTAGATGGATTTAAGAAAATTTCAAAGTTAAGTAACCCCAAGTATTAGCAGAGATGTGGAAACACAGGAACGCTTGTGCACAGCTGGTGTGAACGTACATTGGTGTGGTTATTTCAGAAACTAATTTGGCATTGCTTGGCTGAATTAAGTATATGTACATCCTAAGACCCAGTAGTTCCACTTCTGGATGTCTACACAAAGGTAATAATTATGCACATCACAAAGGGGCAGAGATATAAGCTCTCTGTCACACAGTATTTTGCTGTGGTGGAAATTAGAAGAAACCTGGTTACCTATTAATGGGGGAGTGGATGATAGAATGTGGTGGATTCCCCCATGGAGGACTTTGCAGCAGTTAAAAGTAACAAACTAGAGACAGCAATAGGAATCAAATCTTTTTTTTTTTTTTTTTTTTTTTTTTTTTTTTTGAGACGGAGTCTCGCTCTGTCGCCCAGGCTGGAGTGCAGTGGCGGGATCTCGGCTCACTGCAAGCTCCGCCTCCCGGGTTCACGCCATTCTCCTGCCTCAGCCTCCCAAGTAGCTGGGACTACAGGCGCCTGCCACTACGCCCGGCTAATTTTTTGTATTTTTTTTAGTAGAGACGGGGTTTCACCGTTTTAGCAGGAATCAAATCTTAAAGGTATAGTGCTACCAACTACAATGGTGAAAATTTAAAAGACTGACAATACTAAGTGTTGACAAAGATATGGGCCAAGTTCAACTGGCACCACACTACTGGTGGCAATGCAAAATGGTACAACCACTTTAGAAAACATTTGACAACTTCTTTTTGTTGTTGTTGTTGCTGCTGCTTGTGTGTTTTTGAGACAGGGTCTCACTCCATCACCCAGACTAGAGTGCAGTAGCACAATTATAACTCACTGCAGTCTCAACCTCCTGGGCTCATGCCATCCTCCCACCTCAGCCTCCCAAGTAGTTGGGACTACAGGCATACACCACCATACCTGGCTAATTTTTCAAATTTTTTGTAGAGATGGGGGTCTCACTATGTTGTCCAGGCTGGTCTCAAACTCCTGGGCTCAACCAATCCTCCTGCCTTGGCATCCTAAAGTGCTGGGATTACAGGCATGAGCCACTGTGCCCAGCCAGCAACTTCTTTTTTTTTTCTTTTGAGACAGAATCTTGCTCTGTTGCCCAGGCTGGAGTACAGTGGTGCTATTTATTTCGGCTCACTGTAACCTCTACCTCCCAGGTTCAAGCGATTCTCCCACCGACTTTCCGAGTAGCTAGGATTACAGGCACCCACCACCATGCCTGGCTTACTTCTGTATTTTTAGCAGAGACAGCGTTTCACCATGTTGATCAGGCTGGTCTAGAACTTCTGACCTCAAGTGATCTGCCCTTCTCGGCCTCCCAAAGTGCTGGGATTACAGGTGTGAGCCACCTGCACCCAGCCGCAACTTCTCATAAAGTTAAACTTATGCTTATCATACAATCCAGCAATCCCCACTCTGAGGTGTCTTCCCAAGAGAAATGAAAACATATGTCCACACAATGATTGATACATAAATGTTTGTATCAGCCTTATTTGTATTATAATAGCCAGAAACTGGAAGCAACCCAAATATACAACAACTGGTGAATGGTTAAACAAGTTGTGGTATACCCATACTACGGAATACAGCTCAGCAATAGAAAGGAATGAACTCTTGATATGCGGTCAAAAGACTAAATTACAACACATTTAGTTTCAAGATCTAATCGACTGTGAGTTGCAATTCTACAAATGGGCAGTATCTCATTCCACAAAATAGAATGGTGTTCCCATGAGCTGAGCAGAGTTTGGCTTTATAGGCAGAAAAGGGATGAAGGAAACAGAAATAGGGAATAATACGTGGATTGGTCTTTCCAACGTTATGTTTTTAATAGGGTTAAGACAGAGGGAACTCTCTTATCCTGCCAGCTCAGGTCAACTGGGCCCCTTCTGATTCCTTACTGTAAACCTCCTGGTTGTTTGTTTGTTTGTTATTTTCAAAAACAGTTTGATTACATGGCAATTAGCACAAGGGACTCCATTCTGGTTTGGTCTGTTCTGCTAGGGCCTAGTCCAAGAGTTTAGTCCAAAACAATGTCCTTCCCATGAGTGTATTTATCAGCGCAAAAACATGGATGAATCTGAAATGTATTATGCTAGTAAAAGAAGACAAACATGTATACAACATTCTAAAAAAGGCAAAACCATAGAGGCAGAGTGCCCGTCAGTGTCACCTGCGGGGAGCTTTTGCAAAAGGGGCAGAAGGCAGGCAGCTTAAGGATGAGGGCAGTGAGGGAGGGAGACAGGGAGGAGCTGGTTTATGTTTGGATTATGGAGGTGCTTACATGATTCCACCCGATTTCCAAAATTCACCAAACTGAACACTTAAAGTGGATGAATTTTATTTTATGTAAATAATATATTATTAGAAAATGAAAAAGCATAGTTTTTTGTTTTTTTGTTTTTTTTTTTTTTGAGACAGAGTCTCGCTCTGTGGCCCAGGCTGGAGTGCAGTGGCGTGATCTTGGCTCACTGCAACCTTCACCTCCGAGGTACAATTAATTATCCTGCCTCAGCCTTCCGAGTAGCTGAGACTACAGGCACCACCATGCCCAGCTTATTTTTGTATTTTTTATGCTTTTTTTTTTTTTTTCAGTAGCGATGAGGTTTTACCATGTTGGCCAGGCTGGTCTTGAACTCCTGACCTCAAGCGATCTGCCTGCCTCAGCCTCTAAAAGTGCTAGGATTACAGGCGTAAGCCACAGTGCCCGGCCAGAAAAAGCACAGCTGTGCGCGGGGGGCGGGGGGAAAGAAAAGAATAAGCTACGTACCACAATACCATTGATATGAATTTCAAATGCACACAAAACAACACACAATTTGTAAGGACATATACTAATAAAAAGATCTATAACGTCGTGAATGTACTGAACGCCACTGAACTGTCCACTTTAAGTGGCTAATTTTATGATTTGTGAATTTCAACTTAATAAAAGGCTATGCAATAATAAATACAACAGCAAAATACACACAATAATGAGGATAACTGTAAAGGAGACAAGAGAGCGAAAATAATTGCGAAGGATACACAATAATAAAAACAATAGCAAAGGATACACGTTCACAAAGATAACGGCAAAATGTGCACAATGATAAAGACAATAGTAGAAGGGAAGGGAAATAAAAGGGAACAAAATAAATAAGGAAAACAAAAGAGGGATCCTCTCCAAATCACTAATGAAAATGTGCCACCAACGAATTCAACTCTTTCCACCGGAGGATTAGGGACTACCCAAATGTATTCATAAACTTTTTAAAATGAAAAAGAACAGCACTGACTGTGGAATGCATTTGAGAGGATTAATTGAGCTCCTGTGGAAAGCTCAGAAGAACGCCTTGCACAGAGTGAGAACTCAATAAGTGGTAGCTGTCATTTTTTTCAGTATTGTTGTTGCTCTTATTATTAGTGTAACTACGAGGCTGTCTCCAAGGTCCCAGTGCCAGGAGAGCTGCCTTGAGTGACACCTGTGGATTTTGGAGAGTAGGAGGCAGCCACCCAAATCCTGCCTATGGAACAGAAAATAATGACATAGCTGGGCTGGAGATTCTGACTATCAACACCACCTCGACTCAGGAAGGCCGGCCAGGTGGTGAGCTACTCAGCGTTCCCTCCCTCCTCCCCCTTCTGGGATTTCTCAGCCACCTGCCCTCCTCTTCCTGTTTTTGCCCAGGGGAATTTTAATAACAATGGAAGCCTGCACTGGAAAGAATTTGGAGAGAACTGGTGGAGCCAGGAGATGGAGAAGCCTTGAAAAAGGGGGAGAAGCCGGGTGCAGTGGCTCACGCCTGTAATCCCAGCACTTTGGGAGGCCAAGGCGGGTGGACTCCCTGAGCTCAAGAGTTCGAGACCACCCAGGGCAACATGGTGAAACCCGGTCTCTACTAAAAATACAAAAAAATTAACCAAGTGTGGTGGCACATGCCTCTAGTCCCAGCTACTTGGAAGGCTGAGACAGGAGATTCGCTTGAGCCCCAGAAGCGAAGATTGTAGTGAGCCAAGATTGAGCCACTGCACTCCAGATTAGGCTACAGAGTGAGACTCTGTCTCACAAAAAGCAAGAAAGCAAGAAAGCAAGAGAGAAAGAGAAAGAAAGAAAGAAAGAAAGAAAGAAAGAAAGAAAGAAAGAAAGAAAGAAAGAAAGAAAGAGAAAGAAGAAAAGAAAGGAGAAAGAAAGAGAAAAGAAAGAAGAAAGAGGAAGAAAGAAAGAAAGAGAAAGAAAGAAAGGAAAGAAAGAAAAAGAAAGAAAGAAAACAAAGGAAAGAAAGAAAGGAAAGAAGGAAGGAAGGAAGGAAGAAAGAAAGGGAGAAAAGCAAAATGGGGAATCAAGGGGGATTTTGTCAAAAGACGAACCAGGCTTTCTGGCATTTGTCCAGGTTGGCACAGCACTGGAAGTCCTTTTATTCCATTCTCCCAAGGCCTCAGCTGGGTGGAATATCATCCTCTCCATCTTACAGAAGAATGGACCTACACTAGGGAAAATCGCTGGTGATTTAACCCTATCCTGGTTAATGGAACCGCATCTTCGATGGCCCCATGGACTTCACCTTGTTAGCCTGGAGAGTCAGGCCAAGCTCAGCCAGTGCCCCAGGGTGAGGCTTTGTAGCTGGGCCCCCGTGGAACTTTCCAGGCTATTGAGGGCAGTGGGGAATATAAGCCTGTGATAAAAGAAAAACTTTTGCCGAATTAAATTTAAAGGAGTTTAATTGAGCAATGAACAATTCCGGAATCGAGCAGCCCCCAGAATCACAGCAGATTCAGAGACACTCCAGCGCAGCCACGTGGTGGACAAAGATTTATAGACAAAAAAAAAAAAAAAAGAGAGAGACAGAGAAATCATGTACAGAAATTGGTAGTGAGGTACAGAATGGCTGGATTGGTTACAGCTCGGCATATGTCTTATTTGAACACAGTTTGAACACTCAGCAGTGTATGAATGGTTGAAGTATGGCTGCTGGGATTGGCCAAGACTTAGCAGATGTAACAGGTGCATACTACTAAGTTAGGTTTTCGATTCTGCCTGCCTATTAAGCTAGGTTACAGTTCATCCACAAGGACTCAAATACAGAAGTACAGAGTCCTTCTCAGGCCATATTTAGTTTGCGTTAACACCTGTAAACTAAAAATAAAAACCTAGGCCAGACATGGTATCTCATCCCTATAATCCCAGCACTTTGTTTGGGAGGCTGAGGCGAGGAGAATCACTTGAGCTCAGGAGTTTGAGACCACCCTAGGCGATCATTTCCAACGGGAAAATGGAGGCCTCATGCTGGAGCAGGTTGGAAGCCACCGAGTTAAGCTCAGTCTTTCCCCTTTGGCGGAGGAGAATCATGTGGCCTGAGCTCCAGTTCCAGCTCTTCCCTGGCTGGTTAGAGGATCTTGAGGGCGGTCCCTGGTGATTTGAGAGGCTTTGGTTTCCTCATTCTGGAGCAGAGAGCATGAAAATTATTTAGCAGGGTTGTGAGGACAATTAAATGAGATAACGGGCCGGGCACCGTGGCTCACACCTGTAATCACAGCACTTTGGGAGGCGGAGGTGAGTGGATCGCTTGAGCCCAGGTGTTTGAGACCAGCCTGGACAACATAGCAAGACCCTGTCTCTACAAAAAATAAAAAAAAATTTTCCGGGCGTGATGGCGAGTGCTTGTAGTCCCAGCGACTCGGGAGGCTGAGGCAGGAGTGTCACTCGAGCCTGGGAGGTTGAGGCTGCAGTGAGCTGTATTCACGCCACGGCACTCCAGCCTGGGAGACAGAGCAAGACCTTGTCTCAATAAATAAATACATAAATAAATAAATAAAAATTCTAAGCCCCTCACCAACTGAAAGGTCCCCCTTTTGGCCAACGGGACCCCAGAAAAAACTTTAAAACTTAATTCCCTGCCATGATGGGAAAGGAGGTCAGACACGCCTCATCGTACCCTCTATCTTTTGGGGTTTGGCACAACTGACCAGCATTAATGTTAAGATAGAGATTACAGCTGAGGAGACAAACTCTTTGTGACAGCAAGATACCAGGTTATACACAGGACCTGAGGCCATGCCAGGCAAGGGTTACGTCATGCACCGTGCAGGTCGCTCTGACCTGGTGGTTTAGTTAACAGATTTCCTTATGTTAACTAAAAACACTCCTTTCTGCTGACTCCGAATTTTTAGACACAGCTTTACTCCTTTAACCAATTGCAAATTAAAGAATGTCTGAGGCCGGGCGCAGTGGCTCATGCCTGTAATCTCAGCACTTTGAGAGGCCAAGGCGGGCGGATCACAAGGTCAGGAATTCGAGACCATCCTGGCCAACATGGTAAAACCTCGTCTCTACTAAAAATACAAAAATTAGCTGGGCGTGGTGGCAGGGGGCTGTAGTCCCACCTACTCAGAGGCTGAGGCAGGAGAATCGCTTGAACCCGGGAGGCGGAGGTTGCAGTGAGCCGAGATCGCACAACTGCACTCCAGCTTGGGCAATACAGTGAAACTCCATGTAAAAAAAAAAAAAGAAAAAGAAAAGAAAGAAAAAAAAAGAATCTCTGAACTCACCTATAACCTGTAAGCCCATGTTTCAAGATCTCCTGCCTTTTCAGACCAAACCAATGTATGCCTTCCATGTATTGATCTATGACTTTGCCAGTAACTCCTGCCTCCCTAAAATGCATAAACCAAACTGTAATCCAACTACTCAGTGTGCACTTACTCAGGACCTCTTGAGCTTGTGTTCCTCAGGCCATGACCACTCCTATTGGCTCAGAATAAACCTCTTTAAAATATTTTACAGTCTGGCTTTTCCATGAGCAAGCCCAAGTTTTCATTCTAAGAAGTTAAGTGATAAAATCGTAGGAGCAATGAGGAGGCAAGAAACCCCAGTCAGGCTTTCTGGAGGAGGGGACTTTGGAGTTGGGCCTTGAAGGTTGATGCTGTGGCCATCTGCAAAAAATGGGATGGATCTCCCCATCCGAAATTTGGTTCGGATGTCAAGACCGATGATGCCACACGCTCACCGAAGGGTCCTGTTCTGCCTCTGTGGGGATGACTGTGGAGTTGGTGCCGTGAGCAGGGGTCTAGGTGATGACCACCACCAGCACCAGCACCAGGGTCTTTCTCCTCTTGCCTTCTGCTCACTGCACTGCCGCCGGCTGGGTGGCATGCTCTTTGAGCTGGATGCTGCATTTGCTGAGACCTACTGAACCCTCTGTTGCAGATTTAAGCAGCCTAAGTCAGAAGTTTCAAGAGCTGCTGTTTAGGAACTGGAGTAAGAAGCTGTAACCCTGTTTCCAGTGGTCCTGGTTCATGTATCTGGACCCAGACCTCTCTATGTGTCTTGAATTGAGTCATGCATCCTAATGACACCATCAGCTCTCAGAGGAAGGATCTCATTCTGTGACTATTGCTTGGTCTCAAGCAGGCATTAGCTCTCTGTTCCAGGGAGCGCTCTGGGACCAGCAGGTTTTTTCGTTTGCGAGGAGTTTTTTGATACAGGATCTCCCTCTGTTGTCCAAGCTGGAGTGCAGTGGCTCAGTCACGTCTCACTGCAGCCTCAATCTCCTGGGCTCAAGTGATCCTCCTACCTCAGCCTCCTGAGTAGCTGGGACTACAGGTGCACACCACCATTACCAGCTGATTTTTCAAATGTTTTGTGGAGATGGGGTCTCACATGTTGCCCAGAGTGGTCTCAAACTCCTGGGCTCAAGCGATCCTCCCACCTTGGCCTCCTAAAGTGCCAGGATGATAGGTGTGAGCCACTGCACCTGGCCAGCAACTTGTTATAAAGTTAAACCTATGCTTATCATACAATCCAGCAATCCCACTTCAAGATGTCTTCCCAAGAGAAAGAAAAACATGTCCACGTGATGATTTGTACATGAATGTTCATAGCAGCCTTATTTGTAATTGCCAGAAACTGGAAGAAATCCAAATATACAACTGGTGAATGCATAAACAAGTTGTACTATTCCATACTATGCTGAGATCTTTTTATCTTTTTTTTTTGATGCTTACTGAATATATTTTGGAGTGGGAGTGGGTCCTCTCTACCCTATTTATATTTATACTCTACTTTTTCTCCTCCAGAGAGCCTCATATCAGTATTATCAACTTCTTATAAAGTTAAACATACGCTTATCATACAATCCAGCAATCCCACTCTGAGGTGTCTTCCCAAGAGAAAGGAAAACATGTCTACACAATGATTTGTACATGAATATTCATAGCAGCCTTATTTATCATTGCCAGAAACTGGAAGCAACCTAAATATACAACAACTGGTGAATGGATAAACAAGTTGTGATATACCCATACAATGCTGAAATTTTTTAATCTTTTTTTTTTATTATTATACTTTAAGTTTTAGGGTACATGTGCACAATGTGCAGGTTAGTTACATATGTATACATGTGCCATGCTGGTGTGCTGCACCCATTAACTCATCATTTAGCATTAGGTATATCTCCTAATGCTAATCTTTTTTTTTTAATGCTTACTGGATATATTTTGGAGTGAGATTGAGTCCTCTCTACCCTGTTTATATTTATACTCGATTTTTTTTCCTCCAGAGAGCCTCAAATCAGTATTATCAACTTCTTATAAAGTTAAACATATGCTTATCGTACAATCCAGCAGTCCCACTCTGAGGTGTCTTCCTAAGAGAAAGGAAAACATGTCCACACAATGATTTGTACATGAATATTCATAGCAGCCTTATTTATCATTGTCAGAAACTGGAAGCAACCTAAATATACAACAACCGGTGAATGGAAAAACAAGTTGTGGTATACCCACACAATGCTGAAATTTTTTAATCTTTTTTTTTTTTAATGATTACTGGATATATTTTGGAGTGAGATTGGGTCCTCTCTACTCTGTTTATATTTATACTTGATTTTTTTTTTTTTTCCTCCAGAGAGCTTCAAATCAGTATTGTCATGGTTAGGGGCCTTCCCCATGGCAATGGTGGCTTTATGGGGTTTAAGGACCCCAGGGGTTAAGTCAGGTCTAGATTAACTGCTTGGCAGCCTGGACAACATCGTGACATCGTGAGACCGCCATCCAAGTTTATGTTCACTCCTTTCTTTTCTTTCTTTCTTCCTTTCTTTTTTTTTTTTTTTTTTTTTTTTTTTGAGATGGACTTTCACTCTTGTTGCCCAGGCTGGAGTGCAATGGCACGATCTCGGCTCATCACAACCTCCACCTCCCGGGTTCAAGCGGTTCTCCCGCCTCAGCCTCCCGAGTAGCTGGGACTACAGGCAGGCACCACCATGCCCGGCTAATTTTGTATTTTTAGTAGAGATGGGGTTTCTCCATGTTGGTCAGGCTGGTCTCGAACTCACGACCTCAGGTGATCTGCCCGCCTCGGCCTCCCAAAGTGCTGGGATTACAGGTTTGAGCCACTGTGCCCTGCCCTAAGTTCATTCCTTTCTATTGCTGAGCAGTCTTCCATAGTATGGAATATCACAACTTGTTTATCCATTCACCAGTTGTATATTTGGGTTGCTTTCAGTTTCCAGCAATTATAAATAAGGCTTCCATGAATATTCATGTACAAATCATCGTGTGGACATATGTTTTCCTTTCTCTTGGGAAGACATCTCGAAGCAGAATTGCTGAATTGTATGATAAGCATATGGTTAACTTTTTTTTTTTTTTTTTTTTGAGACAGAGTTTCACTCCTGTTGCCCAGGCTGGAATGAAGTGGCACGATCTAGGCTCACTGCAACCTCTGCCTCCCAGGTTCAAGCGATTCTCCTGCCTCAGCCTCCTGAGTAGCTGGGATTACAGGCGTCTGTCACCATGCCCAGATAATTTTTTGTATTTTTAGTAGAGACAGGGTTTTACCATGTTGGCCAGGCTGGTCTTGAACTCCTGACCTCAGGTGATCTACCTGCCTTGGCCTCCCAAAGTGCTGGGATGACAGGCGTGAGCCACTGTGCCTGGCCAGCATACATCTAACTTTATAAGAAGTTGATGGCCAGGCACAGTGGCTCACACCTATCATCCCAGCACTTTAGGAGGCCAAAGTGGGAGAATCGGTTAAGCCCAGGAGTTTGAGACCAGTCTGGGTAACATAGTGAGACCCTCATCTCTACTAAAAATTTGAAAAATTAGCCGGACATGGTGGTGTGCACCTGTAGTGCAAGAGGAATAAGTTTAAGAGATTTACTGTATTAATACAACATGGTAACTCTAGTTAATAACAATGTACCATAGACAGCAGTCCCTCCTTATTTGAGGTTTCCCGTTCTGCAGTGCAGGTACCTGTGGTCAACCGCAGTCCCACAATAGGTGGGTACAATTCAGTACAATAAGATATTTTGAGAGAGGGAGACCACATAACACATAATTTTATTACAGTGCATGGTTATAATTGTTTTATTGTATTATTATTCATTATTGTGGTTCATCTCTTACTACGCCTAATTTATAAATTAAATTTTACGATAGGTACTCTCCATGATCTTGGAACATATTTTCCCTGGATAAGCGGGGACTACAGGACTCAAAAATTGCTAAGAGAGTAGATTTTAAGTGTTCTCACCACATGCACACAAAATAAGAATGTGAAGGATGAATGTTAATTAGCTCAACTTAGTCATTCCACAATGTATATGTATTTCAGAACATCATGTACCAGCCCAGTGAGGTGGCTCACATCTGTAATCCTAGCACTCTAGGAGGCCAAGGTTGGAGGATCAAGGATTGCTTGAGCTCAGGAGTTCAAGACCAGCCTGGACAACATAGTGGGACCTCCTCTCTACTAAAAATAAAAATAGAAATAATTGGCTGGGCATGGTAGTGTGCATCTGTGGTCCCGACTACTTGAGAGGCTGAGGCAAGAGGATTGCTTGAGCTCAGATCAAGGCTGCAGTGAGCTATAATTGCACCACTGCACCCCAGCCTGAGCGACAAAGCAAGACCCTGTGTCAAAAACAAAACAAAATATCACATATCCATTAAGGCCCCCATACCCAGTATTACTTTCCATAGAATCAGCAACTGGCAAATACGTTACCGTCGTTGGATTTGGCTGATATGCTCTGTTCCAAGGCTATTTCAACAGCCTCTCAGCTGCAGCTAGCCTTCACCGTGGAAAGGATACAATACACCTGACCCAGCTGCTCCTGGGGAACCTTGAATCCTGGCCACTACTGCAGGTGCAGTAGTGAAAAGGTGCAATACCTTTTTTTTTTTGAGATGGAGTCTTGCTCAGTCGCCCAGGCTGGAGTGCAGTGGCGCAGTCTCCATTCACTGCAACATCTGCCTCCTGGGTTCAAGCAATTCCCCTGCCTCAGCCTCCCGAGTAGCTGGGATTACATGTGCACACCACCACGCCCAGCTAATTTTTGTATTTTTAATAGAGACGGGGTTTCACCATGTTAGCCAGGCTGGTCTCAAACTCCTGACCTCAGGTGATCTGCCTGCCTCGGCCTCCTGAAGTGCTGGGATTACAGACATGAGTCACCGTGCTTGGCCCGCAATACCTTTTTCTTATGCATTTCAAAGTCCATGGCCAGCACCCCTATAACAAAAGACAGGTTAATGAGATAAAAGCGTAACAAGTGGATTTAACAGTTTTATGTGACATGAAAGCCTTCAGAAATGAAGACCCAAAAACTCAGGGAAAATTGTGTCATTTTGAGGTTCAATGAAGAAGGCGTTGGCATGTAGACATGTGATGTGAAAAACCAGGTACGATCTTGGGAGGCCGAGGTGGGAGGATCATGAGGTCAGGTGTTCGAGACCAGCCTGGCCAATATGGTAAAGCCCCATCTCTACTAAAAATACAAAAATTAGCTGGGTGTGGTGGCAGGTGCCTGTAATTCCAGCTACTCAGTAGGCTGAGGCAGAAGAATTGCTTGAACCCAGGAGGCGGAGGTTGCAGTGAGCCGAGATTGTGCCACCGCACTTCAGCCTGGGCAACAGAGCGAGACTCCATCTCAAAAAAACCCAACCAACTCAACAAACAAACAAAAACCAAAAAACAGGTATGATCTCTTGGTCATAAATTGAGGGGGGATCCCAGCAGGTCCCATTTGTTCAGATTCTTCTGGGCCTTTCTGTGTTGCATTTCTTCCTCTGCAGGACACCTGTCACATGAGGGTCTTCAGGGGAAAAGGAATTCTAGTGTCTGTGACTGCTTCAAAGGAGAAGTAAGGGGAGAGGAGAGGAAAGCAGGAGGAGGTTGGAGAGAACCTCTTGTTCCTGAGGTCTTCCAATCTCCTTCAGCTCAAAGCACTCAGCATGCTGAAGTTCCAGACTCTGGGCTATCACGTTCTGACATGCAACACAGGCAACACCCCAGCTCCATCCACGTTTCTCCAAAAGCACAGGCATGACGTCATATGGTGACAAACACCCTTGTCCAAAGGAAGCCCATAGGATACGCTAATTCTAGATTCACAAATACTCTAGAGGAACTCACACAATGGGATGGGCCAGTGCCCCACACAGAGTATGAGGCCTCCCACCTTGGTTGAATATCTTTTTCTTTTTTTTCTTTTTTTTTTTTTTTGAGACGGAGTCTCACTCTGTCACCCAGGCTGGAGTGCAGTGGCTCGATCTCGGCTCACTGCAACCTCTGCCTCCCAGGTTCAAGTGATTCTCCTGCCTCAGCCTCTGGAGTAGCTGGAATTACAGGTGCCCACCACCACAACTGGCTAATTTTTGTATTTTTAGTAGAGACGAGGGTCCACCATGTTGACCAGGCTTGTCTCGAACTCCTGGTCTCAAGTGATCTGCCCACCTCGGCCTAGTGCTGGGATTACAGACGTGAGTCACCACGCCCGGCCCCACCTTGGTTAAATTTCTGAAAATCATTTGGTAAAGTGAGGACCCCTCCAGCTGAGACACTGCCAGGAAACAGCTATTGAGTCTCTTAGCACCCACAGCATTAAAACAAACCCAAAACATTTTAGGCCTCGTTGAGTTCTGGAGGCAAAATATTCCTCATCTACAAATTTATTTTATTTTATTTTTTAATAAAAGTTATTATTATTTTTTTTTATAGAGAGACAGGGTCTTGCTCTGTGACCCAGACTAGAGTGCAGTGGTGTGACCATGGTTCACTGCAGCCTCCACCTCCTGGGCTCAAGCGATCCTCCCACCTCAGCCTGCCAAGTAGCTGGGACCACAGGTATGCCCCTCCCCCAGGCTAACTTTTTTTTACTTTTTGTGGAGATGAGGTCTCACTATGTTGCCCATGCTGGTCTTTTTTTTTTTTTTTTTTTTTTTTGAGACGGGAGTGCAGGCTGGAGTGCCCAGGCTGGAGTGCAGTGGCACAATCATAACTCACTGCAGCCTCAAACTCCTGGGGTCAAGTGATCCTCCCACCTCAGCCTCCCACATAACTAGGACTACAGGCCTGTGTCACCATAATGCCTGGTTAATTTTTTTAGTTTTTGTTTGTAGAAACAGGGTCTCACTATGTTACCCAGGCTGGCCTCTAACTCCTGGCCTCAATCCATCCTCCCATCTCAACCTCCCAAAGTGCTAGGATTATAGCCACGAGCCACCATGCCCGGCCCCATACTTATATTTACTTGTAGTGAGAACACTTAAACCCTACTCGGTCAGTAATTTTCAAGTACACAATACATTGTTACTAACTATATACATGGTATTTTTAATTTGCATGAATGCTCCTTAAAATCAGCGAGCCCGCCTTATTTTTTGTATTCAATTTTATTGGATATAAATTCCACATCAGTAAACCTGATTCTCTTAAAAATCTACACAGAAAAAAAAAAAGAGAGAGAGGTTGAGTTGGGTAGTTGTTGGTATTTTTGTTTTTGTTTCTTTGCTTATTCAGTTGAGGTTTATTGTAAAACTTGACACCAGAAAAAGGAAGAAGTGGCGTTTTTGTGCTGTGAGCGTGTGACGTGTGTCCTTTCCAGAGAAAGGACAGTCATGGTGCTTTTTTATCCTCTCTGCCCAAAGAAGGAAAGCTCTTAACAGCCAGCAGGAGGCTTTGTAGGGACCAGCGTTATCAACGCCAGTCGCGCTGACCAATGATGAGTTAAAGCAGTTAGGTCGTTTCTAAGAGCAAATCAAAAGCTAAGGTTCTGTGATTCTGAAAATGAGACACGGACAGAGACTGGAGACCCAGAGAGAAAGTGAAGGACTAAAAGACAGTCATAGGGTGGGAGTTTGCTCTCCTCTGTTTTGTTCTGGGTTTTTTTGTTTGTTTGTGCGCTCTGTCTGACCGCTTTTCTTTTTTTTCTTTTTCTTTCTTTTTTTTTTTTTTTTTTTTGAGATGGAGTCTTGCTCTGCCGCCCAGGCTGGAGTGCGGTGGCACAATCTCGGCTCACTGCAAGCTCCGCCTCCCACGTTCAAGGGATTCTCCTGCCTCAGCCTCCCGAGCAGCTGGGATTACAGGCATGCACCACCACACTCAGCTAATTTTTGTATTTTTAGTAGAGATGGGGTTTCACCATATTGACCAGGCTGGTCTTGAACTCCTGGCGTCAAGTGACTTGCCCGCCTCGGCCTCCCAAAGTGTTGGGATTACAGGCGTGAGCCACCGCGCCTGGCCCTGACTGCTTTTCTCTTGGTTTGTTTCTCAATCCCCCTTCCTCTGAGCCGAATTCCCTTTTTGTTCTCATTTTCTCTCTCTGTCCCCTCTCTCTCTCCTTCTTTCTCTCCTTCCATTCCTCCTAGATGAAGCAAAAACTCAGATAAACCAGCACAGAGGCCAGGTATGGTGGCTCACACCTGTAATCCCGGCACTTTGGGAAGCCAAGGCAGGCAGGTTGCTTGAGGCCAGGAGTTCAAGACCAGCCTGGCCCACATGGTGAAACCCCGTCTCTACTAAAAATACAAAAATTAGCCGGACATGGTGGCACGTGCCTGTAATCCCAGGTACTCAAGAGGTGGAGGTTGCAGTGAGCGGAGATCACAGCCCTGCACTCCAGCCTGGGTGACAGAGCGAGACTCCATCTCAAAACGAAAAACAAAAAACAGCACAAAGTTCCCTTGTCCTGTGACTCATTCTCTCTCTCTCTTTCTACCATTTCTCCTTCCCTGTGTCTTTTTTTTTTCTCTCTGTGGGTTTTATTTAAGCAATAGAAGTTCTTAGCAAAGAAAAACTTTATGGAATTAGATTGATCCACTTCATATGTACATATATGAACTCAGTTCAGAAACTCTCTTCTACCCCTGCCTGATCACCTATTTGGAAGTCTGTTCCTTCAACTCTTCTTCTCTTTCTGGGACTCTTTCTAGCTTGGGCTTCCTGCCCCTCCCGTCCACTCTCCTGCTTTCACAGCCTCTCCTTCCCCCTGCCCCTCCCCTGCACTGCATGGGGATGGGCCCCAGGTGTCCAAGGTCTCCCCACCCTCCTTTGTCACTGGAGTCAGGATTAGAACCCAGCTCCCTAGTCACCTTGAGTCATCAGTCCTGGGGCTGCTGACGGGCTTGCAGAGGAGAGAGGGAGTGGGGCTGGGTCTTCCCACCCTGGGTCCTTTCCTCCTTCCCCACTCCGTTTAGCTGTAAAGCTCAATTAAGTGTGATTAGCTGAGAAGAGTTTCTGCAGAATTAGAGCACGCCCCACCCCTGTCTTCGTGGTCCCCTTCCCTTAACCCGGAAACTGGATGGGCCAGGACAAAGAGAGTTAAGAGCTTTGTCAGTGGTCTGTCTGGAGCGACAGATGGAAGGAAAGGGACCGGTTGAGCAACATGACAGGTGGCTGAGGAGCCAGGTGCAGAGTGGTAGAGTTGGCTGGCGGAGTGGCCAGCACATGAGAAGACAGGCAGGTAGGTGGACGGAGAGATAGCAGCGACGAGGACAGGCCAAACAGTGACAGCCACGTAGAGGATCTGGCAGACAAAGAGACAAGGTGAGAAGGAGGTAGGCGACTGCCAATGAGGGAGTGACACACAGGGGAGCAGGTAGAGAGAGGACAAGCAGGTCATCCCCTTGGTGACCTTCAAAGAGAAGCAGAGAGGGCAGAGGTGGGGGGCACAGGGAAAGGGTGACCTCTGAGATTCCCCTTTTCCCCCAGACTTTGGAAGTGACCCACCATGGGGCTCAGCATCTTTTTGCTCCTGTGTGTTCTTGGTGAGTTCTCCCGGAGCAGGGAGAGGGCAGGACTGCGACTGGATCCCTTCACCCCCATGAGGAGGCCCCACCACCCTCCCCATCTCAGCTCTGGCCCCCAGCCTGGTGGTGAGGAGGAGAGGGGCTTTCTCTGTGCCTCCATTTACCTGCAGCTCTCAGGGTACTGCTCACCTCGGTCTCCCCTATTTTTTGATCCCTCTTCCCTTCTGTCCCTCTCTGAATCTCTGTCTCTCCATTTCCCTCCTATGTGTAAGCATCTTTCTCCCTGGGTGTCTTTGATGTTTCATGGTCTTTTTCTATCACTGGGTCTCTCTCTCTTTCTCTCTCTTTCTCGTCTCTCTTTCTCCTCTCTCTCTCCTGCCTGTTTCTCTCTCTCACTCTGTGTGTCTCTCCATCTCTGTATCTTTTCTTCCTCTCTCTGACCCATGCCCCTGTCTGTCTCCAGGGCTCAGCCAGGCAGCCACACCGAAGATTTTCAATGGCACTGAGTGTGGGCGTAACTCACAGCCGTGGCAGGTGGGGCTGTTTGAGGGCACCAGCCTGCGCTGCGGGGGTGTCCTTATTGACCACAGGTGGGTCCTCACAGCGGCTCACTGCAGCGGCAGGTAAGTCCCTTCCTGGGGTGGGCGAAGGGAGGACTATGGGAAGGCAAGCGCTGGGGGTAGGATCACAAGGGAGGGTGGTGCCCACTGGGAAGAAGCTGATCCTGCAACAAGAGAGTCTGAGGTTAGACCAGGAGTGGAACTTCCTTAGCAGTGGGCCTGGGGTGGTGCTGGGCAGGGTGAGGTATGTTGGGTGGAGGGCCGGGGAGGGTCCTGGAACCTGCCCTCCTGCCTCTCCCATTCCTGCATGTACCCTTTCTTTCCTATATGACATCTGCCACTCACCCCAGCCATTCCTTGACCCAGTCTGGGCCCGGGGCCCAGGTCTCACCCAAGCTCTTTTTCTTTTTCTTTTTTTTATTTTTTTGAGACAGGGTCTCGCTCTGTCGCCCAGGCTGCTGTGCAATGGCGTGATCACAGCTCACTGCTGTCTCTGCCTCCCAGGTTCAAGTGATTCTCCTGCCCCAGCCTCCTGAGTAGCTGGGATTACAGGCACCCGCCACCATGCCCAGCTAATTTTTGTATTTTTTGTAGAGACAGGGTTTTGCCATGTTGGCCAGGCTGGTCTCGAACTCCTGGCCTCAAATGACCTGCCCGTCTTGGCCTCCCAAAGTGCTGGGATTACAGGTGTGAGCCACTGCACCCGGCCAACATGACCCAAACTCTTTGTGCAACTTCAGAATCTATGCCTGGCACCTCTCTGGGCCTCAGTAGACTGATGTTCTGGAATTTTTTTCTTTTTCTTTCTTTTTTTTTTTTTTTGGAGACAGAGTCTTGCTCTTTCTGTCATCCAAGCTGGAGTGCAGTGATGCTATCTTGGCTCACTACAGCCTCAACCACCTGGGCTCAAGTGATCCTCACACCTCAGCCTCCCAAGGAGCTAAGACTACAGGCCTGCGCCACCACACCTGGCTAATTTTTAAATTTTTTTTGTAGAGACAGGGTTTTGCTATGTTACCCAGGCTGGTCTCAAACTCCTCAGCTCAAGCAATCTTCCTGCCTTGACCTCCCAAAGTGCTGGGATTACAGGCATGAGCCACTGTGCCTGGCCTGGAACTTTTTTTGTGAAAGGGGAGATCAGATGCAAAGAAACAGAGACTCAGGGAGAGAGAGGGCCAGCAGCAGGATGCAGAGAGGCCATTCATCAACCCACTCGTTCAATCATGAACCCACTCGTCCACGCATGAGCATGGAGGGCACATGCTCCGTGCCAGGCGGTGGGAATAAGGCAGTGAACAAGGTCCACTGATGTCCCTGCCTTCATGGGCTTCACCAGCCGAGAGAATCAGAAAGAGAGGCCTGGCGCGGTGGCTCACACCTGTAATCCCAGCACTTTGGGAGGCCGAGGCGGGCGGATCACTTGAGGTCAGGAGTTTGAGACCAGCCTGACACACATGGTGAAACCTTATCTCTACTAAAAATACAAAAATTAGCTGGGCATGGTGGCATGCTTCTGTAATCCCAGCTACTTGGGAGGCTGAGGCAGGTGAATTGCTTGAACCTGGGAGGTGGAGGTTGTAGTGAGCCAAGATGGTGCCACTGCACTCCAGCCTGGGCGACAGAGCGAGACTCGGTCTTGAAAAAAAAAAAAAAAAAAAAAAGGAGAGAGAGAGACACAGATGCAGGGACATGGTAGGAGAAACAGGGAACACCCAAGATGGAAAGAGGGTGATGGAGGTTGGGAATAAGAGCCTGTAAGAGAGACTCGGAGAATGAGAGTTGCGGGTGAGAGGACAGACAGTGAGGGGCAGAACAGTGGGGAGCGGCAGGAGCGCCTGAGTGTCCGTGGAGGGGTGCAAGGTGGGGGACTGCGTGCCTGCCACCCGCTCAGCCGTCGCCACCGGCAGCAGGTACTGGGTGCGCCTGGGGGAACACAGCCTCAGCCAGCTCGACTGGACCGAGCAGATCCGGCACAGCGGCTTCTCTGTGACCCATCCCGGCTACCTGGGAGCCTCGACGAGCCACGAGCACGACCTCCGGCTGCTGCGGCTGCGCCTGCCCGTCCGCGTAACCAGCAGCGTTCAACCCCTGCCCCTGCCCAATGACTGTGCAACCGCTGGCACCGAGTGCCACGTCTCAGGCTGGGGCATCACCAACCACCCACGGAGTAAGGGGCCCAGGGCCAGGGGTCAGGGGTCAGGATGGGTACAAGTCTGGGATGCAGGGCGAGAGGTCGAATCATGACACCTCAGAGGAAGGATGGGTAAAGGGTCAGGGTGTGGGATGGGACATCAGGATCATGGTTTGGGGTCAGAGATTATGGTGGATTGGGGTCTTGGGAGCCAAAGGGGTTAAAGGACTGGGTATGAAGTCAGGGATCAGAGGTCAGAGGTCAGAGTGTGTCAGAGGTCATCACACTGGAGCAAAAGGCATATATATATATATATGTATGTATAGGATATGGGCATTGTGGGTCATGGGTCTGGGGTTAGAGGTCACCGTAGAATTAAGGTCATGGGATCCAGAGGTTGTACAATCTGGTCAAAATCTGAGGATGGAAATTGGGATTCTATCCAAAATCACATATCTGAGATTGGAGGTCATAGCGTTTGGGGTGTGGGGCCCGAAGTTTGGGGTCATGGAGGCTGGGGCCCAATAAACTAGGATCAGGGGACACTGGCGTTGGAAGCAGTGAGGTTTGGAAGATGCAGAGCTGAGGTTGGAGGTTAAGGTAAAGACAGGGACATGGGGTCAGGAGACAGAAGATATGAGATCAAGCTGGGATCATAAGGTAATAAGACAGAAGGTCAAAGATCACAGTAGCTGGCATTGAAGAGGGTCAGGTCTGGATTCGTTGTCTCTGACGCTGGAGAGACAAGAAAGTTCTTGAGTTATGCCACTCAAAGTCAAATGTCAAAGATCAAAGAGACCGTCAATCATCTGGGGTCATGATTCATATGAAATTAAGTCATAAATATGTAACTTGGAGGTTTCGGGATTGTAGTACAGGTCGGTGAGGGGCAGGGGTATTGACATGGATGGGCCACATCCAGGGAAGAGGGACGTGGCCTCAAAGTGGGGAGATTTAGGGGACCCTGCAGCACGCATGTTCTCTCTCCAGACCCATTCCCGGATCTGCTCCAGTGCCTCAACCTCTCCATCGTCTCCCATGCCACCTGCCATGGTGTGTATCCCGGGAGAATCACGAGCAACATGGTGTGTGCAGGCGGCGTCCCGGGGCAGGATGCCTGCCAGGTGAGCCAGTGCAGGCAGCGTGCGTGGTCACCAGGACAGGAAGTGAAGGGGAGGGGCTGGAAGCAGGAGGGGAACTGATGGAGGATGAATCAGGGAAAGGGGATGCTGCAGAGAGACGGGGTCAAAAAGGAAGGGAGAGGCTGGTTACGGAGGCTCACACCTGTAATCCCAGCACTTTGGGAGGCCGAGGCGGGCGGATCACTTGAGGTCAGGAGTTCAAGACAAGCCTGGCCAACACGGTGAGACTCTGAATCTACTAAAAATACCAGAATTAGCCGGGGGTGGTGGTGCAAGCCTGTGGCCCCAGCTACTTGGAAGGCTGAGGCAGGAGAATCGCTTGATCCCGGGAGGCGGAGGTTGCAGTGAGCTGAGATCACGCCACTGCACTCCAGCCTGGGCGACAGAGCCAGACTCTGTCTCAAAACAAAATAATTAATAATAATAATAATAATAATAATAATAATAATGGAGGAGAGGCCCAGGATAAGGGAGGGAGAGAGACAGGGAGTAAAAGGGAGGACCGGGGAATGGAGGAGGGGGAGGGGCAGGGAGAGAGAGGGAGGAAGGGAACAGAGAAGGAAAGATGGGGCAGGGGTTACAGAGAGAGACAGCAAAACAGACGGAGAGGACTGGGAGCCCAGACAGGGAACCAGCTGTTTCTGGGGCTCTAAGTCTTTCCCATACCATCCTCCAGTTGGTGCTGTCCCAGACTGAGAGAGATTTGAGGATGGCGGTCTCTCCCCTCATTGGTCAGGGCCCCAGCCATTGTCCTTGAGAGAACTCTGTGCTTTTGATGGAGTCCTGCCCACCTTCCCTGGGATTGGTCATTTTTGATGGCACTCTCTCCCCTCATTGGTCAGAACCCCAGGCATTGTCCTTGAGAGAACCTCTATCCTTTATGGAGTCCCACCCTCCTCCCCTGGGATTGGTCATTGATAATAGTGTTCTCTCTCCTCATTGGTCAGGGCCCCAGCCATTGTCCTTGAGAGAATGCTCGACTCTTTATGTTGTCTTGACAGCCTCCCCTGAGATTGGTCATTAATGACTGTGCTCTCTCTCCTCATTGGTCAGGGCCCCAGCCATTGTCCTTGAGAGAACCTCTGTCCTTTATGGAGTTCCACCCTTCTTCCCTGGGATTGGCCCCTAGAGACAGTGGTTCTTCTCTTTTGGTTAGCCATTGCCATTGTCCTCCGGGAAAGTGATTATACTCTTTTGTCTAATGACCAGACTTGGAGCCCTCCCCAAGGCCCAGGACTGGGTTGAAGGGTTGGGGAGGAAAACAGAAATAAGATGTCTCCCTTGTTCAGACAGTACTTCTCTTCCCTTCCAGGGTGATTCTGGGGGCCCCCTGGTGTGTGGGGGAGTCCTTCAAGGTCTGGTGTCCTGGGGGTCTGTGGGGCCCTGTGGACAAGATGGCATCCCTGGAGTCTACACCTATATTTGCAAGTATGTGGACTGGATCCGGATGATCATGAGGAACAACTGACCTGTTTCCTCCACCTCCACCCCCACCCCTTAACTTGGGTACCCCTCTGGCCCTCAGAGCACCAATATCTCCTCCATCACTTCCCCTAGCTCCACTCTTGTTGGCCTGGGAACTTCTTGGAACTTTAACTCCTGCCAGCCCTTCTAAGACCCACGAGCGGGGTGAGAGAAGTGTGCAATAGTCTGGAATAAATATAAATGAAGGAGGGGCCATGTCTGTCCATTTGAAGTCCTCATGCTGGTTGAGACTGGAAGAAGGACTCAGCAGTTTCCCTATCTCATAGGAGTAGAAACAGAGCTCAAATAAGGCCAGGCACAGTGGCTCACACCTGTAATCCCATCACTTTGGGAAGCTGAGGCAGGTGGATCACCTGAGGTCAGGAACTCGGGACCAGCCTGGTCAACATAGTGAAACCCCAACTCTACTAAAAATGCAAAAATTAGCCAGGCATGGTGGCGCATGCCTGTAATCCCAGCTACTCAGGAGGCTGAGACAGGAGAATAGCATGAACCCGTGAGGCAGAGGCTGCAGCGAGCCGAGATTGAACCATTACACTCCAGCCTGGGCGACAGAGCGAGACTCCATCTCAAAAACAAACAAACAAAAAACCCAGTGCTCAAATAGGATGAGGGTCTTCCCTGAGTAGTTACTCAGAAATGGAGTAGAAAAAGTTACTTTTAATAATATAGGCCGGGTGCAGTGGCCCACGCC
The DNA here is from genome assembly GCF_000001405.40 of Homo sapiens. Taxonomy (NCBI): domain Eukaryota; kingdom Metazoa; phylum Chordata; class Mammalia; order Primates; family Hominidae; genus Homo; species Homo sapiens. Next base: position 51,028,590 of record NC_000019.10, on the reverse strand, counting down.
TGTAATCCCAGCACTTTGGGAGGCCGAGGTGGGAGGATGGCTTGAGCTCAGATTTCGAGATCAGCCTGGCAACACAGTGAAATCTTGTCACTACAAAAACACAAAAAATTAGCTGGGTGTGGTGGTGCGTGCCTGTAGTCCCAGCTACTTGGGAAGCTGAGGTGGGAGGATCACCCGAGCCGGGGAGGTGGAGGCTGCAAAGAGCCGAGATCATGCCACTGCACTCCAGCCTGGGCAATAAAGTGAGACCTTGTCTCAAAAACAAAAACCCAGCAATATAAATAAGACACATGTTTCTTCATCTGGCATAATAGAAATAGTGCCCAGAGCTTATAAGCTTTTCAAGAGTCCACAAAAGACCCGAAAAAGAAAAAGAAAATTGTTAGCTCCAAAATACCAGATGAAAGCTGCAAAGTCAACATTTATGACCATTTAATCCAATGTCCATAAAACGTAGCATTCTTTCCACTAGCCAACTGCAGTTTACTTTCTTGTAATGAAGCATACATTGTATCTTTAATGTGGGACGTGGCTTTGTTCTAATAAGACGAAGGGTGGAGTGCAGGCTTGGAAAGCAGGAGAGCTCAGCCTACGTCTTTAATCCTCCTGCCCACCCCTTGGATTCTGTCTCCACTGGGACTCAAGAGGTGAGGAGAGACCATCTCCCCAAATGCACTGAAGGGAAACTGGAGGAGGGAGGGAGTGAGGGGTGATCATACCAGCGGAGGCACATTTGCTGAGCCCCCCCGCAGTCTGCTCTTTCCAAGTGGACCCTCCTGGAAGCCTGATCCCAACCTCCCCTGCAAGCAGGTCTGTCACCCCCATCTCTCAGATGAAGAAACTGAGCCTTGCAGGGGTGGAGTCCCTTGTCCCCACGTCATAAGGGTAGTCATAGTAGTAGGAAGAGGAAGCACCTAGGTTTGAGGCCAGGGCTGGCTGCTGTCAGAACCTAGGCCCTCCCCTGCCTTGCTCCACACCTGGTCAGGGGAGAGAGGGGAGGAAAGCCAAGGGAAGGGACCTAACTGAAAACAAACAAGCTGGGAGAAGCAGGAATCTGCGCTCGGGTTCCGCAGATGCAGAGGTTGAGGTGGCTGCGGGACTGGAAGTCATCGGGCAGAGGTCTCACAGCAGCCAGTAAGTGAACAGCTGGACTCGGGCTGCCTGGGCGGCAGGGAGAAGCGGGCAGGGGAAGGGTCAGCAGAGGAGCGAGGCCCCAGAGGAGCCCTGGGGTGGAGCACAGCCAAGGGCTCTGTTCCCTTTCCTGGACTCGGCTTCCACAGGCCCTGACCTGCCTCCCCCACCCTCCGGTCCTGCCCCTGTGCCTGGCAGCAGCCCCACCTGTGTGACATCCCAGCACACCCCCCCTCTCCTTGCAAAGGAGAAGGGAGCGGCCTAGGGGAGGCCAGGGGCCCACCTGGGCTGGGGCTGTGGAGAGGGAGTGGCTGGGACGGGAGGAAAAAGAGAGACGGAGATTAGATGGAAGAAGAGGGATTTCAAGACAAATTGCCAGAGATGCAGTCAGAGAGACTGACTGAGAGACACAAAGATAGAAGGAATTAGAGAAAGGGCCACACAGAGCCAGACAGAGAGAGAAGAGTGGAGATGGAGACAGGGACGAGGACAGAGAAAGGCAGACAGACACATAGGGACAGAAAGAGAAAAATCACACAAAGTCAGAATTACTGAATGACAGGGAATGACACATAGAACGAGACACAGATTCAGAGACTCAGGGCAGGGAAAGGAAGGCTGCAGACAGACAGACAGACAGAGGGAGGCTGAGACACAGGGAGAAGAGGGGCTTGGAGAGGTGGCACAGGCAGGCAGCCAGTGCCTCAGAGGCCTCCGGGGAGGGCCCTCACACACACCCCGCCCCGGGGCATTAAGGCAGGGCTTGGAGGCCAGTCATCCTGGGCCCGCCCAGGGCCGCCCCCCTGCCAGCCCGCCTGCCTGGTGCCTGGCACCTGGCGCTCCAACCCAGCCTACCTGCTGTAGCTGCCGCCACTGCCGTCTCCGCCGCCACTGGGCCCCCAGAGCCCCAGCCCCAGAGCCTGTGAGTCCAGGAGGAAAGGGAAGCTGCCCCTCCCCGTCCAGGTGTCAGCCCTCCCCAAGGACACCTGTCCCACTCGGGCACCCATTTCTCCCTCTGCTCTGTCCTTCTCTGCTTGGGTGGGGGTTCCTGGCCTCTCTCTACACCTCTCACCTCCGATGGCTGTCCGCAGCCTCAGTTACCTCTAATCTCCATGGCTTCAGCTGCTGAGCTGGCCCTCTGCTCCCACCCCCGCTGGCCAGGGCAGCGGAGGGCACTGGCCCTCCCCTCGACCAGCCCCGCCCAGCTTTGCTTGGCTGTCCTTCAAAAGGGCAGGGGTTTGGCGGACAGGGCTTCAGCAAGCCGGGTGATGGGGGTCCCAGACATTGTCTGGGGCTGAGCCCCCTACTCCCCTCCAGCAGACCTCAAAGGCTCCATATCGCTCTGCTGCGAAGACAATGAAAAAGGGGTGGCTACGGAACGGTGTCTGGTTCCCCTTGTCCTTCCACCCCAAGCTGCTGGGGCCTGGCCAGCTCTCAAGGCAAGAAGGAAAACATCCTCTGACATGTGCCGGGGAGGTCCCATGGCTGACTTGAACAGGGCCGAACCATGGCTTGACAGCTCAAAGCCCCTCCCAACGACTTCCACATGGTTCTTGGTATCTCGGAAGCTTCTAGCTGTGACCAGGCCCTCTCCAAGGCCACCCTAGACACCTAAGATATATTTTAAGTGTTTGGAGATCTGAGTGCTGTGAGAAACAGGGGATTTCCCCAACCTTGTTTCTCCCAAGTGGGGAGCGGGAGCAGGTGAGGGAGAGAGGAGAGGGCATGAGCCAGCCCCCCCCTCCCGATTTCCCCGTAAAGTGATGCGGCCCCATGTCCCTCCTTGTTCCCAGAGGAACCTGGGGCCCGCTCCTCCCCCCTCCAGGCCATGAGGATTCTGCAGTTAATCCTGCTTGCTCTGGCAACAGGTACGCAGGGGATGGGGGCAGGGCAGGATCCTCCCTCTTGAATCTCTGGGATCCCCTAACCCTCTGTGTCTGGACAGTGACAGGGCTGATTCCAAATTACAGAACAACCCATAAGGCACCTGAACTGGAGCAGTGGTCATGAGGGCCTGGATGCCCTTCTAGATAATCCCTTTAAATGCCAAAGGAGGAGAGGTCAAGGGGGTCGTAAAGGGTCCCGTGGAGGGGCTGAGGAAGCTGGAGTTGGGGGAGCAGTCACTCAAAGCGCCCAGGACAGGGGCTACTGACCAACCAGTATGGAAGTATTTCCTTTTTTTTTTTTCCCAGAGACAAAGTCTTGCTCTATTGTCCAGGCTGGAGTGCCGTGGTGCCAACACGGCTCACTGCAGTCTTGACTTCCCGGGCTTAAGTGATCCTTAAGCCATCTCAGCTTCCCCGGTAGCTGGGACCACAGGCACCTGCCACCAAGCCAGGCTAATTGTTTAATTGTTTGTAGAGATGGGGGAGGAGGTCTCACTATGTTTGCCTAGGCTGATCTAGAACTCCTGGGCTCAAGTAATCCTCCCACCTTAGCCTCTCAAAGTGCTGGGATTACAGGCATGAGCCACTGCATTTGACCTTATGGAAGTATTTTCATCCTTTAATACCCGACCCCAGCATCCAGGGCAACCCAGAGGGACACCAGACCAGGGCCCAGACCACCCACTCTCTTTCTCTCCTCCCCACCCCCATTTCTGGGAGTCCTCCTGGTCTACCACCTCTCCTTCCTGAGCCCCTTCTTTTGCTCTCACCCCCTCCAGGGCTTGTAGGGGGAGAGACCAGGATCATCAAGGGGTTCGAGTGCAAGCCTCACTCCCAGCCCTGGCAGGCAGCCCTGTTCGAGAAGACGCGGCTACTCTGTGGGGCGACGCTCATCGCCCCCAGATGGCTCCTGACAGCAGCCCACTGCCTCAAGCCGTGGGTGCGGGGGCTGGGGCGGTGCCGGGGTGGGGGGCTGGGAATGGGGAGATGGATGGAGAGAAGCTCAGGGATAGGGGTGCTGGTAAGGGGATTAGAGATGGGGATGGGTAGTGTCAGCAAGGTTGATGGGCTCGAGTTGGTATTGAAGGTGGGGGGATGAATGGGGTTGGGATGGGGCTATGGCTGGGAAGGGGGCTTCGGTGGGAGACGTGGAAGAGGTTGGAAGCAGAGCGATGTTTCTTCATCCTCAAAGGTGTCACTCACCTCTCCCACCCATGTCTCCCCCGACCTTTCCTCCTCCAACTACTGTCTCTCCCACCTCAGCCGCTACATAGTTCACCTGGGGCAGCACAACCTCCAGAAGGAGGAGGGCTGTGAGCAGACCCGGACAGCCACTGAGTCCTTCCCCCACCCCGGCTTCAACAACAGCCTCCCCAACAAAGACCACCGCAATGACATCATGCTGGTGAAGATGGCATCGCCAGTCTCCATCACCTGGGCTGTGCGACCCCTCACCCTCTCCTCACGCTGTGTCACTGCTGGCACCAGCTGCCTCATTTCCGGCTGGGGCAGCACGTCCAGCCCCCAGTGTAGGAGCACCAGAGGGGAACCTGGCAGGGGGTGGTGAGGAGGGAGTGGTCAGGATTGTGGAAGGGTTCAGGGCATCAGAGATGCGGTTCACAGTGACGATGTGGGATAAGTTGAGAGGATGTGTGGAAAACGTCAGGATAGGGGGGTGGGGACAAAAGTTGGGGCCTTGGAGTCAGACGGACGGGATATGCAATCATACATCCATAACCTCCTGGTTGTAAGACCTTAGGCAAGCAGCTTCACCTCTCTGAATCTTGATTTTCTTCTCTATAAAATGAGAATGATTATACCCACCTGTCAGGATTGGATTAGAGATAATGTATATCAAGCAACTGACATAAATCATTTATTGGATAGCAGGCTGGGCACCGTGGCTCACGCCTGTAATCCCAGCACTTTGGGAGGCCGAGGTGGGAAGATCACCTGAGGTCAGGACTTTGATACCAGCCTGGCCAACGTGGTGAAATCCCATCTCTACTAAAAATGTGAAAATTAGTTGGGCGTGGTTGTGTGCGCCTGTAATCCCAGCTACTCGGGAGGTTGAGGCAGGAGAATCGCTTAAACTTGGGAGACGGAGGTTGCAGTGAGCCAAGATCACGCCACTGCACTCCAGCCTGGGCAACAGAGCAAGACTCTGTCTCGAAAAAAAAAAAAAAAAAGCTGGATAGCATTGCTGTTGCTATTGTTACAAGAAGAGAGGTGAGTTGGCTGCGTCTAAGGACAGGGATTCCCCCAGGGGCGGGATCACAGCAAGCACTGCATTAGGGGAGGTGGCAGGGGGCTCATTCCCACAGCCCCTCACGCTGTTTCCACAGTACGCCTGCCTCACACCTTGCGATGCGCCAACATCACCATCATTGAGCACCAGAAGTGTGAGAACGCCTACCCCGGCAACATCACAGACACCATGGTGTGTGCCAGCGTGCAGGAAGGGGGCAAGGACTCCTGCCAGGTCAGTGTGGTCTCCAACCACAGCCCCATCCCCATCCCCAGCTTCAATGACATCTTTACCGACATCCACAATTTCATCCCCAACCTCAACCCGCCGACCCCTGCAACTCCCAATCCATCTCTTCCCCTGTTCCCGTTTCTGACCTCAGCACAAACTTCAGCTCCATCCCCGTTTCCACACCATTTCCAGCTCCAACCATCCCCAAACTCGTTTTTGAGCCTAACCCCATCCTTTATCCCACCCATAATCCCAGCTTTATCGCTAAACCTATCACCTTTCCCAGTGCCTACCCATCCTGTCTCGGCCCCACTCCTAAGCACCGTCCCCACCTCCTCCCTGGCTAACACCATGCTCAACGCTTTCTCTGACCGACATTCTCTCTCCCCGTGCCCAGGGTGACTCCGGGGGCCCTCTGGTCTGTAACCAGTCTCTTCAAGGCATTATCTCCTGGGGCCAGGATCCGTGTGCGATCACCCGAAAGCCTGGTGTCTACACGAAAGTCTGCAAATATGTGGACTGGATCCAGGAGACGATGAAGAACAATTAGACTGGACCCACCCACCACAGCCCATCACCCTCCATTTCCACTTGGTGTTTGGTTCCTGTTCACTCTGTTAATAAGAAACCCTAAGCCAAGACCCTCTACGAACATTCTTTGGGCCTCCTGGACTACAGGAGATGCTGTCACTTAATAATCAACCTGGGGTTCGAAATCAGTGAGACCTGGATTCAAATTCTGCCTTGAAATATTGTGACTCTGGGAATGACAACACCTGGTTTGTTCTCTGTTGTATCCCCAGCCCCAAAGACAGCTCCTGGCCATATATCAAGGTTTCAATAAATATTTGCTAAATGAGTGAATCTACTGAGTGCTTACTATGTGCTAGACCCTGATCCAATGGCTTTTATTTTATTTTATTTTTTGACAGAGTCTCGCTCTGTCACCCAGGCTGGAGTACAGTGGTGCTATCTCTGCTCACTGCAACCTCCACCTCCTGGGTTCAAGCAATTCTCCTGCCTCAGCCTCCTGAATAGCTGGGATTACAGGTGCCTACCACCACATCCGGCTAATTTTTGTATTTTTTAGTAGAGATGGGGCTTCACCATGTTGGCCAGGCTGGTCTCGAACTCCTGACCTCAGATGATCTGCCCTCCTTGGCCTCCCAAACTCCTGGGATTACAGACGTGAGCCACCGCGCCCGCCCGGCTTTCATTTATTAATTAAAAGAAATTAAATTAATTAATCTATTTAGGAGACAGTCTTGCTCTGTTGCCCAGGCTGGAGTGCAGTAACAATCACAGCTCACGGCAATCTCAATTTCCTGGGGTCAAGTGATTGTCCTCCCTCAGCCTCCAGAGTAGCTGGGACTACAGGCACATGCCACGAAGCCCAGCTAATTTTTGTATTTTTCGTAGAGACAGAGGTCTCAGTATGTTGCCCCGGCTAGTCTCAAACTCCTGGGCTCAAGCAGTCTGTCCTCCTCAGCCTCCAAAAGTGGTGAGATTACAGGCATGAGTCGCTGTGCCTGGCCTCCAAGCACTTTCAAATGTATCAACTTAATCCTCACAAAACCCTGTGAGGTCGGTACTGTTTTCATACCTATTTTATAGTTGAAGAAACAGACACAGAGAAGCAAAGTCACTTGCTCACAGTCACGTGGCTAGGAGAGCAAGGATCTGAAGCAAGGCGATCTCTTAATTACCAAGTGATGTTCCTGGAGTAAGGCTCTGTTTGTTTCCTTTCCTGTAAAATGCTGCATGCAAAAGTATAACACAGTAAGTAAAGAAGTCAGTTAGCCTGCACATACTAAGACCTAACCAAAGGAGCTTATTGTTTTTCTCCAACTTCCATGATAGGTAATTAGATAGTGGAGACCTCTGCTGGCCAATATGGTAGCCACTAACCGCAGCTGGCTCTTCCAATTAAAATTACATAAAGCCAGAAATGTAACTCCTCTGTCTCACTTGTTATATCTCCAAGGCTGGATAGCCACATGTGACTGGTGGTGGCTGGATTAGCTAGTGCATATAAAACATCACTGCAGAAAGTTCAGCTGAGCAGCACTGAGTTAGATGGCCTCTGAAGAGGATGTCCCACGGAGAGAATCCAGAACTCAGGATCTTTTTTTTTTTTTTTCTTTGCGACAGAGTCTTGCTCTGTCACCCAGGCTGGAGTGCAGTGGCGTGATCTCGGCTCACTGCAACTTCTGCCTCCCAGGTTCAAGCAATTCTCCTGCCTCAGCCTCCCTAGTAGCTGGGACTACAGGCCTGTGCCAACATCCCCAGCTAATTTTTGTGTCTTTTTAGTAGAGATGGGGTTTCACTATGTTGGCCAGGCTGGTCTCGAACTCCTGACCTCGTGATCCGCCCCCCCTTGGCCTCCCAAAGTGCTGGGATTACAGGCGTGAGCCACCGCGCCCGGCCAGCTCAGGATCTTTTGGGATGGTCTGTTCACCTCGCAGAAGTGGCTGGCATGAGCAATAGGAGCCCAGAGTGGAACCAGGGCCTTCTGGTTGTCAAGTGGACTTGCTGTGTGACCTCCTGTGAGTCTCTGCCCTCTCTGAGCCTCTCACTCCTCACCTGAGATGAGGGAGTTGGCTGAGGTGATGCCGATGCCCCTCACAGCTTTGACCTCCTATGATTCAGGGGCCTGTGTGTCACCTGGTGGCACACAGATGGCAGGGAGGGTGTGAGATGGCCACACATGGGTATGAGGCAGAGCCACAGCCCCCCCCAACACGCACATGGGCTAGTCACTGGGACACACACAGAGCTCACTCACGGCCACAGAGTGGGCGTGGGTTTCCCTTTTTCCTTGTTTCTGTTTCTCTTAGCCTCGGCGCCTCCCTCCCTCCCTCTCTCTCTCTCTCTCTCTCTCTCTCTCTCTCTCTCTGGCTCTTTTAGCCTTGGTTTGTTACAATCTCCCTTTTCAAGCCAGCCTCTGTCCCTCCTACTCAACCTGCTTTATCTCTAGGCCTTCCTCCTTCCTCTTCCACAGTCTGGCTTCTCACATTGTCACTCTAGGTATGCACTTCCCATTGATTTCCTCTTGCTCAGTGGCCTCTCATCCTGCCACCCCTAGCCTTGCTGGGGACGTGAACCCTCTCCCCGCGCCTGGGAAGCCTTCTTGGCACCGGGACCCGGAGAATCCCCACGGAAGCCAGTTCCAAAAGGGATGAAAAGGGGGCGTTTCGGGCACTGGGAGAAGCCTGTATTCCAGGGCCCCTCCCAGAGCAGGAATCTGGGACCCAGGAGTGCCAGCCTCACCCACGGTACAATTAGACAGAGGGAAAGGGAGGGAGCCCGGGGGTGGGGGTAGGGGAGGGTGGAGAAGCTTCCGGACTCCTTGGGGTTAAAAGGGAAGGTCCCGCCAGGGGTCCCTGGGCAGAGGATACCAGCGGCAGACCACAGGCAGGGCAGAGGCACGTCTGGGTCCCCTCCCTCCTTCCTATCGGCGACTCCCAGGTGAAGCTACCTGCACCCCACCCGGGTTGGGGTGGATTGCGAGAGGATGGGTGGGGACCCCCGGGCCACAGGCAGGAGCCGGCTTAGAGCCTCGGTTTCTCCACCTGCGGGACGCGGAAGTCCCCCCGCTGTGAGGTTGAGAAAGAGGCTCCCACTGGCTCCGAGCCTCGGATCCCCACCCCGCGCGTGAAGGAGGGGGAAACCTCGGGCGCGGCGTGGCTGCAGCCAGGGTAGCTGGGGCGCGGAGAGCGCTCCACTCGGGCACAGGGAGGACGGGAAGATGCCGCGAGGGGCGTCATTAGGGTAATTGTGCCCATTACCGCTGTTCCAGCCCGAATCTCCCGTCTGCCAGCCCCTGGGGTTATCGGCTGCAGGTCAAAAGGGTGCTTGCGGGCTGGGGTGGCCCAGGCTGGGCGGATGAGCGCGGCGAGGTGGGGGTCTCTAACGGAGCATCTGTTTTAACCCGCCCCTGCACACACCCCAGCAGATCCTGGCCATGAGAGCTCCGCACCTCCACCTCTCCGCCGCCTCTGGCGCCCGGGCTCTGGCGAAGCTGCTGCCGCTGCTGATGGCGCAACTCTGGGGTAAGGTCGGGGGCAGGGGGCGGGGAGAGGCGCCGGTGGGAGGCACGGGCGGGAGGAGAATGTGTTCCCGTCACCAAGCCCCGCGCACCTCTCCTCCCCCGAGACCCCAGCACCCACCCAGCGCTCCGGAGCACGGCCCGCCCCCAAGTCAGCTGGGCCCTTCTTCTGGCTCGGCCCCTGGGTGACCCGCCCCACTCAGGCCCTGTCCGATTTCTGCCACCCGGATCCTCGCTCTTCCGTGGACTCTTCGCCGCGTTCTTTCTCCTCCTCTTACGCCGCCCCATCCCGGCCCCGCTCCATTTTACACTACCGTGTTTTGTTTTGTTTGTTTGTTTGTTTGAGACGGAGTCTCGCTCTGTCGCCCAGGCTGGAGTGCAGTGACGCGATCTCGGCTCACTGCAAGCTCCGCCTCCCGGGTTCACACCATTCTCCTGCCTCAGCCTCCCGAGTAGCTGGGACTACAGGCGCCCGCCACCAAGCCCGGCTAGTTTTTTGTATTTTTAGTAGAGATGGGATTTCACCGTGGTCTCGATCTCCTGGCCTCGTGATCCGCCTGCCTCGGCCTCCCAAAGTGCTGGGATTACAAGCGTGAGCCACCGCTCCCGGCCACACCACCGTGTTTTATCCTGAGTCTTGCCTTACCGCTTTTTGCCCTCTCCCCTCACTTTTTTTCTTCCTCTTTCCCTTTCTCTCTCTTTTTTCTTTTTCTTTCTTTCTTTTCTTTCTTTCGTTCTTCTTTTCCTTCCTTCCTTTCCTTCCTTCCTTTCGTTTGTTTCTTCTTTCTTGTTTTACTTTCTCTCTTATTTTTTCTTCTTTCTTTCTTGTTTTTTTCTTTCTCTCTCTTTTTCTTTCCTTCTTTTTTTTTTTTTTTTTTTTTTGAGACAGGGCAGTGCTCTGTCTCCGTGGCTGGAGTACAGTGGCCCAATCAGAGCTCACTGCAGCCTCGACCTCCTGGGCTCAAGCGATACTCAGCCTCCAGAGTAGCTGGTACCACAGGCATGCACCACCACATCCGGCTTTTTTTTTTTTTTTTTTTTTTTTTGAGACAGGGTCTCACTCTGTCGCCCAGACTGGAGTGCAGTGGCCCAATCTCGGCTCATTGCAACCTCCACCTCCTGGGCTCAAGCGATCCTCCCACCTCAGCCTCCCAGGTAGCTGTGACTACAGGCGCATGCCTCCGCGACTACTTTTTTGTTGTTGTTGTTGTTGTTTGTTTGTTTTTGTAGAGACTGGGTCTTGCTGTGTTGCCCGGGCTGGTCTTGAATTCCCGAGCTCAAGCGGTCCAACCGCCTCGGCTTCCCAAAGTGCTGGGATTACAGGCGTAAACCACTGCGCCCCACCCCTCTCCTGGTTTTCAATCCCGTTTTGTTATTCACACCCCTTCCTCTCCCCGATCCCCGAGTTCTATCCCCGCACCCTTACCTCCCCGCCGCGTTCAATCCCCGCCCCTCTATCGACCAGCGACGTTCTAGCCAGCTCTCCAGGCGCGCTGCGTTCAGTCCCTGCCCTCCAGACCCACCCTATTCTGTCTCATTACTCCACGCTACCCTATCCCAGCTTCCTTCCACTTTCACGCGCTTCTTCTCCTCCCATTCCCTTCGGTGCACGCGAAACCCCCAATATTTCCCTACCACCCTCGCGTTCTGGCTGCGTCCCCCGTCCCCGAACGCAGTCCAGTGCCACAGCCCAGCTCCAACCCCAAACCCAGACCCTGCCCTCCGTGCTTTGATTCCGTCCCCTTTCTTTCTCCAGCCGCAGAGGCGGCGCTGCTCCCCCAAAACGACACGCGCTTGGACCCCGAAGCCTATGGCTCCCCGTGCGCGCGCGGCTCGCAGCCCTGGCAGGTCTCGCTCTTCAACGGCCTCTCGTTCCACTGCGCGGGTGTCCTGGTGGACCAGAGTTGGGTGCTGACGGCCGCGCACTGCGGAAACAAGTAGGAGGAGATCCATCCCCGAGGACGCCACGGGGGGCTGTGGAGGCGGCCTCCAGGGAGGAGCGGGCAGGGCGGGGTCTCTCGGAACTCCCACAGCTGGAGGTGCGGTCCCCGGTGTCCTTCCAGCAGGAGGAGAGACCGGGCTTGCGCTGTGGCCGCCAGGGGGCGGTGTGGTCCTTTTCCGCATTTCTGGGCCCGTCACTCCTCTCCCGCTGATTCTCCTTGAGCTCTAGGAGGAGGTGGTTGCCTGCAACGGATAGAAGCCAGGGTCCGGTGTGGTCAGGAATTTAGAACTAAAGGAAAAGGTTCACTTCGTGAGTCCCCGTTGAAGGAGGAAGGGTTGGGTATTACCACAGAGAAAATGTGGAGTTGGGCTGGGCTCGGTGGCTCACGCCTGTAATCCCAGCACTTTGGGAGGCCAAGGCGGGTGGATCACCTGAGGTCAGGAGTTCAAGACCAGCCTGGCCAACATGGTGAAACCACTTCTCAACTAAAAATAAAATAAAATAAAAAATAAAAAATTTTAAAAAAATTAAAAAAAAAAAAAGGCTGGGTGTGGTGGTGGGTGCCTGTAATCCCAGCTACTCAGGAAGGAGGCTGAGGCAGGAGAACTGCTTGAACCTGGGAGGTGGAGGTTGCAGTGAGCCGAGATTGCGCCATTGCATTCTAGCCTGGGTGACAAGAGCGAAACTCTGTTTCAACAAAGAAAAGAAAAAGAGAAAAGAAAATGTGGAAGGCTTACCTAGGTGTCCAGGCCCCCAGCCCTCCTCAATTCCTACAGATCCTCAGAGCTCAAACAACTGATTCCTCCTCCCCATGTCCACTGAGGTCCCCTTCTCCCACAAGGCCCTCTTCCCTCAGACTCTTCCTATCTCCAGGCCCTGCGTCACTGCCCACCTGCTTTCCCAGTCCCTATGAAGGGTTTGCCTTCACATGCCTCTTCCTTCCCCCAGGCCACTGTGGGCTCGAGTAGGGGATGACCACCTGCTGCTTCTTCAGGGAGAGCAGCTCCGCCGGACCACTCGCTCTGTTGTCCATCCCAAGTACCACCAGGGCTCAGGCCCCATCCTGCCAAGGCGAACGGATGAGCACGATCTCATGTTGCTGAAGCTGGCCAGGCCCGTAGTGCTGGGGCCCCGCGTCCGGGCCCTGCAGCTTCCCTACCGCTGTGCTCAGCCCGGAGACCAGTGCCAGGTTGCTGGCTGGGGCACCACGGCCGCCCGGAGAGGCAAGAGCTGGGGCTCTGAGGCCGGAACCTCAGGAGGAGGGGGCTGAGGGCCTGAACCCCTGGGTCTGAGGAAGGATGGGCTGGGGACTGGATTCCTGGATCTGAGGGAGGACGGGCTGGGGTCCTAGATGCCTGGGTCTGTGAGTCTGAGGGGAGGAGGGGCTGGGGGCCTGGACTCCTGGGTCTAAGTGGGGAGGGGCTGGGGCCAGGATTCTTGAGTCTGAAGGAGGAGGGGCTGGGGCTTAGGATAGAAACGGTCTTGTATCTGGACTCCTGGCTCCCCAAGGATTGGGGGCTGGACCCAGGGATTACTGGCATATTCTCCCTTCAGTGAAGTACAACAAGGGCCTGACCTGCTCCAGCATCACTATCCTGAGCCCTAAAGAGTGTGAGGTCTTCTACCCTGGCGTGGTCACCAACAACATGATATGTGCTGGACTGGACCGGGGCCAGGACCCTTGCCAGGTAGGGTCTGAACAGGGAGAGTCTCTGACTCCTGGGAGGGAGGACAGGGAGGTTATGGGAAAAGAGCAGACCCTGTGCCCGATCCCCAACTCCATTCCCAAACCCATCCTTGACCCCAACTCTTACCCAGACCTAACCCCCTCCTCATCCCTATCCTCAATCCCATTTCCATCCCAACCCCACCCCATTCCCATCTCCAAGCCCATTTTCATCCCCTCACCTTCCATGAACTACAATCCCAACCCCAGTCTCACTGTGCCTTCATTCTCATCCCCCAGCCCAACCTCCCATAACCTGAAGTCCACCTCCATTCCTACCTTCCAGCTCATACCTAATTCCAACCCCATCCCATCCTCGTCTTTATCCCAACCCAACTCCTTCCTTCCCCACCACTGCCCCAGATCCCAAAGTGACAGCTCTCACGTTGGCACATTTATTTGATCTCTCCTTCCTGCCACCCCCAGAGTGACTCTGGAGGCCCCCTGGTCTGTGACGAGACCCTCCAAGGCATCCTCTCGTGGGGTGTTTACCCCTGTGGCTCTGCCCAGCATCCAGCTGTCTACACCCAGATCTGCAAATACATGTCCTGGATCAATAAAGTCATACGCTCCAACTGATCCAGATGCTACGCTCCAGCTGATCCAGATGTTATGCTCCTGCTGATCCAGATGCCCAGAGGCTCCATCGTCCATCCTCTTCCTCCCCAGTCGGCTGAACTCTCCCCTTGTCTGCACTGTTCAAACCTCTGCCGCCCTCCACACCTCTAAACATCTCCCCTCTCACCTCATTCCCCCACCTATCCCCATTCTCTGCCTGTACTGAAGCTGAAATGCAGGAAGTGGTGGCAAAGGTTTATTCCAGAGAAGCCAGGAAGCCGGTCATCACCCAGCCTCTGAGAGCAGTTACTGGGGTCACCCAACCTGACTTCCTCTGCCACTCCCTGCTGTGTGACTTTGGGCAAGCCAAGTGCCCTCTCTGAACCTCAGTTTCCTCATCTGCAAAATGGGAACAATGACGTGCCTACCTCTTAGACATGTTGTGAGGAGACTATGATATAACATGTGTATGTAAATCTTCATGGTGATTGTCATGTAAGGCTTAACACAGTGGGTGGTGAGTTCTGACTAAAGGTTACCTGTTGTCGTGATCTGACCACGTCCCGGTGAAAGCGTGTGTCCAGGGAAGAAGTGCACAGGGTAGCCCCCAGTCCCAACCTTCCATCCCCAACCCTTAGGGATGATGGAAGAATCATTTTCCTCACCCTAGTTCCAAGTCCCAGGAAACACCTTTTAACCACTTCCTTCTCATCTCCCACTGTTTCCCACTTCTGGTTCCACCCAACACCAGTTCCTCCGAGCTAGGCTGGCCCTGAGTCATTAGCACCTTCTCTGCCTTCATGAGGCCACTGAACTCAAGGGACCTCACCTTGCTTCTATCCCAGCCTCTAAGACCAGAGGGCCGAGGGGGTAGTGAAGATTGGGAAACCCTTGCCACCTCAACTGCCCAGCTTGTGCCAAGAAACCTCCCTCTGACATTTAGGGGAAAATCTTTGGTTTGTCTGTTATTAATTGGCTGTGAGATTTTCGTCCTGAAAACTTGGGAGGAGGAATTGTTTGATTCTCCCTGAAATTGGGGGAGGGAAGGGGAGTTAATACACAGAATCCAGGTAAGGCTAATAGAAGCTTCAGTGTCCGCTGGGTGTGGTGGCTCACGCCTGTAATCCTAGCACTTTGGGAGGCCGAGGAAAGCAGATCATCTGAGGTCAGGTGTTCGAGACCAGTCTGGCCAAAATGGTGAAATCCCATCTCTACTGAAAATACAAAAACTAGCCAGGCATGGTGGCAGGCACCTATAATCCCATCTACTTGGGAGGCTGAGGCAGAAGAATCACTTGAACCCGGGGGGCAGAGGTTGCAGTGAGCCAAGATTGCACCATTGCACTCCATCCAGCCTGGACAAAAGAGCAAAACTCCATCTCAAAAAAAGAAGAAGTTTGAGTGTCTCAGCTTATCCTGAACTTTGAAGCAGTAACATAAGCTAGCTGAATATAGGCACAACAGAAATTTCCCATTAAGCACGGGGTTTTTGTTTGTTTGTTTGTCCTTTCAGTTACCAATTTATGGAGCATCTATTATGTGCCAGGCCCAGTGCTGGGTGCTGGGGACATACGTAGGGGTGATCACAAGGTCCCCCACCCTGCAGAGCCCACAGGAGGTTGATGTACAAGGTCTGAGCACACAGCTCCCTTCCGTGGCCTCTTTCCCATTCTGCCCCCATTAGCACACGCAGGAAATGTCAGACAGGCGTATCAGCTGGGTTTGTCATCCAAAGACCAGAAGCGAGGTCGGTGGAAACTTGAAAACTCGATTCATTATTAAAGGCAACTCACCCGTCCCTTTAGTCACTCCACAATGTTTATCGAGCCACGTCTTATGCCAGGCCTCAAAGATGAATCAGACCAGGCACTACCCTCAAGGAGCTGCTAGTTAGGTCAGGGAGACAGGCCAGTCTTACATTCCTGTCATTCAGGTCTCCACTCAAAAGTCACCTCCTCCGGGAGGCCTTCCTGAATTGCCCAGGCTATAGGAGTCCACTTTTGGTCATCCAGTCCCGATGCTCTGTTTTTTGTTTGTTTGTTTTTTTTTTTAATAGCACCTATTATACCTGAAATTATCTCATTTGTGTTTACTTGATAATGGTCTATGTCACCCTTCCCCACAAATTCCGTGAGGGCAGTGATTCAGATATTTGTTCACTGTGATTTTCTAAGCTCCTGTATTGTGCCCGGCACACAGAAGTCACCCCCGTTGCTGTGTGAACACATAACACAAATAGATCAGTGCTGTAACAGAAGGGGGTATGGGGTGCACCACACCAAGTCCACAGGCTGTGCCTGAAGGAGTCAGGAAAGGCTTCTCAATGAGGGGACATTTGTGCAGGAGTTTAAAGGATAAGTAGGAGTTCACCAGGTAGAGAAGGAAATGCATTTCAATCACTTTGCTGTATGACTTTGAGCAAATTACTTGAATGCTGTCTCTTCCTCAGTTTTCACTCTGTGAAATGGAGACACCTGCTTAATTAGACTCCCGTGAGAGTTAAATGAGATAGGCTGGGCGCAGTGGCTCACTCCTATAATCCCAGAACTTTAGGAGGCTGAGATGGGTGGAATGCTTGAGCTCAGGAGTTTAAGATCAGCCTGAGCAACATAGTGAAACCTCGTCTCTACTAAAAAAAAAAAAAAAAAAAAAAAAAAAATTAGCCTTGCATGGTGGTGCACACCTTGTAGTCCTAGCTACTCAGGAGGCTGAGGCAGGAGGAATACTTGAGTCCAGGAGGTTGAGGCTGCAATGAACTATGATCATGCCGCTGCACTCCAGCCTTGGCAACAGAGACCCTGTGTCAAAAAACAAAAAACAACAACAACAAAAGGATAATTAAATGAGATAATATACATGCAAAGTTCACCTAACACCAGGCACTGAGAACACAGTCAATAAAGGTAGCTATTAAAATGCTCATTTTTTTTTTATTTTTCTTTTGAGAGTCTTGCTCTGTTGCCCAGGCTGGAGTGCAGTGGCACGATCTAGGCTCACTGCAACCTCTGCCTCCCGGGTTCAAGCAATTCTCCTGCCTCAGCCTCCCGAGTAGCTGGGATTACAGGCCGCCCGCCACCATGCCTGGCTAATTTTTGTGTTTTTAATAGAGTCAGAGTTTCACCATGTTGGCCAGGCTGGTCTTGAACTCCTGACCTCAAGTGATCCACCCACCTCGGTCCCCCAAAGTGCTGAGATTACAGGCGTGAGCCACCGCGCTTGGTCTAAAATGCTCTTAATAGCAGTTAAGGTGGCACTTAGCACATAGTGGATACCCAGTCCCTGATCTCAAGGACTTCCCTGTCTGGAAAGGGAGTGAGACAACTGCAGGCAAGGGTGAAATGAGCTATGATAAAGGCACCACAGGTTTCTGCAGGGGATGAAGAGACATTGAACATTTACCATGTGTCAGACACTGTTGTGCTTCATGTGTGTAAATTTGCTTAATCCCCCCAACGACCCTCGTTATTACTGCTACTTAACAGATGGAGCAGGCCAGGTGCGGTGGCTCACGCCTGTAATCCCAGCACTTTGGGAGGCTGAGGCAGGCGGATCACGAAGTCAAGAGTTGGAGACCAGACTGGCCAACATGGTGAAACCCCGTCTCTACTAAAAGTACAGAAATTAGCCAGGTGTCTTGGCGCACGCCTTTAGTCCCAGCTACTTGGGAGGTCGAGGCAGGAGAATTGCTTGAACCCAGGAGGCAGAGGTTGCAGTGAGCTGAGATCGCGCCACTGTACTTCAGCCTGGGTGTCAGAGCAATACTCCGTTTTGGAAAACAAACAAACAAACAAACAAACAAAAAACAGATGGAGCAACTGAGAGAGGTCTTGTGACTTGCCCAAAGTCACACACCTCATCACTAATCACACCTAATCATTGAGATTTGGACACACATGGTTCAGTTCCAGAGTCCATGCTCCAAACCATGACGACACAGTGAGAGAACATTCAAGGGGAGCCCAGACCCAGCTTCATAACCAGGCCTGTGAGCAGGAGAAAGTGGAAGGGATCGTAAGTGCCCAGGGGAGGCAAAGATGGACTCTGCCTGAGGATCTCAGAGATTTCCTGGAGGAGGGAGAATTGAGGTTGGGTGTTGAAGGATGAGTGGGAGTTCACCAGGAAAAGAAGGATATGGAGAAAGACATTCACTCATTCAATGAACATCTCCTGAGGACTTCTGCAAGCCCTGTTCCGCCTGGAACGGGGTGATGCTGGGACACAGAGATGAGTCAGACCTGGGCCCAGCCCTCCAGAAGCTGTCCACCTGGTGAGAAGGAATGATGAGGAGAGAGGCAGGGAGGATGGGGTGATGGAAGGGACAATGGGGTGGGGGGCAGGGAGATGGATGAAAAAAATATATAGCAAATGTTCTCAGGATTTGGCAAAGATCAGGATGTATTAAGAGAGAGCACAGGGCACTTGCTACCTGGAAGGTTGGGCACCTGGGTCCTTGGGTGGTGGAGCCGTGGGGAAGGGGGCAGGTTATGACAAGAGTGGGTTAATCCAGATGGAACCAGATTTCTCAACATTCTAGGAGAGGGCCTTGTCCTTGTGGGAAGAGGCCCAAATCCCCAGGGCAGGGAAGGTTCTGCAAGGTGTGTAAACCTGTGCAGCTGCCTGTGGTCTCTGCCTCACTCCACCTGGATTTCCCTCAATCTTTCCCGTGTTCTGTCTCCTCCTCCCACTCCTCCTCTCATCTTGGGTCCTTCTGTGCCTGTACCTCCCTCTCTTTGTATCTTTTGCTCTTGTGTCTGAGTCCTGACTCTGTCTTCCACCCCTCGCCTCCTTTCTGGGTGGTCCCCCTGCACATCCCTCCAGCCTGCCGTGGGAGGTTGGTCTCTGCACACCACTGCTTTATCCAAAATAAACCTGCTGCACCCCAGGACCTTAGGCTTCAAGGATCTCCCTCCTTTTCCAGGACACAAAAGATTCTGTATCTTGTAGCCTAAGGTGATGAGGAATGAGGTCTCCCACTCTGAAGACCCCAGAGGAGGTGCCCACAACCTCTCCACACCCCCAGCACTCCTCCTCCATTCAGTCAAGCTCTGGCCCAGCAAGCCGCCAGTTCATCCCAAAAGGGGGGTCCCCCTGCACTTACCTCCTCTCCCAAGGCCCCTGTCACAGCCCCAGGGCTTCCCCCTCCCCCAGGTACATTTCCCAACCCCGATTAATCACAGGGGCGGCCCCATGGAGGAGGAAGGAGATGGCATGGCTTACCATAAAGAAGCACTGGACGCCGGGTGCACGTTCCAGGATCCAGGTGCCCAGGGGTCATGAAGCTGGGACTCCTCTGTGCTCTGCTCTCTCTGCTGGCAGGTGAGGCTCCCAGGCTGGCTGCCCCTTCACGGCTGTACTAAGGTCACCTTGCTCTTCCCTCCCATCCCAGGCTTCTGCCTCCTGCCCTCTAGGCTTCTCAGCATCCTCTCCCTGCCCTCCCAGCCTGCTCTTCGCTGACCCCTTTGTCCCTCATCCCCACCCCAGGGCATGGCTGGGCAGACACCCGTGCCATCGGGGCCGAGGAATGTCGCCCCAACTCCCAGCCTTGGCAGGCCGGCCTCTTCCACCTTACTCGGCTCTTCTGTGGGGCGACCCTCATCAGTGACCGCTGGCTGCTCACAGCTGCCCACTGCCGCAAGCCGTGAGTGACCCAGGCTGGCCATGCTGGGGAGGGACAGAGGCTGGGGGTCAGGAGAGGGTGAGGGGTGCTTTAGGCCAGAAGTGCGGAGCCTCCACTTCTGATACCACAAGTTCAACTCTTAGAAGTAGGAAGGGTAGCCTCCCAAATCCTAAAATTCTAGAGACCAGCAATATCTCATTTGAGAAGTCTAAGATTCGAAACTTAGGCTCTTCGAATCCGAGACTGACCCAGAGAAATCCAGAATCGTAGAATCCTAAAATCTTGAATTTATGAAATTCTGCAATAGCCTCAGCAAATTTTAGAATCATAGATTCGCAGACTATTAGAATCTTAGCAGTCTGGGTCAGCACTGCCCAGAGGAATTATGATGCCAGCCACATGTGTAAGTTTAAATTTCTGGTGGACACATTTAAAAAATAAGGAATGAGTAAAATTAATTCTAATAGATTTAACTTGACATACCCAAAAACTTATTTTGACATGTAATCAATTTTTAAATACGTATGAACGATACAGTTTACTTTTGTTTTGGTACTAAGCCTTTGAAATCTGTTCTGTATTTTACACACATAGCCTGTTACAAAATGGACTAGCCACATTTCAAGTGTTCAATAGCCATAATGGCTAGTGTGATCCTAGAATCTTAAATTCAGAGCTTTCTAGATTCATTGAATATTGAAACTCACAGTACTAGAATCTTTGATTCACAGTATCCTAGAATATTGAGATTCAGATAATTCTGTAGTCTTAAACTATTTGAATCCCAGACTCTTAAATTTCTAAGGTTATAGATTTATAGAATGATGACATTCTAGTCTTTCTTTTTTTTTTTTTTTTTTTTTTTTGAGACAGAGTCTCCCTCTATCTCCCAGGCTGGAGTGCAGTGGCACAATCTCAGCTCACTGCAACCTCTGCCTCTCGGGTTCAAGCAATTCTCCTGCCTCAGCCTCCTGAGTAGCTGGGATTACAGGTATGCACCACCATGCCAGGCTATTTTTTTTTTTTTTTTTTTTTTAGTAGAGACGGGGGTTTCACCATATTGGCCAGGCTGGTCTTGAACTCCTGACCTTGTGATCTGCCCGCCTCGGCCTCCCAAAGTGCTGGGATTACAGGCGTGAGCCACCGCGCCCAGCCAAAATTCTAGTCTTTTTGTCCTAGAACATTAAAATTCTATGTTCAAATCTTAGATTTAATTCAGATAATGTTAGAATCCTGGAGTTTTTTTGATCCAGGGGAATCTGGAATGTTAGAATCTTGGATTCATAAAACTCTAAACCTTGAGCCTCTAGATTCTAGAATCATGGATAATAGTGTGTCGGAATCTGAGAATTCTAGAATCTTAGGTTCTGGGCATTCTAATAGTATCCTGGAATCCACCTGATGCAGGAATCCTCTCTCCATTGCCTCTGAAAAGTGACCATCCATACTGTTCCAATTTTCTTCCCTCCATGAGTAAAGCACTGATTGTGGTAAGAGATGCTGTGTGGGAATTTCCCATCATGCATTGCTCCATGATGGAACCTCCTTTAACTTAAGCCTATACATCAGACTGGGAGAACGATGTTCAGATTTCAGCCGAAAGTGAAGCAGGAGAAATGCAGAGATATGAAGGTGGAAGAGAGTGAGAGGCAGGGGAAGGGTAGGGGGATGAAGGGATGTAGGGGTGAGGACTACTTTTCCAGATCCAGAGCCAAGACAGCAAGAATGACAGAGAGAGACAGACACAGATGTTTCTGGTTCCCCAACCCTGAATTCGCAGTCATTAGCCTGCTGCCTAATGTCAGAGGTCAGAGGCTGGGGAATGGACTTGTCATCCCCGAAAGGATCCCAGCTGTCTAGGGCATGGACCAGAAATGAAACAAGTGCGCTGAGACTGTGGTGAGGGCTTAAGGTTAGACACCAGGAAGACATGCATTGAAGGGTGAAGGATATGATAGACAGGAAAAGCTGAGGCCAGAGATGACCCCCAATTTGGGGATTTTCCATATCCCATCCCCTTTCATACACACGCACACGTATACACACACACCACTTAGACATACAGAGCCGCTCCCACAGAAGCCACCAGACCTGTGGGGGCAGGGGTGGGGCGGTTGTTATGTGGTAGGTGGGGTCCCCCGTGCCCACACCGTTCCTAGGGACCCAAGTCACCACCAAGGCTCCAGGTGAGTAGGGAGGAAGGTGGCTCACTCAGCCTGGGACTAGGAGCGGGGGCTTTGTGGGGAGAGCTACAAAGATGGAGACACACAAAACATCAGAGTGGGGACCAGGGACCCAGAGGAGGTGTGTGCCTCGCTTAAAATCACAGTACCCTGGGCCAGACATAGATGATGAGGGTGCAGAGAGGGTGTGTGGCTTGCAGAGGGTCACACAGCACCCTGATGGACAGGAAAAGAGGGCTGGGGCTGAAAGGACTTTTACCTTTCCCCCAGCTTGACCTCTGAGGCCTGTCCCAGCAGGTATCTGTGGGTCCGCCTTGGAGAGCACCACCTCTGGAAATGGGAGGGTCCGGAGCAGCTGTTCCGGGTTACGGACTTCTTCCCCCACCCTGGCTTCAACAAGGACCTCAGCGCCAATGACCACAATGATGACATCATGCTGATCCGCCTGCCCAGGCAGGCACGTCTGAGTCCTGCTGTGCAGCCCCTCAACCTCAGCCAGACCTGTGTCTCCCCAGGCATGCAGTGTCTCATCTCAGGCTGGGGGGCCGTGTCCAGCCCCAAGGGTATGACCTGGCCCAGAACTCTCTCTGAAACTTGCTCCCTCACCCCTCTGTCTCTGCCTTTTCATCTCTGTCTTCTCCTTTTCTCTCTCCTCTCTCTCTCTGTCAGTCTATCTATCTGCCAATCGATATATTTAACCAAATATAAGATGCTAGCATTTTTAAGATGTGCCATTATTTCATGAACTGCGAAGAAGTGGAAGAAGGAGGAGGAGGAGAAGAAAAAAAGGAGGAGGAGGAAAGATCCCATTAGATCCCATTGATTATATAACACCATTTTCTGGAAGACACATTCTAATTTCAGAGTGTTTGTTTGTTTGTTTGTTTGTTTGTTTTTGAGACAGGGTCTCGCTTTGTTGCTCAGGCTGGAGTGCAGCGGTGTGATCACGGCTCATTGCAGCTTTGAACTCCTGGGCTCAAGTGATCCTCTCGCCTCAACCTCCCAAGTAGCTGGGATTACAGATATGCACCACCACATCCCACACCGGGGTCATTTTTTTATTATTTATTATTATTATTATTATTATCTTTTTTTTTGTATTTTTAGTAGAGACAGAGGTTTCACCATATTGGCCAGGCTGGTCTCAAATTCCTGACCTGGTGATCTGCCCGCCTTGGACTCCCAAAGTGCTGGGAAAACAGGCATGAGCCACTGCACCCAGCCAAAATTCTAGTCTTTTTTAAATCTAGTCATATCTTAGATTTAATTCAGATAATGTTAGAATCCTGGAGTTTTTTGATCCAGGGGAATCTGGAATGTTAGAATCTTGGATTCATAAAACTCTAAACGTTGAGCCTCTAGATTCTAGAATCATGGATACTAGTGTGTCAGAATCTGAGAATTCTAGAATCTTAGATTCTGGGCATTCTAATAGTATCCTGGAATCCACCTGATGCAGGAATCCTCTCTCCATTGCCTCTGAAAAGTGACCATCCATACTGTTCCAATTTTCTTCCCTCCATGAATAAAGCACTGATTCTGGTAAAAGATGCTGGGTGGGAATTTCCCATCATGCATTGCTCCATGATGGGACCTCCTTTAACTTAAGCCTTATGCTAAAAATTTTTATTATTTTTAGCAAAGATGAGGTCTTGCTATGTTGTCCAGGCTAGTCTCAAACTCCTGGCCTCCCAAAGTGCTGAGATTACAAGTGTGAGCCACTGTACCTGGCCCAGAGATGTTTAAATGTGAAATGCGTTCATCTTAGAATGGGAATAAGACCATGTCTCTCAGAGTCACGGATCACTGACCCATTAGCCAAATTGGGTCAGTGGATTGGAAAAACAGTCTGAATTTGTTGCTGCCAATATCTAAAACTTGGAAAGTTTTATACAAAAGCCAGGTTTCTGGATTCACCTGAAAAAGTTTGAAGAACTCACATTCCCAAAATAGCAAGCATTGGGCTGAGTCAATGGAGGCTGCCCCCTTCAGCCAAGATAAGTTCTCTGATTCACTCCAATGGACCCAAATGGCTCCTGTCTCCCTGCACAGCCCCCGTCCCCGACTTCTGTTTACCAATTCTGTTTATCATATCCCTTGATGCATCGGAGCCTGCACCCATGTCTTATATAGATGCACATGTGTATTATATATCCATATCCACATCTATACTGACTACACTGTATCTGGTATCTCTGTCTATGTCTCTGTCTCCATCAGTGACCATCTTCCTGCAAATCTCTTTCCTTTTATCTCACTGCCTTCATTCCACCCCTTGAGGTCTGGGTCTTTTTCTATTTCTTTTTTTTTTTTTTTTAAGAGACTGAGTCTTGCTCTTGTTGCCCAGGCTGGAGTGCAGTGGTGTGATCTCGGCTCACTGCAACCTCCACCTCCTGGGTTTTAAGTGATCCTCCTGCCTCAGCCTCCCGAGTAGCTGGGACTACAGGTGTGCAACAGCATGCCCAGCTGATTTTTTGTATTTTCAGTAGAGACGGAGTTTCACCATGTTGGCCAGGATGGTCTCAATCTCTTGACCTTGTGATCCGCCCGCCTCAGCCTCCCAAAGTGCTAGGGAGTTATATATGCATCTCCTCTTATCTCTTGGCTCTCTGCATGCATCTTTCTGTTTCTCTTCCTTCCTTTCTTTTTTTTTTTTTTTTTTTTTTTTTTTTTTTTTTTTTTGAGACGGAGTCTTGCTCTGTCTCCCAGGCTGGAGTGCAGTGACCAGTCTCGGCTCACTGCAACCTCCACCTCCCAGGTTCAAGTGATTCTCGTGCCTCAGCCTCCCGAGTAGCTGGGATTACAGGCGCCTGCCACCATGCCTGGCTAATTTTTGTATATTTAGCAGAGATGGGGTTTCACCATGTTGGCTGGGCTGGTCTCAAACTCCTGACCTCAAGCGATCCGCCGGCCTCGGCCTCCAAAACACTGGGATTACAGGCATGAGCCACGGTGCCCGGCCAGCCTCTCTCTCTACTTGGCCCTCTTCCTCCTTGTCTCCATTTGTTTCTCTTGTGTGCTATGACTGTCTGTCTGTCACTGTCTCTTGTCTCTATCTTTGAGAGTCCTAAATGTGGCTCCATTGGTCCTTTGGAAAAGCTGCAGGGAGGACTCAGGGCAGTGGGGTGCTGAGTGTGTTGGAGACAGTTGCAGATCCTTGACAGTTCTCTTCCCTGACAGCGCTGTTTCCAGTCACACTGCAGTGTGCCAACATCAGCATCCTGGAGAACAAACTCTGTCACTGGGCATACCCTGGACACATCTCGGACAGCATGCTCTGTGCGGGCCTGTGGGAGGGGGGCCGAGGTTCCTGCCAGGTGAGACCTTACTCTGGGGAAAATGAGGCTGTCCTGCCAAGTTTTCTAGGATTTAGGGGAGCAGAGGGGTCGGCCCCCAGCCTTCCTGGGTCAAAATGAGAAGGAGACTGGGATACCTGGTTCCTGGGAGAGGACGGGACCAGGGCCTGGACTCCTTAGTGTAAAAGAGAAAAGGTCTGGAGGTCCAGACTTCTGGATCTACAGGAGGAGTGGGCTGGGCGTCCAGAGTCTGAGTCCTCGGGGAGGAGGAGGTTAGGTCCTGCGGGGAGGTGGGCCCTCTGAGCTTTTACTCCTGGGTCTGAGGAAGAAGAGGCTGGAGATGGAGGACTCTCGGATGTTGGAGGAGGAAGGGGCTGGGGCCTTTCTGGGAGGGAGGAAGTGGCCCGTGTAATTGTCATGAACAGAGTGGCCTAACAGTTCCTCTGCCCTTCTCTCGCGTACAGGGTGACTCTGGGGGCCCCCTGGTTTGCAATGGAACCTTGGCAGGCGTGGTGTCTGGGGGTGCTGAGCCCTGCTCCAGACCCCGGCGCCCCGCAGTCTACACCAGCGTATGCCACTACCTTGACTGGATCCAAGAAATCATGGAGAACTGAGCCCGCGCGCCACGGGGGCACCTTGGAAGACCAAGAGAGGCCGAAGGGCACGGGGTAGGGGGTTCTCGTAGGGTCCCAGCCTCAATGGTTCCCGCCCTGGACCTCCAGCTGCCCTGACTCCCCTCTGGACACTAAGACTCCGCCCCTGAGGCTCCGCCCCCTCACGAGGTCAAGCAAGACACAGTCGCGCCCCCTCGGAACGGAGCAGGGACACGCCCTTCAGAGCCCGTCTCTATGACGTCACCGACAGCCATCACCTCCTTCTTGGAACAGCACAGCCTGTGGCTCCGCCCCAAGGAACCACTTACACAAAATAGCTCCGCCCCTCGGAACTTTGCCCAGTGGGACTTCCCCTCGGGACTCCACCCCTTGTGGCCCCGCCTCCTTCACCAGAGATCTCGCCCCTCGTGATGTCAGGGGCGCAGTAGCTCCGCCCACGTGGAGCTCGGGCGGTGTAGAGCTCAGCCCCTTGTGGCCCCGTCCTGGGCGTGTGCTGGGTTTGAATCCTGGCGGAGACCTGGGGGGAAATTGAGGGAGGGTCTGGATACCTTTAGAGCCAATGCAACGGATGATTTTTCAGTAAACGCGGGAAACCTCACCTTCTTTCTGCCTGAGCTGTGAGATGAGTGGAGAGCAAACGGGTGGGCGGTGAAGGGCAGATGAGGGAACCGGTACCGCCTTGCAACTCCCCCTTAAACCCCTAGTAAGTTTTGCCTAAAGTCTCTGTCCATCAGCCCTATTGCAGCAAGACTCCTGGGTTCTGCTTGGGTTGGTCTTGCCGCCTCCAGGGGAAGGGGAAACCAGGTCACAGTGCCTCCCAAACCTGCCCTCCCAGATCCCGGACCTCTCAGGGGACAGCGGGCGGGGCCTGATCCACCCTCTGGTTTCTGACCCTAGAAGACCTGCCTTTCTTCGGTTCCCGGTTACTGGCAGCAGCCCCCTCCTCCCACAAAAGATCAGGTTCCAAGCTTCTCCTTTTAAAAGTACTTAGAATTCAGCCCCCAGCTCTCTCCTCCCTCACACCCAGGAATCCAGGCCCCTAGCCCCTCCTCCCTCAGACCCAGGAGTCCTGGCCCCTAGCAGCCCCCTCCTCCCTCAGACCCAGGAGTCTGGGCCCCCAGCCCCTCCTCGGTCAGACCTAAATCCCAGGTCCCAGTCCCTCCTCCCTTAGATTTAGGAGTCCAGGCCCCCAGCCTCTCCTCCCTCAGACCCAGGAATCCAGGCCCCCAGCCTCCTCCCCTCTCAGAACTAAAATCTTGGCCCCCAGCCCTTTATGTTTCAGATCGTAGAGTCTCAGCACCGAGTCCCTCCTCTCCCTAGCCTCAGGAGTCTGAGATTCCAGCCCCTCCTCCCTCAAGATTTCACGTTCAATCCCCTCCGCCCCTTCTCACTCACACCCAGTGTTCCAGTTCCCAGAAGCTCCCCAGGCTCTAGTGCAGGAGGAGAAGGAGGAGGAGCAGGAGGTGGAGATTCCCAGTTAAAAGGCTCCAGAATCGTGTACCAGGCAGAGAACTGAAGTACTGGGGCCTCCTCCACTGGGTCCGAATCAGTAGGTGACCCCGCCCCTGGATTCTGGAAGGTGAGGTGCAGAGGTACTCAGATACAGACATCAGGCCCCGGACCCTCCTTCTCCAGATTCCAGGACCCCAGCCTCAGATGCCCTTCTCTGTCGAGATCCAGCAGTCTGGACCCCGGCTTCCTCCTCTCCCTAATTTAGGAGTCCCAGCTCCCAGCTCCCTGTCCCCTCAGACCCAGACATCGAGGACTCCCCCCTCCCTTGGAATGTAGGAATCCAGTCCCCCAGCCTCCTCCTTCCTCCAGAGAAGCCCAGAACAGCCCCAGATACTCTCGGCTGCCTCCCCAGTGCCCAAATCCAGAACTGGGAGCTCAGGCTCCTCCTTCCTGTTTACCGGCCCCGCCCTCTCCATTTCCCAGACCTCACCATGGGACGCCCCCGACCTCGTGCGGCCAAGACGTGGATGTTCCTGCTCTTGCTGGGGGGAGCCTGGGCAGGTGAGGAGGGTTGCGGAGGCCTCCGGAGGGGAGGGATCTGAAGGCAGCAGTGGCGCTGGGGAGTCTGTGGGAATGCCGCGGGGGTTATGTGGGTGCGTGTGCACGGATGTGAAGAGTGCGATACGGTGCAGGAGCCTCTGTGGGCTTTCCTCAGGGTGGACAGAGGCAAGAAACAGGTAGCAGCAGGTAGGAGTAGGTTCCGTGATGCTGTAAATTGTCTGAATAGCTACAGCCTTTGGGGGCTGCTTGCTTGGGGGCATAGATTCACCTGGGAGTACTCGGGGCCTGTAGACTCATGTGGAAGCATGTGGGGGCATTCTTGGGTGTGTGACTCTTGTATGATGACACATGGACTGAAATGAGTGTCCCCGTGTGGCAGCGTGTGGAAGCCTGGACCTCCTCACTAAGTTGTATGCGGAGAACTTGCCGTGTGTCCATTTGAACCCACAGTGGCCTTCCCAGCCCTCGCACTGCCCCAGAGGGTGGCGATCCAACCCTCTCCCTCCTGCTGCAGGACACTCCAGGGCACAGGAGGACAAGGTGCTGGGGGGTCATGAGTGCCAACCCCATTCGCAGCCTTGGCAGGCGGCCTTGTTCCAGGGCCAGCAACTACTCTGTGGCGGTGTCCTTGTAGGTGGCAACTGGGTCCTTACAGCTGCCCACTGTAAAAAACCGTGAGTGGATGATGGGGGCAGAGGTCAGCTGGGGCTTAAGGAAAGAGGGGGCTGGGGTTTCGACTCAGGAAGGAGAGAGCTGAGGACTGGACTCCTGGGTCTGAAGGAGGAGGGGGCTGGGGGCAATACCCCTGCCTGGGTCCCAAACTATCCCCACCATTACAGGAAATACACAGTACGCCTGGGAGACCACAGCCTACAGAATAAAGATGGCCCAGAGCAAGAAATACCTGTGGTTCAGTCCATCCCACACCCCTGCTACAACAGCAGCGATGTGGAGGACCACAACCATGATCTGATGCTTCTTCAACTGCGTGACCAGGCATCCCTGGGGTCCAAAGTGAAGCCCATCAGCCTGGCAGATCATTGCACCCAGCCTGGCCAGAAGTGCACCGTCTCAGGCTGGGGCACTGTCACCAGTCCCCGAGGTAGTGGGCTTGTCCACTAATGGGAGGGAGAGGAGGAGCTGGTTGGCCCAGTGGAACCCAAGCTATTGGCAAAGCTTGGTCCCCCAGAGGGAGACAAAGAAGGGAAAGTGATCATGATGTTGAGATTCACAAGCAGGAGTCATATGAGAAGCCTCGAAGATCTGACTACTAACAAGAGTGGTGAGAGAAAGAACCAACTAGCAGATTGTTAAGCAGGGCCAGAAAAGCCCATCCTGTATGGCGGAGAGCACTACCCTATGGGACCTTTGGTTGTATAGGATTTTATATAATCTTAACACACTTGGGATATTTGGACTTCTCAGAGGCCCAGGAAAACAGGCTCCTAAGCACCTTCTCCCCCACCTCCCTCCTTTTTTTTTTTTTTTTTTTTTTTTTTTTTTTTTTTTTTTTTGCAGGGGGACACAGTTTCACTCAATCGCCCAGGCTGGAGTGCAGTGGCACAATCTCAGCTCACTACAATCTCTGCCTCCTGGGTTTAAGCGATTCTCGAACCTCAGCCTCCCGAGTAGCTGGGATTACAGGCACCCGCCACCACGCGAGCTAATTTTTGTATTTGTTGTAGAGACAGGGTTTCGCCATGTTGACCAGGCTGGTCTCGAACTCCTGACCTCAAGTGATCTGCCCGCCTCGGCCTACCAAAGTGCTGGGATTACAAGCATGAGCCACCGCCCCTGGCCTTTTTCTCCTTCTTGAACCCAGGAAACCTGGGCCCTGGTCACCTCTTCCCTCAGACCCGGGAGTCTAGGCCCTTCTTCTCCCAGGACCCAGCAGTCCTAGCTCCCTCTTGACTCTGGACCCCAAAATCTGGACCTCCAATGAAGCTGTCCCTTTGGGACTCCAGAATCCAGAGAGCCCCTCGCCTTCCTTCACAGTGAAAACATTGGGACTCACCTAAGAGAGTCAAGGAGCTTCTCCAGGAAGTGGCAAAGTCAGCATTCAGGTCCCTGCCTGCCTCACTCCTGCTCTGAATGCTTTGGATGAGACAGTTTGCGGCTGTGGAAACACACGTGCTCGCAAATCAAGTAGATCAGTTCAAACTATGGCTCTGCCCTTTCTCCCTGGGCAAATTCCTTTCCATCTCTGAGCCTCACTTTCCTTATCTGCAAAATGGGAATCATTAACCAATAGATTTTTTAGCTACGTGAGGGTTCAGGTTACATCAGTTTTCTTCATTGTGTTCTCCTAGTGCTCAGAATGGTGCCTGCTACATGGTAGATGCTCAATAAATATTTGTTGAATGGATGACCTGATGAATAAATAATGAAATGAATGAATGCATCTCTCCTTCAAAGCGCTGTTGTGAGGATTAAATGAGATTATGAGCATATTGCTTTTGGCACGTAGAGATGCCAGATGGAAGTTTTTCCCCCTCAAAGAGGCTTTGGAGAAGTCTATTCCTCAAAAGAGGTTAATAAAAAAGATCAATTCCACCTTCAATCATTAATTCAACTCTTATTTACTGAGCACCTAGTATGCCTGAGGTGCTGTTGCAGGCGCTGGATATACAGCCATGAGCAAACTGTACAAAGTCCTTGTCGTTATGGAGTTGCAAGCTAGGTGGGAGAAATAGACAATAAACAAATACACATAAAATAAAACATTAGGCAAAGTGCTGTAAGGAAATATTGTGGAGCGTAAAAGGATAGGGAGTAATGGAGGGATGGTATTTTTTAATTCGAGTGGTCAGGGAAGGCTTCCAGGAGGAGGTGACACTTGGAAGGAGCAGGATTTAGCACAGATTGAGGACCCGGTTGTCTGAGGGCAGGAAGACTGGAAAGAGAGGGTCAGAGGTATCATAAAGGGGCACCTCCAAGTAACCCCCAGCCCCTTGATTTGAAAATGGCTCAGGGTAAGAAAAAACACGTGAGATCCAAGGGCCCCTCTCTAGATGGAGAAAGCCCAATAGCAACAAGTACAGCTTCGTTTAATGTGGTGAGAAGTGATGTCCCCTGTGCACAGTGTCAGAAAATTCCCCCATGCAGCTGGAAAACTCCCCCATTACATCCTGGAAAGAAAGGGGGTTAGATCCAGACAGGGATGGAGGCAAAGGGCTGCTCTCTCAGGGAACCTTACAACCTCTTCCCCCTCAGAGAATTTTCCTGACACTCTCAACTGTGCAGAAGTAAAAATCTTTCCCCAGAAGAAGTGTGAGGATGCTTACCCGGGGCAGATCACAGATGGCATGGTCTGTGCAGGCAGCAGCAAAGGGGCTGACACGTGCCAGGTGAGCAATTTCTGAAATCCTTCTCCTCACACATCCCTCATTGCCCTCTCGAGGTTCAAGGCTTGGATGGGGGTGGGGGTGGTAAGGGAGTGACCCCAAAGACTTGGCACCCGGAGTGTTCACCCCTATCTCTACGGATTGGGAGCCAGGTTCAGAGAAGCCAAACTCTCTCTCTGAAAGTCACACTGCATAGGGATTAGGAGCATTGAATTGCTGCTGCTGTTTTCTTTCGAACGCTTAACTACAGGATGGGATGCAGAGTTGGGGGCTATAGAGGGTGGGGTAGATGTCCAGCAAGGAGAGAGTCTGAGGCTAGAGTTTAGACGAGTTGCCTGCTCTCTGGTTCCCAGCATTACATCGTGGAATTTGTGCCGACTTTACCACCGGCCCGGTGGTCAGCCACTTTTCTTTGAGACCGGGCTAGAATCCCAAGGCTGGTTCCCTTCTCCTGTGATTGGTTCCTTGGGAGACAATGGTGTCTTCCCAGTTGGCTGGAGTAAATGGTGCCATTGACTTCAGTGCTTCCTCAATGAGCTCCAATCCCTTTCTCTTGGGATTTGTCATAGATATAACTCTCTCTTCTAACTGCAACTTCGTTGTTCCTAGCACTTTCCCCTGGCTTTGTCCACTTCCTGGAAGCCCCACCACCTTTGCCAATGACTGGTCCCTAAATACAATGCTTTCTTCCCCATTGGCCAAAAATGGAGTCGTTTCCATCAGCGATACTGCCATGAAAGCCAGTCTCTGGATTGTTCTGTAGAGATAGTGGTCTCTTCCACAAATATTTCAGCCATGGTCTCTTGGGGATATGGTGTGTGTGTGTGTGTGTGTGTGTGTGTGTGTGTGTGTGTGTGTGTCCATAAGAATCTTGATCCTTTCTCCTATGTTTGGCAACTGCAATCAATGATGCCTTCACTATTGGCCAGGAACAGAGGAAACTTCAGCTCAGTCCTCTCCAAGTAATCCCTACTGTCTTCTCCCTGGATTGGACCCTCGAGAACTCTTTTTTTTTTTTTTTTGAGACAGGGTCTCGCTCTGTCCCCCAAGCTGGAATGCAGTGGCACAATCTTGGCTCACTGCAGCCTCTGCCTCCCAGTTCAAGCAATTCTCCCACCTCAGCCTCCCGAGTAGCTGTGATTACAGGTGTGCACCACCACACCCAGCTAGTTTTTGTATTTTTAGTAGAGACAGGGATTCACCATGTTGGCCAGGCTGGTCTGGAACGCCTGACTTCAAGTGATCTACCGCCTCGGCCTCCCAAAGTGCCGGGATTGCAGGTGTGAGCCACCAAGCCTGTCTGGGATTTCATTCTTTCCCCTCTTCTGTCAGTGTTTTGACCACTACCCTTAGACACCATGTCTGTCTGTACATGGAAGCCCCAAGCCCTGTCCTGACTGGTCTCAGGGGACAATGCTTTTACCCCCATTGGCTACAGGGGACCAATCATGCCAAAGAACTGGTAAAACGCTGGGACAGCAGGAAAAGGGACGTTGTGGACATCTCAGATGCAAGGCTGTTCTCATTCTCCCTGTCTAGGGCGATTCTGGAGGCCCCCTGGTGTGTGATGGTGCACTCCAGGGCATCACATCCTGGGGCTCAGACCCCTGTGGGAGGTCCGACAAACCTGGCGTCTATACCAACATCTGCCGCTACCTGGACTGGATCAAGAAGATCATAGGCAGCAAGGGCTGATTCTAGGATAAGCACTAGATCTCCCTTAATAAACTCACAACTCTCTGGTTCCTTGCCTGTCTCTGTTTTGGCCCTGTGGGGAGGGCTGGATGGGGATCCGGGATTGTTCCTGCTGGCAGACTAGGTGGGGATGTGCAGAAACCAAGTTCTCATGGTCACTTTGGCCATCACCACTGCCTAAAGTGATCCCTCGTTTTCTGGAAGAACTTGGGTAAGAGCTTTATTTCAGGGGAGAAAATACATACAAAGGTCTTCAAACATTCAGTGGGCTGGTATGTGAAAGACAGTTTTGAAAGAGTTTGTGTTTAGTTTTCCTGAGCAAAGCATTTACAAGCTTTGGAGATAAAATTTTCCCCCTTTAAAAAATAATTGGCCAGGTGCGGTGGCTCAAGCCTGTAATTTCAGCACTTTGGGAGGCCGAAGCGGATGGATCACCTGCGGTTAGGAGTTCGAGACCAGCCTGGCCAACATGGCAAAACCCCGTCTCTACTAAAAATACAAAAATTAGCAGGGTGTGGTGGTGGGCATCTGTAAACTCAGCTACTCAGGAGGCTGAGGCAGAAGAATCGCTTGAACCCAGGAGGCGGAGGTTGCAGTGAGCCAGGGATCATGCCATTGTACTCCAGCCTGGGTGACAAGAGCAAGACTCGGTCTCAAAATAAATAAACAAATAAATTAATAATAATAATTGTGCCAGGTATGGTGGCTCATGCTTGTAATTCCAGCACTTTCACAGGCTGAGGTGGGAGGATCACTTGAGCCCAGGAGTTCAAGACCAGCCTGGGCAACAATGTAAGACCTCATCTCTATTTTTATTTAAAAAAAAAGAAAAAAAGAAGAAAAGGGAAAACATTGGGAGATATGCATAGAAAAGAGTGCAGAAAATATATGAACAGCTTAAATATTCACAAATGAACAACCATGAAACCACCACTCGGGTCAAAAATCTTGAGAGCTCCCAAAAATCCAGATAGAACTCTTTCTCACAGCCTAGAGCCATCTGGTGGTGTCTGCTGTGGTAGAAGGAAATGAGTGGTGTGTCCAAATTGAAGTGTGACGCAAAGGGCATTTGGGAAAGTTTTCATTAAAGCAAAGGCTTAACATAACTTGTTTTAGGGAAAGATGAGTGTGGAGGGGGTAGTTATTACAAGGATATAGTCACTCTTCTAGTGGTGCAGGCCAGGTGGGCCCAAAACTGGAGCTTAGCCAGGGAGGGTTCCTGGCTTTGTCCAGGAAATAATTCAAGGGCAACCCAGTGGTGTTAGTGACTTTTCTTGAAACAGTACTGCACAGTAGCAGAGGTACTGCTCTTTGCAGAGCAGGGCTACCCCATAGGCATTGAGCACAAAGTAGCAGCTCAGGGCCAGTTCTGTAGTCATATTTAGTCCCATTTTCAATTACATGCAAATTAAGGGGTGGGTTATTCAGAAATTTCTAGAAAAGGGCTGATAAATTTTGGGTGTTGTCATGGCAGTGGCAAACTGTCATGGTGCTGGTGTGCACGTCTTATGGAGATGTGCTTTTGGTGCCTTTTCCCTGTTCCAGCTGTCTTCAATCTAGTCCAGAGTTAAACCCCGCCTCCTCCTTCACTAGGATCTTTAGAAAATAGTCTCATGAAAGAGAATCTGATTCATCTAGCTCACCTTTTCTTCTTCAGCCACATCATTGGTCACTGAATGGCCAATCATTTGATGGCATCCCAGTCAGGTGACCAAATCTTAGCCAATCAGTGGCTACTTGGAGTCATGTGATATGAAACATGGCCACTTAGTGCTATGGGAAGGCAATTCTCCACAAGGGGCGTGGGTGTGTGAGATACCTTGCATTCATCAATCTCCCTGATGCTTTATGACAGTTCCCCCATACCAGAAATCCTGAGGAAGTCTTTCAAGCATGGCATTAAACTTCTGATGCCAGGGATGCATTTCTGGGGGGGACATCTCAACTCAAAGAATTGTTTTATAATTTTTATTATGGAAAATTTCAAACACATGCAAAATAGAATAACATAATGTGTCTTCATATACCACCATCCAACTTCGATAATGAATGCAAGGTCCGGTGCAGTGGCTCACGCCTGTAACCCCAGCACTTTGAAAGGCCGAGGCACGAGGATTGCTTGAGCCCAGGCATTCAAGACCAGTCTGGGCAACATAGGGAGACTGGTCTCTACAAAAGATTAAAAAATTAGCTGGGCATGGTGGCATGCGTCTGTGGTCCCAGCTACTCAGGAGGCTGAGGTGGGAGGATCACTTGAGCCTGAGAGGTTGAGACTGCAATGAGCTATGATTGTACCACTGCACTCCAGCCTGGGTAACAGAGTGAGACCCTATCTCAAAAAAAAAGTTAATGCAAAACCAATTATTGTTTCACCTATACTCCCACCACACACTTCCCTAATGCCAGAATATTTTGAAGCAATCTCAGTCACCACAACATCTCATTCTTAAATATTTTATTATGCATTTTTAAAACAGGGGATGGCAAATTACAGCTGTTGGACCAAATCTCCTGAGCTAAATTTTTTTTTTTTTTTTTTTTTTTTGAGATGGAGTTTCGCTCTTGTTGCCCAGGCTGGAGTGCAATGGCGTGATCTCGGCTCACCGCAACCTCCGCCTCCCTGGCTCAAGCAATTCTCCTGCTTCAGTCTCCTGAGTAGCTGGGATTACAAGCATGCACCATCACGCCCGGCTAAAATTTTTTGTATTTTCAGTAGAGACAAGGTTTCTCTATGTTGGTCAGGCTGGTCTTGAACTCCCGACCTCAAGTGATCTGCCTGCCTCCACCTCCAAAAGTGCTGGGATTACAGGCGTGAGCTTGATAAGGAATAGCAACAAAAAATTTGTACTAAATTATCATTACTACATTTTGAATTTCATCAATTAA
This sequence comes from Homo sapiens, assembly GCF_000001405.40. Classification (NCBI taxonomy): domain Eukaryota; kingdom Metazoa; phylum Chordata; class Mammalia; order Primates; family Hominidae; genus Homo; species Homo sapiens. The sequence continues at coordinate 50,993,172 of NC_000019.10, read as the reverse complement.
AAATTGTGAAATTTTATTTTCTTTCCTGCTATTAAATATCTACATAATATCTTCCATTTTTCTCTCTTGGTCCACATAAGCTAAAATATTTACTCTCTGGCCCTTTATTTTAAAAATTTGCCAATCCTTGTTCCAAAAGAGACTCGTTTTAAACATAACCAACTTACATTATCACACCTTACACAGTTGATACTTTCTTAGTATCATCCAATGCCAAGGAGATTTTTTTCCTTTTTGAGACAAGGTCTTACTCTGTCACCCAGGTTACAGTACAGTGAGCATTGCACAAACAATGCTTAAGGCAGTTTCTACCTCCTGGGTTTCAGCCATCCTCCCACCTCAGCCTCCTGAGTAGCTGGGACCACAGGCATGTGCCACCACGCCCAGCCATTTTTTTTTTTTTTTCAGTAGAGCTAGGACTCTACCATGTTGCCTAGGCTGGTCCAGGAGATACTTTAATGTCTCCAGTGGAACATAAGCCTGAAAAGACTTGGGGATTGATTTACTCAATCTTAGGTACTAAGGAGGGGCATGGAGGGAACATAGCAGCTACTAACAGAAACAAAAATCTCCTTTCTCCTGGCATCTTGATATTAATCCCAGGGAGGAACTCTAATTGGTCCAGTTTGAACTGGGCCCACCCCTTGAATCTATCATTGTTGCCAGAGAGAAAACACTGATCTTGTTGACTTGGCCTGGGTCATTTCTCCGCCTCAGTGGGTGGGTGGAGTTGGAGAACTACGATTGACAGTTTCACCAGAACTATAAGAAATAAGGCAGCATCTCCCCCAAAAGAAATGGGGTTCTGCCGGAAGGTGGAGGTTGCAGTGAGCTGAGGTCGCACCACTGAACTCCAGCCTGGGTGACAGAGTGAGACTCTGTCTCAAAAAAAAAAAAAAAAAAAAAAAAAAAAAAAAAAGAAAGAAAGAAAGAAATAAGGAGGAAGAGAATCCAGGAAGTATGAAACAATGGGCCATCAGAACCCATGGGCTGAGTCAGGAGGTACGAGGGTCACAGTGTTCAGAATCCCTCAGGGAAAGGCATAGCTGGCAAGATTATCAGATGCCAGTTCTCAGGTGTGATCATAAGGTGGAAGATGAGTCATTTAACAAAGGTTCAGGACATAGGTCTGAGGACGATGGAGGTATGGGGCTGGGTGTCTGGATGACACTTAGCAACAGGTGCCAGGACTAAATGCAAAGGGCACAGGGGGCCTGGATATGGGCCTCTCTCTGACATGGGGGTATGCATCATTAATAGGCTGAGGGCGATCCAAGTCTGTTTTGAACCAAATGAGACTCAGAGGGTACATGTGGATGTAACAAGGAAATTTCCTTCTCAGAGTATGGATTTGTGCAGTAGTGATACCATAGGCCTTTGAATCCCAATGTTCAAATTCTGGCTTTTTTTTTTTTTTTTTTCCTGAGATGGAGTCTTGCCCTGTCACCCAGGCTGGAGTGCAGTGGTGCAACCTCGGCTCACTGCAACCTCTGCTTACTGGCTTAAGTGATTCTCCTGTCTCAGCCTCCTGAGTAGCTGGGAGTATAGGCACATGCCACCACATCCGACTAATTTTTTGTATTTTTAGTAGAGATGGGGTTTCACCATGTTTGCCAGGCTGGTCTCGAACTCCTGACCTCAAGTGATCCATCCACTTCGGCCTCCCAAAGTGTTGGGATTACAGGCTTTAGCCACCACGCCTGGCTGAATTCTGACACTTCTGACTCCTCAGCTCTGTGACTTTGCTCAAGTGATCTAGCCTTTTTTAAACCTCCATTTTCTCATCTATAAAATGGGGATGATGGGGCAGGCGGCAAAAAATAAAGGTAAAATGGGGATGACAATCCTCACCTGGACCAATGTGAGGAATACAGACACACCACACTAAATGTAGGGGGGAAAATGGGAGCTGCTTCTTCATTCCGTGGGTGATGGGCTGAGGGAACTCATGTTAATTCACTGGCTGTTATGTGCCCATCAATTTTCCATTCATAATTTTATTTAATCCTCTCATTTGCCTCGGTAAATAGGTTTTGCTCTCCTCCACTTTGGGGAGGGGCAAAGTCTGACTCAGAAAAATGAAGTCACTTACCCGAAGTCACAGGGTGGGCAACCAGGATTCAAAGCTGGGTTGAAAGTCCAAGTTCTTTCTAGTTCTTTCTGTCACACTGCATGGTGGAACAGCTCAGGGATCAAGGCAGGACTGAATCTAAGGCCTGTGGACCTGTGGATGCCAGAAGTTTGCAGACTAGTATTTATTTAAGTACCTCCTGTGTTCTCCGGTCTGGGCGGGGTGCT